>NC_000017.11:47560980-48185980 GCF_000001405.40 Homo sapiens
AATTTGAAGTACAGTTGACTTGGCACTTCTGATATTGAAATTTTAGAAGATTTTGTTTCTGTATCTCAATGTAATGCCTAGGCAGAATCCACTAGATGCTTGTATAGATGGTATAAGCAATAATGATTTCGGCTATTTTTAAAAATTTCAATCTTTTTTTAATGTGGCCTCAGAATACCATCTTGTACTTCTCATTTTCCCTATACCTCCTTTTATGTGATTAAGTTTTATTATGTATAGACATAAAGGGGGCCTGGCACAGTGGCTCATGCCTGCAATCCCAGCATTTTGGGAGGCCGAGGCACGAGGATTGCTTGAGCCCAGGAGTTCAAGACAAGCCTAGGCAATGCAGTGAGACCCTGTCTCAAAAAAAAAAAAAAAAAAAAAAAGATTGGGGGGGTGCTATGATATTACGATATATATGTTGGTTTTCGTCCACAGTTTCTGTCATAGAACACCCATAGTCCCTGTTATTTCCTAAGTGACTAAAACAATACACATATATTTTATTGAAATATTTGGCCTTTTATTCTTGGTTTTTGAAGTGGCTTCAGTACAGCTTCAGATCAATAAAAGTGAAAGATGGTCTTTTGTAATAATGTTGGGGCACTTTAAACCTCAGAAGCAGGCTTCAGAAAACAGAATCTCTCTCTGACCTTTTCTTGCCTTGCTTTTACCTGCTCCTTTTTCTCCCCAAGCAGGCCATAGAAACTAAAAATATACTCTAATCATCCCCCAACATTCTGTCTTGGAGCTGACAGCAAAGAAATTATCTGACCTACCTTGTCTGATTGGAGGTCATAAGACCCCCATTTCAGAAGGCATCCTGCCCTGTACTTGGGAGGAAAGAAGTTGCACAGAGAGGCCAAGAAGACTCTGAACAGAGAGACCTTGCTAGGTTTCACCACTCAGTCTGTTAGCATTAGGTCCTACTTTTGTCCAATCATATTTCTACACGGTTGTCCATGCTTCAGTCGTGACTGTCCAGTGAAATCCTGGACCAGGTACAGAGAGCTTCCAGATAGCTGAACACGTGGAGGGTCCTGGAGGGTGGTGCACCCAGGGAGGGTATGAGAGCTCTGCACCCCTTCCCACATGCCTTGTTCTGTGCACCTCTTCATCTGCATTCTTTGTACTATTCTTTATAATAAACCAGTACACGTGTTTTCCTGAGTTCTGGGCACAGCTTTAGCAAATTAATCAAACCTAAGAAGGGGGTCATGGGAACACTGACTTGAAGCTGGTTGGCCAGAAGTTCTGGATGAGGCCTAGCCTTACAACTAGTGTCTGAAGTGGGGGCAGTCTTGTGAGACTGAGCCCTCTCTCAGCCTGTGGGATCTAATGCTATCTCCAGGTAGATAGCATGATAATTGAATTGGATTAGAAGGTGCTCAGCTGGTGGTATCGTCTGCAGAACTGATTGCTTCTTGTTGGTGGGGAGAAATCCCCACACATTTGGTCACAGAAGTCTACTGTGTTGATGATTGTGGTGTAAGAGCAGAGGAAAAGCAATTTGATTTTTCTCCACAAGGGGAAGAAAATGTTTCATGATTCAACTAATGATTTACCTTTCATTGTAAGGTTATCATGCTCAAGTATTAATGTAGGAAGGCTTTTTTGATGCAGAGTGTGTGTGTGTGTGTGTGTGTGTGTATATGTGTGTGTTTGTAGAGGGCTAACATTAAAAAGGGAAATGTAATAAGGAAGAAGAAATGGTGTTCTAAACTTAAAACCCATTTCATCTGCTAAATCGTCCTAGTGAAATACCAACTTTAGTTAATTTAAAAAAAAGTTTAGTTAATTGTAAAAAAAAAAAAGAATCTCTTCATTATTTTAAAAACCATTTGTGTTTCCTTTTTCTGTAATTTATTCATATTTGTCCATTTTTAATTGCAGTGTTATTCTTGTTATTGATTTTTTAAAACGTGGTCTTTATATTTGAGTGAAATTAACCTTCCATCATGAGTTGGAGCATTTTTTCCCCAATATATACTTCTCTTTTGATTTTGCTTATGGTCATTTTATAATGCCATGGTTTTTTTGTTGTTTGTTTGTTTTGTTTTTTTTTTGAGATGGAGTCTCGCTCTCTCAGCCAGGCTGGAGTGCAGTGGCGTGATCTCAATTCACTGCAACCTCCACCTCCCCGTTTCAAGCGATTCTCCTGCCTCAGCCTCCTGAGTAGCTGGGATTACAGGCGTGCACCACCACGCCTGGCTAATTTTTGTATTTTTAGTAGTAATGGAGTTTCACCATGTTGGACAGGTTGGTCTCAGACTCCTGACCTCAGGTGATCTGCCCATCTTGACCTCCCAAAGTCCTGGGATTACAGGCGTGAGCCACCATGCCCAGCCTGGTCATGGTTTTATACATGCTATGTTTATAATCAAATTTTACTTCTATTTAATAGATGACTAACACACTTACACATAGATGCTTATACCCAAATATGTATGTTTATAGATTTTAAAATGCTTATTATATTTAAAAGGCCTAATAAGTAGTTTCAGCAAAAGCTGTTATATATATGTATATAATGGACCAATTGCAGTTGGATCAATAAAGAACTGTAAGGTGTGTTATGATCTAGAAAAGTGTTTCTTTTTTTTTTTAGATGGAGTCTTGCTCTGTTGCCCAGGCTGGAGTGCAGTGGCACGATCTCGGCTCGCTGCAAGCTCCGCCTCCCGAGTTCACGCCATTTTCCTGCCTCAGCCTCCTGAGTAGCTGGGACTATAGGCACGTGCCACCACACCCAGCTAATTTTTTGTATTTTTAGTAGAGACGGGGTTTCACCATGTTGGCCAGGATGGTCTCGATCTCTTGACCTCGTGATCCGCCCTCCTTGGCCTCCAAAAGTGCTGGTATTACAGGCGTGAGCCACTGTTCCCGGCCCTGAAAAGTGTTTCTTAACAATAACTAGGAACTGTGCTGTGTGTTTTATATAAGAGTATATTATATAATTTTTTTTTTCTTTGAGATGGAGTCTCACTCTGTTGCCCAGACTGAGTGCAGTGGTGTGATCTCAGCTCACTGCAGCCTCTACCTCCCAGGTTCAAGCGATTCTCCTGCCTCAGCCTCCCAAGTAGTTGGGATTACAGGCGCACGCCACCATGCCCTGCTAATTTTTGTATGTTTAGTTTTACCATGTTGGCCAGGCTGGACTCAAACTCCTGACCTCAAGTGACCCTCCCACCTCGGTCTCCCAAAGTGTTGGGATTACAGGTGTGAGACACTGTGCCTGGCCCTCAATCTTTAATTAAGAAGCAAGTGCCAGGCACAATGGTATACTCCTATAATCTCAGCTACTCAGGAGGCTGAGGTGGGAGGATTGCCAGTGCTTGAGCCCAGGAGTTTGAGACCAGCCTGGACAACATAGTGAGACCCTTATCTCAATTTTAAGAAGAAAGAATTAGGTAATGATATGATTTTAATTTTATAGGTGTGGAAACGGAGGCTTAGAGAATTGAATAATCGTATATACCTTATAAGATTCTCTCATACTCCATTTTTAAAAGTTTTCTATCAAGTTTAAGTTGTATTGATACATGATATATAGTGAAGTGTCTATGTACAATGCTTAATTTACATATATATACATTTCCAATTATGAATATATTGCAAACTGTATTAGTGAATGAATTATTCATTTATCATATCAGTATTATATATTACTATAATATATAAATATACTAATTATATATTAGTATTAATGTAAACATTAATTTAGAAATACTTTTTTCTCCAGTGAAGCCTCCTCAGACTTCTCATATGCATCTTCAGTATTTATGGGTTTCTACCCTTTGAACAATCTAACAGTTCCAGAGCAAATATTATCTTCTAAGAGGTTTGAGATAGATCCTTATTTGAATCAGTATATTATGTTGTGACTGGAAATTTTATCCCTAGCCATGTCTCTATTCACATAACATTAGTAAATGTGATTTTTCATTAATATATTTCATATGAGTAGCATTAATGACCTCCATGACATAATTACTTAGTCTGTTGCTTTTGAAGTGATTCATTCATTCTACAGATACTTACTGAACACACACTATGTGCCAGAAACTGCTAGCATTGGAAGTAGAGCTGTGAACAAAATCAAGCATCAACATTTCTGATATTTGAGAAGATAGGCAACAAGCAAATATGTGATGTAAAGTAGTGATAAGTGCTGTAAAATCACAAGAGGGTATAGAATGAGGATTGTTCTTCAAGTTGATAGAACAGATCTTTAAAGAAGTGATTTGAGGCTGGGCGTGGTGGCTTACACCTGTAATCCCAACACTTTGGGAGGCCGAGGCTGGTGGATCATGAGGTCAAGAGACTGAGACCATCCTGGCCAACGTGCTGAAACTCTATCTCTACTAAAAATACAAAAATTAGCCAGGCGTGGTGGTGCGTGCCTGTAGTCCCAGCTACTCGGGAGGCTGAGGCAGAAGTGCTTGAACCCGGGAGGCGGAGGTTGCAGTGAGTTGAGATCATGCCACTGCATGCCAGCCTGGGCGACAGAGCAAGACTCCATCTCAAAAAAAAAAAAAAAAAAAAAAGGTGATTCGAGGCTTCATGTGGTGGTTCATGCCTGTAATCCCTGCACTTTGGGAGGCTGAGGCAGGAGGATCGCTTGAGCTCGGGAGTTTGAGGCCAGCCTGGGCAACATGGTGAAACCCCATGTCTATAAAAAATACAAAAATTAGTCGGGTGTGGTGGTGGGCGCCTGTAGTCCCAGCTATTTGGGAGGCTGAGGTGGGAGGAACACTTGAACCTGAGAGGTCAAGGTTGCAGTGAGCCAAGATGGCAGCACTGTACTCCAGGTTGGGCAACAGAGTGAGACCCTGTCTCAAAAAAAAAAAAAAGTGATTTGAGCAGAGGCCTGAATGACATAAAGTGTTTAGATATCTGGAGAAAGACTTTGCAATCAGATGCAGACACCCTGGGGTTGGAAAATGCTTACAGTCTGAATAGTAAAAGAGGCACCACCAGCATGACTTCTAGTTATTGTGCTACACCCTGCACATTTTTTTCTTCTTTTTCGAGACAGGGTCTCACTCTGTCACCTAGATGGGAGTGCAGTGGCATGATCATGGCTCACTCCAGCTTCAACCTCCTAGGCTTCAGCAATGCTCTTGCCTCAGCCTTTGGAGTAGCTGGGACCACAGGTTTGTGTCACCACGTATGACTAATTTTTTTTTATTTTTCCTGTGTTGCCCAGGTTGATTTTGAACTCCTGGGTTCAAGTGATCCTCCTGCCTTGGCCTCCCAAAGTGCTGGAATTCCAGGCAAGAGCCACCATGCCTGGCCCTGGGCAACATTTTTATTGTCAGTCATTTAATAGCCTAGTCTAATGGATGTGTAGTGATATGTCATTGTGATTTTAATTTGCCTTTCCTTAATGACTAATGATGCTGAACACTTTTTTTATGTGCTTTTTTTTTTTGCCATTTATAAATTTTCCTTTGTGAAGTTTAAGTCTTGCCATTTTTAAATTGGGTTGTTTACCTTTTTATTCAACAGCTGTAGGTTTTTTGTTTTTTTTTTTTTTTGATACAGAGTCTCACTCTGTCTCCAGGCTGTAGTGCAGTGGCGCATCTCGGCTCACTGCAACCTCCGCTCCCAGGTTCAAGTGATTCTCCTGCCTCAGCCTCCCAAGTAGCTGAGATAACAGGCATGCACCACCACGCATGATCCACCCACCTCGGCCTCCCAAAGTGCTGGGATTACAGGCGTGAGCCACTGCGCCCAGCCCAGAAAGGAACATTCTTAAGCATTGAAGTGATTCTTGTCAAATTTGATTTCTATTCAAATTTAGGAGCTAGGCCAGGCATGGTGGCTCAGCCCTGTAATCCCAGCACTTCGGGAGGCTGAGGTGGGTAGATTGCCTGAATCCAGGAGTTTGAGACCAGGCTGGACAACATGGGGAAACCCCTGTCTCTACTAAAAATACAAAAGATTAGATGGGCCTAGTGGCGCCTCATGCCTGTAGTCCCCAGCTATCCCGGAGGCTGAGGTGGGAGAATCTCCCGAACCTGATGGGAAAGGTAGCAGTGAGTTGAGATAGCGCCACTGTACTCCAGCCTGGGCAACAAAGTGAGATCCTGTCTCAAAAAACAAAACAAAACCAAACAAATTTAGGAGCTAGCTTATGATTGTAGAAATAATTTTGGCAATAGAAGTGAGGGAACTGAGTTGTAGTCTAGCTAATTAACATTTGACAAACCATTAACTTTATATGTCTCATTTTCTTCATCTGTAAAATGAGGAAGATTTGATTAGAGGATTTATTAAAGTTCTTTTAAAATCTGAAATTACAGTTTCTTAATTGGTTTTGTAGAGATTTTGGCTTTATAAAAATGTGTGAACCATAGTGACAGTAGAAACATTTGAAATCCTATATTTGGGTGATTCATAAAAGAAAGGAAGAATTATGGGCATCTTGCCTGTAAAATGTTATGTAATCTGAATCGTTACCCACAGCATCCTGTGACTGATAAAGGTACTCATGCCCACCTCTCCTCCCTTGTCTTTCTGTAGTACTTTCCTTTCTCCCCGCCTCAATAATAGCTTTATTGATGTATAATTCACATACCATACATGTCATCTATTAATATTTAAAGCATACAATTCAGCGGTTTTTAGTCTATTTACAGAGTTGTACAGCCATCATCACAATCAATTTTAGAACACTTTCTGAACTCCAGAAAGAAAGTACCCTGCCTATTTCCCCTCTATCACCTAGCCCCAGGCAACTATGAATCTACTTTCAGCCTCCATAGATTGCCCTGTTATGGACAAATATGTGGCTGGTTTCTTAGTATAATGTTTTCAAGGTTATTTACGTTGTAGCATGTGTCAGCTATTTCATTTCTTTTTATTGTCAAATAACATTCAGTTGTATGGATATACCACATTTTATCTATTCCATCAGTTGATGGACATTTGAGTTGTTTTCATTTTGGGATTATTATAAATAATGCTACTATGAACATTTGTATACAAACATTATGTGGACATGTGTTTTCATTTCTCTTGGATATATACTTAGGAATGGGATTGCTGTATCACATGATACCTCTGTATTTAACCTTTTGAGGAATTGCCAAACTGTTTTCCAAAAGTGGCTGCACCATTTACATTCCCATTAGCAATATATGCTCCAGTTTCTCTACATCCTACCTTATACTTTTTTTTTTTTTTTTCTTTTTTTGAGACAGAGTCTCGCTCTGTCGCCCAGGCTGGAGTACAGTGGCACAATCTCGGCTCACTGCAACCTCCGCCTCCTGAGTTCAAGCAATTCTAAATTATCATGCCTCAGTCTCCCGCATAGCTGGGATTAGAGGCGTTTGCCACCATGCCTGGCTAAGTTTTGTATTTTTAGTAAAAATGGGGTTTCGCCATGTTGGCCAGGCTGTTCTCGAACTCTTGACCTCAGGTGATCCACACGCCTCGGCCTCCCAAAATGCTGGGATTATAGGTATGAGCCACCGTGTCCGGCCTGATTGGCCAGCTTTTCATTTGGAATGGGGATAGGACATAGTTGGAAGTTGGTCTCTTTGGTTATTTCCCTAACATGTCCAAGCATCCTAAAGTATCAGTCAAATAAGCAGTCTCTTCTCATTCCTGGCAGAGAGTAAGTCAAAGCCTTAATTCAATTTGCATACCTGTTTTCATGTAACAACAAATAATTTTTTTTTTTTTGAGACAGAGTTTCTCTGTTGTTGTTTAGGCTGGAGTGCAATGATGTGATCTTGGCTCACTGCAACCTCCGCCTCCCGGGTTCAAGCGATTCTCCTGCCTTAGCCTCCCAAGTAGCTGAGATTACAGGCATGCACCACCACAGCCGGCTAGTTTTGTATTTTTAGTAGAGACGGGGTTTCTCCGTGTTGGTCAGGCTGGTCTTGAACTCCTGACCCCAGGTGACCCGCCTGCCTCGGCCTCCCAAAGTGCTGGGATTACAGGCGTGAGCCACCACGCCTGGCCACAACAAAGAATTTTACCAGAAGTGGGTATGATTTATATCTTAGTTTGAATTGCTACTTACCTTTGGGGGAACAGACCTTTCCTTGATGTATCTTTAACACTGAAATCTTGGCAAGTTGCCAAGTCTCAAATGTTCATGAGTAAGACTGCAATATCACAATATCATAGTCACACAGGAATCTGATAGAAAAGCATCACATTTATAAAGCCTTCTTTCCTGTACATCACTGACGTTTTGTGAATTTTAAAGAATTTGTAATTATTTTTAAGGAGCATATTTAATGTAGATAATGTAGCCTAGAATAGGCTCATTTGAAATGAAACTCTTGCTAATAGGAACTTAATTCACCAAATTAAGAATATTTTGCTTTTGTAGAGATTTTGCTCTTGAAAATGTTGCAGTCTTGATTTCGTCTTGTCAGTCCAGTCAGAATTGTAAAGTAATTTTTTTTCTCATTCCAGAAATACATGCTACAGGATTTAACTATCAGAATGAAGATGAAAAAGTCACCTTGTCTTTCCCTAGTACTCTGCAAACAGGTAAGAGACATAGCTTTTGTAAAATCTCGTGATGAATATAGTGACATCTGACTTCCTCCAGAGAAATTTATTGTATGCCATTTTTCCCCTCATTGTTATTAGCAGATTAAGTATTAAGAGCTTTTTTTTTTTTTTTCCTTTGAGACGGAGTCTTACTCTATTGCCCAGGCTGGAGAGTAGTGGCATGATCTTGGCTCACTACAACCTCCACCTTCCAGGTTCAAGCGATTCTCCTGCGTCGGCCTCCCGAGTAGCTGGGATTACAGGTGCCTACCACCACACCGGCTAATTTTTTTGTATTTTTAGTAGAGACAAGGTTTCGCCATGTTGGCCAGGCTGGTCTTGAACTCCTGATCTCAAGCGATCTGCCCACCCTGGCCTCCCAAAGTGGTAGGATTACAGGCAGGAGCCACCGCGCCCAGCCGTATTAAGAGCTTTTTAAAGAGGTTTGTTGCAACTTTTGGGCCACCAGCATTTCCTTCTGCGGAAGTTGGGCTACGAAAAGCAGGGTTTCCACCTCCTGTCACTCTATATTCTCTTTAAACGAACAAGCCAAGAAAAACAGGACAAAAACTAAAGATCATTCTATCCTAGAATGTAATGTATTGTTTTCCAGTTTTACCTTTTTAAAAATACCTTTACCTAGGCCGGGCATGGTGGCTCACACCTGCAATCCTAGCGCTTTGGGAGGCCAAGGCGGGCTGATCACTTGAAGCCAGGAGTTAGGGACCAGCATGGCGAACATGGCAAAACCCCATCTCTACCAAAAAATACAAAAATTACCCAGTGTGGTGGCTCATCCCTATAATCCCAGCTACTCAGAAGGCTGAGGCAAGAAAATCGCCAGAAGCCAGGAAGTGGAGGTTGCAGTGAACCGAGATCGTGCCACTGCACTCCAGCCTGGGTGATAGAGTGGGACTCTGTCTAAAACAAACAAACAAAATACCTTTACCTAGCTGCATCTTCTATTAATTGAATCCAAATCCCTGAAGTGAATGGTCACAGATGATTTTGATATACAACCAGAGATCAAATAGGTATTGTGTTATTGAGGGCACAGAAAGAAAGATAGGTTGATATGTTACTATTGTTAGGTATAAAAGCACAAAGAAATAGACTTTCTGAGCTTAGTGTATGTGGAAGAAATTATATACAAATCAATTGGTGAAGTACTAAGACTTTGATGAATGAACAAATGAAAAGGAACAGATAATTCAAAAGGAAGAAAATGTAAATGACTAATAAACATGTGAAAAGATATTGAGCCTCCTAGTAATGAGAAATTTTTGCTTCTCATGTGAGCTGATTTTAAAAATTCCCAATGATATGGCTGCCTTGATATCGCTGGGGGAAGTATAAATCCATGTAATTTTTTTGAAAAGCATTCTGGCAGTATATCAAGAGCCTAAATATGTTCATGTCCTTTGACCCAGCAATTCTGCTAATAGGAATATATCCCAAGGAAAAGTCATAAATACAGAAAATACTTTATGCCCAGAAGTGTCTGAGATATTACTTATGGTAGTAAAAAATTATAATTAATATATTTGTTCAACACTAAGGAAATGATCAAGCCAGGAATGATATATATCTATATAGTGAAATATACTTAGCAATTAAAAGTGAGGTTTGTGAATTCTTCACCCTGTAAAGTGCTTATTATAATGTAAACTTGAAAAGCAGAATATAAAATTACATATTTAAGGTGGTGAATCATGTCTCTAAATGGCACAAGTAAAATGATAGTTATGTCTGGGTGTTGACATAATTGGTGATTTTTATTCTTATTTATATCTTTTGTCTGATTTTCACAATTTTCCTACTGAGAATCTATTGAATTAATATAAAATTATTTTTAGAAAAAATTTAAATTGGAGATGTTTAGTCTTTTATTTCAGTGCTCTTGGAGGCCCTTTATGTGTAATTATTATAAAAATAAATGGGCTGGGCGTGGTGGCTCACGCCTGTAATCCCAGCACTTTGGGAGGCCGAGGCGGGTGGATCACGAGGTCAGGAGATCGAGACCATCCTGACTAACACGGTGAAACCCTGTCTCTACTAAAAATACAAAAAATTAGCTGGGAATGGTGGCAGGTGCCTGTAGTCCCAGCTACTCGGGAGGCTGAGGCAGGAAAATGGCGTGAACCCGGGAGGTGGAGCTTGCAGTGAGCCGAGATCGCACCACTGCACTCCAGCCTGGGCGACAGAGTGAGACTCCGTCCCAAAAAACAAAACAAAACAAAACAAAAAATGCTTTGCCATGAACATGTATTAAAAGCTATTGAAGAATATAATTTGAAAAGGAAGGAGATTCTTCTGCTGCATTGTCTGGTGAATCTGTCTAGAAATATTCCTATGTATATATAAATTTATGTATATAATTTAACCCACAAATAGGATCACAAATCTCAGTGGCTTATAACCACTGAGATTTCTTTCTTTTTTACACATGGGCCATGAGGAGTGCTGATCATATGCAGCCATATCACCAACTCTACTGGCTCCACTTGGCTCCCAACTGTCTTTCCAGGACTAGTAGTGAGCGGGCAGCCACTCTCTGTATCATGCATGGCAGAGGGCAGAGGCTCAGGGAAGGGGAGAAAGCTAGAACACAAAGACACATTTAAAACTTCTGCATGGCCAGGCGTGGTGACTCACACCTGTAATCTCAGCATTTTTGGAGGCTGAGGCAGGAGGATTGCTTGAGCCCAGGAGTTGGAGACCAGCCTAGGCAATGTAGTGAGACCCTGTCTCTATAAAAAATAAAATAAAAAATAAAATTTCTGTATGATGGTGGTATACTTGATGTCTACTCACATTTCATTGACCAAAGCAAGTAGCATGACCAAGCCCAAAGTCACTGGGGTAGCATTTAACAGACATTTGCAAAAAGTTTCTAATGAAAGATAGGGCAAAAAGCAAAATTATAAGTATAATAGAAATAAAGGAAGTTGGAAAAAGCAAAGACAAATCTAAAGAAAGTTAAAAAAAAAACAAACAAACCCAAAGCTAATTACTATCCTTAGAGAATTAAGAGAAAGCATTGCGTTCATTAAACAAGGACAGGACAGAATGCCATCAGATAGGAAGAATTACAGCAGGAAAACTTGGAAATTATGATGGGTATAAAAAACCCAGTAAAAGTGTTAAAAGATGAAGTTGAGGAAACTTCTAAGCAGTAGAAAAAACAGATAGAAAACAGAAAAATAGATTTGAGAACCAGTCCAGCAGAACCAACATCCATCTAGTGAAACAGAAAGCAGAGAAAATGGGAAGAGGATTTTTTTATTTTCATTTTTGCAACAGAATCTTGCTCTGTCACCCAGACTGGAGTGTAGTGGTGCGATCTCGGCTCACCACAGCCTCCACCTCGTGGGTTCCAGTGATTCTCCTGCCTCAGCCTCCTGGGTAGCTGAGATTACAGGCACATACCACCATGCCCAGCTGATTTTTGTATTTTTAGTAGAGTTGGGGTTTCACCATGTTGGCCAGGCTGGTCTCGAACTCCAGACCTTAGGTGATCTGCCCACTTCGGCCTCTCAAAGTGCTAGGATTACAGGCGTGTGCCACTGTGCCCGGCCAGAAGAGAAACTTTCAAAAAGACAGGAACATTTCCTTGAACTGATAGAGCAGGAGCCTTCAGTTTGCAAAGGTACACCATTGAGAGAGACTAGCTTAAAAAATGTAAAAATTGCCACACTGACTGAAATTTTAGAACTTTTGCGATAAAGTAAAACTCCCAGAAAGTTCCTGTCTGGGGTAGGGGGCAATAGGAGGGAAGGCAGGTAGCATACTACCTTTAAAATTTAGGAATCAGAATAGTCCTAGACTTACCATTAGGAACAGTGGAAACTTAGACTCTAATGAAGCTGTTCATTCAAAATACAAAGTGAATCTGATTTTCAACCTAAGATTGCATGCTTAACCCAACTTTGAATTTCGGAGTAAAAATATTTTCAGATTTGCAAGGTCATAGAAAATTTGATTCTTTGTAAAAGATATTGGAGTGGGGGATGGATTAGCTAAAGCATGACTTTCTACAGTGAAGAGAAAATGTCTAAAGTTGAAAAATGAAGAAATAGGCCATGGTCGTGGCTCATGCCTGTAATCCCAACACTTTGGGAGGCTGAGGTGGGAGGATTGCTTGCCCATGAATTGAAGGCTGCAGTGAGCCATGATTGTACCACTGCCCTCGCGCCTGGGCGACAGAGCAAGACTGTCTCAAAGAAAGGAAAAGAAAAAATAGCTGTGTAAGCAAGACATTTAGAAGTCACAGAGTTTGAAATTGATTGCTTCTTAGGGGCAGGGTGTGGGGAGTAGGGCCTAGTGTTGAGCAGGGCCTGGAGCTTACGTATTTTAAACTATGAACTATTATTTTGATAGAAATTTAAAAAATTTTAGAGTTTTAAATCTATATCATTACAGACTATATATATTCTGCGTTTACACTGTGAAAAAATTAGAAGTCAATAGAAAAAGAAATGAAAAACCTTTTTATATATTTGGAAAAATTACACCTCTGAATAATTGAGTCAAAGAAGACTTGTTATGGAAATTAGAAAATATTTAGAACTGAATAATGAAATTACCACATATGAAACATTAGGGATAAACGTGTTTCATATGCAGATAAAATATTAGAGAGGATATTTAGTTAAGAAGAAAGACTGAAAATTAATTAGCTAAGCATTAAACTCATAAAAACAAAAGGTAATTTGGAGAAAGTAGAAGAAAGTTTTAAGAGCAGAAACAAATGAAATAAGTGAAGTGAGGGGCAGAAATATTAAAAAACTGATATTTAAAAATAGTCCCAAAAGATATATAAACCTAGCCAGTATAGAAAATAAAAGCGTAGATTGAATTGTTGTTCAGCATTAGGAAATATGGTAACCATTTTTCATTAAATTTAAAAAGTTAAACATTCTATATTTATCAAAAGGAATCAGTTTATTTGCTAGAATTCACCAGGGAAGAGTAGACAGAAACTTCTAACATGATAGAAGATATGGATTACACACACACACACGACATAATCTGTGCCAAGTACTGTTTTAAGTGCCTCAAAAATATTAATTTATTTAATCCTTTCAACAACCTTTTGAGGTAGATTTGTTTTGTGACAAAGTCTCTCTGTCACCCAGGCTGGAGTATAGTGGTGCAGTCACGGCTCACTGCAGCCTCAAACTCCTGGGTTTAAGTGATTCTCCCACTTCAGCCTCCCATGTAGCTAGGACTGCCTACACATGACACTGCATCTGGTTAATTTTTAAATTTTTTTGTAGAGACAGGGTCTCGTTATGTTGCCTAGGCTGGTCTCAAATGCCTGGCCTCAGGTGATCCTCCTACCTCAGAGAGAGGATCTTGCCATCCTCCCAAATGTTGAGATTACAGGCATGAGCCACTACGCCAGCCAGATTCTGTTACTTCTATTTTGTAGATAAACTAAGGCAGAAAAATGATTTCATTAACTTAAATAATTTGTCCAAGGTAACATAGCTAGTAAGTAACATAGCTGGGATTTAAACCCAAGCAGTTTAACTGAAAAGTCTGCACTTTTAACCACCACATTGTGCTATCTTTATTTTTCAAATTAAATATTTCAAAAACATAGTACATTTACATAATTTGAAATTCAAATGCTATGCAATGAAATTTTGTTTGCCAGTCTACCGTCTTCTTTCTCAGCTCCATTCCTCAACAGAATGAAATGAAATTTTCCTTTCAAAACTATACCCTGCTTTTGTAAGCATTTATGTATATACTTTTTAAGAACACAGAAATCACCATGCCATACATAATGTTCTGCACCTTTCTTCTTTTCCCCTTAACTGTAAATATTGGAGGCCATTTATTATTAGTATATAAGAGATGTATCATTCTTGATAAGGTCTGTTTACAGCAGACATGCTAAATGGTGAAGCTATTTCAAATAATAACAAACAAGTTAGAGAAGGTTATGACCATTCGTATAGTATGATTTAACATAATTTTTGATATTTTTGGCCAATATAACAATTTTGAGCTAATATAACAACTGATATAAATATTAGAACAGAAAAATTATCTTGCAGGTGTGACAATATTGAATTATTATTATTATTATTATTATTATTATTATTATTATTTTTGAGATGGAGTCTTGCTCTGTCGTCCAGGCTGGAGTGCAGTGGCGCGATCTCAGCTCACTGCAAGCTCTGCCTCCTGGGTTCATGCCATTCTCCTGTCTCAGCCTCCCGAGTAGCTGGGACTACAGGTGCCTGCCACCACGCCCAGCTAATTTTGTTTTTGTATTTTTAGTAGAGATGGGGTTTCACTGTGTTAGCCAGGATGGTCTTGATCTCCTGACCTCGTGATCCGCCCACCTCGGCCTCCCAAAGTGCTGGAATTACAGGTGTGAGCCACCACGCCCCACCGACAATATTGAATTATTTAATATCTGTTTGAAATCATTGGCTTTCACATTTTCCCAAGGTTTGCTTTAAGAATGAAGTTAATCTTTTTCAAGACGGATTGCACAAGTGATCTATCTGATAATGAAGCAAATACTGAGCTTATCTTAGGAGGACATTAATAATCTTTGTGTTTAGCCTCATCAAATTTAACAGTAATGCAAGCTATTATACAGCTAAGTAAAACCTACTTTTCTGAAATTGGCACCATTCTGGGATAGTGATTAAATTACCATAATTATTGTAAGGTCTAACAACCCTAGAATTAGTGGCTGAGGGTCCTAAGGGTGGCATTTATATGGAGAAACACTGGTAGTTGTCAGCATTTTGAAGAGTCAAAAACAAGATAATAAAAAGTGGTGACACATGGCGAAACCCTGTTTCTACTAAAAACAAAAATTAGTCAGGCCTGGTGGCGCACGCCTGTAGTTCCAGCTAATCAGGAGGCTGAGGCAGGAGAATTGCTTGAACCCGGGAGCCGAAGGTTGCAGTGAGCCGAGATTGCACCACTGCACTTTAGCCTGGGTGACAGACTGAGACTCCATTTTCCAAAGAAAAAAAGAAGTGGTGACACAAAGGCAACAACCTTTATTCCCTTTTTGTATAAATTATTCTCTTTATTTTTATAGCATTTAGTAGGCTCATTAAATTTATTATTATTAAAGTATTTCAAGATTTACTCCAGGTTTTACAATTGTTATACTCTCCTAAGCTTTAAACATTTAAGGTTTTTGATGGAAGTCCCAATTTTTCAGTTGTTTACTTTATAAACGAGCTTGATATATGTTTCAAAAGGTTTACAACCCCAAACATAAATATTTCATACATTGGATATGAAATAAGGTATCTAATTTGAGGAAGTGGTGTAAATTATGTGTGTTGATAGGCATAAAATTAGACAATTTGGCAATCCGTTCATTAATATGGTGTAAATTTGATAAATGAAATTTATTAAAAAGTCATTTTTTCTCCTACTTGCCCTAAAATTCTACTATATGAATAGTAAGTAAATACTTTGTAATTGGTATCATATAATGTGACACTAATTAAACTTATTAATGATTTTTAAATACTTTAACTTGTGTTTTGTTTGAATTTCAGGTAATAACTCTTTCCAATACTTTGTATTTTGTTTAGTATGCCACTTTTTGGAAGTGGTCACTGTCAATATCTTGTTATGGTTTGATGGCCTTGGAGATTTAAAACCGAGTAAAAGTGTAAGCAGTCTTTCTTATTTAGTTATGAGTTTTAAAACCACTTTTGTTCCAACTAGGAAAAAATGCAAGTAGATTTACCATGAAATATGAATTATATTTAAAAAACATCTTAACAGTTGATTGACTTAGTGAAACAGACTGGGCAATTCCACTTATGGAATTGTAACATAAAATTCCATCATATAGTTTCCATTAAAGGTAGTAGGTTTTTATAATCTGTTAGACGTTCTTTGCAAACTTTATTAATGTGAATACATTTGCTTTTTTAAAAAAATTAAGTGAATTTCTAAAGAAAATAGAAATTAAAAATTTTTAATTTAAATTTTGCTTTATAGTTTAATTTTTTAGTATCATTTAGAATTATCAGTTATTTTACTATATTCATATATACTGTCCCAGTAACCTGTCATTCTCTTTAAAGAAAAAAGTATTCATTGTCCTCTTTAGATATTTACAAACATCTGATTTTTAAAAATAAACATCACAAATGTCTTCAATTAAGCTTCAGTTGAGTTGGTTTTTTCTCAGAATGATTAAGAATATAGCACTTTCATTAGTGGTGACTTTGCTCTAAAGGTCTGAAATTTTCACTTAAATTACTTTTAGAACCAGTTTGAGGCATCAGGCTAGAGACAGTTTGTAGTTTGTCATTCACTTATTCTGTAGACTCGCACTCCCCATAACTTTTGGTCCTTTCCAAAAGCAAATTCAATTTTATAAGATGAAGATTTGACTTTGAGATCATTCAAAAGAATGTCAGAGGGGCCAGGCACAGTGGCTCATGCCTGTAATCCCAGCACTTAGGGAGGCCAAGGTGGGTGGATCACTTGAGGCCAGGAGTTTAAGACCAGCTGGCCAACATGGCAAACCCCTGTCTCTACTAAAAATGCAAAAATTAGCCAGGCGTGGTGATGCCCGCCTGTAGTCCCAGCTACTCAGGAGGCTGAGGCACAATTGCTTGAACCCAGGAGGCGGAGGCTGCAGTGAGCCGAGATCACACCACTGTACTCCAGCCTGGGCAACAGAGTAAGCCTCTGTCTCAAAAAAAAAAAAAAAAGAGAGAAAGTCACAACATTTTGAACAATGTCAAATGTCATTGCTCTTTAGCATTCCAAAATGACAATTTGAAACATTAGTATATAAAAGTTTGGTATGATTGGTTAATTACTTTATAGTCATGCCCTATCTTTGATTTGTTAGACTTCCCATGCTTTAAATCTTGATATAAGTAGGGCCTTTAAAATGGTCAACTAAAAAGTCACCATTCCTCTACGTTTTTTCGTGACTTGATTTGTAAAACACAGAATGGGATTACTGTTTTGCCATGCATCTGTATTTAGCAGATGATTACTAGATAATAATTATAATTTTTTATGTTATAAAAAAGAAAGTATATGAACTCAAAAAAGCTCACTTTTTTGTCTAAATTGTTTTTGCTCTTATACAACAATAGAATACATATTTAAGTTGTATTTTTATTTGCATTTAATAATTTATTAATTAAATGTATTTCTTTGTCAGATTTCAAATGATTGAGGTGACTTGTAAGAATTTGTTTTATGCCCTGTTGCTGATCAAATCATTGGTCTTCCCTATAGCTCCTTACAAAATTATGCAATCAGTGTTCCATTTGGAGTAAACATTTAGTGTCTTATCTTGATAGAGTAATTGGCTACATTTCTCTTTCTATGCATGAAGTTGTGTAAAAGGACCAATTCACATGTATAATTGGCAGACAGCATGAATTCTGGACTTAAACATTTTATCCCATTCTCACTACTTACTAATTGTATGACACTGGACAAGTTATTTAGCTTCTCAGCCTCAGTTTCCTCATCTGAAAAAATGAGGACAATATCTACTTCCAGGTTTATAAATAGTTATATATATTTTAAAAGCACTATGCACAATAGCACATATCAGGCATTTAAGAATAAATGTTTGTTTCCTTTCCTGTTCTTATTTTCACATATTGGTAGTTTGAGACTAAGTTAATAACTTTTTAGGCAGTCACCCTAAACATGACTTTCAAGAGTTATTTTAGGATTAGTCTGCCTTTTACTTTAGTAAGTACTGTATTCTCTCCATTGCCAGGAGGAATATTTGAAAAAGGAAGGAATGATTTGAACATTGTAAATAGCTAACTGAATATAGTGTCTTGAGGACATATTTTTGGTAACTGTGTTTAACATCTCCATAAAAGTGTTTTTTATTTATCTTCAATCACAGGTACGGGAACCTTAAAGATAGATTTTGTTGGAGAGCTGAATGACAAAATGAAAGGTTTCTATAGAAGTAAATATACTACCCCTTCTGGAGAGGTGCGCTATGCTGCTGTAACACAGTTTGAGGTATGGGTTATTCTTCTCTAAAATATTATTATTCTTAAATTAGGCATTCTGACAAAGCTGTGTTTTATTATGTGGGGTGATTATTTGAGGCTAGGTGCCCTTGGCCATGATTGTATTCACAATTTTAGAATTTTTATTTTATATTTAGCCATTATCTCTATAGAAAGGAGGGAATTAAGGGTATGGGTTGGGGAATGATTATATACAGTTATACACACAGACGCTCAAACACACGACACATTTTGATACCTGAATTGCCTATATACTGTGTACCTTTCTTAAAATCATTCTCTTAGTATTTGACACCTATGGCTTTTCCTACAGTATTATTAGCTGTTTTCTGGAATTCCTTTCCTTCTTTGACATCTTTTGTTTATCTTACTGTAGTATCTGTGCTGTCTTTGATTTTTTTTTTCTCCGTGTGTGTGTGTGTGTGTGTGTGTGTGTGTGTGTATACACATATATATACACACACATATATATATTTGCTGTCCTATGTAGGCCAGGATGATTTTTATTTGTCAAGTATTTGCAAATTATATAAATTGTTTTGAATCTGCTAGTCGTATTTTTAAGTGTTAAATCTAAATTTATTTCTGTAAATTTCAATATGGATAAAGAAACAATTCATGATATCCGTTCTTATGTTTCTGCCCATATCCCTATATTGTTTGCTTGTTTGGGATAACCTAAAATTTTTTATCCAGTTTACTACTAATTTGTTTTACCTGATGTATCTTCTCTTTCAATAATTTTATGTTACTTTCTGTTTAGAATAATATTTGCCACAGATATTTAGGTTTAATTCTGTGTTTGAATGATTCTAATGCCTTTCTCTACCCACTTTGAACACTTCATCCTGGAATGGTTGGCTGATGTATGTCTCTAAACAATTTTTTTTTAGGAGAAGGTATGTGGGTAATGTAATTCCTGAGCCTTTGCTTTTCTGAAAAGTCTTTCATTTGCCTTTATACATGACCAGATTTACTGGGTATATAGATTTGTTGATGAAAAAAGGTAAAAAGAGCAACTTTTGACATCCAGAGGTTGTCTGGCACTCACAGCTAGCCCATGTTATTCTCCCTATTAGACATAATATTACAGAATACCAACTTTAGACAAGGCTACTTGAGACCATAATAAAGTGAGACAAAACAAGGGATCCATAATTTTGCCTAGGTACAGTACATACAGGATCACTATGCTACCCGCAAAATATCAAACATCTCCATCTCTCAGTTAAAATGAGTGACTACTGCTTCTTTACCAATTACGGTTTTAGATTTGCTCTAGTCTGGCCTCCGTATAGATAAGATTTATTGAGATACATACCCATAGAATTGCCTCATAGGACTTCTTGCAGCACTCAATCTAGAGTGAATCCCTGTTTACTTAGACCCTCTTCCAAATCATGTAAACCAAATCCCAAATCGTATAGTGGGTTCTTTCTTACATTCTTATGGAGACACCAGTGGTTCCCTATGGTGTGAGTTCTCTCTTGCCATGAGTAATAGGCCCAGCTCATTCAACTGTAAGAGTAGTACAATCAGCTTACAATTTTTCACTTTCAAAAGTCTGTGAATATTGTTTCCAAAGTCTTCTACATCTCACTTTTTCAAGAGGAGGGGTCACAGACTAAAATGTTTCTTCTTCCTTTGTAGGTAAGATGTTGTTTCGTTTTGCTTTATTTTCTTCCTGCTTGCTTGTTAAATTATATCTTGATATCGAAAATTAAACTGTTTTTTAAACCAGGTGTTCACTTTTCATTGATTTTTGCTTAGTACTTGGTGAACCCTATTGATTTTTAGATTCCGATAATTTTTCAGTGTGAAAGAGTTTTTCTGTTATATCTTCACTGTGATATCCATTCCATTCCCTTCTCAGTTAATACCCAGTTTAGCTCTAGTATCTGTCTCTCAAATTATGTTTAATTGCTTTTATCACTTTGTCCTTTAGATATTTTCAAACTTAAATCTTGTTATCTATGTCATTAATTTCCTTTAGTATAAATTCATTTCTCTGCTGCTGCTTCTAATTTAAATGCTTCTGTGCTGCCATTTCTTTCCTTATACTCTCCCTTCTTTTCAGATGTCTTTTTTATTCATTGATAGAATTCATTATTTATTTAATGTTTTTGAGAATATAGTCAGCCAAGTTTCTTCTACCTCTTTGGTTTGTTTGTTTGTTTGTTTGTTTGTTTTTTAGTCGGAGCCTTGCTCTGTCGCCCAGGCTGGAGTGCAGTGGTGCAATCTTGGCTCACTGCAACCTCCGCCTCCCAGGTTCGAGCCATTCTCCTGCCTCAGCCTCCCGAGTAGCTGGGATTACAGGCATGTGTCACCATGCCTGGTTTATTTTTGTATTTTTAGTAGAGACGGGGTTTCACCATGTTGACCAGGCTGGTCTCTAACTCCTGACCTCAGGTGATCGCCCACCTCGGCCTCCCAAAGTGCTGGAATTACAAGCATGAGCCACTGCACCCAGCCTGTTGTTTCTTTTTATAATACAGAATCTTGTCATTGGTTCCATTTTATTTACTAAATAAATGGAAAATTCTGTTTACTAAAGTTTCTTTCCTTTATAACTGATACCCTGCAGAACCCCTAAGTTTTATTTTGCTTTCATAAGTTTGCTCTTTTTTAAATTTTTAATGAAAGAGTAAGGACTCAAGTAGGTCAAGTGGCGACAGTTTTATGTGTAGCATATGGAAGTGCCATTAAATGAATGACCTGTCTTGAATTGATAGAGCATCTGTCTTTATTCCCATTGCTGCCATTCCAGATAAAGAACAAAGCACGTCAAAGATTGAGAATATTTTTATTTTTAATTCAAAAATAAAAGCCAGAGAGGCAACTTACCATGTTTTCCCAACTTTGAATTCTTATAGCATACTCTTTACTGTTCTGTGCTGTGTTGTGTTAACATTATTGATTTGAAGGCATTTGCATTAAATTTGAAATGTTAAAATGTAAACAAAAATTTAGTTGTAAATAATTATAATATATTGTTAAAATCCATAGCAGACACTGTTCCTGGATATTTGCTGGAATGGCAGTGGTAGCAAGTGTTGTCTTTTCTTTCTAGTTAATGCCTGGCTTGTTGCCTGGCACTGAAGAGAAAGTAAATATTTGAACAAGGGAATGAATGAATGACAGAGGGAAATGGTGACTGCTTTATGAAATAACTTGTTAGGTTAATTCTAAGGTATTTATATTTCATATTCTTTTCTTAAGGCTACTGATGCCCGAAGGGCTTTTCCTTGCTGGGATGAGCCTGCTATCAAAGCAACTTTTGATATCTCATTGGTTGTTCCTAAAGACAGAGTAGCTTTATCAAACATGGTATGTATGTGTTTATAAGTTTATCTAAAATTTTAATAGGCTTTAGCAGATTTAGTTTGCTGATTAGATGGGATAATATGAAACCACCTACCACAGTGCTGGTATATTATAGGAACATAAATATTAGTTTTCTTTATTTTCAATAAGCCTCTTTTTCTTTCTTTTTTTTTTTTTTTTCTGTAGAGTTGGGGTCTCATTATGTTGCCCAGGCTGGTCTCAAACTCCTGGGGTCAATCTGTCTTCCTGCCTCAGCTTCCCAAAGTGCTGGGATTACAGGCATGAGCCACCATGCCCAGCCAAGACCTCTTTTTCTTGATAGCTTTATTTTTGGAGGATTTTCTCTTTGTCAAATTCCTCGTTAAATACATTTATAAGATTATCTACTTCTTTTAATTTAGAGAGGTAAATTGACAAGTTTAATAGATTTATAGTAACTAAAAGCAAAAGGTCTTGGGCTGGATATGGTGGCTTACACCTGTCATCCCAGCACTTTGGGAAGTCAAGGTAGGCAGATCGCTTGAGGTCAGGAGTTGAAGACCAGCCTGGCCAACATGGTGAAAACCTGTCCTTACTAAAAATACAAAAATTATCTGAGTGTGGTTGCACACACCTGTAGTCCCAGCTAGTTGGGAGGCCGAGGTGGGAGGATCACTTGAACCCAGGAAGCGGAGTTTGTAGTGAGCTGAGATCACACCACTGCACTCCAGCCTGGGTGACAGAGCCAGACCCTATCTCAGAAAAAAAAAAAAGAAAAAGGTCTTGACTTATTAAATGTCATAAGAAAGCCAGGTACAGTGACTCTTGCTTGTAATCTCAGTGCTTTGGGAGGCTAAGGCAGGAGGATTGCTTGAGGCCAGGAGTTTGACACCAGTCTGGGCAACATAGTGAGACCTCATTTCTACAAAAGATTTAAAACTTAAAAGTTAGCCAGGTATGGTGGCACGTGTCTGTAATCCTAACTACTTGGGAGGCTAATGTGGGAGGATCTCTCGAACTTAGGAGTTTGAGGCTACAGGGAGCCGTGATTGTGCCACTGTATTCCAGCCTGGGTGACAGAACAAGACCCCATCTCTTAAAAAAAAAAAAATAGGCCAGGCATGGTGGCTCATGCCTGTAATCCCAGCACTTCAGGAGGCTGAGGCAGGTGGATCATTTGAGGCCAGGAGTTCGAGACCAGCCTGGCCAACATGGTGAAACCCCATCTCTACTAAAAATACAAAAATTAGCCAGATATGGTGGCAGGCACCTGTAACCCCAGCTACTTGGGAGGCTGAGGCAGGAGAATTGCTTGAACCTGGGAGGTGGAGGCTGCAGTGAGTTGAGATCGCGCCACTCCACTCCAGCCTGGGTGACAGAGCAAGACTCCATCTCGGGGGAAAAAAAAAAAAAAGGTTGCAACAGAGCAAGACCCTGTCTCTTATGTTTTTAAAAAGTTAAAAAAATTCAAAAGATGTAGCTGCGTAATGAAGTATATTTAGGTCTCTGGCTGTTTGTATTCTTGGAATGTATTCTCTTCACCAGTGTTATTGATCTCATTCATGAACAGGGTAAGCATTCCCCACTTGAAGTGTGTTGTCTAGGACTGTCTTGTGTGGGGAACTTGGAAAAACCTGCTGCACCTGAAAATAACTCTTTTATGTATTTATTGGGGGAGAGCATCCCATAAATAGAATGTCATTCTCTTCTCACATATTCTTAGAAGAGGAGGCTAATATATTAAACGGAAATATTCATTCACACTTTAGTATGAGTGAATTTATCAGTGTGTTCTTGAATAAGTCTTCCTTGGAAGGAAGAATAGAGAGAGCTTGAGGAAACAGAGCCTGAATAGGAAAAAGAGGGAGAACACCAAAGGAAATTAGGGACTCCAAAGGTAAAGTTGAAATTTCTTCACAAATAAGCTTAGAGCCAACTTTGGTAGAGAATGCCCTCGATCTAGAAGTTTGTATCCTTTGAAATGGGAGATTCTACAATTATATTATATTTATTTATTTTTGAGAAGGAGTCTCGCTGTGTCGCCCAGGCTGGAGTGCAGTGGTGTGATCCCAGCTCACTGCAAGCTCCGCCTCCCTAGTTCACGACATTCTCCTGCCTCAGCCTCCCAAGTAGCTGGGATTACAGGCACCCCCCACCATGCCTGGCTAATGTTTTGTATTTTTAGTAGAGATGGGGTTTCACCATGTTAGCCAGGATGGTCTTGATCTCCTGACCTTGTGATTCGCCTGCCTAAGCCTCCCAAAGTGCTGGTATTACAGGCGTGAGCCACCGCGCCTAGCCCCTATTTTATTTTTATTAATAGTCATTTTCTCCTAAACTTATGTCAGTTGAAAAGTATGAAGCCCTTAACTTAAATCATCCCAATGCCTGGCTTATAATAAGTATTTGAGAAAAGTCCATTCCTCTTTTCTTTCACAGGTCCTTGGTAGTTTTAACACTTCAGCCTCCAGCTTCTTAGTATGAGTGTTTTATCAGACCACTTTCCTTCTTAAAGACAGCATAAAAGCACTGGATGAATTGGGGTAGAGAAATAAGCCATGCTAGAATAGAAAGGGGTAAAGAGATGCAATAAAGCCTACAGTTTTTGGCTGGTATTTGCTCTATGGTATTAATGTAAACCTATTTAAATTTTTCTTTTTTTTATTTCTTAAAGAATGTAATTGACCGGAAACCATACCCTGATGATGAAAATTTAGTGGAAGTGAAGTTTGCCCGCACACCTGTTATGTCTACATATCTGGTGGCATTTGTTGTGGGTGAATATGACTTTGTAGAAACAAGGTCAAAAGATGGTGTGTGTGTCCGTGTTTACACTCCTGTTGGCAAAGCAGAGCAAGGAAAATTTGCGTTAGAGGTAAATGTACTTGAAGAGGATTGTTCCAACAGTCCATAACTCCAGGTTGGGGAATTTACATTTCTGGTCAATTATTAGTACAGTTATTTATAATTTAATCTGAAAGTTGTGCTACTTGGTTTATTTTTAGTAGAATTTAGGAAATGCCAACCTTGGTGTTTCATTATTTTACAAAATAATAATTAAGAGAATATAAGAGTGGAATTTCTCTAGGGAATGGGTTGGAAAATATGTAGTTATATTTTTCATATCAAGTTATAAATGGATTAAAGTTTGGCCATTGTATTCAAAGTTTGGAGCTAAGGCAGTCTTCGGAGGGTAGGGCTCCTCGGGATTCATTTCTAGTAATTTAAGATACATTGGCTTGCAACAGGATTCCTTTGTGGGTTTCAATATGAATTATAATAACATATTTATTAGATGGTTATTTTGTTTATACTTTTATAGGTTGCTGCTAAAACCTTGCCTTTTTATAAGGACTACTTCAATGTTCCTTATCCTCTACCTAAAATTGATCTCATTGCTATTGCAGACTTTGCAGCTGGTAAAGTAAATTTCATTTTATTGCTGAATTGTAATAACTTTTTAAAATTTTGTGACTTTTGATGCAAGAGTATATATATATATATATATATCAATAAATGTTTATATTTATTTTGTGAAGGTGCCATGGAGAACTGGGGCCTTGTTACTTATAGGTATGTTAATGATGTGTTACCCTGCCTTATCTTTTCAAATCACTGATTTCAAAAGGGCTTCCCTCCTAATCACAGTTGAGTAGCTTCTGCTTTACGATATGGTGTAAATTTTTCTACCTTCCCCCACTTCCGTGCACATTTCAAGAATGCAGATGGACACCCCTCCCTTTGGTGCTACTGTCTGAGGGTGTAAGATTTTAAAGTGAGCATCTGGCGGTAGTAGCATTTTTAGATATATTCTTGGCTAAGTTTCTCATTGCAGTAGTTTCATAGCTATTTATCCAGCTTGGAGAACCTTCCCTAATTTCATATCTTCTAGCCAAGTTTTTACATGTCTGTCACCACAACATAAACATGTGAGTTGAATAACTTTTAAAAGCAGAGTCTGTCTGTAAACAAGTTTTTGCCTTCTACTTTCAATTGCCTTTTTAGATGAGCTAAGTGTTGGACAGCCGGCTCAGTGCTGTTTTTGGGACTATGGAATGCATCTTCCTCCACCACTCCCCTCATTTAATGGAAGGACTTTCTTCTCTCTCCATCTAGCACAGTAATCGCTAATCCCTTAGACAATGTTTTCCCAAAATTTCAGGCAGCTATTCTATCAACAAACTGATAATTAAACTTGTGTCACATCTTTGATATTCTGTTGTATTAATTCTGTTGGGGTAGTCTTTAATCTTCGTGAAACTTTTTCTTTCCATATTAGGAAATATTTTCCTAATATCTCTAAAGCCTAACTTGTCCATCTGACTTACTGTCTGAATCTTCCCAACTTATGCATGCCCACTTTTATTGTTTAAATTTGTTTCTTTTTTTTTTTTTTAAACACAGGGAGACTGCATTGCTTATTGATCCAAAAAATTCCTGTTCTTCATCCCGCCAGTGGGTTGCTCTGGTTGTGGGACATGAACTCGCCCATCAATGGTTTGGAAATCTTGTTACTATGGTATTTAATATTTTTAAGTGCTCAAATATATTTATCTTCATCCTACTCCACATTATTTTGGCTACATAGTATTTCAAGTTTGGCTGCAACACTGTGCCAAAAAATAATTGAGTGATAGAAAAGTATTATTTTAAAAGGTCCACTTTGAAAAGGCTTATCAGAATCTCTGCATTGAACAAGGGCATATGGACAGTCTTTATTCAACAGACACTTCCTAAACTGTTCTAAAATTTGTCTGCAAGTGGGAAAAGTCAAGATACTAATTTGGGTGAGAGAAAAACATTCCTCTTAGGTGTAGATGAATGAATCATGCAGTGAGATTCCAGGCTAACTGTAGTTTCTTGAATCTTATTTGTTAATCTGATTCACAGCTGAAAAGTAACCTGATGAATAACAAACTGATCTTTAATTAGAGAGAAATGTTTTTAGGAGTCAGTTTTTTCATTGCCTAAAATGTTAAGTTGAAATTTAATGAAATAAAAGTAAACAAACTGCAGAGTGACTGCAGAATAAAGCTGTATTAAAATTCCAGCTGTTCTGTTGAAATCCTTATAATGTTTGCAGTAATGATCTCTGTCCTTCAGTCCTGATTTTTCACTCTTACTCTAAGTAAATACTATTTATGAATGCCAACTGTGTTAGAGCTTGGGAGCACAGGATTTAATAAGTGAACTAGATGTACCTCTGCAATTAAATAACTGGATATTCTGGAGCCAGCTAGATTCCCTGACATTTTAGGCTGCCAAAGAGCAGAACCTGATTTGAATGTAGATTGAGTCCATACGTCATATAAATAAGAATGTAAGACATTTATCAACTATTACGTGTCTCAGAGAGTTTCTACAGAAAGTCAACCCTTGAAAATAAATCTTTTCCTTTTATTTTGGATGTTTAAAATTTTACAGGTGAAAAAAATTCTTTGAAATATAATTTCAGGCCGGGCACGGTGGCTCACGCCGGTAATCCCAGCACTTTGGGAGGCTGAGGCAGGTGGATCACTTGAGGTCACGTGTTTGAGACCACCCTGACCAATGTTGCGAAACCCCATCTCCACTAAAAAAAATAGAAAATTAGCTGGGCGTGGTGGTGTGCGCCTGTAATCCTAGCTACTCTGGAGGTTGAGGCAGAAGAATCACTTGAACCTGGGAGGCAGAGGTTGCAGTGAGCCGAGATCACGCCACTGCACTCCAGCCTGGGCAACAAGAGCGAAACTCCATCTCAAAAAAAAAAAAAGAAATATAATTTCATGTGGAATTATGTGTTGGTGCCTGTATTCAAATATGTGAAGAAATGGCCTTTTCTTCTAATGCAGCAAGTTTGCTACTTTGTACCAAATAATTTTTTTGCTTGGTTTTGAGATAACTTTATGATTTTATTTTGAAACAAGCAATAAATTTTAGTAGGGGAAATGTGTACATTCTTATTAAACAACTTTTTACTGGTTTTATGTAACTATTCTAGTTATTAGAACTGAAATTCCAAGGGCTTAGGGATAGGTTGGAAAATAAGTTTCATTTTATGCTAGTTTATTTTAGGAAGCTACTAGGCAAATAGCCACTTATCACTTAATATCAAAATAATTTTTTTTTTAAGACAGAGTCTCACTCTGTCACTTAAACTGGAGTGCAATGGCACAATCATGGTTCATTACAGTCTTTACCTCTGGGCTCAAGCAATCCTCCTGTCTCTGCCTCCTGAGTAGCTGCAATTACAGGTGTGTGGCACCATGCCCAGCTAATTTTTGCACTTTTTGTAGAGACAAGGTTTCACTGTATTGCCTTTTGTAGAGACAGGGTTTCACTTTGTTGCCTAAACTGGTCTCAAACTCCTGGGCTCAAGCAATCCTCCCACCTCAGCCTCCCAAAGTGCTGGGATTACAGGCATGAGCTACCACACCTGGCCTTTTCTGGGGGGACTGGTTGGGGATGGAGAATGGGATCTCACTTTGTCACCCAAGCCGGAGTGCAGTGGCACAATCATGGGTCAGTGCAGCTTCATCTTCCTGGGCTTATGTAATCCTCTTGCCTCAGCCTCCCAAGTAGCTGGGACCACAGGTGTGTGTCACCATGACCAGCTAATTTTTTTTTACTTTTTAATTTTTTTAGAGATGGAGTCTCACTATGTTGCCCAGGCTTATCTCAAACTCCTGGGCTCAAGTGATCTTCCTGCCTTGACCTCCCAGAGTATTGGCATTACAGGAGCAAGCCATTGTGCCTGGCCTGCTTTCTTTTACTAATAGGCTTAATCAACTTTAATAAAATTTAGATTAAGATCTTTCAAATTTTTTTAAAATTGATTTTATCTGTCACTCATATTCTTTGTCCATTCCATTTACTATGCATTCTTATTTAACAGGTGATAATTTTATATTCCATAAGTGCTTAAACACCATTCATTACTGAACTGCATTTTTGTTTAATTTCACATAATTTTTATATAAGCAGTACTCTTTCTCAGTTTCTCTTGAACATTCAACTCATTAGTGAGTGGTTTTCCCCTGTCATTTCCATTTTTCTTTATTTGGCTCTGATAGTTTTCTGTTTTTGTTTTTCAGAGATAATCCTTTACTATACTAAATTCTACATGATTATATTTTCCACCTCTATTTGCCTATATTTATCTGTTGTCTTTTCCTTTTCCATATATGGGCTTTTTTTTTCCCTCTTCTTCCTTTTCTACCTTTGGTATTTAAAAAGTTACTTAGGACTGAATGCACTGGCTTACGCGTGTAATCCCAGCACTTTGGCAGGCTGAGGCGGGAGGATTGCTTGAGCCCAGGAGTTCAAGGCTGCAGTAAGCTACGATGGTGCCCCTGCCACTCCAGCCTGGGCAACAGAATGAGACCCTGTCTGGGTTTGCGGGAGAAGTTATTTACAATGTTTTGAAAATATCCTTTAGCCCAGGCATGGTGGCTCACACCTGTAATCTTAGCACTTTGGGAGGCCGAGGCAGGTGGATCACTTGAGTTCAGAAGTTCCAGACCAGCCTGGCCAACATGGCAAAACCCCCTCTCTACTAAAAATACAAAAATTAGGCAGGCATAGTGATACATGTCTGTAATCCCAGCTACTGGTGAACACTCCAGCCTGGTGACAAAACAAGACTTTGTCTCAAAAAAAAAAAAAAGAAAAGAAAGGAAAAGAAAATGACCCTCAGATATAATTCTCATATCACCAGTTGGCCTTTCTTGACATCTCTTTTAGTCTTCTCTCTTTTTCAGAAATGTGAGTTCTTTGCCAAATGTTTTGAACTGAATTTTAGGTCATTAAATTGTGAGTTTGGGAATATAGTGGAAGGGACATGTGAGTGTTTTAGATTAGTAGAATGACAATCATTTCATTTTCTTTAAGTATTTTCATCTTTTGTTTTTAGGAATGGTGGACTCATCTTTGGTTAAATGAAGGTTTTGCATCCTGGATTGAATATCTGTGTGTAGACCACTGCTTCCCAGAGTATGATATTTGGACTCAGTTTGTTTCTGCTGATTACACCCGTGCCCAGGAGCTTGACGCCTTAGATAACAGCCATCCTATTGAAGTGAGCCATACTTTCTAACCATTAGCCTATGACTGCTCTCATTTACAATGAAATACGTAATTTGTTACATAGATACTTTGGACTTTGAAAATAAGAGAAAATAGCATGGGTGATTTTACTGGTTCATATTTCTAGTCTTGAAAAGCTAGTAAGTCTAAGTTCTAATTAACATTTCTTTTTAAGGTAGGCAGTAAAAAAAAATTGGTCTGGCCAGGCGCAGTGGCTTATGCCTGTAATCCTAGCATTTTGGGAGGCTGAGGCAGGTGGATCACCTGAGGTCGGGAGTTTGAGACCAGCCTGACCAATATGGAGAAACCCCGTCTTTACTAAAAATACAAAATTAGCTGGGCACGGTGGCGCATGCCTGTAATCCCAGCTACTCGGGAGGCTGAGGCAGGAGAATCACTTGAACCTGGGAGGCAGAGGTTGCGGTGAGCCGAGATCGTGCCATTGCACTCCAGCCTGGGCAACAAGAGCAAAAAACTCTGCCAAAAAAAAAGAAAAAGAATAGTATGGGAGAAGTCATACCTATTGGGTAACACTATGGTTCCATTGTTTATGTCAAGGAAAATTCTGGACATATTTTATTGTCAGGGTCTGTTTTGTGAATACTTTAATTCTCTTGACTTAGCCTATCCCTACTTCAGTTTATATATATAAATTTTGTATCTAAAGAACTAGAGTTATAATGCTACTTCAACATATTTAATTAGGCTCCCATATAATTGTAATTCATTACAATTAGTGCAAGAAATCTAATGTTCTTCACCTCCATATCTTCCTCATCACTCCTCTGCAACTACCCCAAAAATAAACAGAACCATAGTGGCTTCTTTCCCAGCAGAACAAAGCCAGGACTGGAACCCAGGCTCTAAGGGATGACAGGAATCATGTTCTATTCAACTTTATTATTATTAGTTACTACATTTTTTTGAGGACCATCGTTATACATTATGAGTGAGTTAAAGGCAGAAAAATGTAAGTTAGAAGGGTTTTCCTAGAAAGCGTTTTATGTAATTCAGTATTACAGGCTATCTGCTTCCTGTCATAACCCTGAATCACACTGTCTGCCAGGTCAGTGTGGGCCATCCATCTGAGGTTGATGAGATATTTGATGCTATATCATATAGCAAAGGTGCATCTGTCATCCGAATGCTGCATGACTACATTGGGGATAAGGTAAAAAAAAACTTTAAATATTTCATTCTTTTATGGTGAAATCATAAGAGTTTTGCATGAAAAAAAGTCTCACTTTATTTGGATTAAGTTCCCAAATAGTTTCTGGCTTGTCATTTTTTTTTAATGACCAAAAAGAATGAGAATTCAATTATTTGAAGTTGACTACTCTGGTCTCTTAGATGAGTGATGTGCAGGTGTGTTTGGGAGTGGAAATGGGAGGCTGTTACAAAACTTAAGAGCAAGAATAGAAGGCATAGAGTACGCATTATTAAATAAAAGGCAGTAGGCATCAGAAGGATATATGTGTTTCAGTGTATCTGATACTTGAGTATTTGAGTAAATTTGTTTTTGATTACTGATATACAAATATACTATAAATTCTGAGATCTGACTTCCCTGGATTTTAAAAATTGTGTTTTCTCAGGACTTTAAGAAAGGAATGAACATGTATTTAACCAAGTTCCAACAAAAGAATGCTGCCACAGGTAATCTCTAATAGCTTGAGATAGAAATGGAGAGAAAGTATTGTCACTCTATCCAGGCTGGGACATTTTATTTTTGTTCTGAATACTTAAGGTCAGGATCCATGTAATAAATAAATTAGCCTTATTTGAAGCTGTGTTCAGGTTGAATATCTCTAATCTCAAAATCTGAAATTTGAAATGCTCCAGAATCTGAAACTTTTTCTTTCCTTTCTTTCTTTTTTTTAATTAAAGTTCTAGGGTGCATGTGCACAATGTGCAGGTTTGTTACGTCAGTATACATGTGCGGGCCATGTTGGTTTGCTGCACCCATTAACTCGTCATTTACATTAGGTATTTCTCCTAATGCTATCCCTCCCCCAGCCCCCTACCCCATGACAGGCCCTGGTGTGTGATGTTCCCCGCCCTGTGTTCAAGTGTTCTCATTGTTCAATTCCCACCCAAAATCTGAAACTTTTTGAGTGCCAACATGATGCTCAAAGGAAATGCTCATTGGAACATTTTAGATTTTGGATATTCCAATTATAGATGCTCAGCTAGTAAGTATAATGCAAATATTCCAAAATCCAAAAGAAATATGAAATTCAAAACATTTCTGGTCCCAAGCATTTTGGATAAGGGATACTCAACCTGCAGTAAGTCATAGGGTCAACATGAATCAGGACTCGTTATCCCTTTGGTCATCCTCCAGCATTCTGCTTTCCATAACTGAGTATTTTGCCAACTTAAAGAGTCTGGGCCGGGTGTGGTGGCTCACGCCTGTAATCCTAGCACTTTGGGAGGCCAGGATGTGCGGACTGATTGAGCCCAGTTCAAGACCAGCTTGCAACATAGCGAGACCCCACCTCTACAAAAAATACAAAAATATTAGCCGGGTGTGGTGGTATGTGCCTGTAGTCCCAGCTACTCAGGAGGCTGAAGTGGGAAGGGTCACTTGAGCCCAGGAGTTTGAGGTTACAGTGAGCAATCATGGCACCACTGCACTCCAGCCTGGGCAACAGAACAAGATCCTGTCTGAAAAAAATAAAAAATAAAGGGAATACAGTCATGTGTTGCTTAACAACAGGGATATGTTCTGAGAAATATGTTGTCAGGCAATTTCATCAATATGTGAACATCATAGAATGTACTTACAGAAACCTACACAGTATGTCCTAGGCTATGTACACCTAGCCTACATGGTATATACCCTGTTGCTGCTAGGCTACAAAATACCTGTACAGCATGTTACTGTACTGAATACCATAGGCAATTATAACACAATGGTATTTGTATACCTGAACATTTCTAAATATAGAAAAGGTACAGTAAAAATATGATATTAAAGATGCTCCACCAGCTGGCTGATATGCCTATAATCCCAGCACTTTGGGAGGCTGGGGCAGGTGGACTGCTTGAGTCCAGGAGTTTGAGACCAGCCTGGGCACCATGCCAAAACCTCGCTTCTATAAAAAGTACAAAAATTAGCTGGGTGTGGTGGCATGTGCCTGTAGTCCCAGCTACTTGGGAGGCTGAGGTAGGAGGATCACTTGAGCCTGGGAGGTCAAAGCTGCAGTGAGCTGTGATTGGGCCACTGCACTCCAGCCTGGGCAACAGCGAAACGCGGTCTCAAAAGAAAATAAGGTGCTACACCTGAATGCAGCTTATAGGACAACTTATAGAGGTTGTTCTAGTTGAGTGAGTGGTGAGTGAATATGAAGGCCTAAGACATTACTATACACTACTATAGATATTATAAATACTTTACACTTAGGCTACACTGAATTTATAAAAATAATTTTTCTTTCTTGAATAATAAATTAACCTTAGCTTACTGTAACATTTTAAATTTACTTTTTAATTTTTTTAACTTTTTGATTCTTTTCAATTCTTTTTTTTTTTTTTTGAGACAGAGTTTCGCTCTTGTTGCCCAGGCTGGAGTGCAATGGTGCAGTCTTGGCTCACCACAACCTCCGCCTCCCGGGTTCAAGTGATTCTCCTGCCTCAGCCTCCTGAGTAGCTGGGATTACAGGCATGTGCCACCACGGCCGGCTAATTTTGTATTTTATTTTATGTTATGTTATGTTATGTTATGTTATGTTATGTTATGTTATGTTATGTTATTTTTTGAGACGGAGTCTCGCTCTGTCGCCCAGGCTGGAGTGCAGTGGCGCGATCTCGGCTCACTGCAAGCTCCACCTCCCGGGTTCAGGCCATTCTCCTGCCTCAGCCTCCCGAGTAGCTGGGACTACAGGCGCCCGCCACCACGCCCGGCTAATTTTTTGTATTTTTAGTAGAGACAGGGTTTCACTGTGTTAGCCAGGATGGTCTCGATCTCCTGACCTCATGATCCGCCCGCCTCTGCCTCCCAAAGTGCTGGGATTACAGGCGTGAGCCACCGCGCCTGGCCTATTTTATTTTTTTTAAAGACAGGGTCTTGCTCTGTCGCCCAGGCTGGAGTGCAGTGGTGCAGTCTTGGCTTCGTTGCAACCTCCGCCTCCTGGGTTCAAGTGATTCTCCTGTCTCAGCCTCCCAAGTAGCTGGGATTACAGGTGTGTGCCACCATGCCCAGCTAATTTTTGTATTTTTAGTAGAGACAGGGTTTCACCATGTTGGCCAGGCTGGTTTCGAACTCCTGACCTCAGGTGACGTGCCCACCTCGGCCTCCCAAAGTGCTGGGATTGCAGGTGTGAGCCACTGCACCCAGCCTAATTTTGTATTTTTAGTAGAGATGGGGTGTCTCCATGTTGGTCAGACTGGTCTTGAACTCCAGACCTCAGGTGATCCGCCCGCTTTGGCCTCCCAAAGTGCTGGGATTATAGGCATGAACCACTGCGTCCAGCCTGGATATTTTTAAAGTGAGGTTAATTGAATGGGTATAACGGTCTTAAGTTTGTCAGTGATTGTTTAGTAGTGATCTTGAACACATTTCAATTTCTTTGTTTCTCCTTAACTCATCTGTTTATCTTTTATTATAATTTGTAATTTTTCTTATAAATTAGAATGATTAAGTATATCTCAGAATAAAAGACCAGTTTTGGCCAGGTGTTATGACTCACACCTGTAATTCCAGCACCTTGGGAGGCTGAGGCAGGTGGATTGCTTGAGCCCGGGATTTTGAGACCAGCCTGGGCAACATGGTGAAATCCCATCTCTACAAAAAATTGCAAGAAATTATGGGCCAGGTGCGGTGGCTCATGCCTGTAATCCCAGCACTTTGGGAGGCCGAGGCAGTGGATCACCTGAGGTCAGGAGTTCAAGACCAACCTGGTCAACATGGCGAAACTCCATCTCTACTAAAAATACAAAAATTAGCTGGGTGTGGTGGCACATGCCTGTAATCCCAGCTACTCAGGCACCTGAAGCAGGAGAATTGCTTGAACCTGGGAGGCAGAAGTTGCAGTGATCTTAGATCATGGCACTGCACTCCAGCCTGGGCAACAGAGCAAGACTCCATCTCAAAAAAAAAAAAAAAAAAAAAAAAAGCCAGGTGTTGTGGTGTGCACCTGTAGTCCCAGCTACTCAGGAGGCTGAGGAGGGAAGATCACCTGAGTCTGGGAGGTCGAGGCTGCAGTGAGCTGTGATTATGCCACTGCACTCTAGCCTGGGTGATGAAGTAAGACCGTATCTCAAAAAATACCAGTTTTTATGATAGAATTTACTTAGTTGCAGAAGAGGGGTGGCAAGGGGAATGTTAATTTGGCTCACTGTTTCCTGAACCTGAAAGAACCAAAGAATTAGCAGTGTAGTGTCAAAAGTTAAATAAAATTTCTTTTTTGTTTAGGAAAATAAAAATATAAACATTTTAGATTATCATTGTTTATCTTCTAGAGGATCTCTGGGAAAGTTTAGAAAATGCTAGTGGTAAACCTATAGCAGCTGTGATGAATACCTGGACCAAACAAATGGGATTTCCCCTCATTTATGTGGAAGCTGAACAGGTAAACATATAAAGTCTTTCCATTTGTCTGATATTGTATTAAATGAAGTTCAGTACAGTGTATCAAGTTTGCTTTTCTGTACTTTAAGTTTTCTAGTGACATTTAAACCAGCCCTGTTACTCTTTTATCAGTAATTTTACAGCTTGCATCATTAAAATTATACATGCTTAAGAGAGAAAACAAAATGTTACTTGCTTGTCTAGTCTCCAGGGAAAATACTGTAAAATTTGATATAATTCTAAAACCACCAAATATGGTTTATTCTACAAATGCAAGGTTGGTTTAACATTTTTTAAAAAATTAGGCCGGGCGTGGTGGCTCACGCCTGTAATCCCAACACTCTGGGAGGCCGTGGCGGGTGGATCACTTGAGGTCGGGAGTTTGAGGCCAGCCCGGCCAATGTAGTAAAACCCTGTCTCTACTAAAAATACAGAAATTAGCTGAGCATGGTGGCACACACCTGTAATCCCAGCTACTCTGGAGACTTAGGCAGGAGAATTGCTTGAACTCGAGAGGTGGAAGTTGCAGCGAGCCGAGATTGTGCCACTGCACTCCAGCTTGGGCAACAGAGCGAGACTTCGTCTCAAAAAAAAAAAAAAATCAATGTATTGATTTATAATCACTACATAAACAGAATCAAATGCAAATAGCACATAATCACTGACTAGATGTAGAAAAAACATTTGGTAAAATTTCATACCCACTTATAATATCAATTGTGTAAAGTAGGTTTTTAATGTTGGTTGGATGGCAGTGTGATTTTAATTAGGATTGCAATTCATTAATTGAACTGTTACCTGAATTCAGAGAGGAGTACTTTGGTATGAGTTATACTTCAAAAGGACTGAGAATTACACAACATCCTTTAATGCCTACCAAAAAGTGATCTTAACTCGGTTTCATTAAATGAAATTGTTCTCTTCAGTTTATTTGCCATGGTTTTGTGAGCTGCATGGGGAATTAATTCCTGTTCATTTTTAGGGAAGTGGATTCATAGTTCTTTTTTAGTATGTGTTTTTTCTTGTGGTCCTACATTGTCCACAAAGCTAAGTATTTTTTTATTATTACTTTTATATTTTAAAAAATTGGGATGAGGTCTCACTGTATTGCCCAGCCTGGTCTGGAACCCCTGGGCTCAAGTGATCCTTCCACCCCTGCCTCCCAAAAGTGCTGGGATTACAGGTATGAGCCACTGCACACCCAGCCAAAGCCAAGTATGTTTTACAAATAATTTCTCAATGTGGCAATCTAAGTTATAAATTTGCTTTTCTGCACATTTGTATTCTAGGTGACATTTAAACCAATTCTTGCACTCTCAAAATGCTCCCAAATTTACATGGAACATTTTCACGTGTAAGCTTGCAGATTACCCTTTCAGAGCCAAATCTTAACTTTAAACATGATTGGATTTTACACTAAAGTGTGCACACTGGAGGACCTCTCAGTTAGATTGGCTGCAATAACTTGGAAAGGCAATTTAGGGAATGCAATTGATCATGTTTGGTGGGAAAGAATACCTGTAAGTTTAGTGACCTGCCACTGTGACCAGTTCTATTTCTTTGCAGTCTTTTTTCTGCACTTGGGACTAGTCTTGTTATAGGAGATGACTAATTGAATTTGATGTTGACACTGCATATAGACTGACTCTTTTAAGAATATTAACATACAAAAATTATTGTTACTTCTCATCTGAGCATTTCGTTCCCTCAAAACTACTGAACTATTGGCTGGGCCAGGCACAGTGGCTCACGCCTGTACTTAGAATACTGGGAGGCCAAGGTGGGAGGATTGCTTGAGCTCAGGAGTTCAAGACAAGCCTGGGCAACATAGTGAGACCTCGTCTCTACTAAAAGTAAAAAAAACTAGCTGGGCATGGTGGCACGTGCCTATAGTCCCAGCTACTTGGGAGGCTTAGTTGGAAGGATCGCTTGAGCACAGGAGGTGTGAAGGCTGCAGTGAGCTGTGATGGCAGCACTGCAGTCCATCCTGGGCAACAGAGCAAGACCATGTATTAAAAAACAAACAATTGGCCAGGCGCAGTGGCTCACATTTGTAATCCCAGCACTTTGGGAGGATCACTTGTGTTCTGGAGTTTGAGACCAGCCTGGGTAACACGGCAAGATGCTGCCTCTACCAAAACAAAAAAACAAACCCAAAACTATTGAAATGTTAATGATTACACATAAAACAGATTATTAAGCCGTAATTTTTTCTTAAAGCAGAACACACTTTTAAGAAATAATAGTTTATCAGTTAGAACAGAGAACAGTAATGCCACACTTCTCAGTGTTACTGAAACTGTTTCCATCCAGGGGCTTTCAAGGTCTTGCTTTCTTTGTTTTCTTTTTTGTCTACAGGCACGGCCAAACTCATCCTCCATTTTGCATTGTCATAAAAGGCCAATGGCCTGGTGCAGTGGCTCAAACTTATAATCCTAGCACTTTAGGAGGCTAAGGCAGGAGGATTGCTTGAACCTAGGAGTTTGAGATCATCCTGGGCAATATTATAGTGAGACCCTGTCTCTAAAAAAACTAAAAATAAATTAAAAATATATTAATGAAATTAAAGGCCTGTCTGTTGCTCTTAATTCTTTTAAGAATAGGAGAGCTGTGTAACATATCTTGATTATGATCTGTTTCTCACTTTACATTCCCCAAATTTAAATATTTTTGCTCTAATTCTGAATCAATGTAAAAGGTTTCAACTTTCTCAGGGAAATCTGTGTGATATATAACTGATTATATATATAATTAGTATCTAGTGTTAACGTTCATTAATAGTTTCCCTGTGGCATCAAAGTGGCCATTGCTTTCTCACTTAAATTTTTTCTTAGTTTTTCAATTCTATTTCTTGCAGTAAGTTTATCCATGAAACTCATTAGCCCAATTTTACATTTGATTTAGGTGATCTTAAGTCTGTGTTATTTGAAATCCAGGATGTGGTAACTAATAAATGACACAAATGACTGCATATTGTTGAAGTATTTTGTAAACACATGTACTTACCATTGTTGCCTCTGGCTTTTTAGTTATTTGGACTTTTCTCTTTAGTATTACCGTCTTCATCACAATTGCATTTTGTATACTCATGAGACATTTGGTTGTGCTCGTTCCAGCATTTGTCACAGAAATGTTGTCTCCCTCCTCTTCAAAAACAAAAACCAAAACCCCAGATGGTGTCAGTACTATTATAGCCTTTGTTTTGCTTCTTTAGGTAGAAGATGACAGATTATTGAGGTTGTCCCAAAAGAAGTTCTGTGCTGGTGGGTCATATGTTGGTAAGTAAATGGCTGTAAGTGAGATATGATTGATGAATTTGGATATTAACTAATACCAGTAGTATTCCAACTAATAGGAAATTTTTCTTTTTTTTTTTTGAGGAGTCTCACTCTGTCGCCCAGGCTCGAGTGCCATAGCGTGATCTTGGCTCACTGCAACCTCCACCTCCTGGGTTCAAGCAATTCTCCTGCCTCAGCCTCCCAAGTAGCTGGGATTAACAGGAACATGCCACCATGCTCGGCTAATTTTTTGTATCTTTAGTAGAGACAGGGTTTCACCATGTTGGCCAGACTGGTCTTGAACTCCTGACCTCGAGATCCGCCTGCCTCAGCCTCCCAAAGTGTTGGTATTACAGGTGTGAGTCACTGTGCCCAGCCATAGAATTACTCTTTTAATGAATATATCTAACAAAGCTGGGCACAGTGGTTCACGCCTGTAGTCTCAGTACATTGGGAGGCCAAGGTGGTCAGATTGCTTGAGCCCAGGGGTTCGAGACCAGCCTGGGCAACATGGCAAAACCTCATCTCAAAAAAATAAATAAATAAAATTAGCTTGGCATGGTGGCATGCATCTGCAGTCCCTGCTACTTGGGAGCCTGAGTTGGAGAATTGCTTGAGCCCATGAGATCGAGGCTGCAGTGAGCCGTGATTGTGCCATTGCATTCTAGCCTGGGTGACACGGCGAGACCCTGTCTGGGGGGAGAAAAAATATCTAACAAATCAGATGACAGTTTTATTATCCAAATAAATCTGTACGTGTCACAGTTGCCGTTTTCTGCCTCTTACCTATAATCCACATTGTAGTACTGACAGGTTTTTCTAATACTCTGTGACCAGTAGAGGTAACATTAAAACTTGCAGTATCCCAATATTGGAGAAATTTTACTTTGTGGTTTAACCTGATAGCATAAAGCTATGTAATTTATTAAAGTAGCTCCATTTCCATGAATGTACTGGGCAAGGACTCTTTTTTTGTTTGGCATCTTAATGCCAAGTCTGTTTTGCTGTCTGATATGTAAGACAGTGTTTCTGCCTTACAAAAGCTTTGGCTTGTAGATATGACTCCTCTGTGACGGAACATAACAGCTTCCAGGTTGTATCCTGTCTATCACAACAATAAAAATTAACCCTTCGATATTTCAGCAGTGTGTATACCTGTTAAGGACTGCACCTTAGAATTTGTTTTTAAATGATATATGAAGGCTGGGCGCAGTGGCTTATACCTGTAATCCCAGCACTTTGGGAGGCTGAGGCGTGTGGATCCCTTGAGGCCAGGAGTTTGAGACCAGCCTGGCCAATATGGCAAAACCCCATCTCTACTAATAAAGTACAAAAAAATATTGTATATTTTTGGGCATGGTGGCACACACCTGTAGTCCCAGCTACTCAGGAAGCTGAGGCACAAGAACTTCTTGAACCCGGGAGGTGGAAGTTGCAGTGAGCTGAGATCACGCCACCGCACTCCAGCCTGGGCGACAGAGCAAAACTCTGTCTCCAAAAAAAAATATACATACATATATATATATATTTTTTGTTGTTGTTGTTGTTTTTTTACTTTAACAGTAAAATTGCTGTCTTTGCTCTCTAGGGGGAAAATGATAATTAAGTTTAAGTCATTGCATTTGTGATTCTACAAGTGAGTTAACTGTTTTCTTTTTTTAGACAACATGTTGTGATTTTGTTAGTAAATGATCCCTTCCTTTGCACTGATACTATTCAGGTTATCTGGAAGAGTTCATGTACCACTAAGAATGAACTATTGACTTAACAGTTTGGCTTAGGCTCCTGGTTAGAACACCACCACTCCTCTCTCCACCTTACCTTCTGTTTGTCCCAGTGCAAAATTTGTTTGTTCTTCTCTGGCTTAGGTGAAGATTGTCCCCAGTGGATGGTCCCTATCACAATCTCTACTAGTGAAGACCCCAACCAGGCCAAACTAAAAATTCTAATGGACAAGCCAGAGATGAATGTGGTTTTGAAAAATGTCAAACCAGACCAATGGGTGAAGGTGAGTTCAGAATCTTACCTAAACAGATTTCTCTCACTTATACATTTTATGGCCGGTTTTAAATTCTGCTTCAGTTTAGTAGTTTCAAAGAAAAAAAAAAACCTAAACTTTTCTTTGTGAAACTTAGGACGAATTTTCATATAGTATTGTCCAGACATTTGTCCTTATGTTAGGGAAGGTAGTGGTAGAGAAGCAGATCCAAAGGCATAGGACTAAGGAGGAGAAGAAAAAAAAAAAAGTAGACTGAGTGTAAGCATATATGAACCAAAATATGTGTAGTCTCACACCTTCAAACTCCCCTGTCATTGTAATGAAAGGTTAACTTCAATGATGTGTTGTCACCATATGTGTACTACTGTAATCTAATGAGAGCAGACATACATAATAATCGGTTCGTGTCACTGAAATGTAAAATTCCTTAGTTGGTATTTCAAAACCATTTCACAAAAATACCAATAGGTAAGAATTATTTTTCATTATTCTGTACTCTGTACCTTTCATAATGAAAGTATTTACTACAGACTCTTAATTGTATGTTCCTAATAGGAATTATACATTGTATCAGACATTTGTGCTTTTTTTTAAAAAAAAGCCCGCCGAACGCTGTGGTAGCACTTTGGGAGGCCGAGGCAGGTAGATCACTTTCGGAGGCCGAGGCAGGCAGATCACAAGGTCAGGAGTTCAAGAACAGCCTGACCAACATGGTGAAACCCTGTCTCTACTAAAGATACGAAAAAAAAATTAGCTAGTCGTGATGGTGTGCACCTGTAATCCCAGCTACTCAGTAGGCTGAGGCAGGAGAATCGCTTGAACCCAGGAGGCGGAGGTTGCAGTGAGCCGAGATCGTGCCATTGCACTCCAGCCTGGGTGACAGGGTGAGACGCCATCTCAAAAAAAAAAAAAAAAAAAGCCATTTTTTCTGTTTATCAACTTCTTTTTTTTTTGAGTTGGTCTCACTATGTTGCTTAGGCTGGATTCAAACTCCTAGGCTCATGTGATCCTCCCACCTCAGGCTCCGGAGTAGCTAGGATTATAGTCATGAGCCACCATGCCTGGCATTGTTTTACTTTTTTAAATATATATTTAAAATATACTCACTGGAATATTACCATTTGAAATTATAATCTGGAAGATTATGTTGTAGCAATATGAAAAATTTCTTATAAATGAGAAAAAAGTTATGTACACTACAATTTTGATTAGGTTAAATAAAGGGAATCAATAAAGTGATAGTTGCGTTAAAATTGTAGGGGTGGTTTTAAAAATATTTACATATAAATAGTAAAATATTTGTATCTTACTGTTTTACCATTTAACTATTTTGAATATAAATGTTCTCAAAACTATTTTTTGGCTATTGGTAAATAGCCTATAGAGAATAATGCAGTTGCCAGGTGTAGTGGCTCATGCCTGTAATCCCAGGGAGGCTGAGGCGCGGCGGATCACCTGAGGTCAGGAGTTCGAGACCAGCCTGGCCAACACGGTGAAACCCTGTCTCTCCTAAAAATTACAAAATTAGCTGGGTGTGGTGGCGGGTGCCTGTAATCCCAGCTGCTTGGGAGGGTGAGGCACGAGAATCACTTGAACCTGGGAGGTGAAAGTTGCAGTGAGCTGAGATCATGCCACTCCCCTCCAGCCTGGGTGACAGAGCAAGACTCCATCTCAAAAAGAAAAAAAAGAATAATGCAGTCAGTAATTACCTCACGCCAAAAATCTTATGAAATTGCCTTTTAGGTCCATGTACTTCTTTAAAATTGGAATCTGAAAATTGTTATTCCGTTCAGTCTCTGTGCTTATAAGATCAATGTTTGTAAAGGCCTAAGCTTTCTTAGAGATTCCACTGTCCAGGTGTTTTCATATATATTAAGTATTTTCTGTAAACCTAAAATTGAGGTTAGAAATAGAAACCCACATTATTTTGTCCCTTCCTTGTTCTTTCTACTGTCCCTCACTTTGGCCCTCACAATTTCAAGTTTCCCTTTTCTTTTGTCTGTGCATTCATTCTGTCTTGATGTGTTGTCTTGTTTTAATCCATTAGTTGGCATAGATGGTCTTAATTGTTTTTCATCCAGATATATCTAAAACCAGAACTCCTTTTAAACATACAAAAGGTTGATTTAAAAAATTAATGGAGCTGTTTAATAGTACTTACTGGATATCTTTGCAGTTAAACTTAGGAACAGTTGGGTTTTATCGGACCCAGTACAGCTCTGCCATGCTGGAAAGTTTATTACCAGGCATTCGTGACCTTTCTCTGCCCCCTGTGGATCGACTTGGATTACAGAATGACCTCTTCTCCTTGGTGAGCATCTGTGACTTAAGTAATATGATGGATTTTGCTGATTAAAAGATTCTGTTTTTCCTGGAGTGTCTGAAACATAATTAGAAGAATATGGGTCTTCATGATGGTTAAAAACACCTTTGGGACTAGAGCAAATCACTGTTTTTAATATGACAAGATTGAGGCTATATAATTTAAATCCCATTTCACTACTCCTAAGCCAGCTTTCTGAAACTCTTAATTAAACTATCCTTTGTAAGGCAAAAAATTCCTTTCTTTTCAGTAGAAATAAATATAAGCCTTGAAGAAATGACCCTACTGATAGGTTTTTAAAATAATTAAGTCAGAGTGATTTTATGTTTTTCTAAATAGTGGTTGTACTTTGCTGGGAAAGCCATAATTTTTAAACATTGTGTTCTTATTTCAAATTATATCCCATTAGCTTTAGAATTATATTTATATTTGGCTTTCTTCCAGAAAGGATTTAAAGCAGCAATTAGTATTATTTTCTTTATGACTTCAGCGTAGGTTAGGTAATTTCCAGATGTCTTTATGATAAAATTGTCATATTCCTCCTAGTATTTCTTTAAATTGGACTGGAAATTTTCCCTCCCCTCTGCAGTCATTGGTTTTGGATTCTGCCTTTGTATAAACACAGATTAGCATTGATGCACAAAACCTCACATCTGCTGATCTAATTGCTGAGAGAGACCTGTCCCAGGAGAGTGAGCTGTTTGTGCAGCTGGCTGCTGTAACAGAAGTTCTTTTTCCTAACTCTGTTAGTTCTGAAAGGACTTTGAATTTGTAGTGCCTTCTAGTTTATGTTCTTTTAGAAATGAGTAAAGGAGAGGCTTAAGTTGACACAGTTTGCAGGTCCGGCTTTGAAAGAATGTTTGTCAAAAACCAAAGCTCAAACTATTTTTGCAGTTTTTCTGAAAGTATGAAAAATTTCAAAACAGTAACAAAGCCAAGTCCCCAGAAACTGAGTAGAAATAGAAGTTAAGTGGTTTGTTGTTGTTCTCAAATTGTTGGGACTCTTAGTGTAATTTTTAAAAGTAGTTCTTGTATAAATAGCAAATGATTCATTCTAATTTTTCTGTAAAAAGAAAAAGAAAAAAATAACAAAGGATTAAAGAAGGAATGTTGTCTGAATAGGATTTTTATGCTAACAGTGTTCTGAGCTTATACAGTCCCATTTCCTTAAACCAAAGAAATTGCTAGCAGTAGATAATGCCAAAAATGCATGCTTATGTTTTTTGGTTTTGTTTGAAGACTAGGTTAATTTATGTTTTTTCCTATCCCAGGCTCGAGCTGGAATCATTAGCACTGTAGAGGTTCTAAAAGTCATGGAGGCTTTTGTGAATGAGCCCAATTATACTGTATGGAGCGACCTGAGCTGTAACCTGGGGATTCTCTCAACTCTCTTGTCCCACACAGACTTCTATGAGGAAATCCAGGAGTTTGTGAAAGATGTCTTTTCACCTATAGGGGAGAGACTGGGCTGGGACCCCAAACCTGGAGAAGGTAATGGATATACTAAATGGAGAAAGAATTACGCAGAAGTTGGTACTTTTTTATGTGGTTAACAATATAATTAATATCATCTTTGTATCTACTGGATGTTACTATATATTCAGCAAGCCAGAAATTAAGACGTGAGTCTTTTAAGTCTGCTGGTGAAGTTACATGGGTCAACAACATAGAAACAGTAGTGGTTATGTGTGTTCGATGCTAAATATAATTTGTGCACATGGTGGAAATAAAAGTCTTTTGCAGAATTCCAAAGGCCTATTTTTAGTCAAGAAAAGCTAAAGGGAATTTTAGGTTGTTTTGTTTTATTTATTTATTTATTTATTTTATTTTTTTGAGACGGAGTTTCATTCTTGTTGCCTAGGCTGGAGTGCAATGGCGCGATCTCGGCTCACCGCAACCTCCGCTTCCCAGGTTCAAGTGATTCTCCTGCCTTAGCCTCCCGAGTAGCTGGGATTACAGGCATGTGCCACCACGCCTGGTTACTTTTATATTTATAATAGAGATGGGGTTTCACCACGTTGGTCAGGCTGGTCTCGAACCCCTGATCTCAGGTGATCCGCCTGCCTCGGCCTCCCAAGTTTTATTTATTATTACCATAAATACCAGGCACCTTTATGTATAACTTGTAAAGGTGCTGAGAGACACAGGGGTCAGCTTTTTTAATTAAGGAAATTATTTGCTTTCTACATGTGTTCTCTGCTCTGATTATTTCTATAAGCATATATTTACTCTTTTTGCTCTCATTTAAATATTGGGGATGATTATTTAAAGGTTTTACATATCATTATTTTTTATCATCTGCTAATAACTAAAGGTGGTGTTTCCTCCTGACCAGTCTTGACCCAGAAGTCTTTTGTAATAAAAATAGTAGCAATACCTAGAGCTCTATGTCTTGTCTTCTTTTTTTTTTTTTGAGATGGAGTTTCACTCTTGTCACCCAGGCTGGAACGCAGTGGCGCCATCTCGGTTCACTGCAACCTCTGCCTCCTGGGTTCAAGCGATTCTCCTGCCTCAGCCTCCCGAGTAGCATACCACCACGCCTGCCTAATTTTTGTATTTTTAGTAGAGACGAGGTTTCGCCATGTTGGCCAGGCTGGTCTTGAACTCTGGGCCTCAAGTGATCTGCCCGTCTCGGCCGCCCAAAGTGCTGTATTACAGGCATGAGCCACTACAGCTGGTCCCAAACAAATATTTATGTAGCTAGTAAATGCCATATACTATTCTAAGAGCTGGTGAAACAGCAGCAACCCAAATATTGCCTTATATGGCTTACATTCTAATGGGAGACATAGCAAATAATTAAATGTATAATGGTCTAGGTGGCAGGAAGTATCATTAAGAAAAATAAAGTTGCCAGGGGTGGTGGCTCACGCCTGTAATCCCAGCACTTTGGGAGGCTGAGGCGGGTGGATCACAAGGTCAAGAGTTCAAGACCAGCCTGGCCAAGATGGTGAAACCCCGTCTCTACTAAAAATACAAAAATTAGCCAGGTGTGGTGGCGGGTGCCTCTCATCTTAGCTACTCGGGAGGCTGAGGCAGAGAATTGCTTGAACCCAGGGGGCAGAGGCTGCAGTGAGCTGAGATCAGGCCACTGCACTCCAGCCTGGGTGACAGGGCGAGACTCCATCTCAAAAAAAAAGAAAAAGAAAGTCGTCAGATAATAAGGAGTGCTGGGCCACTATTTTATAGAGAGTGTTTGGGGAAACTGTCTCTAATAAGGTGATATTGAGCATAAACTGAGACATGGAGAGAGTTTTGAGGCTACCTAGAAGAAAAGTGGTTGAGACAGAGGAAACAGCAAGTACAAAAGACCTGAGATGGGAGCATGCTTAGGGTATTCGAGGAATAACAAGAAAGCTGCTGAGTTCAGGACAAGAATGAGTGGGAGAGGGCAATGGGAGACCTTTCTGATCCTGTAGAACCTGTTTGCTACAGTGAGAAGTTTTTTGACTTTCACATTTAGTGATATGACATGCTAATTAGAGAGTTTTGGGCAGGGGAACTTGATTTGATTTACTCGGCTTTCTGAAGAACAGACTAAGAGAAGACGAGAGGAGGCAGGGAGACCATTCAGAAGGCTATTTTAGCAATCCAGTTGAGATGCTGGTTGCAACTAGAACTTACAGGTGGTAAAGTCTGTGTATATTTTGAAGGTGCAACTGAAACTATTTGGTGAAGGATGGACTGTGTGGTGGAAAGAAAGAGAAGTGTCATCAAATTTTGGCCTGCAGAACTGGAAGAATGAAGTTGCCATGTACAGGGATAGGGAAGACTGCTGTAGAAACATTTTTTTCTTTTAAAGATACAGAGTCTCGCTCTGTTGCCGAGGCTGGAGTGCAGTGATGCAGTCATAGCTCACTGCAGCCTCGAATTCCTGGATTCAAGCTATCCTCCCACCTCAGCCTCCTGAGTATTTGGGACTACAGGCATGCACCATACCCAGCTATGTTTTTTTTTTTTGGAAAAGATGAGACTTCACTGTGTTGCCTAGGCTGGTCTTGAACTCCTGGACTCCAGAAATTCTCCTCCCTCAGCATCCCAAAGTGCTGGGATTGCAGCCATGAGCCACTGTGCCTGGCATAGAAGCATATTTGGGTGTAAAAGGGAATCAGGCCAGGCGTGGTAGCTCACACCCGTAATCCCAGCACTTTGGAAGGCTGAGGGGGGTGGAACATCTGAGGTCAGGAGTTTTGAGACAAGCCTGGCCAACATGGTGAAACCCCATCTCTACTAAAAATACAAAATTAGCTGGGCATGGTGGCACACGCCTGTAGTCCCAGCTACTCAGGAGGCTGAGGCAGGAAACTCACTTGAACTGGGAGGCAGAGGTTGCAGTGAGCCGAGATTGCGCCATTGCGCTCCAGCCTGGGCAACAGAGCGGGACTCCGTCTCAAAAAAAAAAAAAAAAAAAAAGTGAGGGGGTGGGAATCATATCACGCATGTGGCTCACACCTGTAATCCAGCTACTCAGGAGGCTGAGACAGGAGAGTTGGTTGAGTCCTGGAGTTCAAGCCCAGCATGGGCAACATAGTGAGACTCATGTCTTTAAAAAACAAAACAAAACTGGATGAGATCAACCAGTGACTGAGTGTAAGTAGAAGAAAGTGGTCTGAGTTCAGGATTTAGAGATTGTGTGGAAAAGGAAGAAACAGCAAAAGAGATGGACTGGCCAGTGAGGTAGAAGGAGAGCCAGGAGAGAGGGGGGGTATCCCAGAATTTAAATAAATAGTAGATGAAAAGAAACAGTAGATGAAGGCAGAGGGAATGTGATCAGCTGTGTCAGATGCTACTACACTAAGTCAAACAGAATGATGAAGGCTAATTCAATATTACATTTAACAAGTTTTGTGGAGTAGTGGGGAACAATAATGAATTCTCCACTTTTGGAGCAGGTTCTTTAGAATAGGAGGAGAGGAAATGGAGACAACACACTTAGACAACTTTTTAAAGGAGTTTTGCTGAGAAGATCAGAGAAAAGGGGTAGATGAGAGAGACGTGGGGTAAAGGAAGGAATTTTTTAAGTTGGGAGATTTTATATTACATTTTCTGCAACTATTTGAACATATGCGGTAGTAATATGCTCAGGAGGCTGAGACAGGAGAAAATTCATGTTTTGTGAGAGAGAGGGCTTATTGCTATAGTGACAGCTGAATAATCAAGAGGAGTTGAGGTCCAGTGCAGAAGTTAAGGAGTTGGTTTTAGATAGGAGCACAGATGAATAGTGACAGGATAGGAGTACATGGACACAGATGCAGGTAAATTAATGGATGTTGCACTTTTCTTTCATGATGATAACGTGACACTTTTTGACTTCAAAACTATCTTTACAATATAGGGAGAATGCCTTCAATTTCCTAGCTATACAGATGGGAGAATGAAACACGGCAAAATAATAAAATGTTACCTTGCATCACACAGCGTGTTAGTACCAGAGCCAGAATTATAAATTACTTCTTGTAAGAATCATCACAACAATGTGTAGTTATCTATTGATCTCTGATGGTTTTCTTAAAATTATTTTTGGTTAAATTATGATTTAAGTGTAGCAAAATGAATAATCTAAATGTTACAGTTCCATGACTTTCGGCAAACACATACCACATTTCCATCACCCAGAAAGCTGCTTGGGCTCCTTCCTAATTGGTCCCTGCTACTTGAGCCTCCCGTGCCTACCCCACACAGGCACATGCCATTCTGATTTCTTTCACCTAGATTAATATTTATCTCTTCTATTTTATATACATAGAATCATACAATGTGTGTTCTGTTCTTATACCTGGCCTCTCTCACTCAGCGTAGTGTTTCTGAGATAATCTGGGTTGTTCATTGCTTTTTATTGCTGAGTAGTATTTCATCATATGAATATACTACATTTTATTTGTCCATTGTACTGCTGCAATTCATCAGATTTGTGTGCCATTAACTGTTTTTTTAATCAATCATTTATTTCCTGGATGTTAACTTTTTTTGAGAGATAATTCACATACCATAAAATTCACCCTTTTAAAGTATACAATTCAGTATTTGTTAGTATGTTCACAAGATTGTGCAACTATCACCTCTATATTTCCAGAAGAATTTCTTCACCCTCCCCACTCTCAGCCCCACCCCACCCCCCCAAAAAAAAAGCCTTGTGTCCACTGGCAGTCACTCTCCATTTCCTGGCAACCACAAATTTACTTTCTATTTCATGGATTTACCTATTCTGAACATTTCATGTACATAGAATCACAAAATACTTGGCCTTTTATATCTCCTTCTTTCACTTAGCATAGTATTTTCAAGATTCATCTATGTTGTAGCATGTATCAGTCTTTCATTCCTTTTTTTTTTGGGGGGGGGTAACAGAGTCTCACACTGTTGCCAGGTTGGAGTGCAGTGGTGCGATCTCGGCTCACTGCAACCTCCGCCTCCTGGGTTCAAGCAATTCTCCTGCCTCAGCCTCCCCAGTAGCTGGGGCTACAGGTGCACGCCACCACGCCCAGCTAATTTTTGTATTATTAGTAGACATGGGGTTTCACCATGTTGGCCAGGATGGTCTCGAGCTGTTGACCTCGTGATCTGCCTGCCTCAGCCTCCCAAAGTGCTGGGATTACAGGCGTGAACCACCACACCCAGACCCCCGGCTCTCTTTTATAAGGGCACTATTCCCATTCATGAGGGCTCCAGTTTTCGGCTATTATGAATTCTGTTATGCACATTTGTATACAAGTTTTTGTGTAGACATGCTTTCATTTATTTTCAAGATACCTAAGAGTGAAATTGCTGAGTCATATGATGACTCTTTTTTTTTTTTTTTTTTTTTTTTTTGAGATGGAGTCTCACTCTGTCTCCAGGTTGGAGTGCAGTGGGCATGATCTCAGCTCACTGCAACCTCCGCCTCCTGGGTTCAAGTGATTCCCCTGCCTCAGCCTTCTGAGTAGCTGGGATTACAGGTCTGTGCCACTACACCTGGCTAATTTTTTGTATTTTAGTAGAGACAGGGTTTCACCATGTTGGCCAGGATGGTCTCGATCTCCTGACCTCATGATCCGCCTGCCTCAGCCTCCTAAAGTGCTGAGATTACAGGTGTGAGCCACCGCGCCCGTCCTTTTGTTTTTTTAAGAGACAGGGTCGGCTGGGTGGCAGTGGCTCACGCTTGTAATCCCAACACTGTGGCAGGCCGAGGCAGGTGGATCACCTGAGGTCAGGAGTTCGAGACCAGCCTGGCCAACATGGCAAAACCCTGTCTCTACTAAAAATGCAAAAATTAGCCGGGCGTGGTGGCACAACCGTGTATTCCCAGCTACTCAGAAGACTGAGGTAGAGAATTGCTTGAACCTGGGAGGTGGAGGCTGCAGTGAGCTGAGATCATGCCACTGTACTCCAGCTTGGGCAACAGAGCGAGACCACATCTCAAAAAAAAAAAAAAAAGAGACAAGGTCTTGCTCTGTGCCCAGGCTGGAGTACAGTAGTGTGATCATAGCTCACTACAGCTTCAACCTCCTTGCAGCCTCAAGCTCCTGGGCTCAAGCGATCCTCCCTCCCCAGCCTCCTGTGTAACTGGGCCTACAGACATATGCTACCATGCTTGGTTAATTATTAAGTTTTTTGTAGAAACAGGGTCTTGCTGTGTTGCTCAGGTTGGTCTTGAACTCCTGGGCTCAAGCGATCCTCTTGCCTTGGCATCCCAAAGTGCTGGGATTATAGGCATGAGCTACTGTGCCTGGCCATAACTGTATGTTTAACCTTTTGAGGGACTGCCAGACTGATTTTCTAAGTGGCTTCACCATATTGTGTTCCCACCAGCAGTGTTTGAGGGTTCCAATTTGTCCACATCCTTGCTAACACTTGCTATTATCTTTTTTATTATAGCCATCATAGTGGGTATGAATTGGTATCTCATTGTGGTTTTGATTTGCATTTTCCTAATGACTAATGTGTTAAACATCTTTTTATGTGCTTATTGGCTATTTGTGTGTCTTGGAGGAATGGACCCATCAGATTTTGATTTTTAAAATCTAAGATTTCAATTTATTATACAAAGAGCATACTAGTTCCATATGTGATCTTTCTTTGAACCTTGGGTCAAAACAGCATGATGTAAGCCTGTCCTTTTCACACATAATCCTTAGCAGAGTAGTTAACTAGACTGAGTAAACATTTAGTAAACTCAGATAGTTTGCATTCGTGACTGTAGATAAAGTCAGCAACTTTATTTGCTTGTCTAGTCTGTTTAGCATATCACTCTTATGATTTGATAAATGTAAAACGAGTATTCTCTCAGGTATTAAGTTAATTGAGTGTGTTTGTTCAAGACCATAGAATTGGTATAGCACAATTATAAGATATCCAAATGGCAAACTTATAAAAATAGGCTTTTTAAGTAGTCTTATGTCTCTTTTACTTCTCAAATCAGGTCATCTCGATGCACTCCTGAGGGGCTTGGTTCTGGGAAAACTAGGAAAAGCAGGACATAAGGCAACGTTAGAAGAAGCCCGTCGTCGGTTTAAGGACCACGTGGAAGGAAAACAGATTCTCTCCGCTGATCTGAGGAGTCCTGTAGGTTTTCATCATAAATTCCCTTGACTTATAGGTAACATCATTTTGTGAAGCATGGAACTTTTTTTTTTTTTTTTTTGAGACAGAGTCTTGCTCTGTCGCCCAGGCTGGAGTGCAGTGGCATGATCTCGGCTCACTGCAGCCTCTGTCCCCCGAGTTCCAGTGATTCTCCTGCCTCAGCCTCCTGGCTAGCTGATATTACAGGCGCCGCCACCACGCCCAGCTAATTTTTGTATTTTCAGTAGAGACGAGGTTTCGCCATGTTGGCCAGGCTCGTCTCGAACTCCTGACCTCAGGTAATCCACCTGCCTTGGCCTCCCAAAGCGCTGGGATTACAGGTGTGAGCTACCATGCCTGTAACTTTTTTTAAAAAGCCTGGAACATTTTTTAATAGCCAAAACTGACCTAAGAACTGACCCACAAACCACGTCTAACTCTATTTTAATATATACTATTTAAGTGGTTTATAGTCCTCTTCTTATTTGTTTAAAGTTTCTCAGTCAGTGTTGCAGTGCTGAAAGGTGATTAGCTGTGCACATTCCCCTGAAAGCTGCTGTGCTCTGCTGGTACAACATGCCATTTACCTTTGTGGTTGCTCACAGGCACTGCTAGCTCCTTAACTACAGTTTGTAATATTCACATTTATAATATTTACTTTTTTTTTTTTTTTTTTTTTTTTCTGAGACGGAGTCTCACTCTGTTACCCAGGCTGGAGTGCAGTGGTGTGATCTCGGCTCACTGTAGCCTTCACCTCCTGGGTTCAAGCAGTTCTCCGTGCCTCAGCCTCCTGAGTAGCTGGGATTACAGGCACCTGCTACCACGCCCAGCTAATTTTTGTATTTTTAGTAGAGACAGGGTTTCACCATGTTGACCAGGCTGGCCTGGAACTGCTGACCTCAGGTGATCCGCCTGCCTCGGCCTCCCAAAGTGCAGGGATTACAGGCGTGAGTCACCGCAGCCGGCCAACATTTACAATATTGTTTACTTGCTTTCTGTCTTTTCTTAGTATTAGAATACTTGAAACAAGGTACATTTAATCAAATGACTTATTTTTTGTCCCTTGTAGGTCTATCTGACTGTTTTGAAGCATGGTGATGGCACTACTTTAGATATTATGTTAAAAGTAAGTATATTTGAGAAGGCTCCCATTTCCTGCTTTTGAACTTGGATAGACACACAGTAAACCTCTAAATGGTTAAAAAAAAAGACAGTCCTAGAAAAGAAAGATGCATATTGTAGACATGCAAGTATTTTAAAACTGTGAGAGAATTATGTCTATCCATATATGTTATATCAGTATTATCAGTATGATGCCAAAGACATCTTACTTTTCCCCGCCTTTTTTACTCACTTTTTGCATCTGAAATCTTATTATTATTTTTTTTTTTTTTGAGACAAGGTCTCACTCTGTCACCCAGGCTAAAGTGACATAATCATGGATCACTGCAGCATCAACCTCCCAGGCTCAAGTGATCCTCCTGCGTCAGCCTTCCAAGTAGCTGGAATTATAGGAGTGTGATAACCGCATCCAGCTAATTTTTGTGTTTTTTGTAGAGAGAAGGTTTCACCATGCCCAGGCTGGTCTCAAATTCCTGGGGTCAAGTGATACACCCACCTCAGCCTCCCAAAGTGCTGGGATTACAGGCATGAGCTACTGTGCCCAGCTGAAATTTTAACACTGAAATAAATGTTCGTTTTGATTAACAAGTCACTTTCTTTAAATTTTATCTTCAGTGTAAACTTACTTGGGGTTCTGCCCATTTTAAGCAAAACGTTTGTTTCTGTGCTTAGGTTCTGTGCTTAGGTTTGTTTTTGTGCTTAGAAAAGGGATAGACAGATGATGATCAAGTGTCTCAAGCATTTGAGCTATGGCAGGGTCCTTTATTAATAGACAGGAAATTAATTCACCTGCCTTCATAGCCTCTCTAGTTTTCCCAGAGTAATTGGCATATAATTAAGCTCTGACTTAGACAAAATATAGATAAAACTTTCCATGTCCTCATAATGGCAGCAGTGTTTGCAACTTTGAATCAATAGTAGTACTGTGAAGCAAATGCTATCTCCAGTCCCTATTCATACAGTTCCGGTCTATAAAGAAATGGCTTGAGTGCACTGGCTACATTAGAGGTGGAGGTAGCCGAATCTACTTTTTAATCATTAAATAAAATGTGCAAAATGTGCCTAAAAACCCATTTGTTAAAAGATCCACGCTTAGGACAGGAGTGGAATGTGCTTTACTGTCTCTACCTTTCATGGATTAACAACACTCTTCTGACTTACAGGGAGTTCATGATAATCAGCTTCACTGTAGAAATAGCTCTAATGATCATAATTGCAGATCTAAATTCTGATATTTTGGTTTTAAACAAATCCTCTGAAAAATGATTAGGATGTCTGAAAATAAAAACTTTAAGAAACTGTACCTCAAAATGTACTGCTTTACCCATGTTGTAATAGGTTTACTTTCTTTCTTTTTTTTTTTTTTTTTTTTTTTGAGACGGAGTCTCACTCTGTCACCAGGCTGGAGTGTAGTGGCACGATCTTGGCTCACTGCAACCTCTGCCTCCCGGGTTCACGTGATTCTCCTGCCTCAGCCTCCCAAGTAGCTGGGACTACAGGCACCCGCCACCACACCCAGCTAATTTTTGTATTTTCAGTAGAGACGGGGTTTTACCATATTGGCCAGGCAGGCCTCGAACTCCTGACCTTGTGATCCACCCGACTCGGCCTCCCAAAGTGCTGGGATTATAGGCATGAGCCACCATGTCTGGCCTGCTTTCTAAGAATATAAAAGTTATATTTGGGAGAGCTGGGCACGGTGGCATGCACCTATATTTCCAGCTTCTCAGGAGGCTGAGGCAGGAGGAGCGCTTGAGCCCAGGAGTTCAAGGCTGCAGGGAGCTATGATTGTGCCACTGCACTCCAGCCTGCGTGACAGAGCAAGACCCTATCTTAAAAAAGACCCTAAAAAAAGTTAAATTTGGGTTTACTTTCCACCTGAACATTAAGGTCCCTTCTCAGTCTTAATATTCTGTGAACCTGTATACTATAAATGATATGTATGAAATGGGATATTTGATTTTTTTCCATCTATTCCATGATGATATGGAAAAAAATAGGGGTTCTGTAAATTTCATGGCAGATACATTGATATTTTCATGTCATGGCACTTTTAAGATTTTCCACAAGTATGTGTATTTATTCAGAGTTTGCATTTATTTAACACAAGAGAGTTCACGATAATCAGCTTCACTATGGAAATAGCTCTAATGAAGGCCGAATCATGGTTCTTCAAGAAGCCACTTGGTAAGAGATGAGGAGGGTTGTCTTATGATGGTAATTTAGGAATAATGTGGCAGAGTTAAAAAACATTAATTCATAGTATATTTGAAATGTGGTGTTAGAGTGCCATCTAGTGGACTAGAATAACAGTTCTCTATGGAGGAAAACGCTTCCTGAAAGCCAGAGGTTCAGACCTTGAATATTGGAGCTGAAAAGGGCCTTAGAAATTATCTGTCCACCCATCTCATTTTACACATGGGGAAACTGAGACCCAGAGGGATGAAGGACTTAGTCAAGATCACACAGCTAGTTAGAGGCAAAACTGGGACTAGAACCCAGATCTCCCAAGGTCCTGTCTATTTTACTGCACTGCTGCTTAGAGTCCAAAGGGGCCAGGCGTGGTGGTTCATGCCTGTAATCCCAGCACTTTGGATGGGAGGATCACTTGAGGCCAGGAGTTCAAGACCAGCCTGGGCAACATGGAGAAACTCCGGCTCTACTAAAAATAGAAAAATTAGGCCAGGCGCGGTGGCTCACGCCTGCAATCCCAGCACTTTGGGAGGCCGAGGCGGGTGTGGATCACAAGGTCAGGAGTTCAAGACCAGCCTGGCCCAAATGGTGAAACCCTGTCTCTACTAAATATACAAAAATTCGCCGGGTGTGGTGGCGGGCGCCTGTAGTCCCAGCTACTCAGGAGGCTGAGGCAGGAGCATTGCTTGAACCTGGGAGGTGGAGGTTGTGGTGAGCCGATATTGTGCCATTGCACTCCAGCCTGGGTGACAGAGTAAGACTCCGTCTCAAAAAAAAAAAAAGAAAAGAAAAATTAGCTAGGCGTGGTTGTAGTGAGCTGAGGTAACACCATTGCACTCCAGCATGGGCAACAGAGCGAGACTCCATCTCAAAAAAAAAAAAAAAAGAGACCAGCCTGGTCAACACAGCGAGACCCCATCTCTACTTCTTATAAATTAAAATTGTTTATTGAAAAAAAAAAAAGTGTCGAAAGGAAGAGGAAACTGAGAGCTTTGATGAGGTCTCCAGACACTCTGGTCAGTGTTAAATCTTAAGGGGTAGAAAAGATCAAAAGAGTCTAAATTGTCTTGGAGACATAGCTCTTATACATTTATAGTTCTAATTTTTAAGAATTACAACATTTTGTTTCTATGAAAAGATTTTATATACATATATACTATGGAAGATTTAGAGACTAGAAAAGTATAAAGAGGAAAATAAAACTTACCTATAGTTTAGAAAGCAGGTAGCAAAAACAGCATGTATAACATGCTCTCTTTCCAGATTTGTTAATGTACATATAGTAGTAATTTTATTTTTTTCTTTATGCTTCTCTGTCTTTCAGATATTCTGCATTCAGTATGTGCTGCTTTTGCAGTTAAAAAGTGTGAAGATGCATAATCCCACTGATCAGAAACCATCATTAATTAATACTACCATTTTGATGTATTTCCAGGGGTTCTCCCCCACCCCCTTTTTTTGGAAACACAGTCTTGCTCTGTTGTCCAGACTGGAGTGCAGTGGTACGATATGGGCTCACTGCAACCTCCACCTCAGCCTTCCAAAGTGCTAGGATTACAGGCGTGAACCACTGTGCCCAGCCATATATATATATATATTTTTTAGGATAATTCTGCTTTGTCTGCTTTCTTCACTTAAATATAAGAACATGTTTATGATATATTCTTAAAATATAACTTTCAATAATGCATTTTTATAAGTACAGTATTCATTTTCAATTTTTCACTATTATAAATTAATTTGATGATCTGGTATAAGAACACTAATGATTAGTTTGTTCTTCTAAAACAGAACATTAGCCAGATATCAATGATGTAAAGAATTTGGCTATGATAGATTTTACCTCTTAGATCTTGATGTTAAACTGGTCTGAACTAATGACAGGCTGTTCATCTGGTAGCATTTACATCTAGTGATTTACTTACTGTAACAGCAGATGACAAATTTAGTGCCAAAGCATCATTTTTTTTTTCTTTTATTTTTGAGACAGAGTCTCGCTCTCTTGCCCAAACTGGAGTGCAGTGGCACGATCTCAGCTCACTGCAACCTCCCAGGTTCAAGCGATTCTCCCGCCTCGGCCTCCCAAGTAGCTGGGATTACAGGTGGGCACCACCACGCCCGGCTAATTTTTTTTTTTTGTATTTTTAGTAGAAACAGGGTTTCACCATGTTGGCCAGGCTGATCTCGAACTCTTGACCTCAGGTGATCCACCCGCCTCGGCCTCCCAAAGTGCTGGGATTACAGGTGTGAACCACCGCACCTGGCCCAAAGCATCTTGAAAAGTATTCTCTTTCTTTAATATAATGCCCTGCCATTCTTACCTAGTGAGAATATAGAACCTAAGTTTTACCTTACTGGGGAAGAAGCTCATATAATCATATGCAGAACATCCAAGGGAGAGTTAACTATTCCTATCTTTATCTTTTTTCCTGTAGCTTCATAAACAAGCAGATATGCAAGAAGAGAAAAACCGAATCGAAAGAGTCCTTGGCGCTACTCTTTTGCCTGACCTGATTCAAAAAGTCCTCACGTTTGCACTTTCAGTAAGTTACGGTGAAAACTGCATTTAGAAGTGAATCGTTACCCATCTCTGAGAAGTGTCTCTGATTCAGCTCTGATCCTCTTGAGCTGCCTTAACCCTAACTAAAGCTTCCTTTTCCAGAGTAACTGGCTTGAGTTTTTGTTACTGACTTCTGTTTTTCTCCCACTAGTGGCGAGAATCAGAATAGTTGGGAGAGTAAACAAATTGTCTCTCCAGAATGGAAACTATGAGGACAGGGACTCTTGAAAACTGGGAAACTGGCTTATGCCTTTGCTTACTTTGTGTCTCTTCCTTTCTTAAACCTATAGGCTCCTAAGCAAGTATCTGTTGAGCAGTCTGTCTGTCTGAACCTGTCTCAGTACCTCATTCTCATTTTGGTTATCTTTAGCTTAAACATTATCTTCTTTGCTGAGAACTTCTGGTTCCAGTTATTCCTAAAACAAGGAATAAGTGTCTTCAGTGTGATTACTTCAGTGTCACAGTATGGTGCACTTTCTGGTACCAGAATATGTTTTTGATACACTAGACTTTTAGCTCTCTTTCTTTTTTTAGGAAGAGGTACGTCCACAGGACACTGTATCGGTAATTGGTGGAGTAGCTGGAGGCAGCAAGCATGGTAGGAAAGCTGCTTGGAAATTCATAAAGGACAACTGGGAAGAACTTTATAACCGATACCAGGGAGGATTCTTAATATCCAGACTAATAAAGGTATGTGAAAAACTTTGAGTAGCTTGCTAATCATGGATATTATTTAGTGACATCCATGATTCACTACACCCATACATTGTGGTCTTTGCTCTTTAAATGTTTCCTGTGGCCAGGTGCAGTGGCTCACGCCTGTAATACCAGCACTTTGGGACGCCGAGGTGGGCAGATCACCTGAGGTCGGGAGTTCGAGACTATCCTGGCCAACATGGTGAAATCCTGTCCCTACTAAAAATACAAAAATTAGCTGAGCGTGGTGGTGTGTGCCTGTAATCCCAGCTACTTGGGAGGCTGAGGCAGGAGAATCGCTTGAACCTGGGAGGCAGAGGTTGTGGTGAGCCGAGATGAGGTCATTGCACTCCAGCCTGGGCAACAAGTGTGAAACTCCGTCTCAAAAAAAAAAAAGTTTCCTTAAATAGTTACTGGCTTTATTTAAGGACTTCTCCATCTCCCATCACACATCCTTTATAACAGACTGAAGTTGGCAGAGAACAGAATGATTTATTTTTAGGGTAAATGGAAGTTTGTTCTCAGCCTCTTGGTTTCACTTACTGTTTAAAACCATTGTTTTGCAGCTATCAGTTGAGGGATTTGCAGTTGATAAAATGGCTGGAGAGGTTAAGGTAAGGAAAATACTGTTTACTCTTCACTTTTCAGTCTAGTAAGTAAAAACAATAACCTGGTTGTAATTATAGTGTTGGGATAATGTACTGTAGCATCTCTGTGTTTTTGTTTAGAGAAAGACATCATGCAGGGCTGTATAGGCCATATTAAGAATTTCCTAAAAATGGCCAGGCATGGTAGCTCACATCTGTAATCTCAGCACTTTGGGAGGCCGAGGTGGGTGGATCACCTGAGGTCAGGACTTCAAGACCAGCCCGGGCAACATGGTGAAACCCCAAATTAGCTGGACATGGTGGTGCACGCCTCTAATCCCAGCTACTCGGGAGGCTGAGGCAGGAGAATTGCTTGAGCCCGGGAGGTGGAGGTTGCAGTGAGCTGAGATCGTGCCATTGCACTCCAGCCTGGGTGACAGAGCGAGACTCCTGTCTCAAAAAAAAAAAAAAAAAAAAAAGTCCTAAAAATGGAAAGCCTTCGAATGGTTTATAAACAAGGCAGTGCCTTGATCTGATTTGTGTTATAAAAATTTCAGTCTGGCTGCAATGTGGATAATAGTTTGGAATGGGGAAGAGAAGATGTTGGGAAGCTAACTCTCCTAGCAAGAATGATAGAATAGCTTACAGTAGGGTAGTGGCAGTAGTGGAGGAGATGGAATAATGGAGATTCAGGGGCTTGAATTTGTTAACCATTTAGTTCAACAATATTTATTGATTGGCTTCTCTGTTGTGAGCATATCTGGGAGAGGAAGAAAAACAAGCCAGGATAATCCCCAGGTTTCTGGTGTATAAATGTTGGTACTACTCTGCGATGGAATGGAAAAAGACTTGAGGCCCTGAGAACTGAACCATGATTAGGAGCCTTGGAACAGTAGCAATTGTCATCTGTGTAAATAAGGTTATTGATTTCTAAAAGGTCTATGTTTAATCAGATGGATTAGTCATTCTGTCTTTCACACCTGTGGTGACTAATTCAAAGGAAAAGCCCTATCATTTTGCCAGCTGGTGTTTAAGAGTTGCTTTGTTTTCTGTGAAACCAGGTGTACTGCATTAGAAAAGTTTATTCAACTTTTAATCATTAAGCATTGTGATAAATTGTAAACTTAGAAATTGTTTGGTTTACTGTATTAAAAATGTTGGATTCCTGTAATTCCAGCATTTTGGGAGGCTGAGGTGGGAGGATTGCTTGAGTTCAAGAGTTCAAGACCAGTCTGGGCAACATGGTAGGACCCCATCTCTACAAAAAGGAAAAAACAATTTGGCCTGGGAGTGCACGCTTGTGGTCCCAGCTACCCAGGAAGTTAAGGTGGGAGGTTTACTTGAGCCCAGAAGGTTGAGGCTGTGATGAGCCATGATCGTTTCATTGCACTCTAGCCTGGGCAACAGAGTGAGACCCTGTCTCAAAAAAAAAAAAAAAAAAAAGACCATGGGGTGTTAAATTATTAGGGCATAGCAGCAATTTAAACTTCTTTGTATTATCATCCCTTACAAATTAATCTTTATTTGAAGCAGCCAAAATGTGTTGAATCCTTAAGTACTCTGTGCTAGGTATTTTGTCAAATGTTTATATGGATTGTCTCTTTAATCTTCTGGAGTAGATATTTTCTCATAGTTGAGAAAACTGAGACTTAGAGCAGTTAATTTTCTCACAGTCACAAGCTAGTACATGACTAAGCCTGGATTCAGGTTCCAAGTCTTCATTCCAAAGACTATATTTACCACTACACAATTAGCCTAAAAGAAAGGCAGTAGGTTCTGTCTCTTTATTAACTTTTGATTAGGTTGTTAAGCATATAATTAAGGGGAGAATTCCTATATGCAGGTCCAAGGAGTTGCTTGTTTTCTTTTAGCCTGAGGGTGGCAGTGGTAAATTCTCATGCCTGAAGATTATGCATCCTTCATATAGACCAGTGGGTATTTTTTCATAACCTGTAATATTAACTTCTTATTGCTAGTAATGATCCTGCATTCTGGGTTGTTTTATACCAGGCTTTCTTCGAGAGTCACCCAGCTCCTTCAGCTGAGCGTACCATCCAGCAGTGTTGTGAAAATATTCTGCTGAATGCTGCCTGGCTAAAGCGAGATGCTGAGAGCATCCACCAGTACCTCCTTCAGCGGAAGGCCTCACCACCCACAGTGTGAATCCTGAGGTGCCGCCATTGGCGGTTCTGCTGCTTCGCTGCAGGGATAAGGTGGAGCTACCGAACAGCTGATTCATATGCCAAGAATTTGGAGTCTTCTTTCAAACCAGTGGGGGTTGGACAATGAATGTAGTTAACTGGTTCCTGCTCACACTCCAGAATTAAATTCTATTGAAAAAGGAAAATCAGCAATTCAGCAAAAAATAAATAAAAAATAAAAATGTAAATATGATAGTAATAAAATAGAGCATAACGAAACTGTGAAACTTTCTGAAGCCTTGTCAGTGGTTAAAAGTATTTAACACTCTACTGTTAATGACAGATGTTCTGTTTTTATAACCTACCAAAAGGAAACTAGAGGCTTCTTGGTGAAGAGCATTTTTGTGAAGTGGGTTCTGCAAGGAGCCTATAAAGCCAAGGGTGGTGTCCATTTCTGGGAATGGTTAAACACAAAAGGCTGATAGCTGGTATCACATAGTTGGAGTCAGTGCATAATTCCAAGTGGCTTTTTTTTTTTTTGGCACGGGGACTGATCAGGAAGATATATTCCTGCATAACTCAATCTGAACCAAGGATTGTAGTTTAGTTTTCCTCCTTGCCTTCCCTTCTGTGTGACCGACCCCTTGGCCAAAAAAAAACAAAAAGCAAAAAACAAAAACCTACCCTGTTCTGGTTTTTTTCCTCCCTTTAGTTCCACCCCCAACCCCCATTCCCTGGTGTCCTTCTTAGAGATGAAGAAATAATAAGGAAACATCTTTCATAGCCACATTAAATAAGAGAAACTGATATACATTATTTTTTTCTTTTTAAAGATGACTTATAAGAACCCTGAAATTTATATAGGTGAGACAATAGAAATAAAAAGATCTTCAGCCAGGCCTTTCTGAAGGAGTTATTCTGCTAAAAATGGTCTTAGTTGTCTGAAAAGCCAGCTCTTGAACCTCTTCACAACAGTATCAACACTGGCTTCTCCCGGTTCATTTTATGCGTGCGAGAAGTCAGTGGTAACTGCTGCAGGGCTTAATACATTAGTGGTAACTGGTTTAAAAAACAAAGACTGTAAGCCTGTGTGTGCCACTGTTTGCTTCAACAGTATATCCTAATAAGCCTCACCTATTTAATCCAATGAGTTTTAAATCTAAATCTCATTCCCTTCTTCTTTCCCTACCTTTTTTTTCTTTTTTTCTTAAAAAAATATTTTGTGTTATTAACAGAAATTCATATTTGGTGTGGCTTAACGGTATTTCAGAAGGTCATCAGATTGTGAGACTGCTTCCTTGAAACATTTTTGTGCTATTGTTTTAAAAAAATAATTAAAAAACAGTTGGCGTTAATAAAAATGTCAATGTGAAACTGATGTCCTGATTCACTTTATTCTCTTTCTTTGATAAGAAACTAAAAACTTTCCTATCATTCAGTAGGCTTATGCAAAGTTATACTATCATAGGATTTTTCAAATTCAAAAAAAATCCAGTTCCTTAATTCCTAATTTATAGATCTTAACAGAAAAATCCTGAGATTCATTCTAAATCAGTTCTACATTCTCAAAACTCTCTCAGAGACTCTTATAGTCAGCATTCAGGAATGAACTTGAGACTTCCTCAGTCCCTAGTTTTGAGGCACCCTAGTTCAGGCACCATGCTCAGGGCTGCCCTTAGGCTCTCAAATGTTCTTAAGGCACCAGTGAAGCAGGGGCACCAAAAAGACTGAGAAAAATGCAGGTTTAATTGAAGAACTCAGAATTTTGCAATCAGAAATTCTGGAAACAGGTTATTTTACTTTCAGCATACATGTGATTTTTGTCTGTAATAATAGTTAAGTAGTTTGAATTACGTTCAGGGAGAGGTTATACTAGATGTCTTCCATTTGCCTTTCAGAACCCCTCTTCATCCCACTCTGGACCCCAGCGGGTGCTGACCCACATGGACTGCAGCATGAATGGCTCCCTTGCCCTCTGACTTCAGCTTCTGTTTATCCAATTATTAATATCCAAAGAAGATGAGAAGATATAAGGAAGAGATGGTCAGAGTACTCTGGCTTTCTCATTGCCAGGTCACATGGGTTGTCTGTGTCCCTTTAGCAAAGACCACAGCTCTTACCAAGCAGCCCCCTCTAGCTTCTGGCTCCTTCTCTTTGCTCCTTCACATCTAGGAATAGAAAGAAAGGAGAACTCGAGAGCTGGGTGCGGTGGCTCACGCTTGTAATCCCAGCACTTTGGGAGGCCGAGACGGGTAGATCACCTGAGGTCAAGAATTCAAGACCAGCCTGGCCAACATGGTGAAACCCCGTCTCTACTAAAAATACAAAAATTAGCTGGGCATGGTGGCGCATGCCTGTAATCCCAGCTACTCGGGAGGCTGAGGCAGGAGAATTGCCAGAACCCAGGAGGCAGAGGTTGCAGTGAGCCAAGACCGTGCCACTGCACTCCAGCCTGGGCAACAAGAGTGAAACTCCGTCTCCAAAAAAAAAAAAGAAGACTCAAGCTGGGTGCGGTCACTCACACCTGTAATCCCAGCACTTTGGGAGGCTGAGGTAGACAGATCACCTGAGGTCAGGAGTTTCAGACCAGCCTGGTCAACATGATGAAACCCCTGTTTCTACTAAAAATACAAAAATTGGCCAAGCATGGTGATGCATGTCTGTAATACCAGCTACTTGAGAGGCTGAGGCACAAGAATTGCTTGAGCCTGGGAGGCAGAGGCTGCAGTGAGCTGAGATCGTGCCACTGCACTCCAGCCTGGGCAACAGAGCGAGACTGTCTCAAAAAAAAAAAAAAAAAAAAAAAAAAGGACTTAGTTACCAGCCCTGGATTACGCCATTATTCTTCATTGATTTTCCTGCACTCTGTCCATGTCTCTGTAAATAGTCCTTTATTAAACCTTCCTCAGTTTGTGTTCTTTCCTACCAATACCTTGAGTGATTTGGGCACAATAGCCCTGCTGCTTTGGGTCTCTAAAGGTTTTAATTCAGCCTTTTCTGTGTCAGATGTTTTGTTTTTCAAATAGCTCCCTATCATAAGTCATACACCCATTTTACAGATGAGAATGCAGACTCAGAAAAGTAAGGCAAATTAATACAGCAAAATAACTATCAACCAGTGATCAAGCCAGGTTTGCTAGTCTCCAAAGGCTGTGGTCTTTCAGGGAACTGCCATGTCTCCACAATTAAAAGATCATAGTTAGACTGGGCCAGGCAATAGCATTAAAGCTTAATTACTTTTTCCTAATATATTTTGGTTACAAATTTTAGTGGAAATCAGAAGGTTTGGAAGAAACAAGTATGTTAATGCCTCCTATGGAGAGTTTTACATTATTTTTCATTAATGAGATTCAGTAAAGCTTTTTGGAACAGTGGGCAGTGGTGGGGTGAATTCTCAACTTGCAATTTCTAAGGATAGGTTTTAGGGAGCAAGGAATAAATCTGTTGAGTACAACTTGGGGAGGATTAAGAGGAGTTCTATAGCTCTAAATAGATTCTTCAAATTCTATAACCCAAAAAGTTTCCAGAATTACCAGAAAGACATCATGGAGCCACATGTAAGTGCTAATGTTTTTTGTTTTTATTTTTTAGCAAGTTATTAAATAAAAGCAAGTGGGCCGGGCACAGTGGCTCATGCTTGTAATCCCAACACTTACCAAGGCAGGTGGATTACCTGAGGTCAGGAGATCAAGACCAGCCTGGCCAACATGGCGAAACCCCGTCTCTGCTAAAAATACAAAAATTAGTCGGTGTGGTGGTGCATGCCTATAATCCCAGCTACTCGGGAGTCTGAGGTGAGAGAATCTACTTGAACCCAGGAGGCAGAGGTTGCAGTGAGCTGAGATTGCACCACTGCACTCCAGCCTGGGTAACAGAGCAAGATTCCCTCTCAAAAAAAAACAATTAATTTTAAAATAAACAGGCCAGGCGCGGTGGCTCACGCCAGTATTCCCAGCACTTGGGAGGCCCAGGCGGGCAGTTCACCTGAGGTCGGGAGTTTGAGACTAGCCTGACCAACATGGAGAAACCCTGTCTCTACTAAAAAAAAAAAAAAAAAAAAAAAAATTAGCCGGGTGTGGTGGCGCATGCCTGTAATCCCAGCTACTTGGGAGGCTGAGGCAGGAGAATTGCTTGAACCCGGGAGGCGCAGGTCACAGTGAGCCGAGATCGCGCCATTGCACTCCAGCCTGGGCAACAAGAGCGAAACTCCATCTCAAAAATAAAATGCATAAATAAAAATCCAAGCTTTTGGTAATATGTTTATACTGCTGAATCTATACTTACAGCGTCACTCTTGACTGAAAAATATATTGCTTGATAGAACTGAATCTCTTCCTTTACTAGATACTAGTTTTAGGGTTTCAGAGTTGGTTTTCTCTAAATAAGAGTATTTGTGACAATGCAAAATACCCACCCAAGAAGGACCGTGCCTTCTTGTACCAACCCTGGTGCAAGCAAAATGATTGAGGTGTTTGGTTTCAAATGCAAGAATAAGAGCCTTGATGTTAACAAAACATTGAGCCGAACAACTGCCTTCCCTAGGAAACCAAATCAGAGGACTGGTTGTTCTACCAGTTTGATGGCCAGTGTTGTGATAGGTGACAGTGTCAGGTGAAGGAAAGTCAAGTGAGTTGTTACTGCCACTTACAAAGACCTGTGATTGCTCCTGTGATTCCACTGCAAGTATATGGCAGCTGTAGCTTTCACTACTGGGCTTCTGTTTCCAACACTGGGGAGGAATTGGCAGAGAATGAACATAGTTTACTGTCATGATCTGTGCTTTCTCAGGGAGGTTGTAGCAGCTAACAGCAGATATACTATACATCAATTAAGATGACTACCAGGAAGAAAAAAATAATCCTTGCCGTGGTTTGGCTGACAGTACCAATATGGTCCTCTGAGACATCCCCTACCCCTACTCTAACCACCTTTAACCTTCATCACCAATTTGACAAATTTTACAGGTGTATTACGTTACACTGCAATTCTGGGCAACTCTTAATAGGGCACTGATTACCTTGCATTATTTGTACTCATCTGGACATTCTCTTCCTTAATGTTTATTAGCCTGTACTTTTAAAGTTAAGCAGGGGGCCAGGCACCGTGGCTCACGCCTGTAATCCCAGCACTTTGGGAGGCTGAGGCAGGCGGATCACTTGAGCCCAGGAGTTTGAGACCAGCCTGGACAACATAGTGAAACCCCATCTCTACAAAAAATACAAACATTAGCTGGGTGTGGTGGTATGCTCCCGTAGTCCCAGCTACCTGGGAGGCTGAGGCAGGAGAATCGCTTGAGCCCAGCAGGAGGTTGCAGTGAGCCGAGATCATGCCACTGCACTCCAGCCTGGGTGACAAGGCAAGACCCTATCTCAAAAAAATAAAAAATAGTTAAGGAGGTGCAGGCATGGTAGCTCACACCTGTAATCCCGGCACTTTGGGAGGCCAAGGTGGGAGGATCACTTGAGCTCAGGAGATTGAGACCAGCCTTGGCCACATGGTAAAACTCCATCTCTACTAAAAGAAAAAAAATTAGCTGGGCATGTTGGCATGTGCCTGTAGTCCCAGCTACTCAGGAGGCTTAGGCTGCACTGACCTATGGTCACACCACTGCACTCCAGGCTGGGTGACAGTGAGACCCTGTCTCAATAATAGGGCCGGGGGGGTGGCTCATGCCTGTAATCCCAGCACTTTGGAAAGCCGAGGTGGGTGGATTGCTTGAGCTCAGGAGTTCAAGACCAGCCTGGGCAACATAACGAAACCCCGTCTCGTTATACAAAATACAAAAAAATTAGCCAGGCATAGTGGTATATGCCTGTGGTCCCAGCTACTCAGGAGGCTGAGGTGGGAAGAGGATCGCTGGAGCCCAGGAAGTTGAGGCTACAGTGAGTCAGGATGGCACCACTGCACTCCATCCTGGGTGAGAGCAAAACCCTGTCTCAAACAAACAAAAATAATAGTAATAAAAATAAGGAGAAGAAAAAATCAGTATGTGGAGTGGCTATTAGGTTAGTGGGAGAAGTCTCAAGAACACCATACAAAATAATAGAAGGGAGATGGAAGGAAACAACTTACAAGAAAATGTACAAAGCACTTAAAATATTTGAGATGAATGAGAATGGATGAGATTGCTGTTGCTTTTCTAACAGGTCAATTTCCTCTTCTATCAGCAGAGCACTTGTAAGTCAGAATGTAAAGGGATGTGATAGGATGAAGTTAATACTGTGCCCTCTACAAGTGTAAAGAAGTTCTTTGTTTTCTTCTTTTTTGTCTTGAGATGATCTCTTTGTCACCCAGGCTGGAGTGCAGTGGTGCGATCCTGGCTCACTGCGCAGTGGTGCGATCCTGGCTCACTGCAGCCTTGAACTTCTGGGCTTAAGGGATCCTCCCACCTCAGCCTCCTGAGTAGCTGGGACTAGAGGTGTGTGCCACCACACCCACTAATTTAATTTGTTAATTTTGTGGAGGTGGGGTTTCACCATGTTGCCCAGGCTTGTCTCGAACTCCTAGGCTCACGTGATCCCAAGTTACTGGGATTACAGGCATGAGCCATCTTGCCCCGCCTTAGTTCATTTTTTTTTTTTTTGAGATGGAGTCTTGCTCTGTTGCCCAGGCTGGAGTGCAATGGCGTGATCTTGGCTCACTGCAACCTCCGCCTCCCAGGGTCAAGCGATTCTCCCACCTTCAGCCACCCAAGTAGCTGGGCTTACAGGCATGCACCACCTGTCTGGCTAATTTTTGTATTTTTAGTAGACATGAGGTTTCGCCATGCTGGCCAGGCTGGTCTTGAACTCCTGACCGCCCACCTGGGCCTCCCAAAGTGCTGGGATTACAGGCGTGAGCCACTGCGCCTGGCCTCTTAGTTCATTCTTATAACAGTAACAGAGTAGACAGACTATTGGATAAACAACGAAATAGTACATGACTTAGATCTCTTGGCTACCAAACCTGGCCTTCTCTTAATTTCTTACTCTCAGCAAATGGAAGACCTATGTGACCAATACAGTAGCTACTAGCCATTCACAGCTATTTAAATTAATTAGAATTAAATAAAAAGTTGCTTGGGGCTGGCTCATGCCTGTAATCCCAGCACTTTGGGAGGCCAAGGCAGGTGGATCACTTGAGTTCAAGACCAGCCTGGACAACATGGTGAAACCCCGTCTCTACTAAAAATACAAAAATTAACCAGGCGCATGCCTGTAATCCCAACTACTAAGGAGGCTGAGGCAGATGAATTGCTTGAGCCCAGGAGGCGGAGATTGCACTCCATGCCACTGCACTCCAGCCTGGGTAACAGGGCAAGACTCTGTCTCAAGAAAAAAGTTGCCTGGTTGCACTAGCCACAAATCAACTGCGCAGCAGCCACATAAGGCTAGTGGCTACTGTATTGAACAGCACAGATATAAATCATATTCATCACTCAGGAAAGTTCTATTGGACCACCCTGAGCTACACCTCATATATCCAAGTGTATTTTTTTGTGTATCACTGAAAGTAATAGCTTGGGCAACATGGTGAGACTCTGTCTCTACAAAAGATTGAAAAAATTAACTGAGTGTGGTAGCACACACCTGTAGCCCCAACTGCTTAGAAGACTGAGGTTGGGAGATCACTTGAGTCCAGGAGGTGGAGGCGGCAGTGAGCCATGTTCGTGCCACTGCACTATAGAGCCTGGGCAACAAAATGAGACCCTGTCTCCAAAAAACAAAGTTACATTTTTACTAATCTTGTAACAAATTGCTGATCACCTAAGAACATTTTATCACTAACCCCTATTCATTTAAAATTTTATTTTTCATGAATGTAATACATGTCGTATTCATTTTCCAAAAATTGAAGGAAAAAAAAGTGACTCTCTTCTTACAAACTCCTCTACGTTTTTATACTCTATGCATTTTGAATATTTTTAGTAATGAAGATAGGCTGTGCCTCCTTCACTTGTCTGACCACGTAACCAGTGCCACGTGTTTTCAGTCTTTGCTGTATGAAACTAAATGTGCCATGCTCAGAGCTGCCACCCGTGTCCTAAGTCACGAAGCTAATCACCAAAGACTACTTGTGAACAAAGTAACAGCTGGCAAATGCATACCTTGAGAAGTGTTTCTTCCTTGTTTAGAGTCACTGGTTCATGAATGTTTTCCAGCCTGACTTCCTGATGTTAAATGCCAGTTTTGTGGACTGCACACATTTGAAGAACGTGACTTTAAGTTCCTGGTTCAATTAGTTTAAGTGGCTCATGTAATGAATTCACTCAATGTACTTCCCTCACTGGAGATGTGAACTGCACTATATTTGGAACTAACACTTGCAATCCTATACACTGTTGCCTGGGTGTTGAGCTACAAATTTTGGTTAATATCACCATTAACTAGATTCAGGAAGTTATATGATGATGAATTTCACAAAGATTTTGGTGAAGAGAGATGTGACTGGTTTGAAAAAAAGGGGGGTGAGGGTATTCTTCTCATAGGTTCCCAATGTGCAGGGACTTCAGCTTGCTGACACTGTTGAATGAGGCCATGCGTTCCTCCCACTGGGGCTTGCTTACCTGCTGACACCTGCCACGCCAGCCTGAGCAACTGTGTTGCCCTGACTCCTAGGCTTACCCCTGTTAACTTGGTGACTACACCTCACTGCTTCCAACAAATAAAACAAATGTGCCATCCATCCAGAAATGCCCCAAGTGTGCACTAAACCCAGGAAAGACCTGAGATAGGAATAATCTAGGTAGCTTTAAATGTTCCTGTTCTCTAGGATCCAAACTTAGCCATCCCCACTAAGATGCTGGGCAAACGTTCTCATTGGTACATAAGCATCACAGAAGGCTGGTGAGAAGGGGACCAGCCTTTTCTAGTCATTATCAAATAATACAGCAGCACTGTGCTCCAGCCTCACAGGCTGCTATCTGATGGGACGGGTGTGCATTTTGGCCACTGATCAAAAGACCTTGGTTATCACAAGAACCTTATCAGAAAAGCCCCACAGCATTAAACCTGAGTGCAGTATTCAAGGCAAGGTTCTGATGGATTTGTTCAATGGCTATGGGATTCAGATGGCAGACACTACATAGTTGCAAAAGCTTTTACTGCAGAAGGAAATGCCTATTATACTAGATATTGAGGCTACAGTATCAAATAAGGTAGACTTGGTCTCTGCCCTAATGGAGCTTACAATCTAGCAGCGACAAGAGATATCGAATGAGTAATTTTAAGTGTGCCAACTCTGGAGTGGGAAGTTTAGTGTGCTATACCAGACAGTTCAAAGTAGCCTGAAGGTTCAGGAAAGTCTCCCTGGAGAAATGTTAAACTGAAACATGAAAGATGAGTAGTTGCCAGGCAAAGAGGAGAGAAAAAGTGTTATTAGCAGAAGAAACAGCATGTGCAACGGGCCTGTAGTTAGAAGGAAGCAGACCTATTTAAGAAAGCAAAAGAGGGCTGGGCGCGGTGGCTCACGCCTGTAATCCCAGCACTTTGGGAGGCCGAGTCAGGCAGATCACCTGAGGTCAGGAGTTCGAGACCAGCCTGGCCAACATGGTGAACCCCCGTCTTTACTAAAAATACAAAAAAATTAGACAGGCATGGTGGCGGGCGCCTGTAATCCCAGCTACTCGGGAGGCTGAGGCAGGAGAATCCCTTGTACCTGGGAGATGGAGGTTGCAGTGAGCCGAGGCAGTGCTATTGCACTCCAGCCTGGACAACAAGAGCAAAACTCTGTCTCAAAAAAAAAAGCAAAAGAAATCCAAGATGGGCTGGGTGCAGTAGCTCATACCTGTGATCCCAGCGCTTTGTGAGGCTGAGGTGGGAGGATCGCTTAAGCTCAGGAGTTCAAGACCAACCTAGGTAACATAGTGAGACCCAGTATCTACTTAAAAAAAAAAATTAGCTAGGCGTGGTGGCATGCGCCCATAGTCCCAACTACTTGGGAGACTGAGGTGGGAGGATCGCATGAGCCCAGGAAGTTCAGGTACATGAGATGTGGTCCAGCCACTGCACTCCTCCCTGGGTGACTGAGCAAGACCCTGTCTCAAAAAAAAAAAAAAGAGGATACTCGGCCGAGCACAGTGACTCATACCTGTAATCCCAGCACTTTGGGAGGCCGAGGCGAGCAGATCACCAGGTCAACAGATCGAGACCATCCTAGCCAACATGGTGAAACCCTGTCTCTACTAAAAATATAAAAATTAGCTCAGCATGGTGGTGCACGCCTGTAGTCCCAGCTACTTGGGAGGCTGAGACAGGAGAATTGCTTGAACCCAGGAGGCAGAGGTTGCAGTGAGCTGAGATCGCAGCACTGCACTCCAGCCTGGCGACAGAGTGAGACTCCATTTAAAAAAATAAAATAAAATAAGTCTTATTAGCAGAAGAAACAGCATGGTGCAGTGGCTCACGCCTGTAATCTCAGCACTTTAGGAAGCCAAGGCAGACAGATCACCCAAGGTCAGGAGTTTTGAGACTAGCCTGGCCAAAATGGCAAAACCCCGTCTCTACTAAAAATACAAAAAAATTAGCCAGGCGTGGTGGTGCACATCTGTAATTCCAGCTACTTGAGAGGCTGAAGCACAAGAATCGCTTGAATCCGGGAGGTGGAGGTTGCAGTGAGCCAAGATAGTACAAGAGCGAGACTCTGTCTCAAAAAAAAAAAAAAAAAAAAAAAAAAAAGATACTGGGGAAAAAAAAAGAAACCCAGGAGAACAGAAAGCTCTTGGGAAAGTGGTACAAGAGGGGTCTGGAGAAACAGACTAGAGCCAGGCTGGCAAGAACTTGGGCCTTGTTAAAGATTCAGAACTCGGCCAGGCATGGTGGCTCACATCTGTAATCCCAGCACTTAGGGAGGCAACGGTGGAAGGATCACTTGAGCCCAGGAGTTCAGGACCAGCCTAGGAAACATAGTGTGACTCAATTCTCCAAAAAAAGTAAAAATATTCAGGACTCTAACTAAGGAACAATGGGAGAACATCACATTCCTCACCTGTAAAGTGGGAATAATAACAACAGTTATCTCATAGTTATCAGGGAGCAAAATGAGAATAATACAAATAAAAGGTCTTTTTAAGTTATAAAGCATTATAGGAATACTACTAAGATTATATTATTAGTAATAAGAAGTTGTGCTGCTTTCTTAATAGAACCCAAGAGTTCAAATCTCCTCATAATGGGAATATGAAATACCCTCTAAAACCCTGACCTGCTCCAGGGAACTGATGGAAAGGTCATAAGTTTATTTCAGTTGAAACTTCCAGTGTGAGACTTATGAAGCCTGGGGGTGAATGCAGCTCTTTGGAACAGGATCACACCATTTATGGCAATGTGGATTTCTCAGCTCTACACCAACTCCCTGACACCGCTTTCAGAAAAGATCATTCTGCCTCCTTCTCAAACCCACCAGAGCAGAATCACCAAAGCATTCTTGCCTCTTGATTTTTTTCTTTTTTTTTTGAGACAGAGTCTCACTCTGTCGCACAGGCTGGAGTGCAGTGGTGCGATCTCAGCTCATTGCAACCTCCGCCTTCTGGGTTCAAGCAATTCTCCTGCCTCAGCCTCCCGAGTAGCTGTGACTACGTGCGCATGCCCCCTTGCCTGGCTTATTTTTTCTATTTTTAGTAGAGACGGGGTTTCACTGTGTTAGGATGGTCTCGATCTCCTGACCTTGTGATCCGCCTGCCTCGGCCTCCCAAAGTGCTGGGATTACAGGCGTGAGCCACTGCGTCCGGCCACCTCTTGATTTCTTATAGCCAAAGCTCAAGCCCAGCATCTTTTTTTTTCTTTCTTTTTTTTTTTTTTTCTGACAGTCTCACTCTATCGCCCAGACTGGAGTGCAGTGGTGCGATCTCCGCTCACCGCAACCTCCGCCTCCTGGGTTCAAGCAATTCTTTTGCCTCAGCCTCCTGAGTAGCTGGGACTACAGGCATGCGCCACCATATCCAGCTAATTTTTGTATTTTTAGTAGAGACGGAGTTTCACCATGTTAGCCAGGCTGGTCCTAGCTCAGCTTTTATAGCAGCTGCCATCATTCCAGAAATGTTACACTCTGAGCTGTTCATGGCAAAATCATCATCCCAATTGGTGCCTGCTTTATTACACTTTAGGAGAAATTCCACCTATTTCCAAATATGTGATACTTTATTCTTGCAATGGTTCCGAGTAGTAGGCACAACAAGTAGTCAAATTTCACAGAATGGATGAGAAACCTGGAGTTTACCTCTCCAGACCAGCCCTGACATGTCACCATGGAGAAACATAAGGGCTCATTTTGGGCCATTTCCTCTCTGCCTGCAAAATATGAAACATTACCCAAGTATAGGAGGGCAGAGCTTCTGCCCAGATAGGCATGTGATTTACCATTACCACAACCCTCTTGCTAACTGTGAGTAGAACAAACTAAACACAGTTCTTCCCCAGAGAGGTCACTGACTACTCTAAATGTTCTATAGTACTATACCCCAGAGGTTGCAAACTTGCATTTTTTTTCTTGACCTACACAATGCTTTCAAAGTCTTTTTGAAATTTTATTTACTTATTTATTTTATTTTCTCATGTGGCCAGTGGGTGGGAAGACCAAAAACCCTCAATCTGCTTGAAAATTTCCATTCCAGCTTTAAAAAATCGAGGTATTTTAAATAAAAATCCAGATTACCAGCTTTTCTTGAAAAATCACCATCCAGCACAGCAGCTCATGCCTGTAATCCCAGCATTTTGGGAGGTCAAGGCGGGATGATTCCTTGCTTGAGCCCAGGAGTTCGAGACCAATCTGGGCAACATAGCACAACCTTGTCTCTACAGATAATTTAAAAATTACCCACAGGGTTGGCTGGGCGCGGTGGCTCAGCCTGTAATCCCAGCAATGGGGAGGTGGAGGTGGGTGGATCATCTGAGGTCAGGAGTTTAAGGCCAGCCTGGCCAACATGGTGAAACTCTGTCTCCACTAAAAATACAAAAAATTAGCCAGGAGTGGTAGCGCGCACCTGTAGTCCCAGCTACTTGGGAGGCTGAGGCAGGAGAACTGCTTGAACCCAGGAGGTGGAGGTTGCAGTGAGCCGAGATCATGCCACTGCACTCCAGCCTGGGTGACATAGTGAGAGACTGTTTCAAAAAAAATTAGGCGGGCATGGTGATGTGTGTCTGTGGTACCAGCTACTCAGGCGGCTGAGCTGGTTACATAGCATTCAGTCACTTACACAGCACTGCCACATCCTTGTGATCTGCACTGTGGTTGATGTTTTTATTATCATCTCTTCCACCCTCCCATTTTTCAGAAAAGGACCTGAGTTCCAGAGAGTGCTTTACCCAAGGTCACACAAGTCATCACTGGAAACTCTGTCAAAACCCAGCTGTTCTGAATACTCAGTGATGCATTTACTTTATTTTTTTGAGACAGAGTTTTGCTCTTGTCACCCAGGCTGGAGTGCAACGGCACAACCTCGGCTCACTGCAACCTCCGCCTCCCGGGTTCAAGCGATTCTCCTGTCTCAGCCTCCCAAATAGCTGGGATTACAGGCGCCCACCACCACATCTGGCTCATTTTTGTATTTTTAGTAGAGACGGGGTTTCACCATGTTGGCCTGGCTGTTCTGGAACTCCGCCCGAGACAGGGTCTCTCTTTTTTTTTTTTGAGATGGAGCCTAGCTCTGTCACCCAGGCTGGAATGTGGTGGTGAGATCTCAGCTCACTGCAGCCTCTGCCTCCCAGGTTCAAGAGATTCTCTTGCCTCAGCCTCCTGAGTAGCTGGGACTACGGGCGTGTACCACCATGCCCAGCTAATTTTTGTATTTTTAGTAGAGACAGGGTTTCACCATCTTGGCCAGGCTGGTCTCAAACTCCTGGCCTCAAAGGATCTGCCCACCTCAGCCTCCCAAAATGCTGGGATTACAGGCGTGAGCCACTGCGCCTGGCTTTTTTTTTTTTTTGGAGACAGGGTCTCCCACTGTCATGTAGGCTGGAGTGCAGTGGCACAATACTCACTGCAGCCTCTACCTCTTGGGCTTAACTGATCCTCCCACCTCAGCCTCTGAAGTATCTGGGACTAGAGGTATGAGTCATCATGCCCAGACTAATATTTTAATTCAAACATTTATTAACTTAATGCTTTAATTTACTAATTGAATTTCATTAATTCAATTCCTAGTTAACCAAAAGAAACCCAGGATAGCTGGAACAAAGAGGACTCATGCTGGCTGGAGTGCAGGCAGGACGGCTGGAAAGTAGCCATCTTGGACCATAAAGAGGAAAGCCCATGTTATGCTGGGCTTGGTGGAAATCGACACACTTTGTTTATGCCTCTGGATATATTATTCACCGCTGGGCAATTTAGCCTACTATGATTATGTTTTGTTTCTTTGTTAGTTAAAAAAAATTTCATGGAGTCAATTATACCTAAAAACAAAATTGGGATTTATTTGCTTAGTTTTCTATGTTCCAATCATGAATTTATTCTCCATCATTCACTAAAAGTGTAGATTTTTCCTGTATTCATTTCATCTTATTTCTTGGGTACCTCCCTCCTGGAGGCTTTTGTCCTCTGGCTCCAGCCTTACTGATTGCTCCCTAGGCCTGCTGCCAGGCCAGCTATCACCCTAGGATTTCCCTTCATTATCATCTTGGAGACTTTCTTATTTCTCACCTATACTGGAATATCCTGTTGCCTGGATCACGTCTTCCTGTTTCTTGGTTTATTCTCTTATTCTGGTGCACCACATCCTCCAGTAGTTTCCTGAGAAAGGGTACATGGATAGGAAATAAGATTTCACGTATCTGAAAATATGCTTTATTTTTTATTTTTTTGAGACAGGGTCTCACTCTGTTGCCCATGCTGGAGTGCAGTGGCATGATCATGGCTCACTGCAGCCTCTATCTCCCTGGGCTCAGGTGATCCTCCATGTGCAGCTTCCAAGCAGCTGGGACTCCAAGCACAAACCTTTTTTTTTCTTTTTGTAGAGATAGGGTTTCACCATGTTGCCCAAGCTGCTCTTGAACTCCTGAGGCTCAAGTGATCCATTAGCCTCAGCTTGCCAAAGGCTTGGGATTACAGGCATGAGCCACTATACTTGGCCCTGAAAATATGCTTACTCTACTGAATTCACAATTTAAATAATTTATAAAATTATATATCATAAATCATTGGAAAACATTCCTACATTATCCTTCAGCATGGCTAATAAGAAACATGATGCCATTCTCATCGCTGTTCCTTTGAATGTGACCTGCTTTTTCTATGTTTTAGGATCCTCTATTAACACATTGATCAGAAACTGCATGATAATATGTCTGAATGAACATTTTCATCCATTACATTGTATACTCAGTGGGCCTTTCATTTTGGAAATCTAGGCCATTCAGATCTGAGATGACTTCTTGAATTTTTCCTTTGATGATTGCTTTCTCTCCATTTCTCTATGTTCCATATCATTATAACGCTTCTTTTTTTTTTTGAGACAGAGCCTCACTCTGTCACCCAGGCTGGAGTGTACTGACGCAATCTCGGCTCACTGTGACCTCCGCCTCGGGGGTTCAAGCAATCCTCCTTCCTCAGCTTCCCGAGTAGCTGGGATTACAGGCATGCGCCACCATGCCCGGCTAATTCTTGTATTTTTAGTAGAGATGGGGCTTCACCATGTTGGTCAGGCTGGTATCGAACTCCTGACCTTGTGATCTGCCCACCTCGGCCTCTCAAAGTGCTGGGATTACAGGTGTGAGCCACCATACCCGGCCCTCTGTAATGCTTCTTAATTGAGTATTAGTCTTACTGGGCCACCTTTAGTTTTTAAAAAATTTTTCTGGCTTTTAGGGTTTTTTAAAAAGCTATTTTCTCAATTTTATCTTCCAACTCATTGATTAAAGTTAATGGTTATCATATTTTTTAGATGTTTTATTCTCCAATGTTCTTTTTTAAAAAAAAACCTGTTCTTATTTCATTGATACAACATTGTTATATCTCTGAGAATATGTATCCTCTGTTTAAAGTTTAGATTTTGTTTTGTCCTGTTCTAGGCATCATAGTTGGGATTACAGGCACACACCACCACCCCCAGCTAATTTTTGTATTTTCAATAGATATGGGGTTTCGCCATGTTGTCCAGGCTGGTCTTGAACTCCTTACCTCAGATGATCCACCCCACTTGGACTTCCAAAATGCTGGGATTATAGGTGTGAGCCACTGCACCCGGCCTAGATCAATTTTTTTTTTAATGGGCAAAATATTTAAACAGGTATTTCACAAAATAAGATATATGATGGTCAGTAGACTGGTAAAAAATGTTCGACATCATTGGCCGGGCGCGGTGGCTCAAGCCTGTAATCCCAGCACTTTGGGAGGCCGAGGCGGGCAGATCATGAGGTCAGGAGATCAAGACCATCCTGGCTAACACAGTGAAACCCTGCATCTACTAAAAATACAAAAAATTAGCCGGGCGTGGTGGTGGGCACCTGTAGTCCCAGCTACTAGGGAGGCTGAGGCAGGAGAATGGCGTGAACCCGGGAGGCGGAGCTTGCAGTGAGCCGAGATCATGCCACCGTACTCCAGCCTGGGTGACAGAGTGAGACTCCATCTAAAAAAAAAAAAAAAAATGTTCAACATCATTAGGTCATCATAGAAATGCAAATTTAAACCATAATGAAATACTATGACTAGAATGGCTAAAATTAAAAAGACTGACAATATCAAGTGTTTATGAAAATGTGGAGCAACTAAAACTCTCAAACATCTGTGGTAGAAATGTACAGTAATACAGCAACTTTGGAAAAGAGTTAGGCAGTTTCTTATAAATATATGCGCACCATATGACCTAGCATTTCCACTCCTAGGTGGAAATAAGATAAAAGCACATGTCCAAGCTGGGCACGGTGGCTCATGCCTGTAATCCCAGCACTCTGGGAGGCTGAGGCAGGTGGATCACTTGAGGTCAGGAGTTCAAGACCAGCTGGGCTAACATGGTGAAACCCCGTCTCTGCAAAAAAATACAAAAAAAATTAGCTAGGCATGGTGGCACATGCCTGTAATCCCAACTACTCGGGAGGCTGAGGTTGCAGTGAGCCGAGATCACCCTATTGCACTCCAGCCTGGATGACAGAGTGAGACTTTGTCTCAAAACAAACAAACAAACAGATGTCCACACAAAGACTTACACAAAAACGTTCAAAACAGCATTAATTCATAGTAGCCCCAGACATAATCCAAATGTCCATAAACAGGAGAATGACTAAGCCAATTCTGGCAAATTCCTACATCAGAATATTACTCAGCAAGAAAAAGGAACAAACTATTGATACATGGAACAACTGGATGAATCTCACACTAAGCAAACGACAACAGACACAAAAATAGTACATGTTTTATGATTCTATTTATACAAAAGTCTAAAAAAAGACAAATCTGGCCAGGCGTGGTGGCTCATGTCTGTAATTCCGGCACTTTGGGGAGGCTGAGACAGAAGGATCACTTCAGTCCAGGGTTTGAAACCAGCCTGGGCAATATAGCAAAACCCTGTCTCTACAAAAAACACAAAAATTAGCCGGGTATGGTGGCACATTCCTATAGTTTCAGCTACTCAGGAGGCTGAGGTGGGAGGACTGCTTGACCCAGGAAATGGAGGTTGCAGTGAGTCGAGACTGCATCACTGCACTCCAGCCTGGGTGACAGAGTGAGACCCTGCCTCAAAAAAAAAAAAAAAAGAGACAAATCCAATCTATGATGACAGAGGACAGATTGGTGGTTGCCTGGAGATGGAGGTGGAGGAGGAGAGTCGTTTGGAAGTGACACAAGAACTTTTGGTGGTGATAGAAATGTTCACTATCTTGATTGTGATGGTGATCAGATTAGCATAGAAACCTAAAACCTGCATTTTAAAAAATATATTATACCACAATAAAGGCAATTTAAAAATACACACAATGAGATAACACTATACATCCACCCACTAGAATGTCTAAAACTAAAAAGACAAGACTGACTGGGTGCATTGGCTCACACCTGTATTCCCAGCACCTTGGGAGGCCAAGGTGAGAGGATCACTTGAGCCCAGGAGTTCAAGATCAGCCTGAGCAACACAGTGAGACCCTGTCTCTACAAAAAATAAAATTAGCCAGGAGTGGTGGCATGCACCAGTGGTCCCAGTTACTTGGGGTGTTGAGGTGAGAAGATTGGCTGGGCAGGTTGAGGCTGTAGGTCACTGCACTCCAGGCTGGGCAACACAGCAAAATCCTGTCTCAAACCACTTTGGAAAACAGGTTAGCAGCTCCTTATATAAAAATATAAGCTTAACATATGACCCAGCAACTCTACTCCTAGCTATTTTTCCAAGAAAATTCAAACTTGTCCATCCAATGACTGGCACATAAATATTTATGACAAGTTTATTTATAGTAATCCCAAATGGAAGCAACCCAAATGTCCATCACCAGATGAATGAATAAATGTGTGGTACATCCATGCAATGGAAAACGATGAAAAGGGATGAACTACTGCTATGCATAACAATGTGCTTCATTTCAAAAACACACGGAGCAAAAGAAGCACCAAAGAGTACATATGGCACGATTTTACTTACATAAAATTCTAGAGAACACAAAATAAAATAATGTCCACAAGTAGACTGTGGCTGTAGGATGTAGGAGGTTGATTGCAAAGGAGTGTAAGTCATGGTGCTGGTAAATTGGTTCCCAAAAAAAGAAAGAAAGAAAAAGCCTGGATTTGTGGTACTTACTGTTTTCTGTGGTGTAAATACTCCCACCATGACCAACTTTGAGCTACTAATACGATGTTACTAATGTAGATTTGGGAAGAGATGTACATATTTGGCTCTCCTGAGCTGGTACTAGCTAGCTCCAGCACATTACCACAGAAAGGAACAAAGGTGATCCGATGGTCAGTATCTTGACTGTGGTAGTGGTAGCACAGGTTTATACATCTGTCAAAACTTACCAAACTGTACTCTTAAAATTGGTGCACTTTCTGCATGTAAATTATATTTCAAAAACAGTTATGTTTCAAATAAATATCAGCAACAACCCATATGCCCAATAACAAGGGACTGGTTACATTAGTTTATTGTTTATCCTCTTGATAGACTAGGATGCAGCCATTCAAACTTAGAAAATTTCAGCAACACAGCAACATGCTTTGCTATACTGTATCATGTTTTGTGGCAGAATAGGAAATTTTATTTATTTATTTTTATTTTTTATTTTTTTTGAGATGGAGTTTCACTCTTGTTGCCCAGGCTGGAAGCAATGGCGCAATCTTGGGTCACCACAACCTCCACCTCCCAGGTTCAAGCGATTTTTCTGCCTCAGCCTCCCAAGTAGCTGGGATTACAGGCATGCAACACCATGCCCAGCTAATTTTGTATTTTTAATAGAGTCGGGGTTTTTCCATGTTGGTCAGGATGGTCTTGAATTCCCGACCTCAGGTGATCCACCCGCCTCAGCCTCCCAAAGTGCTAGGATTACAGGCGTGAGCCACTGTGCCTGGCCAGGAAATTTTATTTTTACCATATGTTTGTCTATGCAAATTTTGTGGGCAGATGGATAACATGAGGCTTTTTGAAAGCACTGTCATGAGTTAATTCTTTTCTTTGTATTTAGAAGCAGTATACAGCAAAATGGTTGACAGCCCAGAATCTGTAGCCAGACTACCTGGGCTAGTAGTATTCAGATCCCAGGTGTCACTTCTCTCAGCTGGGTGACCTTAAGCAACTAACCTAAACTCTTTGAGCCTTAGTTTCCTTTTTCGTTTTTTGTCTTTTTTTTGAGAGGGAGTCTCGTTCTGTCGCCCAGGCTGGAGTGCAGTGGCGCGATCTTGGCTCACTGCAACCTCCACCTCCTTGGTTCAAGCAATTCTCCTGCCTCAGCCTCCCGAGTAGCTGGGATTACAGGTGTCCACCACCATGCCCGGCTAATTTTTTTGTATTTTCTCGTAGAGACGGGGTTTCATCGTCTTGGCCAGGCTGGTCTTGAACTCCTGACCTCATGATCCACCCGCCTCGCCGCCTCGGCCTCCCAAAGTGCTGGGATTACAGGCATGAGCCACCGCACCTGGCCAAGCCTTAGTTTCTTGACTGTAAAAAAGGCACAATAGGAGTACCTATTTTGGAGGGTTGCTGGGAGGATTAAATGAGTTACTATATGTAAAGAGCCTTGAACAATACAAAGAGTAAGTGTTTTAAAAACATCAGGCTGGGTGCAGTGGCTCATACCTATAATACTAGCACTTTGGGAGGTGGGAGGTTCACTTAAGCCCAGGAGTTTGAGACCAGCCCGGGCAACATGACAAAACCCCATTTCTACAAAAAATACCCCCCAACACACCCCAAAAATTAGCCAGGTGTGGTGGCACACACCTGTAGTCCCAGCTACTGAGGAGGCTGAGGTGGGAGGATCACTTAAGCGGGAAGTTCAAGGCTACAGTGGGATCACATCACTGCACTCCAGCCTGGGTGACAGAGCAAGATGCTGTCTCAAAAAAAAAAAAAAAAAAAAAAAAAGGGCCGTGTGCAGTGGCTCACGCCTGTAATCCCAGCACTTTGGGAGGCCGAGGCAGGTGGATCACCTGAGGTCAGGAGTTCGAGACCAGCCTGACCAACATGGAGAAACCGCGTCTCTACTAAAAACACAAAAAAATTAGCTGGGCATGGTGGCACATGCCTGTAATCTCAGCTACTCGGGAGGCTGAGGCAGAAGAACCGCTTGAACGCAGGAGGCGGAGGTTGCGGTGAGCCAAGATCGTGCCATTGCACTCCAGCCCGGGAAACAAGAGCGAAAGTCGGTCTCAAAAAAAAAAAAAAAAGCTATTATTTTCATGAAGCAATGATATTGTTTGGACAATAAAAATGCTTACTATGTGCTAGGCAGGAAACACAGGAATTTATATGACATGGCTTCTAACCTTGAGGAGCTATAAATGTGGTTCTCAATTGTGGGGAGGATTTAGCAGGGATTCACTCCCTTCCTAGGAGTTATTCTGTAACATCTGGAGACATTTTTGATTGTCCCACCATGACTTGGTGGGAGACGAGCCAGTGGAACTTAGTAGGCAGGGGCCAGAAATGCTGCTAAACATTCTGAAATGAACAGGACAGCTTCCCCAAAGGTAATTATGTGAGGGCAGGCACAGTGGCTCATGCCTATAATCCCAGCACTTTGGGAAACCGAAGCGGGTGGATCACTTGAGGCCAGGAGTTCGATACAAGCCTGGGCAACACAGCAAAACCCCGTCTCTACAAAAAATACAAAAATTAGCCATGTGTGGTGGTGCATGCCTGTAATCCCAGCTACTCAGGAGGTTACCCAGCTACTGGGAGGCAGAGGTCACAGTGAGCCAAGATCACGCCATGGCACTCCAGTCTGAACAAGAGTGAGACTCTGCTCTCTGCCACCACCGCCCCCCAACACCCACAAAAAAAAGAATTATGTTGTCCAAAATAATCAAGGTTGAGAAACCCTGAGTCATAGTCTAACTCAGGACAAAAGATACATGCATACATACAAATTGTACAAGGCAGACAATCAAAATAGAGCATTATGCAATTATACATATAAAAAAAAAAACAGAAAAGATAGAATAGCCCTGGGCCAGAGTACAGGATTCCCTGTGACACCTGGCCAGGAAGACAGGCCTCAGTGAACTTCCAGTTTTGGGACCCAGTGGACATACTTCAACGATTTGCAACTTTTAGCTTATTCTATCAGTAGGTACCTTTTTTAAAGGTTAAGTCAAAGTTAAAAGGCTTCACTTCTGCATTGCACTACCAGTGTGAAAATGTACTGGGGCCAGTTCACATATGTTTAATTCATATTATCTTTTCAATGCAACTTGATAAAGAGTTGAGTCAATTTAAAATTCTTAAAAGGGCGGAGCAAGGTGGCTCATGTCTATAATCCCAGCATCTTGGGAGGCAGAGGCAGGAGGATCACTTGAGTCCAGGAGTTTAAGACCTGTCTGGGCAACATAGGGAGACCCTGTCTCTACAAAAAAATGAACAAAATTAGCCAGGTGCAGTGGCTCACACCTGTAGTCCCAGCTTTTTGGGAGGCTAAGGGAGGAGGACTGTTTGAGCCCGGGAGGTTGAGGCTGCAGTGAGCCAAGATCATGCCATTGCATTTCAGCCTGGGCAACAGAGCAAGATCCAGTCTCAATAAATAAATAAATAAATAAAATCATTAAAAGTACATTTTTTGGAGTCAACAAGAAATGATACATAGGAATATTTTGGTTTCCATTTAAAATAGAACCATTTTGGGGAAAATATGCCAATATTTTAATGGTGGATATAATTTGAGGTTGCAGGTGGTTTCTGCGGAATTCCTTTTCAAAATTCCTACAGTGAGGAACATATATTTCTTTGATAATCTGAGAAAGAAGAAAGCATCTGGGCGCAGTAACTCACGCCTGTAATCTCAGCACTTAGGAGGCTGAGTCAGGTGGACTGCTTGAGCTCAGGAGTTCAAGACAGCCTGGACAACATGGTGAGACCATGTCTCTACAAAAATTAGCTGGGTGTGGTGGCATGTGCCTGTAGTCCCAGCTTGAATAGCGGTGGTGGAGGCTGCAGTGAGCCAAGATTGCGCCACTGTACTCCGGCTTGGGTCAGTGTAAGACCCTGTCTAAAAAAAAGCCTGATGTAATCCATACATAGTTCAAGGAAATGCAACTTGAAGTCTCGGTGTAATCCTCCCCATCCTACTAAACCATGTGGCCACCAACTCCTCCCACTTGGGAAACACTGCAAAGTGGCACCACCACCCATTCTGCAGTGCAAGCCAGAAATCTAGTAGGGACCAGTGGACACTTCCCTCTTCTTTCAATCAATCGCAAAGTTCTTCATGCCACTGCATTCTAGCCTGGGAGACAAAGCGAGATCCTGTCTCAAAAAAAAAAAAAAAAAAAAAAATCACCAAGCTCAATTAATTTCGATATCTCTTTGTGTTTCTACCATTACTTCCACCCTTCTCCTTTTCACAAGTATCATGTCCTATGTGATTACTGCAACGGCCTCCTAACTGGTCTCCCTGCATCTGCTCTTTCCCCTTCCCACCCAATCTCGACATTGTAATGACCATCCTTCTTAAAACCTTTCAATAGCTCTCCTTTGCTCTTAGGATATAGACAAAACCACTTGCATGGCAGGGAAGATCTTATATGGTCTTGCCTCCACTCAAAACTAGCTCAACTCAATCCCTTGTTCTCTGTTTTGGGGACACTGGCATTCTTGCAGTAACTTGTAATCCCCAAGCTCCTTCCCACGAGAGTCTCCATACACACTATTCCTCTCTTCTTCACCTGAGTAACTCTCTTCCCTTCCTCAGCTAAGCTTTCCCTGAACTCCCTGACTGGAACCTTCCTTGACATGTGTCACTTTTACAACTTTACATGTTTGAGAGATTAAATGATTAAAGTCTATCTTCCCTAATAGACCAAGGACCACTCACTTAGCACAAAATACATGGTAAGGAGATAACAGCCAATGCATACATAACATGCTAGACTGGCATTCACCATGTCTTTTATTTATTTTTTTAAATTAAAATTAAAGCTGCCATATTTTTCTTTTCTTTTTTGAGACAGGGTCTCGCTGCGTTACCCAGGCTGGAGTGCAACGGCGTGATCTCGGCTCACTGCAACCTCCACCTCCTGGGTTCAAGTGATTCTCCTGCCTCAGCCTCCCGAGTAGCTGGGATTAAAGGCTCCTGCCACTACGCCTGGCTAATTTTTGTATTAAGTACAGACAGGGTTTCACCATGTTGGCCAGGCTGGCCTCAAACTCCTGGGCTCAAGTGATCCTCCAGCCTTGGCCTCCCAAAGTGCTGTGATTATAGGCATGAGCCACTGCACTCAGCCCATTCACCATGTCTTAACTCACTTAGGACCTCCCTATTTGTCCCTACATAGTAAGGACAATTAATAGTCTCATTTTACATTGAGGAAAGTTAACTCACAAACTAAGAAGTGGTAGAGCTGGGATAGGAACTCAGGCACCCAATTTCTGGAGTCTGTGCTCATCACTCAAGCTCCGGTACCTCACCAGCATTTATTGAATGTGAGTACTTTTGATAAGAACTAAACAGCACCATCAGTAACTTTAGTTCAACTAAAGTCAGTTCATTTTGATTTTGGTAAGGATTTTATGTTTGATTGGAACTTTGCTGTAAAACTTTTATTTTCCCAGCATTTTACTTCAGCCACAGGGTCTAGCTGTCACCCAGGCTGGAGTGCAGGATCATAGGTCACTGCAGCCTTAAACTCCTGGCCTCAAGTAATCCTCCTGCCTCACCCTCCTGAAGTACATGCCACCATGCCCGGCTTTTTCAAAATTGTATGGGTTGGGCGTGGTGGCTCACGCCTGTAATCCCAGCACTTTGGGAGGCCGAGGTGGGCGGATAACTTGTGGTCAGGAGTTTGAAACCAGCCTGGCCAACATGGTGAAACCCCATCTGAAATATAAAAAAAATTAGCTGGGCGTGGTGGTGGGTACCTGTAATCCCAGCTACTTGGGAAAACAAGGGATTGAGAACAAGGGATTGAGTCGAGCTAGTGCTGAGCGGAGGCAAGATCATACAAGACCTTGCCTGCCATGCAAGTGGTTTTGTCTATATCCTAAGAGCAAAGGAGAATTGCTTGAACCCGGGAGGCGGAGGTTGCAGTGAGCTGAGATGGCACCACCGCCCTCCAGCCCGGGTGAAAGCGAGACTCTGTATCAAAAAAAGAAAGAAAGAAAGAAAGAAAATTGTATAGAGACAGGGTTTTGCTCTTATTTCAGTTGCTTTAAAAATCCATTTGCCCTCACTGGTATCATCATGACTGATGTTGAGACAGAGGTAGCCCAGCAAACTGCTGGAGAGCAGGGGAAAGTTAGCTTGAGTGAAACAAATTATGGATAATTTGTAGTGTAGGTAACTCAGGTAAGGACAATTCCAGGATTTTCACAGATGTCATCTCACTTAATCTTCATTGACTTTTTAGCGGCGGTGGGGGGACACAGTCTCACTGTCGCCCAGGCTGGAGTGCAGTGGCGCAATCTCGGCTCACTGCAACCTCTGACTTCTGGGTTCAAGTGATTCTCCTGCCTCAGCCTCCCAAGTAGCTAGGATTACAGGCTCCCACCACCACACCCGGCTAATTTTTGTATTTTTAGTACAGACAGGGTTTCACCATGTTGGTCAGGCTGGCCTCAAACTCCTGGGCTCAAGAGATCCTCCAGCCTCAGCCTCCCAAAGTACTGCAATGACAGGCGTGAGCCACCACGCATGGCCAATCTTCATTGATTTCTTTTTTTTTGAAATGGAGTCTTGCTCTGGCACCCAGGCTGAATGCAGTGTTGTTTTGTTTTGTTTTGTTTTGAGATGGAGTCTTGCTGTCATCCAGGCTGGAGTACAGTGGGTTTTTTTTGAGATGGAGTCTTGCTCTGTCACCCAGGCTGGAGTGCGGTGGTGCAATCTTAGCTCACTACCACCTCTGCCTCACGGGTTCAGGCAATTCTCCTGCCTCAGCCTACTGAGTAGCTGGGATTGATTGCAGGTGCCCACCACCACGCCCGGCTAATTTTGTATTTCAGTAGAGACAGGGTTTCACTGTGTTGGCCAAGCTGGTCTCTAACTCCGGACCTCAGTTGATCTGCCCACCTCAGCCTCCCAAAGTGCTGGGATTAAAGGCGTGACCCACCACGCCCTGGCCCAATCTTCACTGATTTATAACAAAGTTACACACACAGGGCAGTTCTTCCACAGTTAATAGATGAAGCAAAAGGCTGGGGTTAGCTGCTAAGCCATGGGAAATCCACTAGTCACAGTATGGTGTGAGGAATGGTGTCCCTACATTTCTAGCTTCAAAACTGCAAAGATATCTCTAGCAGAGAAAGACCATTTCTTCCTCTTTTAACAAAGAGTTGGCCAATCTTTCCTAATTCTTTGTGAAACCTTTCAACAAAGTCAGACTTCCTCCTAGGTTTTCCCAGTGTGGCTACTGCAGGGCAATTACCTCACAAGCTCAAGTCATATGGTAAAAAGCTCTATGAACCAGCTACATCCAATTACCCCTACATCATTACTGTGAAAATGAAACAATTCAAGAAATTCTTTGTTACCATTTATTTTTTCTTTTTTTGAGAGTCTTAACTGTCGCCCAGGCTGAAGTGCAGTGGTGAAGTCTTGGCTCACTGCAACCTCTGCCTCCCGGGTTCAAGAGATTCTGTCTCAGCCTCCTGAGGAGCTGAGATTATAGGCGTGCGCCACCACGCTCGGCTAGGTTTTTTTTTTTTTTTTGTATTTTTAGTAGAGACAGGGTTTCACCATGTTGGCCAGACTGGTCTTGAACTCCTGACCTCAAGTGATCCGCCCGCCTCGGCCTCCCAAAGTGCTGGGATTACAGGCATGAGCCACCGCGCCCGGCCCTATTATTACACTTTTCCTTTATCATTTTAAAAATCTTCATTTTTTTTAAAAGAGACAGGATCTCGCTAAGTTGTCCAGGTTAGTCTTGAACCCCTGGGCTCAAGCGATCCTCCCAAAGTCCTGGGATTGCAGGCCTGAGCCACATACTGTATGCACATTTTTTTTCTTTTCTTTGAGATGGAGTCTCGCTCTGTCGCCAGGCTGGACTGCAGTGGCGCGATATCGGCTCACTGCAACCTCTGCGTCCAGGGTTCAAGCGATTCTCCTGCCTCAGCCTCAGGAATAGCTTGGACTTCAGGTACGCGCCACCACACCGGGCTAATTTTTTATATTTTAGTAGAGACGGGGTTTCACCATGTTGGCCAGGATGGTCTCGATCTCTTGACTCGTCATCCGCCCCCCTCGGCCTCCCAAAGTGCTGGGATTACAGGCGCGAGCCACAGCGCCCGGCCCACGTTTTCTTTATATGCATTTTGCTAAGAAAAGGCATTCATGAGTTTCTTCCGGGGTTGAGAACTGAAACAGGTTAAGAACCACAATCCTTTATTCCTGTACACACATTCTTTCTGGTTCGAGGTTGGGCCTTTACAGGGTACTTTTGGAGGGTGAAACATTTCCATCCTGTCAAGTACCTGGTAGCTATGGATGGGGGGTCTAAGAGGAGGAATCCCTTAGCTCACCCCTAAGCAAGTCAGATTTATCACAGCACAGGTCTCAAGCCCCATATAAGCAGGCTTAGGGGACTCCTTGGAGAGGAAGCTGCTTGTAGGGACAAGGGCCGTCAGGAGAGCTTGAGCTTATCAAGCCACTAACCAGCTGTGTGACCTTGGACAAGTTCCAGACCCTCTCTGGGCTCCTGAACCCATTCCTTACCAAGCCATTAACCAGCTGTGTGACCTTGGACAAGTTCCATACCCTCTCTGGGCTTCAGTTTCCACATCTACACATTGGCAGTGGAGCCACATGGCCTTACGGATCCCTCCCAGCCGAAAGCAGGGTACCAAGCCGACCTAGCCATTAAAGCAGCTTCCTGTGGGCGCGGCGCAGGACTTCAACAGTCCCCCCTCCCCCGCTCAGGCCCGCGAAAACCTCGCGCAACACGCCCCTCGGAGCGACGGCGCTTACCCAACCGCAGCCCCAGCGCTCGAACCCAGCTCCGCCTCTTCCCGGGGGCGTCCCATCGTGCCCCGCGCCGGGCTCCTAGGGTTGCCGGGCACCTCCCGCCTTCCCGCGCCCCGACCCCGAACTCCTCTCCTTAGTTCTCCCGGGCACCCTATCCTATCAACGCCTACTATCCCAGCCAATCGCGCAGGATCCGAGTCGTGCCTCCGGTCCACCCTCCTCCCAGCGCTCAGCCGGTCTGAGCTCAAGGCCTTTACCAAGCCCACCCAATCAACGGCGGGCTCTCTCCTACCCCATCCCAATCTCCCTCCCCTCGGCCAATCCGCGCGCTCCATTCCGCTGCCCGCCCAGCCAACCCGGGCCTTGAAACCAGCAGGCGAATGGGCGCGAGACGGCCCTTCGACGCTGAGCGCCTGGCCAGTTAGGGATTCCGCGTGGCCAGGACAACGGCCAATCGTCGTGGAGCGCGGCGCCTCCGCGGAGAGGTCCGGTCCGAATATCCCTCCGCCTTCCTCCCTCCCTCGCTCCCTCCCTGCGCGCCGCCTCTCACTCACAGCCTCCCTTCCTTCTTTCTCCCTCCGCCTCCCGAGCACCAGCGCGCTCTGAGCTGCCCCCAGGGTCCCTCCCCCGCCGCCAGCAGCCCATTTGGAGGGAGGAAGTAAGGGAAGAGGAGAGGAAGGGGAGCCGGACCGACTACCCAGACAGAGCCGGTGAATGGGTTTGTGGTGACCCCCGCCCCCCACCCCACCCTCCCTTCCCACCCGACCCCCAACCCCCATCCCCAGTTCGAGCCGCCGCCCGAAAGGCCGGGCCGTCGTCTTAGGAGGAGTCGCCGCCGCCGCCACCTCCGCCATGGAGCTGATCACCATTCTCGAGAAGACCGTGTCTCCCGGTAGGACGCAGGAGCCGGGGGTAGGGCTGAGGTGATTGGGGTGGGGGAGGGGAGGCCCGGCCCCTCTGACCCCGCTCCGTCTCCCACTTTCCTCCCCCTAGATCGGCTGGAGCTGGAAGCGGCGCAGAAGTTCCTGGAGCGTGCGGCCGTGGAGAACCTGGTGCGTGCTACCCCGCCGCGCCCATCCCGCCGCGTCCCCATCCCCTGCGTGCGGGGCCTTCCCGCCCTCCCGGAGGCCCAGGCCTCGGGAACCTACCCCGCCCCATCCCGTCCCCCTCCCCCCTCCCCCTCCCCCCCCAACCCGGTCCAACCTAACCCCGCCATCGGGAAGCCGGTGGGTGTGTCCCGCCCCGGGCCTCGCGACTGGCCAATGGCTTGGCGCGCCGAGCTGCCTGCCGCCCAATCGTTGCGCGGCCTGAGGGCGGCGGTGCAGCGGGAGGGAGAAAGAGGGAGGGAAGGGAAGTTAGGTTGCGCGGCGCTGCGTGTTCAGCAGGGGTGGGGGCGGGGGAGTCGGGCCTAGGGGCCATGTGGAAGCTCCGGGCCCGGCCGCCCGCCCTGTCTGACCCCGGCCGGCTTCTCCTTCCTATCCCGTGGCCCCTGTGGCTCTCCCCACCTATTTCCTAGAGCTCTGCCCTTTCCTAGCTACCTTGGTCTGTACTCATGGCCAGGCCTGGCACCCGACTGCCTCTTAACCCATTTCCACTGATATTTTTCCCTCTTTGCTCGGTTATTCCTCTCTTGGGGTTTTTTCTTTTTCTTTCTTTCTTTTTTTTTTTTCTTCTGACCTGGATGAATAGAGACCTAATCACTAGGGATCTGCACCCAGAAAACAGACTGAGGCTCATCTTTGAGATGGGGCCTGTTTGCTGATGAAATCACAGGGGAAAGTTCCTCGTTTTTCATATTTTAAAATTTAAGGGGTCCGGAGAAAATGAAGCTAAGTCCGCTAGAGACTGGTCCTTTGTATAAAAATGTGGGATGGATTGGTTGAAACAGCCTAGATGCCAGTTAAGTTTCTCTTTGGTGTCCATCTCCTGTTGGGGGATGGGGTCAGAGGGAAGGATTGGATGATGCTTGACATCTTTGAGAAAGGTAATAGGAATTAAGTCTGAGTAACACTAACCATATGTGTTCCTTTGTGTTATATAGGCAAAATGTCAACATCAACAAAGTGACAAGGCTTATTTTATACAGACTGCCTTTGAATGATTTTTTTGTTGTTTTTCATATGTGCCAATTTTTACAACTAACCTGTTTATCCTTTCCTAGAAGAGATTTTTCCACTAGTATAGGCTGATAATTCCATTTAGGGTATTATTCCTGTTTCTGCTTTTGCAAATTTTGCAAAAAGCTTTTTATCTTATTCCTAACATTCTTAACATTCTTTAGTGGTACATAATTAATAAAACTTTTAAGAATTATCTTCTGCTGTGATTGCAGAGCTTGTTAGCAGTAAGAAAAATGTGTCTGCTTTTGACTTTTCCTGCTAACTTTGCTGTTTGGGCACGGTTTTTGGTGGAGAGGTGTGTGTGTGCTAAATTTTTAAACAAAGGGAGTAGTTTTTGAGGCCTGTGGATTACAAAAGGTTACAAAAGAACATGCTTTTCAGGGATCCACTGTATTCCTCAACTAAAGTCCAAATGTAAAGGAGCAAGTAATTGTTGATCATTAGATACAAAGTTATTTTGCTTGAACAGCTTGCCTGAAGATTTTTTCTTTCACTTTTTCCCTATTTCTAAATATCTTATCACTTTTCCTTATAAATCTGCTTTTTTCATTGTTCCCTTTTTGCTGAGTGCCCACAAATAAAACGGAGGATGAGGCTCCTAAGTTTGTTTTAGGCTTATCTGTATTTCCCCCTCTCATAAAAGATCACCTCCTTCCATGGATTGAAAAGCTACCCTGCTGCTGCCATGAGATGGAAAGTTGGATCATTCTTTTGGGACCAAGGTTTTTGAAATTTAGATAAACAGTTTTATTTTCTACCCCCCATCATAACAGCCATTCATTTAACAAACATTGAGTACCAGACATTATTAAAAGTTCTTGGGACACCTCAGTATACATAGAAGACTGACTACTACTACCATACTCTGAAACCTTGCAATTCGGGGGTCTAACATGACAATTTGGGCACTAAGAATGATCTTGATAGGGAAATCTGTAATTCCTCATTAAGTGCTAGGCTCCACGAGAAAAGTGGAAGACTTCCTGTTACACTAAGTAACATTTTTATAGAAGTCAGTGAAGTAAATATTTTGTGGTTTCCTGAAATGCTTATATCAAAAAAAAATTAGACATTAGTTCCCCCCCTCGCCGCCCCTCTGGTGGTTCAGTGCTCTATAAATTATCCTCAGTTGTGGAAATTCCTAAGATATTTTTATTTACAAATTTATCTTCCCTTAACAGCCCACTTTCCTTGTGGAACTGTCCAGAGTGCTGGCAAATCCAGGAAACAGTCAGGTTGCCAGAGTTGCAGCTGGTCTACAAATCAAGAACTCTTTGACATCTAAAGATCCAGATATCAAGGCACAATATCAGCAGAGGTGGCTTGCTATTGATGCTAATGCTCGACGAGAAGTCAAGAACTATGTGAGTAACGCTTATCTGTTTGGTTATATTGCCCAGAGAACAAGAAATCGCTTTCTCAGATCTTTTGCTATTTGCATGGGATAGAGCTAACAGTGTGATAGGTTTCTGGGACCTCAACTTTACCTAAAGATAAAAATTGTCTTTGTCTTAAATCTTTCTCAACACAGCTTGTCCATTCCCATTGATGGATTGGAATTCTTTTTAGATGACTGAGGTAGGCTGCAGCAGTTTGGGAAACTTTAATTACGTGCCATAATTGGTAAAATCTGTTTGGCAAATGGGAGTAGTGTACAAATTGGTGCTACATTTGTATAAAAATTAGGGAATTTGTTAATAGGTATTTCCAAGCTCTCCAGAAATTCCGATTCGGTACTTCTGGAGTACAGCTCAGGGAATTTTTTTTTTTTTTTTTTTTTGGAGACAGTCTTGCTCTGTTGCCCAGGCTGGAGTGCAATGGCATGATCTCGGCTCACTGCAGCCTCCGCCTCCCAAGTAGCTGGGATTACAGGCACCCACCACCATGCCCAGCTAATTTTTGTACTTGAAGTAGAGACGGGGTTTCACCATGTTGGCCAGGCTGGTCTTGAACTCCTGACCTCAGGTGATCTGCCTGCCTTGGCTTCCCAAAGTGCTGGGATTACAGGAGTGAGCCACCTCGCCTGGCTGTTGTTGTTTTTAAATTAAGTTCTTTAGTGATCTGTCTTACATGGGTAAGGCACAAAGAGGAGTGAGTTAAATATCTGTGCAGTCATCATTTTGTCCTTGGTATTTGAGTGGAAACTAGTGGGGAATTCCTACATATGTACTTGTGCAGGACATGGTTATGCACATCATACTTGCTATTTCCTGGTTCTAGATATCAGCATTAGGTAAAGTAGTGCCCTGTAAGGCAGTAACTTCTGTATCTGGTTGTGTACCTCCTTCTGTCACCAATCTTGCATACCCATGATAAGGAGCCGGGTTATTAAATCCAACTTGGTTTCAAATCGTTTTGGAGCATGTAGAGCTGTTTCTATTCATGTTGGTTCTGCTTGTGTAATAACAACATTTTAATTCCTTCTCCCTCAGCTAAGTGACATAAATGGAAGTATATTCTATCACTGGAAATCTCGATACTGATAGTGCCCATTCAGTTTCTCATCTTCCTTAATTTACACACTAGTAAATGGGATAAGATGTAATTGGAATTGTAATTGGCTTATTTTTTGGCACATCACTCTTAACACCAACCCTTTAAAAAAAAATTAGACAATAATGGCTGGGCGCAGTGGCTCATGCCTGTCATCCCAGCACTTTGAGAGGCCGAGGTGGGTGGATCACCTGAGGTCAGGAGTTCGAGACCAGCCTGGCCAACATGGCGAAACCCTGTCTCTACTAAAAATACAAAAATTAGCTGGCTGTGGCGGTGGATACCTGTAGTCTCAGCTACTCTGGAGGCTTAGGCAGGAGAATTGCTTGAACCTGGGAGGCGGAGATTGTGGTGAGCCAAGATTGCGCATTGCACTCCAGCCTGGGTGACAGAGTGACACTCCATTTCTTAAAAAAAAAAAAAAAAAAAAAATTAGATAATTTGTATAGGCATGGTTAAGCCCTCGGGCATGAGAAAAAAGCTAACAGTACCTTGGCCTTTTTCCCTTTCATAGCACAACGATAACTAATACTAAGTTTCACTGTTGGTGATCTTTTTTGAAATCTGGATATTGGGGCACAATTGGGAGCTAGTTTCTCTTTTCTGATAATTGAATATTACTATTAAGGTTACCTCTAGTTTAAACAGAAAACTTTTAGTACTCAGGAGGTGGACATCCGTAGTTTCTAAATCACCTCAAGTAATATGGAGTCTTCAGAAAGCAATCTAAAGGAAAAAGGTAAAGGTAGAATGGGATTCAGTGCACTCCACATATGTACTAGGAGACTATGTAGTGTGGTGTGAAGGCACCCTGGACTTGGGTTAATAATACCCATTCAGCCCCTGATATTTTGGACAATTCACCTTGTTTTTCCCCCTCATTCCCTCGTGTCTTTGACATACCGTTTTTGTCCATTCTAGCTCTGCTAGTCCTCGAGAGCAAAGCCTTTCATTTAACATCAATCAGAACTGTTTGTAGTTGGGTAGAGCTGATGGGGGTGGGGGCCAGGGATGATGATATACCGTATAAGAAGGAAAGGGGGAGTTCATTATTGGTGCTAGCTGCAAAGCAGGATACTAAGTGATCCGACCCAGTCAGCAGAGCTGGCCTGAATATCTGGCAGCTATTCTTTGTCCCGTGTTCATGCCAGAACAGTTAACTGTTTGCCTTTGAGTGGACTACTGATTCTTAGTGAGTTCATTGACTGAATTAGCTGATCACGGTAATAATTAGCTCTAGGTCAATTGTGGCTTCATCTTTTATCATACCTGTGCCTTTACTCTTTACATAAATGGTGGCGTGGTTACCATGTCAAGCGAGACATGTTTAATGACAAGTGGATCTTGTTTTGACATCTGGCTAGATTTTGGTATCTGTCAGTGATAGAACAGTTCTTTGATTCTTGGGCAAACAGAACAAATCCTTTCAGATTGGAAGTTATATAAAGATTAGTTCATAGGTGTTATTAACATCAGCAACGTTGTTTTTGTATTTAGTGATGTTGTTACTTGACCAAGGCCTTTCTATGTAAGTCACCCCGAATGCTGAGTTGTTAGTGATTAGAAGGAAAAAGTTTTGTTTCAGCCCACGTCTCATGAGTAAGATCTCCTTGGATCAGATTAGACAGTGATCTACTGTGAATAAGACCCACCTGAATGCCCCAGAACTAGCTTCATTCTAGTGTCCATGTCTGTCTACAAAACGAGGGTGTGAACATCCTTTCCTTATAACAGCAACAATGAGCCTGGAAGATGAGTTTTGTCCCCATCTCTCTCCTTTGCCATTTACTGCTACCTCCTCTTGTAACTTCTGGTTTCCCACCTCGTGTTGAAGGTTGAAGTGAGGTGGGATGACTGGTTTTGTTTCTAGGTTCTAGGGCAGTGTTGATTATGCTGATGTTGCTACTGAGGCTGGTTTTTTCTGACAGCCTTTCCTACTTCTCCGTATTATAGATAAGAATTCTGAGGCCAGGCACAGTGGCTCACGCCTGTCATCCCAGTACTTTGGTAGGCCGAGGTGGGTGGATCACCTGAGGTCAGGAGTTTGAGACTGTCCTGGCCAACATGGTGAAACCCCATCTCTACTAAAAATACAAAAACTAGCCGGGCATGGTGGCAGGCACCTGTAATCCCAGCTACTTGCTGGGGGGAGCTAAGGCAGGAGAATCGCTTGAACCCAGAAGGCGGAGGTTGCAGTGAGCCGAGATCGCGCCATCATGCTCCAGCCTGGGGGACACGAGCGAGACTTTGTCTCAAAAAAAAAAAGAATTCTGAGACAGCTGCCTGGGCACAGTGGCTCACACCTGTAATCCTAGCACTTTGGGAGGCCAGGAATTTGAGACCAGCCTGGGCAACATAGGGAGACCCCCATCTCTACTAAAAACCCAAAAAAGTTAGCTGGGTGTGATGGCATGTGCCTGTAGTCTAAGCTACTCAGGGAGGCCTGGGAGGTCAAGGCTGCAGTATCGTTGTGCCATTGCACTATCGTTTTGCTACTACACTCCACCCTGGACAACTGACTGAGGCCTTGTATTTTCCTTTTTTTTTTTTTGAGCCTGGGCAATATGGTGATGCCCTGTCTCAACAAAAGATAGCTGGGCATGTCAGCATATCCACCCCTGTAGTTCAGTTACTCAGGAGCCTGAGGCGGGAGGATAGATTGCACCGTAGAGATTGAGGCTACAGTGAGCTGTGATCGTGCCACTGCACTCCAGTCCGGGCAACATAGTGAGACCCTGTCTTAAGAAAGAAAGAAAAAAAAGAATTCAGAGACACTAATATAAGTATGGTGGTGGGCAAAATGTGGTCAAATAGTGTTAGAAATTTGTATCTTTTGTCTTTTTTTTTGGTGCAGGTTTTGCAGACATTGGGTACAGAAACTTACCGGCCTAGTTCTGCCTCACAGTGTGTGGCTGGTATTGCTTGTGCAGAGATCCCAGTAAACCAGTGGCCAGAACTCATTCCTCAGCTGGTGGCCAATGTCACAAACCCCAACAGCACAGAGCACATGAAGGAGTCGACATTGGAAGCCATCGGTTATATTTGCCAAGATATAGTAAGTGCTTGCCTAATGTATCTGGTTTATATACCTCTGATTGCCTCTAGCTGTGACATCAATGATATTAGTACTACCTTATTGAATCACGAAGAAAGCCAAGCTAAATTGCACAGTTTTGAAAGTGAGACTGATTTATTTCCCTTAGGCCTGTGTCTTCACATTGCTAATCATGCCCTAAAGTAAAGAAACTTGAGGATCGCAAACTGAAAACAGAAGTCTATGTTTGAAGAGTCTTAGATTCTAGACTTACAAAATGAGGATATTCTCATTTGGATTATCCCTGACCCAGTCTTTTTTCTTAAGATCCCGAATGTACCATGAATGTTGTGGCGCATTTTCATTTACAACATTACGGAAAGTTTTGCCAACATTTGATGTAGTTGGTTTAGCCACTGGAGACACAGTATTTTAGATGTAGCCCCCCCAGCACTGTTGTTCCTGATGAGGTTACCACTCTTGGTGTGTATTTTAATATATAGACTTTATGAAGCAAAGGAGCCCACAGCACTTGACCCAGACTTAGACTCCCTAGATGTGCCTAGGTGTCGATCCTTGGCCTTGGCCCTTAAATGCCCTGAAGCTTTACTTTAGAGTACAGATGGCCTGGAAAATACGAACAGACTGCCATCTCCATTTGCACAGAAGTGGGGAGGAAAGCGAATATTACCTCATACCCAGAGTCATTATGCTAAGAAGTCAAAGATGAAGTTGATGAGTTTGACTTGGTTTTGTTCAGTTCTGGATTGCCAGTACCATGAGACATTTTGCAGGTGGTTTGCAGTGTTATTCCCAAATGGAAACGGGTGGGGAAAGATCACCAATTCATGATACTTTCTTGAGTGAACTTTACAGTTAAAAGGACTGCCAATTAAGCCAGGCACAGTGGCTTACACCTGTAGTCCCAGCTGCTTGGGAAGCTGAGGTGGGAGGATCACTTGAACCCAGGAATTTGAGGGTTCAGTGCATTGTGGTAGTGCCTGTGAATAGCCACTGCACTTTAGTCTGGGCAATACAGACCCTGTCTCTTAAGAACAGAAGAAGGACTGCTTCTGTCGTGAAGCTCCTTATGGCAGTCTTTTGGAGGGGATTGATTCCAGCACCCTCCTCAGGTACCAAAATCCTCAGATGTTCAAGTCTGTTACATAAAATGGTGTAGTATTTGCATATAACCTATGCACATCCTCCCATATACTTTAAATCATCTCTAGAATACTTACAATACCTAATTCAATGTAAATGCTATATTAATAGTTGGTATACTGTATTAAGGGAATGATGACAAGAAAAAAAGGTGTACATGCACCTTTTGGTGCAGTACAGATGCAACCATCCATTTTTTTTCCTCTAAATATTTTCAATCCATAGTTGTTTGAATCCACAGATGTGGAACCCATGGCTGCAGAGGGCTGACTGTATATTCATTGCACTTCTCTGCTTGTTACAGGACCCAGAGCAGCTACAAGATAAATCCAATGAGATTCTGACTGCCATAATCCAGGGGATGAGGAAAGAAGAGCCTAGTAATAATGTGAAGCTAGCTGCTACGAATGCACTCCTGAACTCATTGGAGTTCACCAAAGCAAACTTTGATAAAGAGGTAAGTTTTTTGACAATAAGGTATAGATTCAGACAGTAAGGGATGAAAGAGTTGAATGAAAGTTTTTTGTTTTGTTTTCTTAAGTTTATGGTTTAGAAAGTACCACCTACTTAAAAGTATTTGTTTCCAGTTTAGTCGAGTTCGTATTGTGTGAGATATCCCCATGGAGTGTTTGCCGTTTCTCATCATGCTTTTGGAAATAAAGTGTTTCTAAGCTTAGGTTTTTCCTTTTGCAGTCCAAAGTGTGGAATGTTGTTGGGTTTTTTTAAATTATAGGGCATGGTGGTGCATACTGGTACTCCAGCTACTTCAGAGGCTAAGGCGGGAGGATTGCTTGAGTCCAGTTATTCAAGGCCAGCCTGGGCAACAAAGTCAGATATCGTCCCTTAAAAAAAAGAAAGGAATAGGCTGGGCGATGTGGCTTAAGCCTGTAATCCCAGCACTTTGGGAGGCTGAGGCGGGTGGATCATCAGGTCAGGAGTTTGAGACCAGCCTGACGAACATGGTGAAACCCCATCTCTACTAAAAATACAAAAAAATTAGCCGGGTGTGGTGGCGTGCGCCTGTAATCCCAGCTACTCAGGAGGCTGAGGCAGGAGAATCACTTGAACCTGGGAGGCAGAGGTTGCAGTGAGCCGAGATTGCAGCACTGTATTCCAGCCTGGGCGACAGAGCAAGACTGTCTCAAAAAAAATAAAAAATAAAAAAAATAAAAGAAAGAAATTATGGTATGTACTATATATGTTGGTTTACTTTGGTTTCTTTTAAGATTGTGTGAATCTTTTGCCTTGTACTAAAGATTTTGTGGAGGCCGGGTGCTGGGGCTCACATCCAGTAATCCCAACACTTTGGGCCACCAAGGCAAGAGGATCACTTGAAGCCAGGAGTTTGAGACTAGCCTGTGCAACGTAACAAAACCCTGTCTCTAAAAAAATTTCTGTGGAGAAGAACAACTGAGTTGTTAACCAGTTTTGTGAGCTCTTGTGTTTACAGGGCTTATAATGGAAAAAAAATAATGAAAAATGAAATAAATAAAAATTATAGCAATTGGTCTGTTTCATACCACCTTAGGAAGGTGTTTTTAAGAAACAGGATATATAGCCAGGTGCTTTGGCACATGCCTGTAATCCCAGCTACTTGGGAAGCTGAGGTGGGAGGATCACTTGAGCCTGGGAGTTCAAGGCTCAAGATTTCACCACTGTACTTCAGCCTGGGCAACAGTGCAAGACTCTGTCTCCAAAAAAAAAAAATATATATATATGTATATGTATGTGTATGTATAATATATATGTAAACATTTTGGCTGAAAATGCAATGAATAACATAAAATTTACCATCTTAAATCATTTTTAAATGTATAGTTAGTTAAGTAGATTCACATTGCTGTGGAAACAATCTCCAGAACTTTTTCATCTTGCAAAACTGAAACTGTACATACTGAACAACAACTCCTCATTTCCCCCTTTCTCAGCCACTGGTAACGACCATTTTACTTTCAGTTTCTATGTATTTTACTACTCTAACGAAATACCTTACGTAAGTGGAATCATATTTGTCTTTTTGCGACTGGTTTGTTTTACTTAGTATGATGTCCTCGAGATTCATCTAAGGGGTAGCATTTGTCAAAATTGGCTTTTTAAGGGTGATTAATATTCCATTATATGTATATGCCACATTTTGTTTATCTAGTCTTCCATCCATGGCCATTTGGTTTGCATCCACCTTTTGGCTATTGTGGGTAATGCTGCTATGAACATGGGCATGCATGTGTATCTTTGAGACTCTGCTTTCAGTTCTTTAGGGTAAATACCGACAAGTAAAATTGCCAGGGTCATGGTCTGAAAGTATTTCTGTATATATGTTTGTTGACACTTCAGCTGGGTTTTTACCATTTCTTGACTTTGGAAAGGTCTGAAACCCCAGAGCAAATGGCAATTCTAATTGATTAGAAAACTGGATTTTTCCTTAATAGATTTTGGAAGATTTAGGAGGGTAGCACATAAAGTTCATTCTCCCTTTTCTCACCACATTTGATGTGAATTTGCTACCTCTCAGAAAACAAATTTGGTCTCTGAAATAAAGCAGATGTTTTGAATTCTCTTATATAAGGAAACTGATTTTCCTACATGTAAATTTTTATCTTTTAACCATTTTTATTTAAAACTTGTGACCTACATTTTTCTGTTTCCTCCCTGAAGTCTTTGTTAGTGGTCATTTTGGAGATTAAAAGATTAGGGACCTCATTGGAGGGCAAGTCACATAGCAGACACCGAAGGTAAACTCTTTATAGCCTTTATAGTGCTGTACCATCTCAAGGGAGAGTGGCTTGATTGTACCAGGCAGGGCTGTGTGGGGCCCTGAGGGGGAGTGAGAGGTTTTCCTTGTAGAGGGAGTCTGGAAATCTTCCTACGTACAGGTTATGCTCTCCTAATTCTCTTTATTTTTATTCCTCCTACAGTCTGAAAGGCACTTTATTATGCAGGTGGTCTGTGAAGCCACACAGTGTCCAGATACGAGGGTAAGTGTGAGGTTATATGAAAAATCTGTCTTACATCTTTCTTAGGAAATGTCAAATCTAATATAAGTTTGAAATACTGGGAATCAGTTGACTTCAGCAATAAGGTTTGATTAATATTGTTACTAATAATTAATATTCTGGCTGGGCATGGTGGCTCACACCTGTAATCCCAGCACTTAGGGAGGCCATGGCAGGCAGTTCACCTGAGGTTAGGAGTTTCATACCAGTCTGGCCAACATGGTGAAACCCTGTCTCTACTAAAAATAAAAAAAAATTAGCTGGGTGTGGTGGCACGTGCCTGTAGTCCCAGCTGCTGGGGAGGCTGAGGTACAAGAATCGCTTGAACCTGGGAGGTGGAGGTTGCAGTGAGCCAAGATCATGCCACTGCAAACAGACTCCATCTCAAAAAATAATAATGATAATTAATAAAAACATTAGAGAAGAGGGAAGAATTGTCATGGAAGTTGCCATCCTCTTAAAAAAGGTTTAAGGTGCCAGTGTGGTGGCTCACACTATAATCCCAGCAATTTGGGAGGCCAAAGCAGGAGGATCACTGAGGTCAGGAGTTGGAGACCAAACTGGGCAACATAGTGACACCATCTCTACTAAAAAATATGTATACACAAATAAACAGTTAAGGGAGAAAAGGTTTTCGATCAGCTTCGCTACTTCATTGCCGTAGGTTATTCAAGCCATTTCTACTAAAAAATATATATACACAAACAGTTAAGGGAGAAAAGGTTTTTGATCAGCTTTGCTACTTTATTGCCATAGGTTATTCAAGTGATTGTTTTCCCCTGTAGCCATTAAAGCAGCTTTGCTATTGCTATACCCAAAACCTGACCCTTCAAGAAGATAGAAGTAATATCTTCAGTCTGAATAGTATTAGTGAATTTAGCCGTACCATGGGTTCCACACGCACCTTTAATGCAAAAAAAAAGACTGAGGCCAGGCGCGGTGGCTTACGCCTGTAATCCCAACACTTTACAGGCGCATGTCTGTAATCCAGCTACTCAGGAGGCTGAGGCAGGAGAATTGCTTGAACCCGGGAGGCGGAGGTTGTAGTGAGCTGAGATCACACCACTGCACTCCAGCCTGGGAGACTCCATCTCAAAAAAAAAAAGGACTGGCTGTGGTGGCTCACACCTATAATACCAGCACTTTGGGAGACCGAGGCCAGAGGATCACTTGAGCCCAGGAGTTGGAGACCAGTCTGGGCAACATGGCGAAACTCCATGTCCACAAAGATTAGCTGTGCGTGATGGGGCGAGCCTGTAGTCCTAGCTACGTGGGAGGCTGAAGTGGGAGGATTGCTTGAGCCTGGTGGTTGAGGCTGCAGTGAGCCGTGATCATGGCCACTATACTTGCACCAGGGCGACAGAGCAAGAAGACTGTCTCAAAAAAAAAAAAAAGAGAAAAATGGCCGGGCGCAGTGGCTCACACCTTTAATCCTAGCACTTTAGGTGGCCGAGGTGAGTGGATTGTCTGAGCTCAGGAGTTCGAGATGAGCCTGGTCAACATAGCAAAACCCCGTCTCTACTAAAAATACAAAAAATTAGCCGGGCATGGTGGCGGGCACCTGTAGTCCCAGCTACTTGGAAGGCTGAGGCACGAGAATTGCTTGAATCGGGGAGGCAGAGGTTGCAGTGAGCCAAGATCATGCCACTGCACTCCAGCCTGGGCAACAGGAGCGGAACTCTGTCCCTTCCCCGAAAAAGAGAGACAAAATGGGAAAATAAAGGAACAGATAATGAGGGAATTAAAGGGAGAGAATGAATTTTAGGGAAATGATAACGTATCCCATATTTACCTCAATTAATCCTTAGGATTATTGGCCCATTTGAGTGAATCTAACTTTGTCAGATTGCGTTGTTATTTTAGTAAACTATCTGATCTGCTGTTCATAAAAGGTACGAGTGGCTGCTTTACAGAATCTGGTGAAGATAATGTCCTTATATTATCAGTACATGGAGACATATATGGGTCCTGCTCTTTTTGCAGTAAGTATTTCTATTTATGTGATTTGAGCTTGTGGCTAATTACAGAGCCCATCATCCTTAGTCGCTATTTTGCCAATTCTGTAATATTTTACTTAATACTATGGAATCAAGGAAATTCCTCGAGACTGTTCGGTTTAAGCTCATCAGTGGTGTGCCAAGAAAACTGGTGCTAACTTTGTGTGGGTAAAAGACCTTCATTTTGAGGTCAGGCCCGGTGGCTAACGCCTGTAATCCCAGCACTTTGGAAGGCTGAGGTGGGCAGATCACCTGAGGTCAGGAGTTCGAGACCAGCCTGGCCAATATGGTGAAACCCCGTCTATACTGAAAACACAAAAATTAGCTGAACGTGGTGGCACGTGCCTGTAATCCCAGCTACTCTGGAGGCTGAGGCTGGAGAATCGCTTGAACCCAGGAGACGGAGGGTGCAGTGAGCCAAGATCACGCCATTGCACTCCAACCTGGGCCAGAAAGCGAGACTCTGTCTCAAAAAGAAAAAAGAAACAACCTGCATTTTGAAAATCTGAGGCTGGGCATGGTGGCTCACGCCTGTAATCCCAGCAGTTTGGGAGGCTGAGACTGACAGATCGCTTGAGTCCAGGAGTTTGAGACCAGCCTAGGCAATATGGTGAAACCCCGCCTCTACAAAAAATACAAAAATAAGCTGGGTGAGGTGGCATGCACTTGTGGTCCCACCTATGGAGGAGGCTGGGGTGGGAGGTTTGTTTGAGCCTGGGAGGTGGAGGTTGCAGTAAGCTGAGATTGTGCTGCTGTACTCCAGCCTGTGTGACAGAGTGAGACCCCATCACCAAAAAAAAAAAAAAGAAAAGAAAATCTTTCTTTTCCTATCTTTTCTTTCAAGCCTAGCTTCCTTTTTATAGTTACATTTCTGAAATTTGCATGTCTGTGGTTAAAGCCGGGTTGGGGCAGGGACTCACTTGAATCAGTACTTATTTGGGGCCTGGGGTGTTTTTCTTCTTAAGATCACAATCGAAGCAATGAAAAGTGACATTGATGAGGTGGCTTTACAAGGGATAGAATTCTGGTCCAATGTCTGTGATGAGGAAATGGATTTGGCCATTGAAGCTTCAGAGGTGAGCTGGGGAGAACTATTACTCTGAATACGCTTTGGGACATATCTCATTTGTGGATGATGTTCCCCTTCTAGGAGAACTTTATTCTGTCTGGGTTTAGAGGGTATCTCCATTGGCAGAGATTTTGATTTTTCTGCTAGCCAGAGCCCTTCATGAAGGAGGCACATCAGTAATGAGGGCTCACGTTCTTGCCAAGCAGTCAGGCATGATTGATCGTAAATAGTGGTATTATCACTGTGAACACAAGGGGGCAGCAGGCTGTCGCAGTTTACCAAGGTGATGCCTGATGCTGAATTATTTCCTTTTGGAAGTCCTAATGCAAGCCTAGGATGTATAATTGATACTTTACTAACTCTGGTGAAAGAGTCAGATATGGAAGAGAATGGGGAGTTCTGTACTTGGGATCTTTGAATTCAAGTTTTGTTTCCAGCTTGGTCTTTACACACTTTTATTTCAGGACAAAAATAAAAAGGTTTTTTTTGGCATCTTTAGGCAAACTGAGTGTGTGTTGATCCAAGGAACACTGAAATATCAGGTTGTCCATATGAATTGAACTTATGAAAAAAAAGTTATACTTAATGTTGCCTTGGACCTATATTATATGGCCTAAAAGATTCTCACTGAAGTAGACCAAAAAATTAGCACTTTCCAAGATCACATTGTATGTTACCATTTGTCCTTGTATGTTTCTGTTTCTGTTAAGAGATCCCTGTTCGGCTCTCATTGTATGCCTTTAGTATACAGAGCTCGGTTGCTTTTGTCTAGAATTTGCTTTGTTTCTCCTCAGGCAGCAGAACAAGGACGGCCCCCTGAGCACACCAGCAAGTTTTATGCGAAGGGAGCACTACAGTATCTGGTTCCAATCCTCACACAGACACTAACTAAACAGGTGAGTTACCTTCCAAATATAGGTAGGTAAGCTGTGGAACCTTACTAAGAGTAAACTGTGGAAACTTTCCATGGAAGGAACTTCGCAGCCCATCAACTATTTGATGTTCTGTTGTTGATGACTTAGAAACAGCTAAGCTGCATCTATAAGATCCCCTAGGCTCTGACTTCTTTGTGAAGGAGAACTGAGTCTTAACATCTCAGATGCATCTTGCTCAGGAATGAGCCACATGCTGCTCTGATTTCCTGAGTGCTCCATTGTCCAAACTCATAAAAGAAAGGTGCTCTGTCAAAGCTTCAGTGAAGCAAGGTTAGGAGCAAAGATGTGCTGGTTTTAGGCCACTTGCGTATCTGTTGTAATATCCAGGATACTTTCGTGAGTTCACAGGGTGTATGTTTTTAAAATTCTAAGGAAGTTGGATATAAGTTATTCAGATGCTAATGAAGGACCCCAACCCAAGAAAGAAACCCTTCTACTGATCCTTTAAGATAATTAACTTCAATTATTAAGATTCAGGATGAAAGTAAAGTGACAAGACTTCATAAAGATTGGGGTCTAATGAGTAAATATAGAAGTTCTTTTATGAGGACCGTGTCCTGGTTGCTTTTGTTCTCCTGACTTGATGCAACACAGTGTTTTTTGATACGGTATTTGGGAAGCTTCTTCTGGTGCATGTGAAGTATTACCAAAGAGCTGCTAGTACTCTGACGAAACAATGTTGGTAACTGAGCATTGCATCATTTCTTTGTACACAGGAATGTAATTGTTTTTAGGGATGTGTATAATTCTCAATATAGCAGTTTCAAAAGCTAAGTAGGGATGTGTTTGGATTAAAATGAACTGGGTGTTCCCTTAATTTTCATCTCTCCTCTCAGGGTTTTTTTGTTTTTGTTTTTGTTTTTTCTTTTGTTTTGAGATGGAGTCATACTCTGTCTCCCAGGCTGGAGTGTCATGGCATGATCTTGGCTCAGTGCACCCTCTGCCTCCTGGGTTCAAGCAGTGTCCCACTCTAGCCTCCCCAGTAGCTGGAAGTACAGGTGCGCACCACCACGCCCAGCTAATTTTTATATTTTCAGTAGAAGCGGGGTTTTGCCATGTTAGCCAGGCTGGTCTCGAACTCCTGACTTCAAGTGATCCGCCCGCCTCAGCTTCCCAAAGTGCTGGGATTATAGGCGTGAGCCACTGTGCCTGGCCTATAGTTGCTATTTTTATCTTTTGACTTCGTGTCTTTACTTTTGTGTGTGTGTGTGTGTGTGTGTGTGTATTTTATATATATATTATATATTTTATATATTATGTTATATATATTTTATATAATGTTATATATTATATATTTTATATAATGTTATATATTATATTTTATATGTATTATGTTATATATTATATATTATATATTATGTTATATGTTATATATTTTATATGTACTACATATTATATATAATTATATATATTTTATATATATTATATATATTTATTTTTTAGACAGAGTCTCACTCTGTTGCCAGGCTGGAGTGCAGTGGTGCGACCTCGGCTCACTGTAGCCTCCGCCTCCTGGGTTCAAGCGATTCTCCTGCCTCAGCCTCCTGAGTAGCTGGGACTACAGGCATGCACCACCACGCCTAGCTAATTTTTGTAGTTTTAGTAGAGACGGGGTTTCACCATGTTGGCCAGGATGATCTCGATTTTTTGACCTCATGATCCGCCCACCTCAGTCTCCCAAAGTGCTGGGATTACAGGCATGAGCCACTGCACCCGGCCTCCTTTCTTATATTTTTATTGTGCTTTTCCTATTTGAGAACAAATTATTCTTTGTGTGATTTTCTGAAACTGCATAGGCAACCTGCCTTAAGTTTACTATGTGGTGTGAATGGCCACAATTAGGAAGCTATACCTTGGATTCTAACTTAAGAGGAGATATTAGTGGAATCTTTTCTTTTTTGAACTTTTGTGGTTTTGGTTTTTGGTTTTTTGGGGTGGCGTTGGGGGGTACAGAGTCTTGCTCTATCACCCAGGCTGGAGTGCAGTGGGGCGGTCTTGGCTCACTACAACCTTCATCTCCCTGGTTCATGTGATTCTCTTGCCTCAGCCTCCCGAGTAGCTGGGATTAACAGGTGTGTGCCACTATACCCAGCTAGTCTTTGTATTTTTAGTAGAAACGAGGTTTCACCATGTTTACCAGGCTGGTCTCGAAGTCCTGACCTCAAGTGATCTGCCTGCCTTGGCCTCCTAAAGTGCTGGGATTACAGGCATGAGCCACTGCACTGCACCTTGCCTCTTTTTTGAACTTTTGATTGAATCATGTCTTCTTCCCAGTCATGAAACTCCCTTACTTTCCTGGTCTTTTATTCCATAGGTTAATTTTTGTTGATTTTGGACTTTATTTATTATTATTTTTAATACTATGTTTTTTTTTTTTTCTGACAGAGTCTCACTCTGTTACACAGGCTGGAGCACAGTGGCACAATCTCGGCTCACTGCAACCTCCGCCTTCCAGGTTCAAGCAATTCTCCTGCCTTGGCCTCCTGAGTAGCTGGGACTACAGGCACGTGCCACCACACCCAGCTAATTTTTGTATTTTTAGTAGAGATGGGGTTTCACCATGTTGACCAGGCTGGTCTCAAACTCCTGACCTCAGGTGATCCACCCACCTTAGCCTCCCAAAGTGCTGGGATTACAGGCATGAGCCACCGCGCCTGGCCGATTTTGGACTTTACATAACTGGAATCATACAGCATACATTCTAGTTCTGTATTTTGTTCTAAATGTTTGGAATTCATTCTTTTTGGATGTAGTTGAAATTTTTTCATTCTTGTTGTGTAGTACTAAATGGAATCTTCTTCCATCTGAATCTTGTTTAACAAAGGCTATGCTGTGATGAATGTTTGTGGAAGAGACAAAATATAAAGGTCTTATATTTTATTTCCCTGGAGTTTAAGTTCTAAAGACATTCAAGAGTAGTCAGAGGACCTTTAGAGTTAAAATGATTCTTTGGACAAAATCTTAACTAGTGCCATATTCTTTCACCAGGACGAAAATGATGATGACGATGACTGGAACCCCTGCAAAGCAGCAGGGGTGTGCCTCATGCTTCTGGCCACCTGCTGTGAAGATGACATTGTCCCACATGTCCTCCCCTTCATTAAAGAACACATCAAGAACCCAGATTGGCGGTACCGGGATGCAGCAGTGATGGCTTTTGGTTGTATCTTGGAAGGACCAGAGCCCAGTCAGCTCAAACCACTAGTTATACAGGTGAAACTGAGGGATTTTTGGAGTAGAAAGTAGGATATTTATTGTTTAAACTTAAAGCATATCTTTATTTTTCAAAACAAAACTGTAAATTGTCATCTACAAAGATTATCTCTAGATACTTGTTTACTTTTAATGAGGGTAAAATATATTTCTTAGGTTTTTAATTACATAAGTCAGCATGATCCAGAGACATGTGAAAGAAGCCAAAAGAGAAAAGTCATCTTTAATTTCATTGCCCAGAAATACCACTCTTAACTCTGTATTTATCCTTGAAGCTTTTTCCTATGTGCATGTGTGTGCAACAGGCTCTTCCTGTGCAGATTGTTTTATAACTTGTTTCTTCATTTAATACTATGTTGTAAACATTTCCCAATAATTTTTTTTTGCACCTAGCACTGATTCCCCATAATTTTTAATAATGGCATTATTATTCTATTCTTTGGACAAAATGTCCTTTATGTAATGAAAATGTTCTTATGGAAATGTTGTGCTTGTTTTGCTATTACAAGTCGTGCCATTGCACTCCAGCCTGGGCAACGAGCGAAACTCTATCTCAAAAAAAAAAAAAAGAGTTTGTTATAGTTGAGTTTAGTGCTTAAAGAATTCAGTCTTCAGTCTTTCTGGATATAGCCAGATGCCATCATAGCTGCATCCTGAGAATTCTGAGTATCTGAGTAATTCTTTTTTTTTTTGAGGTAGGGAGGCGGGGGGATGGAGTCTTACTCTGTCACCCATGCTGGAGTGCTGAAGTGCAGTGGTGCAATCTAGGCTCACTGCAACCTCCAGCTCCCCAGCTTAAGCAATTCTCGTGCCTCAGCCCCCTGAGTAGGTGGGACTATGTGCCACCATGCCCAGCTAATTTTTGTATTCTTAGTAGAGAGACCGGGTTTCATCATGTTGGTCAGGCTGGTCTTGAACTCCTGACCTCAAGCAACTCCTGACCTCAAGTGATCTGCCTGCCTCAGCCTCCCAGAGTGCTGGGATTACAGGCATGAGCCATCATCATGCCCGGCCTCTATCTGAGTAATTTATTGCAGACTACTAAAAGCATTTACACCAAATTCTTAATATAAAACTCTAAACTGGAGTTTTGAAAGATATTTTCAAATATTTTGAAAGATGTTTCACACCATGTCCTGTAAAATTACAGAAGTATCTTGGTGACTTTTTTGAGTTAAGCCATCCATCAGTATTTCTTTCTCTGGGGTAGTAGTTAACATGAATTTTAATCTTTGTTTTGCTTTGCTAATAACTGTTATATTTTCAGGCTATGCCCACCCTAATAGAATTAATGAAAGACCCCAGTGTAGTTGTTCGAGATACAGCTGCATGGACTGTAGGCAGAATTTGTGAGCTGCTTCCTGAAGCTGCCATCAATGATGTCTACTTGGCTCCCCTGCTACAGTGTCTGATTGAGGGTCTCAGTGCTGAACCCAGAGTGGCTTCAAATGTGTGCTGGGTAAGGGATTTTCTTGCTGGTGAGAAAAGGAGCTTGCCTGCGCCACTGGCAAGAAAGTAGAAGGTGTGGGAGAGAAATCAATCTGCCTCACTGGAATGCTTTTTCTGATTTTCTTTCTAATTTATTCAATTAAAATGTGGGGGAGATTCCAACTGCAAGAGCCAGTGGGAACACTTGACTTATGGTTACTGGTTCCTGAACCACTTAGAACAGTCATGGTAACCCAGTGGGGAAACTATCTGGACTTGGGTTGCTTTCTTGAATTGCTTGGGGACAAGAAGTTTTGATTAAGGTAGAGAGTTTTTGGCTGTAAGAAGTATCATTGCTGAGTAGAGGGCAAGAGGGAAGGAAGGTAGGCAGCCTAAATGCTGAGTCAGTATAGGCTAATGTAATTGGTTAAGGGGAGGAAGTTCAAATAAGGAAGGAATGGGGCTAAACGTCTTTCTGTGAAAGGAAACAGAAATGAAATGGCAGGTATGGTTGAAAGTACTCTGCTGCTTAGAGAGTTGTCAGATTATCAAACAGGATGATGAGAGATGTCAGATTATCAGACAGGATTTCTGTGATTGGAAACAGAAGAAATGGCAGGTATTGGTGAAAGTACTCTGCTGCTTAGAGAGTTGTCAGATTATCAGACAGGATGAACAGGAAGTACAAATCAAATAAATAAATAGTTAGTTTAAAAGATACCTGTAAAATGCTGTCTTGAGATGACCTTGGCAGAAAAAGTTGGAAGTTCACTGACACGGCCCAAAGTATCTTAATGAAAAATGAGATAATCCTAAGGTGTGGGGTTCTTTCAGGATTAACATTGAACCTATGTGCATTTCAGGCTTTCTCCAGTCTGGCTGAAGCTGCTTATGAAGCTGCAGACGTTGCTGATGATCAGGAAGAACCAGCTACTTACTGCTTATCTTCTTCATTTGAACTCATAGTTCAGAAGCTCCTAGAGACTACAGACAGGTAACTGATATTTCACAGAAATGAGTGACGTCTTTGCATCCAAGTTCTATTGCCTTCTGTGTGGAGGATATCTAGCTTAATCATAGAAGCATAATGAGACAGGACAAGACTCTACCTTCTCTAGAGGAATTAAAAGAAACCCGCTGGGCGCGGTGGCTCACGCCTATATTCCCAGCACTTTGGGAGGCCAAGGCGGCTGGATCACCTGAGGTCAGGAGTTCGAAAGCAGTCTGGCCAACATGGTGAAACCCTGTCTCTACTAAAAATACAAAAAATTAGCCGGGCGTGCTGGCGCATGCCTGTAGTCCTAGCTACTTGGGAGGCTGAGGCAGGGGAATTGCTTGAACCTGGGAGATGGAGGTTGCAGTGAGCTGAGACTGCGCCATTGCACTCCAGCCTGGACAACAAGAGTGGAACTCGTCTCAAAAAAAAGAATTCCATGATTGATTGATTGGTTTGTTTAAAGATGGAGAAAGAAATGCAGATTCCACCTACCTTAGAATTGTTCAGTTTACAGCTGAAATCTGAATATAGTGTAATTTCTCTGCTTTCTTTGTAGAGAGTAATAGATCTAGAGAGGTTCCTTCATTTTGCAGCATTGACAGTTAACAGGAGTATTTGGTTACAAGAGAAATGATAGTACTCATTATGAATTTGATTGCCACACCAAATCAATAACTACCATTTTTATTTTATTTTATTAATTAATTAATTAATTTATTTTGAGACAGAGTGTTGCTCTGTTGCCCAGGCTGGAGTGCAGTGGCGCAATCTCAGCTCACTGCAACCTCCTCAAGCGATTCTCCTGCCTCAGCCTCCTGGGTAGCTGGGACTACAGGTGCATGCCACCATGCCTGGCTAATTTTTGTATTTTTAGTAGAGACAGGGTTTCACCATGTTGGACAGGATGGTCTCGATCTCCTGACCCTCGTGATCCACCTGCCTTCGCCCCCCAAAGTGCCAGGATTACAGGCATGAGCCACCATGCCCGGCCAACTACCATATTTTTATATAGGATGAAGAACTTGGGGTAAATACAGTTGACTTAGAAACAAGCTTTTGAAATGTTGTTTAAAGGGATTATAAGTTGGAGACAACCTTTAACAATTTATGTTTTGTATGAGCTATACCTAAAGTCATGAGCAAAGTAAACCTTCAGGAAGAGAGCTGAGCACAAAATCTTCCTTTTTTTTTTTTTTGAGACAGTCTTCTCTTGTCACCCAGGCTAGAGTGCAATTGTGCAATCTTGGCTCACTGCAACCTCCTGGGTTCAAGTGATTCTCGTACTTCAGCCTCCCGAGTAGCTGGTACTAAAGGTGCCCACCAACATGCCTGGCTAATTTTTGTATTTTTAGTAGAGATGGGGTTTCGCCATGTTGGCCAGGCTGGTCACAAACTCCTGACACCTCAGGTGATCTGCCCACCTTGGCCTCCCAAAGTGCTGGGATTGTAGGCCTGAGCCACTGTGCCCATCAAAAAAAAAATCTTCCATTTAACTAGTTCATGTCCATGCCTCTTTGAGATTATATATGAAGACATCTTTTTTAAATGAATGAAGAAAATTGGGGTATTTTTTTTTTTCTGGGACGGAGTTTCGGTCTTGTTGCTCAGGCTGGAGTGCGGTCTCGGCCCACTGCAACCTCCACCTCCCAGGTTCAAGGAATTCTCGTGCCTCAGCCTCCTGAGTAGCTAGGATTACAGGCACAAGCCACTACACCTGGCTAATTTTTATATTTTTAGTAGAGGTGGGGTTTCACCATGTTGACCAGGCTGGTCTCAAACTGACCTCAAGTGATCCGCCTGCCTCAGCCTCCTAAATTGCTGGGATTATAGGCATGAGCCATCACGTCTAGCCAGGAAAATTGGGGTATTTTCTTCATAGCACTTCAGACAACCTGTTAAATTGTTCACATGATTTTTTACCATTTCAAACCATTTTTTCCTCTATAATTTTAGCCCATTTCCAAAAGGGCCATTCTAAATTTTAACTGTCTGGAGACCATAATGAACATAGCCATTGGCTCAAAGGACTTGAAGATTTCATTCTTGGATATTGTGTTTTCAAACTCAAACCAGGTCTGCAGACATACCGGTTCCTGAGTTCTTATTTTTGGCAAGACATTGTCTATGTTCTTCCCTGTCCTTTTCATTTGAGGCTTTAAGATTTTCGCTGTGTTCTTTACAGACCTGATGGACACCAGAACAACCTGAGGAGTTCTGCATATGAATCTCTGATGGAAATTGTGAAAAACAGTGCCAAGGATTGTTATCCTGCTGTCCAGAAAACGACTTTGGTCATCATGGAACGACTGCAACAGGTTCTTCAGATGGAGGTGAGACCTAAGAGTGCCCCTGACTATGGGTGGGAATTGGGTAGTACTTTTGACACCTAGGTCTGTTTTCCAGACTGTTCTGTCTTTTTAGTGTTTAAGTATATATTTTCTCAGAAAGATAATAAAGCTTATACAAAAAACATTGCACCTTAACGTTAGCATTGTTTGTCATGGTTTACTCATATATGTGTTACACTATATGTATTATGGGTTTTTTGTTGCTGTTGTTTACTTTCCTATGTTAGTATTAGGGAAGATTATTAAATGGTCCCAGCAAAAGTGGAAGGTTTTCATGTAGAGTATGTTTTCTTATTTTCTTTGTAGTCACATATCCAGAGCACATCCGATAGAATCCAGTTCAATGACCTTCAGTCTTTACTCTGTGCAACTCTTCAGGTATGGTGGTGCCTTATGACTTAATAACTCCAGGTTGGAGAATTATTAGTATCTCAGTATAACAAGTTCGTGTACACACAGAACTCGAAAATGGTATAGATGATGCGGATCAGAAGCTGTTCTCAGAAGGCTTTGGTCTGTGATTGGTTGATTGGGAGAGGAATTCCCCACCTGCCTTACCTGTCTGTCTAGAAAGATTCAAATCCTACTTATTTACAGATGGTCTAGATGTAATCTTGATAAAATCAAACCAACTTGACTTCTCCTAATTCAACATACACTCCTCAGACCTCTCTTCCTCACTCGTTTGTTTCAACTAATGTCACTGTGTAGAGAAGGAAACTACTTAATGTGTGATGGTTCCTTCCAGATGTATAGCTCATTTGTGTTGGCAGCTTGAATGGTTTTGGTTTTTTTATTTTGAAAACCAAAAAACTCTTGGTTTTTCATTAGGTTATTCAAGCCTAGCTCAGTCAGATTTGGTTCCCAGCTATAGTTCACTTGGCTAAAAATAAAGCCTTGAATTTGTACCGTCATCTTTTGAAACATTTGCTGTTTGACCTAATGTCAGTGACATTAGTTGAAACAAACGAGTGAGGAAGGAATGTTTGATGGGAGAAGTCAGGTTGGTTTGATTTTATCAAGTTTATTTCTAGGTCATCTGTAAATAGGTAGGATATAGGAAGGGTTGCTTTTTGTTTGTTTTATGAATAAGAGCTCTAAGGTGATAGGGCCTTCTCTAAAGCTGAAGTAATTTAACTATCATTCCAGTAAGACTGGACTATGGCGGCTACCAGCAGGGATTTGTCAGACAGTAAGACAAATGAAATTGAGAGGACATGACCTTCTGCACAACGGAGGATCAGCTCACGTTTGTTCTGAATTGAGAAACAGGAGAAATGTTAAAATGTATTGCTGATGATTGGTACTGTCAATGTTTTTGTGTATAAAATACATTTGGCATTCCCAAAATTAAAAAATATCAAGGGACTTAATTGATTTTAAAAAGAAAAGGTATAGTGTTCTGATTGGGAGATTTGGAATCAACTGATCTTGAACTCTTACTCATTTCACAGAATGTTCTTCGGAAAGTGCAACATCAAGATGCTTTGCAGATCTCTGATGTGGTTATGGCCTCCCTGTTAAGGATGTTCCAAAGCACAGCTGGGTCTGGGGGAGTACAAGAGGATGCCCTGATGGCAGTTAGCACACTGGTGGAAGGTCGGTGAGAAATACTGTCTGGTCAGGGAATGTCTTTGGAATGTAGGCATTTCAGTGGCCTTAAATAATTGTCACCCAGGCTGGAGTGCAGTGGCACGATCTTGGCGCACTGCAGCCTTGAAATCGTGGGCTCACATGATCCTTCCACTTCAGTGCCCCCACAGTAGCTGGGACTAACAGATGCACACCACCATGCCCAGCTAATTTTTATATTTTTGGTAGAGATGGAGTTTCGCCATGTTGCCCAGACTGGTCTTGAACTCCTGAGTCAAGTGATCCTCCTGCCTCAGCCTCCCAGAGTGCTAGGATTATAGATGTGAGCCACTGGGCCCAGCTTAATTTTGTTTGTGTGTGAAGATAGGGTCTCACTATATTGCTCAGGCTGGTCTCAAACTCCTGGGCCTCCTTGTCAGAGCATTAAAGAATTTTTGACTATAGAAAGCATAGTCCTTTTACTGGGGCATGAGTCACTTCAAAGTTAGATTGAACTTAAGTGCACACCACTTAAATTTGTATAACTGCCTTGTCAGTCCATTTAAATGGGGAGCCAGTTTGCAACGGAGATTGGCAGAGGTGTTGTTTTTTTTTTGTTTTTTTTTTTTGTTTGTTTTTTTTTTGAGACTTGTTCTGTTGCCCAGGATGGAGTGCAGTGGCACCATCTTGGCTCACCACAGCCTCCACCTCCCAGGTTCAAGCAATTCTCCTGCCTCAGCCTTCTGAGTAGCTGGGATTATAGGCATGAGCCACTGTGCCCTGCTAAAAGTTTCTATTTTCTTTCCTGGTACTTGTCATCACCTGGTTTGGTTTGTAGTGCTTTGGACTAAGATTGACACATCATGGTGCCTGGTATGGGATGAAATGAAACATTGAGCGAGTTCTAGGAATTGATTTTCTGATTTTTACATGTCTGACTGCAAAATTGGTTTGGGGAAGCCATATCTGACTTAAGACTCTTTGAAGGGGCATTACGAAGCACTTTAGGAATCTGATATGCCTTTTCAGGGGTGGCCTGTAAGTACATTGCTAAGGCCATTTACCTGAGGACCACTCTCCTGAGGACTAGACCTATTTTTGGCATAAACAGCCTATGTCCAACTGGTCTGTCAACATGTGACCACTCCTCTGAAAGGGCAAAGAAGTTAATTTTGGCTCCTGGAGTGGCTGATTTGGATCTGAAGCCCAGTGCTGCTTTTCCTGGCTGTGGCTTGTTTAGCCCTTGATGGAATTGCCTAAGGACCCTGTTTTGAAGCTGGCTTGCAGAAAGGACATGCTATTATCAGATGAGGAGGTGGACAAGAGTCAGTATTGCTGGTTCAGCCCATTTAAAATTAACCTTGACATTCCTTGAGGGTCATACCACTTGGTTGTATTAGTCAGAGTAAAGCCCTATTCTGTGGACAGTGGGCATTGTCTCTGTGGCGTATGAATTAGGGCCCTTCCAGCAGTAATAAATTTGGCTTATGCAAGCCTTTAATGTCTTCATGATGGAATCGGTAACTAAAGCACATTTCACCCAACCTGTTGAGTGGAGCGAGTACATTTTGGGAGAGGTAGGATGGGTTATTTCTGCCTGCCTCTGTGTTAACCCGTGGTGCTGTCATTGGCTAATAGCTTATTTCATTACAGTGTTGGGTGGTGAATTCCTCAAGTACATGGAGGCCTTTAAACCCTTCCTGGGCATTGGATTAAAAAATTATGCTGAATACCAGGTAGGATGTGCTTTTCAAAATAGTATGTTCCCATTTATATCTGACAGTCACTGTAGTGCACGCAAAACCAGGTTCTTATAGCTTAAGTAGTTTTTCCTGATACATTGTCCTAAAAGGCAAGCTACTTTATTCATTGCCTGAACGTTTGAACTGGAAGTAGTCCATGAAAAACAGGATATTAGATGTACCAGATAACGGTGGACAAGATATTAGATGTAACAGATAATGGTGGACAAGATGACTGTTTATTTGCTTAGACAGTACTAATGCAGGAGCAGCTATAAAGTTGAGCTATTAGCACCCTGGAGAGCAAGGCTTTTTTTTTTTTTTTTTTTTTAACTTTATCAGTGATCTCTCTCGGATAGTCTTTGTTCCCTGCCTGCCATGTTGGTTGTTGAAAAATTAATCTCGGCAGAGGGATTTAACTCTAGGTTCAAGTGATAAAAGCTCAGCAGCTAGTTAAAAATAATATCTTGCCCCAGCAGGCAGCCTTTTCTGTTAGAAGATTATTTCCTTGATTCTTGGCAGGTTTGTTTGGCAGCTGTGGGCTTAGTGGGAGACTTGTGCCGTGCCCTGCAATCCAACATCATACCTTTCTGTGACGAGGTGATGCAGCTGCTTCTGGAAAATTTGGGGGTGAGTATCTACACACAATCTAATTAACCAGTCTTCTTTGAAGAAAACAACAGTTGGAAAGATAGTTAAATATCGACCAGGCTGGGCGCAGTGGCCTGTAATCCCAGCATTTTGGGAGGCCGAGGCAGGCCAGGAGTTCGAGACCAACCTGGACAACATGGTGAAACCCCGTCTGTACTGTAGATACAAAAAAAATTAGCCGGGCGTGATGGCAGGCGCTTGTAATCCCAGCTACTCGGAAGGCTGAGGCAGGATAATCGCTTGTACCCGGGAGGTGGACGTTGCAGTGAGCCAAGATCACGCCATTGCACTCCAGCCTGGGCAAGAAGAGCCAAACTCCGTCTCAAAAAAAAAAAAAAAAAAAAAAAATCAGTGACAGGGAGCTGTAAGTTTCTAGAACATTGGCTTTGGGCTTATAAAGAGGGGAGTTGTTCATTTCACAGATGACTCTGAAGAAAGATTGTAAAGTTAAAGGAATGTGTGCTCTATTAGAGATTTTTAAAACAAAACAGTAAAATGCAAAGGAAAAGTAAATACAGTTGTTCCTTGACTTATGATGGAGTTAGGTCCCAATAAACACATTGTAAAGTGGAGAAATCATCAAACCATCATGAGCAGGGGACCATTTGTATATTATACCTCTCTCCAGAGATAGCCATCATTAATTATTGTACATGTGTGTTCTCAGACAAGTCACTTGATTCTTAAGTCAGTCTCCTCATGTGTAAAGTGGGAATACCAATACCTGGGCTAGCTTCTTAGAGTTGGTGTGAGGTGCAAATGGGAAAGGTTTTGTAAGCTATAAAGGACCATCCAAATATTTAAAATCAATAGTTGCTTGTTAGAAATGAAATTTTCATGAATCTTTGGACCAAACAAGTTTTGACTTAATTCACTTTTCCTTTTGTTCCTTGTCAGAATGAGAACGTCCACAGGTCTGTGAAGCCGCAGATTCTGTCAGTGTTTGGTGATATTGCCCTTGCTATTGGAGGAGAGTTTAAAAAATACTTAGAGGTTGTATTGAATACTCTTCAGCAGGCCTCCCAAGCCCAGGTGGACAAGGTAAGCTTAAAGCTATCTTGGCTGTTCTTTAAGTCTAGCTCTAATTGGAGGGACTATTGACAAACATGCAGCTAAAAGTGATCAGTGTGATGTAGGTTCTGTTCTTTGTGTCTTACAGTCAGACTATGACATGGTGGATTATCTGAATGAGCTAAGGGAAAGCTGCTTGGAAGCCTATACTGGAATCGTCCAGGGATTAAAGGGGGATCAGGAGAACGTACACCGTTGAGTATACAACCCAGTTCCCTTCGTCCGCTCGCCAATGTGCACTTAGCCAAGTGGGCTATGTCTGTCATTCTGTAGCTCGCTTGTGAACCTAGTGCCTGTTGCTTAAAAGGCTGGGAGAAGGGGGAGCAGTGCCCTAATGAAGAGAGTGGCTTGGGGAAAACTGTAGACTACTGTTTTTGCTCTGCTTCTTCTTTCTTTTTTTTGTTTTGAGACGGAGTCTCACTCTGTTGCCCAGGCTGGAGTGCAGTCGTGCAATCTCGGCTCACTGCAACCTCCACCTCCCAGGTTCAAGCAGTTCTCCTGCCTCAGCCTCCTGAGTAGCTGGAACTATACACATCTGCCACTATGCCTGGCTAATTTTTATATTTTTAGTAGAGGCAAGCTTTCACCTTGTTGGTCAGGCTGGTCTTGAACTCCTGATCTCAATTGATCCACCCGCCTTGGTCTCCCAAAGTGCTGGGATTACAGGCTTGAGCCACTGTGCCCAGCCTTTTAAATTTATTTTATTTTATTTTTATTTTTTGGAGACAGTCTCACTCTCACCCAAGCTGGAGTGCAGTGGAGCGATCACAGCTCACTGCAGTCTTCACTTCCTGGGTTCAAGTGATTCTTATGCCTCAGCTTCCTGAGTAGCTGGGACTACAGGCACACACCACCATGCCCAGCTATTTTTTTTTTTTTTGTATTTTAGTAGAGATGGGATTTCACCATGTTTTGCAGGCTGCTCTCGAACTCCTGAGCTCAGGCAATCTCCCACCTTGGGCTCCCAAAGTGATGGGATTTCAGGCGTGAGCCACTGCACCCAGCCCTCTGCTTCTTTTTCTCATATTTCTTGAGTATTACAAGGGATGGGATTCAGCAAAAATGTTGGGGGGAAGAAACCCAACATAAATGCTTCCTGTATCAACCATGAGTGGCAGGTCCCCTACCCCTTTCCCATCCCCACAAGCTAAATTGGAGGACTGGGGAGTCATAATTCCCGTTACGTGTTCTTGTTGCTGATTGGGGAAATTTTTTACTTCACCCCCCTTGGTATCATTAGCTCAGGAAAAAGTTAAATTTGTTTCTTCTATATTTGCCTATAGGAAGAGGAATATTTGTCTCTTCTGTCGACTTGAGGAACGACACATTAATCAAAGGAAGAATAATTTGATATAACTATATGCATCTAGTTATCCAGCTTGGACCTTGTATGATAGGGGTATAATAGTTGGAAATTTTGAAAAAGGATGTAGTCCTGCCATATGAGGGACAGCTGCATCAGACCTTCTCTCTCTTTTTTTTTTCTTTTTTTTTTGAGATGGAATCTTGCTCTGTCGCCTAGGCTGGAGCGCAGTGGCGCAATCTCGGCTCACTGCAAGCTCCGCCTCCTGGGTTCACGCCATTTTCCTACCTCAGCCTCCTGAGTAGCTGGGACTACAGGCGCCCGCCACCACGCCCGGCTAATTTTTTTGTATTTTTAGTAGAGACGGGGTTTCACCGAGTTAGCCAGGATGGTCTCGATCTTCTGACCTTGTGATCCACCCGCCTGGGCCTCCTAAAGTGCTGGGTTTACAGGCATGAGCCACCGCACCCGACCAATACCTTCTCTCTCTTTTATAGCGGATGTGATGCTGGTACAACCCAGAGTAGAATTTATTCTGTCTTTCATTGACCACATTGCTGGAGATGAGGATCACACAGATGGAGTAGTAGCTTGTGCTGCTGGACTAATAGGGTAAGTTATACCCTGCTTCTAAGAGCTGAATAGAACTTCTCACAGAAAATGAGAAAACATGGAGTAAGGAGTTTTGAGAGTATCGCGGATGGCAACAGTTCACTTTTTTGGCACAGAGATTTCTTTGCAGAACGCTTCATGTCCTGTTTTGAGTGTTCACATGATAGTTTATTCCAGACCCTCAAGGTGTCTGTATTACACCCCATTAAACTCTGATGTTGGTCAACAATTGCCTCTGTCTAGTGACCTCTACTGAGGGTTTTATTTATCTTTGAAATTTGCTAAGAAACCCATAGCACTGGTTTGGAAGGCTCAAAACATTATACTGGTATGGGGCTAGGAGCTCATTCTCAGCTGTGTTTGTTTTGCACAGGGACTTATGTACAGCATTTGGGAAGGATGTACTGAAATTAGTAGAAGCTAGGCCAATGATCCATGAATTGTTAACTGAAGGGCGGAGATCGAAGACTAACAAAGCAAAAACCCTTGCTACATGGGCAACAAAAGAACTGAGGAAACTGAAGAACCAAGCTTGGTAAGATCTTGCCTCCACTGTCCTCTTTCTTCTACTTCCTGGAGGAGGGGGGTATGTTTTCTTTAGGCCATTCTGGCAAGCACTGCCTTCTGGCATTTTTTTTGTTTGTACTTTTTCCCATGTAGGTGCTTCTGAGTCAGGCAGCCTCAGTTTTTCCTTGAGCCAAATGTTTGACTCCTCATAGTGATGGAGAGCAGAACTTTTAAAACTGGAATTCACTGAAATTCCCTGAGTATTTTGGGTCCTAATAAAATCATCAGTAATGCCATTTCCCCCTAATTCTCTTCTGTTTTCTATTCCTTTCCTCATGCCCTATTCTTTCTTTACAGCAGTGCTTTTAGACGTTGCCTAGCTCTAGAGAAGATTTCCAAAGTCAAATGTTTTTTTGTGTGTGTGTGTGTGTGTGTGTGTTTTCTTTTTGAGACAGAGTCTCACTGTCGCCCAGGCTGGAGTGCAATGGCACAATCTCGGTTCACTGCAACTGCTGCCTCCTGGGTTTGAGCAATTCTCCTGTCTCAGCCTCCCGAGTAGCTGGGATTACAGTCACATGCCACCACACCCGACTAATTTTCTTTTTTTCTTTTCTTTTCTTCTTCTTTTTTTTTTTTTTTTTCTTTTGGAGACAGTCTCGCTCTGTCGCCCAGGCTGGAGTGCAGTGGTGCGATCTCAGCTTATTGCAACCTCTGCCTCCCGGGTTCAAGCAGTTCTCTGCCTCAGCCTCCTGAGTAGCTAGGATTACAGGTGCCCTACCACCACCACACCTGGCTAATTTTTTTGTATTTTTAGTAGAAACAGGATTTCACCATCTTGGCCAGGCTGGTCTTGACCTCCTGACCTCGTGATCCACCCACCTCGGCCTCCCAAAGTACTGGGATTACAGGCGTAAGCTACCATGCCTGGCCCAGTTTTTGTATTTTTAGTAAAGATGGGGTTTCACCATGTTTGCCAGGCTGGTCTTGAACTCCTGATTTTAGGTGATCCACCCACCTCAGCCTCCTAAATTGCTGGAATTATAGGTTTTTTTTTTTTTTTTTTTTTTTTTGTATTTTTAGTAGAGATGGGTTTTCACCATGTTGGCCAGACTGGTCCTGACCTCAGGTGATCCACCTTTGTCGGTCTCCCAGGTGTGCACCACCACACCAGGCCTTGGCTCCTACTTTGAAATGCAATCTTGTTTGTTTGGAGACAGAGTCTCCTCTGTCACCCAGGCTGGAGTGCAGTGGTACAATCACACCTCATAGAAGCCTCCAGCTCCTGGGCTTAAGTGGCCCTCCTGCCTCAGCCTCCCAGGTGGTTGGGACTGCAGGCAAGCACCTCCATGACTGGCTAATTTTTTTTTATTTTTAGAGACAAGATCTCCTGTTGCCCAGGCTGGGTTTGAACTCCTGACCTCAAGAAGTTCTCCCTCCTTGGCCTCCCAAAGTGCTGAGATTAAAGGCTTGAGCCACTGCACCCAGACTGAAATACAGTTTTAATTTCTTTCACTCTTAATTAGTTATCTTACTCCACAGATCTCAGTAAAATTGGCTCTTTGAGTTTCCCTCGCACCCTCTGATGTAGGTGTTAATAAGAGCAGGTCAATGGCACATAGGACAAGAAGAAAGAGTGTCAATCCTTGAAATGTTGACAAATTCCATTCAGGCCTAGGAGCATGTAATTGTAGGAGTCAGCATTATTGGCTCTGTTGGGTATATGTGATCTCAAAGATTGACCTTTTTTTCCATCTGTTTTCAGATCTGTTACCATTGGGATGATAACCTGAGGACCCCCACTGGAAATCTCCCATCTTTTGAAAAACCTGGAAGTGAGGAGTGTGCACGGATGCTGAATGTTTGGGAATGAGAGGATGAGTGAGTGAGGCTTGAAAACACACCACATTGAAAATCCTGCCACAGCAGCAGCCGCAGCCGCCAACAGCAGCGCTGTTAGTGAGCTAAGTAAGCACTGACTTCGTAGAAAACCATAACATCGGCCATCTTGGAAAAGAGAAAAACAATGGAGTTACTTATTTAAAAAAAAAGAAAGAAAGTTATCTCTTCCCAGGAGAGGCTAGAAGTAGCTTTTCTGTCTTTTGGCCAGTGCCGAGTGGAATGCCTGGTTTGGGGGAGGAGGAGGGACTGGGTTCAGCTGTGGTGCTTTGTTGTAAAAGGCAGCCTGGCCTTTGCTACTGAGGAGAAAGATGGAGCCTGGGTCTCAAGCCCACCTTCGCTGTACCTTTGCCACATGGTACTGTATGCTTGCCAGCTAGAAGGAGGGTCAGGGATTTTTTACAGTCTGAGAATGAGTGTGTGTGAGTGAGGCGGTATCCACATTCTCAACTTCAAGTCATTGCAGTTTCTTTTTCCCAGAAAACAAGGGGTTAGATGTTGCATTTCATAAAACTAACCGAAGTTTTGTTTACTGATGCAGCACAAGAGATGTAAAAAAAAAAAAAAAAAAAAAAAAAAAAACACACACACAGAGGAAAGACGCTCTTTAGGTTTTGTTTTGTTTTTTTTTTTTGGTTTTGTTTTTTGTTTTTTTTACTCTAGGGAAAACACTGACGAATGGTCAGAGCTCCTATCCTGATCTTTTCATCAAGGCGCCTTTCCTAATAATATGGTTCAACTGTGAATGTAGAAGTGGGGGGGAGGGGGGAGAAAAAGAAAACTCTGGCGTTAGAGGATATAGAAAAATATAAGTACAATTGTTACAAATAACGCAGACTTCAAAAACAAAAAAATCACAACCCAAACAAACCAAAATTTAAATGATCAGAATTGGCAGCACAAAGAAAACGCCCTCTCCTGACTTGTATTGTGGCAGTCTGAACGCCCCCAGAAAATTGTGCCAAAGAGTTTAGAAAAATAAATATACAATAAAAGTAAACACATACACACAAAACAGCAAACTTCAGGTAACTATTTTGGATTGCAAACAGGATAAATTAAATGTTCAAACAATCTGATAAAATAACCATTTGGAAACTGCTTGGCCTTCTGTTCTTTTATTTGATTGACTACAATGCGGTATTGGTCTCTTGCTGCACTTCAAAAGCAACCAACAAAACAAAAACAAAAAAAAGTGTGTGTTGTGTGAATACACACACACACTAACTAGAAGTCTTGTGATGAAAATGGCACTTGGAAAAGGTTTTATTTTTCCACTGAAGTTGAAGGTTAATAAAATGGTGTCAAACGTCCCCTGGTCACACACTTGAATATTTTTTTAGAAGTGTGATGTGGTATGATTACCATAAATCAGACTTAATTATTTTCCCTTTTACAAGGGAACAGGGCATCCTGAATTTTAGAGCCTTTCAGCAATAAGAAGGGATGTTGGTGAGCTTTGATCCTCTTTTGGTTTTGCAGTTGTTAGGAGTTTTTGCTGGCATTTTGAATATGCTGCTTTCAGAAAAACCAAGGAAGTTTTAAAATTGCTTCCTGGTCCTTAGAGGACTAAAAACAAGACCCTCATTCCCACTTTCATTTCCACTCTAGCAAAAACTGGGCTTGCGTTTTTCTCCAACTCCTCGTTTATATCCTCCCTTCCATGTCCAAGCCTTCCATTCCTAAGTGGGATTGGCTCAGTTTTGCCCATCCATATGGCAGCATCTCTAATAGCTCTTGTACAGGGTATCAGATATTGTGCCTTTTGGTGCCAGGTTCAAAGTCAAGTGCCGATCTATGAACCAGTGTACAAAAAAAAAAAAATCCAGGTATTTGAAGGAGAGACGCTCCATTGTGAATAAAGAGCTCATACCAGCTCCTAAGCCCTATTAAGAAGAGGCCTGGTCCTCTAATGCCTTGTTTCCATTTCAGTTGTTCTTTGAGAGACAGAATGATGTACTAACCATTCGTGATTATTAAGATAGGGTTGGGTCAGGGCTTAGGGAGGGGGCAGAAATATTGGGGATAGAAAAAAAATCTGATCATTCCTCAGTGCTACCCATTTCTGTCCTGTGTGGGCTGCTTAGCTAGACAGCAGGAGAATAAAGTACACCGAGAACCATAATGAAAAAACCTTCCGTGTGTTTTGTCATGTTTTGTTCCAGGGAAGCAGTTGATGAGTGCTGTTACTAATGCTTTCTCCCAGATCCATTCAGTGGTGGAGAGGAGGAAAATGGGCTGGTTGGATGTGGTCTTGGTGCCTTGCAGTTACTCTGCACTGGTTATGCATTTAATTCTCCTCTTTTCTAGTTAACCTTTTGCCAGTGGGTTTTCCATAGTCTGGGTATTTGTCCTTATATCAGTTATACCACCTAAGGCAACTGGGTGCAAAATGCATTCTGTTCACTCACTGTCTGGGCCTTCCCCACCCTAGTCTTGGCACATTCCTTCAAGAATGTAGTTACCGTCTGCTTGGGAAGATGTCAGTGCAAATGTGAAGATAATGGGCATCGGACTAGGCTTTGGTTTGCCACAAGTGGCAGCTGCCTGTATCAATTACATTTATTAATTTTGCTTTTCATTTTTCCCAGTTCTCCTCACCCCCCCTTTGTTGAAATGTTGGACTTGCTGTCAGAGGCAACTGTAATATTGCCTTAGGGACTTGTGGAGAAGGGGAATTGCTCAGTGTAGTGTTTTAACTTTCAGAACCAAGCAATCTATTTACTCTTACAAATATTTAAGAAGTGTGTTAGTCCAACTTTAAGAAAAATCCAAACTCATCAGCTTTTGATAGCATCTTGGTTTTTGAAACAACTTCAATCTGTAATTGGCATTCAGAATGCCCTTGGCATGCCAGTCTGTGATGGCATTTAAGACCTGTAAAACACTTGAGCCCAACTCGATTAACCAAAACCGATAACCACCACCTTTATCTTCTAAATAAAGTCCGCTTTATTTTTATTTTCAACATCTTGCTGCTTTTTTTTTTTTTTTTTGTCCCAAATGGTGTCACCTCCATGGAGGTGAAATGGTTTGAAAGTCAGAATGTGTGGTGAGAGGTGTTTGTGTATGTATGTGTGTGGGGAAAAGGAGGGACACACATCTTGAAATGGATATTACATAGTGTAATGTGATATAGATGAAACAGTGTCCTACAAATGAGGTAAGGAAAAAGTATGCATGGAGGATGTTTCGTGTTTGGAGAGTTTGAAGCATTCCTCATCAGTAAAACAGGAATACTGACTAAGGTTGTTCTGCAAATTAAAACATAAAATCTCAGTGTTTACCATTTTTCACTTCAGGTGGGCCAAGCTGGCACCTTGGAGGCCAGGTGGAACTGCAGGCTTGCACTGTGTTTCTGAGTGTTTGTATTGGGACCAGGTATACGGTAATGGGGTTTCTTGTGGGAGCAGTTGCTCCTTCTCTGCCATTTGATGAACTAATTGCATTCTTTTCTCAAATCTCACCTTCAGTGGAGAAATGTTCTCAGTGAATCATTGTCCTCTGTTTGTGCCTATTTCTCAAGCTAATTCCGTGTCTAATGGATCATCCAAAAGTTGGCCTTTCACTTAGTTTTCATCATGTATTTCATTTCTACTTGCATTTCCCCCCCTCAAGAAACTTAGAACACTAGTTTGAGATTTAGGAGACTAGGCCCTTTCCTTTAACCCTGCTGCTTATTAGCGTAGTGGTGCCTGCAGGCTAGTTCATGGAAATACACCCTTTCTTAGTTAAGCAAAGTAAGGGCTGTAGACTCCCTTTTCTGATTGTACACCCTGTTAGTAAACTTTTGATCATGCATACCCCATGTGTTTATAAATAACATACTTGGACTACTATAACCACATATTGTGTAATCATAAGACACAAAAATAGAAAGTAAAAAGCAATTACATGATAAATAGAAGTTCTAGTATTTCTAAATCCAATTTGGAGGTTACTGAGTTATAGAGAGTAAATTTTTACCAGACTGCATTAAGTCCTGAACAGCAATGATTCACTGAGAACATTTCTCCACTGAAGGTGAGACTTGAGAAAAGAATGCAATTAGTTCATCAAATGGCAGAGAAGGAGCAACTGCTCCCACAAGAAACCCGGTTACCGTATACCTGGTCCCAATACAAACACTCAGAAACACAGTGCAAGCCTGCAGTTCCACCTGGCCTCCAAGGTGCCAGCTTGGCCCACCTGAAGTGAAAAATGGTAAACACTGAGATTTTGTGTTTTAATTTGTAGAACAACCTTAGTATTCCTGTTTTACTGATGAGGAAGGAAGGGCAGAAAGATTGACTCATCACACCAAGGTCACTTAGAGCCAGAATTCGGAGCCCGGTCTGTCAAATCAAGGCTTTACACATTTGCCCTGGACAGATGCTATGAGCCTCTTAGTAATAAAAAAACAAAGGTCCATATTGCACATACTTAGGATATGCCATCCATTTCCTTCCCAGCACTATCTAAAAGTATATTTTAATTTCGTTGTTTATCTGTTGCCAGTTTTCCCCGCTATAACGTAAGTTCCCTAATGCAGTGACCTTGACTGTCTTTTAGTATGCTCAGCTGAGAGAGCGCCTGACATATAGTAGACCTTCGATAAATATTTGTTGAACTAATGACATAGTAGAGTTCACAGAGTTCCTGTGATGGCATCACTTAGCCTTTGAAGGGCAAAGCATCCAGAAACCTGGGAATGGCAGGGCCACAGAAGACTTCTAGCTCTTATCTGCTGGATGACTTCAGGCTAACTTCTCAACCTTGGATTAACTGATGGAATGGGAACAGGATTAGTGAATAGTCATTATTTACATGATGTTCTTTTTATGTGCTTACAAGATGCTAGGCCTGTAATAAGTTCTTTCATAGAGTAATAAACTTTATCAACACTATAAGGAAGGCACCATTTTAGTCCCATTTTACAGGAGGAAATGTGAACAGGCTAAGAACCTTGCCCAAAGTCATGTGGGCTAGCAAGCAGTCCTGACCTGGATTTGTACCTCTAGCCTACATTGTGTGCCAGTGTTGTAAATGAGCTTATAGTTATCAATCAGAGAGAACCCTGGTTGAGATTTTGGAATTCAATAACAAAGCCATTTTGTCTTAATTCTACAATAAGTTCCATTATTAACCTTTGGCAACTGCCAGACTCTTAATTGAGTGTGTGTGTGTGAGATCAGTTTCTCTCCTAATTGGAGTTTGAATGTGTGTGTGATCAGCTTCCCTCCTAATTGGAGTTTGAACCAAACCATCTCCCTGCACTTCTGCTCCCTTTCTCTCTAAGCTGGAAGCTTTTGGGAACCAGGGCTGGGGGAGGGGTGGTTGTTGGTGCTCAGTGGCCAAAAAGGCCATTAGGCTGCTGAGTAAGCTCCACATCTGAATTACCCCAGCTCTGTCAGCTGATTGCATGCACAGCACAGGCAGGAGGCCTTCAAAGCCTGAGCTGTTCCCTCTCCCAGGTGCTCCTTGGCCACAGGTTACCAAGCTGAGCTGTCCTCAGTGTGAAATGTACCTTTTTGTCTGAAAGGAAAGTACATCTCAGCTTTGGCATATGGCATTAGCTCTGGATGCAGAGGGGCAGCCTGTCACCATTTCCGAAGGAAAGAGTTCACAAATGGCTCTGTGTGAATAAGCTCTTCATAGCGATGAGCAATGCCTGCTATGTTCTGGGCATTGCCCTTCAAAATATTTTAGTCTTTCGAGTATGACCTTGGACAAATTCTCCAACTCTTCTGATTCTCGATTTCCTCCTGTAAAACAGGGATCCCAATGAAAGATAATGCATACAAAGTTTTTAGCACAGGACCTTGAACTCACATTGATTAACCAATCAGCTACTACTGGCCAGGCGCGGTGTATGCCTGTAATCCCAGCACTTTGGGAGGCCGATGTGGGAGGATCGCCTAGAAGTTGGAGACCAGCCTGGGCAACATAGCAAGACCTTGTCTCTACAAATAATAAAAAACATTAGGCTGGGCGTGGTGGCTCACGCCTGTAATCCCAGCACTTTGGGAGGCTGAGGCAGGCGGATCACCTGAGGTCAGGAGTTTGAGACCAGCCTGGTCAACATGGTGAAACCCCATCTCTACTACTAATACAAAAATTAGCTGGGCATGGTGGTGCATGCCTGTAGTCCCAGCTACTCAGGAGGCTGAGGCAGAAAAATCGCTTGAACCTGGGAGGCGGAGGTTGCATTGAGCTGAGATCGCGCCACTGCACTCCAGCCCGGGCAACAAAGCAAGACTCTGTCTCACAAAACAAAAACAAAAACAAAAACAAAAAACAGGCTGGGCGCAGTGGCTCACGCCTGTAATCCCATCACTTTGGGAGGCCGAGGCAGGCGGATCACCTGAGGTCAGGAGTTCAAGACCAGCCTGACCAACATGGTGAAACCCCGTCTCAACTAAAAATACAAAATTAGCTGGGCGTGATGGCACATGCCTACAATCCCAGCTACTCAGGAGGCCAAGGCAGGAGAATCACTTGAACCTGGGAGGTGGAGGTTGCGGTGAGCTGAGATCGCGCCATTGTACTCCAGCCTGGACGACAAGAGCGAAACTCCATCTCAAAAACAAAAACAAAAAAACACATTAGCCAGGTGTGGTGGGAGGATGAGGCAGGAGGATCACTTGGGCCCAGGCGATCAAGTCTGCAGTGAGATGTGATTGCGCTACTGCACTTACCAAACAACTGTTTACGTGCCAGGAGACACTGGGGATATAGCAGTGAATAAGCAAACAAAATCTTCCTGTGGAGCTCACATTCTGATGGATAAATAATCAATATTCAATAATTCAATATAACTTTTTTTTTTTTTTTTTTGAGACGGAGTCTTGCTCTGTCACCCAGGCTGGAGTGCAGTGGCGCGATCTCGGCTCACTGCAAGCTCCGCCTCCCGGGTTCACGCCATTCTCCTGCCTCAGCCTCCTGAGTAGCTGGGACTACAGGCGCCCGCCACCACGCCCGGGTAATTTTTTGTATTTTTAGTAGAGACGGGGTTTCACCGTGTTAGCCAGGATGGTTTCGATCTCCTGACCTTGTGATCCACCCGCTTCGGCCTCCCAAAGTGCTGGGATTACAGGCGTAAGCCACCGCGCCTGACCTCAATATAACCTTTTAAAAATTCTGTTTGGGAGATAGCAGAAATGAACATGGCTGTGGAGAAAAATGAAGCACATATGGAATTATAAAAAACAAAAAACATCTGGGCGTGGTGGCTCATGCCTGTAATCCCAGCACTTTGGGAGGCTGAGGTGGGGGATCACCTGAGGTTGGGAGTTTGAGACCAGCCTGACCAACATGGAGAAACCCCATCTCTACTAAAAATACAAAATTAGCCAGGCATGGTGGCACATGCCTGTAATCCCAGCTACTCGGGAGACTGAGGCAGGAGAATTGCTTGAACCCGGGAGGTGGAGGCTGCGGTGAGCCGCGATGGTGCCATTGCACTCCAGCCAGGGCAACAAGAGTGAAACTCCGTCTCAAAAAAAAAAAAAAAAAAAACCACTCTATTCCTTCCCAAACCCTACTAATTCAATTAGGGGCTCTGCATTACCTCCACAGGAATTTGGGGACGTGGTGAAGGAATGTCTTTCTACCACTGCCCTACCCTCCCATCTGATGGAACACCTGCAGCTGCAGTTGGAGTCCCAGGATGCTTGCATGGTGAATGGCCCACTTTCTAGGGTCTGGAACTGGAGGGCGAAGGTGGCACCTAGATCCTGCAGTCACATGGGGCTAATCAATTTTCCTGCCCGCCAGGGTTCCATTTGAGTCATCTGGGTTTTATTTTGATTCAGCCTCTTTAACTGGCTGCTAATGTCACCTCCTCCTACTCTTTTCAGGCAATAATGGGACAGGAAAGACAGCCTCCAGAGCAAGAGTCATGGGAGTGGGAGAGTCTCCCTGGTGGTTTCCAAGGAGGAAACACTGGCAGGGCCTGGCTCTGGGGGCCTGCATTTGCACTGTCTCTCCTACCTTAACGATTGGAGGTGGGTCCTCTGTTATCACACCTGTGAAGGCCATTTAGAAATGTTTTACAACTCATGCCTGACCACTGTCCACCACTTTCCCCACTGTCCTCCCACTGTGGCTCCTATCCCCTTCACCATCTCCCCTATTATTGTCTCCACCATGATGAGCCCTGCCAATACCAGGGGCTCTTAAAAGGGATTCAGACCAGCTGGGCATGGTGTCTCACGCCTGTAATCCCAGCACTTTGGAATGCCGAGGCAGGCGGATCACGAGGTCAGGAGATCGAGACCCCATCTCTACTAAAAATACAAAAAATTAGCTGGGCGTGGTGGCGGGCGCCTGTAGTTCCAGCTACTCAGGAGGCTGAGGCAGGAGAATGGCATGAACCTGGGAGGCGGAGCTTGCAGTGAGCGGAGACCACGCCACTGCACTCCAGCCTGGGTGACAGAGCGAGACTCCGTCTCATAAAAAAATAAAAATAAAAATAAAAAGGGTATTCAGACCAATGTTCAGCTTTCTCAGATGAGGAAACAGGCCTAGAAAAGTGAAGTAGTCTTAAGTCACACTGCCTCATTTATTTATTCATTCAACAAAGAACATACTTTCTTACTCTTTTAAGATTTAGCTTAGCCAGGTGCGGTGGCTCATGCCTGTAATCACAGCACTTTGGGAGGCCGAGGCAGGTGGATGGCTTGAACCCAGGATTTTGAGAGCAGCCTGGGCTACATGGTGAAACCTTGTCTCTACAAAAAATACAAAAATTAGCCGGGCGTGTGGCATACGCCTGTAGTCCCAGCTGAGGCGCAAGCCACCACGCCTGGAGACTGAGGTGGGAGGATCACCTTAGCCCAGGAGGGCGAAGCTGCAGTGAGCCAAAATTGCACCACTGCACTCCAGCCTGGGCGCCAGAGAAAGACCCTGTCTTTTAAAAAAAAAAAATTGTAAGAGCTCATCAAGGAGACCTTCTCTGAATACTGTGAAGCAGATCCCATCCTCCCATTCTTCTCTAGTACTGCCCCTTGGTGTTTCTTTTTATCCTTTATCACAATTTCCTTCCTTCCTTCTTTCCTTCTTTCTTTTTTTTGAGACGGAGTTTCGCTCTTGTCACCCAGGCTGGAGTGCAATGGGGTCACCTCGGTTCACTGCAACCTCTACCTCCTGGGTTCAAGCAATTCTTCTGCCTCAGCCTCCCGAGTAGCTGGGATTACAGGGACCCACCGTCATGCCTGGCTAATTTTTGCATGTTTAGTAGAGACGGGTTTCACCATGTTGGTCAGGCTGGTCTCAAAGTCCTGACCTCAGGTGATCTGCCTGCCTCAGCCCCACAAAGTGCTGGGATTACAGGCATGAGCCACTGTGCCTGGTCCTTTATCACAATTTCTAGTGGTTTTACTTATTCATCTTTTTATTTTTCTGACTTCTCTACCATACTGCAAGCTCTAAGAGAGCAAGAGACATGTATACCTGTCAGAGACATGTTCAGCACTGTATTCTCAGCACCCAGCACATAATAGATGTTCAAGAAATCTTTGCCGAATAAATATACAACGAGCAGGTACCAACCCTCAGGGCACCTTAGAATACAAGGATGGATGGGATATAATCTCTGCTCTCAGAACTGCCTGGTATGAGCAGCAGAACTAGAAATGGAGAATGCAATGAGATCAGGTCCAGATTGGGGGAGGGGGAGGATTTTAGGGCACCTAAACCAGGCCTAATGGACTTTTGCCACCAACCACCTAGAACCAAGGATAGAAGCATTTGGCTGCACCCTGCCAGGTGACTCAATTAGGCCCTGAGCATCCAAGCAGCAGCAGGGGGCTGATGACTCATCCCAGACAGTGTGTGCTTAGAGGGTCCTGGGACCCCTTTTTCCAGTGAGGGAGGGCTTGCCAGTTGGTCTTATGGGTCCTGTTTGTGGCCAAGTCCAAGGTCACCGAGGGTCCCAGAGACAACCCTACACCTCCTAGTCTAGCCTCCAATCTTTTGCCTGGTCCCTTGCTTCAGAAGAGATCTTGGGGAGTACTAGGGAAAGGAACATCTGCCTAGCCCTTGGGATTAGTGGGGTGACAGATGTCCCCACTGGTTTGCCTTCATATCTAGAGGGTAGATAGGTCATCCCACATGGTTCAGAGAAAGCTAGTGCCTCAGAGAACAAGTGGCTGACCTGCCTTCCTGTTCTGGACTACAAACGGGAGCCAGTGCTGGCAGGAAAGACTGAAAGGGAACCCAGCAGGAGGAGGAGGAAGGAAGCCACTGAGAATCCCCCCTTCTATGAAGAGAATGAGTCTAGAGCTCTGGCTGGCTCTCCTGGTAGAAGCTCACCTCTCAGTCCAATTTTCTCCCAGCAGTGAGGAAAGATGGCAGCTGCTGCTTTTCAAAGCTCAGAGAGAGCAAGAAACCTTTTCCTTCCATCCTCCCCCTCGGAGATTCCCACCCCCATCCCACCTCAGGAGCCAAAAAGGTAGGCTCAGGTTCCCAGCAGTCTTCGCAGCTAAGGCTGAATCTGCCAAAAGCCCCCGCCCAGCTTATCCCCTGCTTCCGGGCTTTGCCTCCCTGTCCACAGAGGATGCTCTTCAGCCAGAGTGCTCCAGGGTTCCCCTGATCATTCTCTACCTGCAGCTAGGCTGACCATGCCTCTGTCCACATTATTTAATCCACCAGGCAATACTCAAAATGACATCGTTAACACTTCCTGAGCATTCGCAGGCTGCTGTATTTAGTTCTGATCCCCATTCTTCCTCCATGAGAGTGCTTAGGTGGGGCATGATCTCCAGCTTAGAAAGGTTAAGGTAACTTGCCCAAGGTCACACAGCAGGAAAGTAGCAAAAAACTTGTTTCTCTTGCCCAGCAGTTTGGCAGGTGCTCAAATAATCTTTGTGCACAGGGTGACATCTGTTGTTTCTTCATTTCCCTGACCTGTGGGTACTTGAGGGTGGCCGGGGAGTGGTGTGTGGGGAGGGAGATGGCTGTCCTTCTTCATGAATGAATCTTTGACCTCCTTAGTTTACTCTCACTTCCAAAGAAGTTACAGCTTTAATCTCTCTGTACCCTATGTTCAATGTATTTATCGCAGCAATGCCCCTTTTACCAAGAGCAACGAAGAGCAGGTCTAATGATTTCCTTCTCAAAAGCGCAAAGACCAAAAAAAAAAAAAAAAAGCCAGATAAATAGCCCCACTTCCTCCCCAAATATACAGCCCATAACTAAACAACCAAAACAACCAAAGCATCAGCCGGGCCCCTGCACTGACCGCAGACGCCCCCAACACACGCCACCACGCCACACTGCGCCGGGAGGCGTCGGGGAGGGGGCGCCAGCGCGGGCCGCTGGCGCCGCAGGGAGCCGGTGGGCTCCGGGCGCGCTGCCAGGAAGGGCCGCACCGTAGGGGCCGCCGCCTCTCGCCACGTGGTGGTGGCAGCGGCGGGGTCCGGGGCGCCTTCCCAGCTGGAGAAACCCGGAGCAGCCGGGGAGGAGGAGGCGGAGGAGGCGGCGGCGGCGGAGGAGGAGCGGGGCGGACGGGAGGGAGGGGGTTGGGGGGAGGGGTGGGGGGTGGGGAGAGACCCGGCGGCGGCGACAGGGCGAGGAGCAGAGCGCGGTACCAGGGGGGTGGGGGCACTGGTGCCCGTTTGGGGAGGGAGCAGGCGGAGGGGGTAAGCTGCGATTACAAGCAGGAACCGGCAGCAGCTGTGAGTCCCCGGCTGGGGCTAGGGCTGGGGGAGGGGAGCGGCGCCCGGGCTGGGCCCCAGGGGTCGCGGGGTGGGCAGGAGGAGGCGGCAGGAGGGCGGCTGGCAGCCGCACGGGATGGCTGGGAGGGAAGGGGTCCGGTGTCGGCCGCCCTCATCCCCTCGCGTCCCCCTCCGCCGCCGTTCCTCAGGCCGCGCCACTCCCGGAGCCCCTTCCCCGGCCCCGAGAGGGTGTCCGGGGGCCCAGGGCTCGGCCGGTTGTGGGGGAGGGGGCTGCGTGGTCTCGGCCCCCGAGAGGGGAGGGGCGACAATTTCTGTCGGCCGAGCGAAAGGGGTTTAAAGGGCGGCTCTTAAAGGGGCCGCAGGAGGGGCCCGGGCCGACAGAGGCACTCACCCCTTCCCCAGCCGCCTTCCATTGCGCTCACCCGGGCGCTGGGCCCAGAGAGGAATGCGGAGGAAGGAGGCATTTGTGGTGCGGCCTCGGGGACAGAGCCCCGCCAGCGGGGTGGGCGCAGAGGGGCGGGCGGGGGTCTGGGGGGGTGTGGTAAGCGCTGGCGCGCGGAGCTGGGGGGAGGGGATGGCGTGGGAAGGAGAGGGTTAAAGGTGGGGCCGGCCCTACAAACGCGCGCACACACTCCTTACTCAGACCCAGTCACTCGCGTTTCCCTGGCACTTAGATGGGCCTGTGGGTGGCGGAGGGGGGGGGGTGGATTGAATTGGAGCCTGCGCCGGAGCCCTTTGCACCCCAAGCTCCTGCAGCCCGACCTGGGGGCCCCGCTGTCTGAACTCACAGCTCCCTGCCGAGCCCCCTCTCCGGGGTGCACATAACGCTCCAGCGCGCGCACACACCTCGGACAGTCCCCTCGCGTCTCACGTGACACGCGGCCCGGACGTGCCACCCTGCCCACGCGCTCACGCACGCGTGCACACACCAGCCTCCTGGTCGCTGCCCCACTCCGTCCCGACGCCCCTGCGACCCCGAAGGCACTCATTGACTGACACACCTACACTCATTCACAGACGCACACTCCCCCCATACGCCAACCCCAGACACACATTCATAACCAGGCCCGAGAGAAGTACACACGCACCCCCTCACTGCCTACTCCTGCTTTCGGGAGCCTGAGTCATTCCTGCCCCCTCGTAGGGTTCCCCATTTCCCGGTGCGCGGGCACCCTGAGACAGCCTTGGGAATTCGTTCGCGTCCCCTTCCACCTGGGTCCCCTTCCCCAGTTTGCGCCCCGTAACACTCAGCCAAGGACTTCCTGTGGGTCCCAGGTCAGGGGCCAAGGGGTCCTGGACCGCTGCCACAGCCCCGGTGCGCCCGGGGGAGGCGCTTCCTTTTCCTGAACTCTGGGATCCTGCGGGAGGAAGTGGGGAAGTTGGGCGGGGGTGCAGCCGAGGGCGTGCCGACTGTGGAGGGGCCGACCCTCGCGCAGCTCTGGGCCTTCCTTGGGGAGGAGCTGGGGTGCCAGAGGCCCAGGCTGAGGAGCTTGGCGGCGAGGTATTTGGGGAAGTAAGGCCTGGGGTGGAGAAGCGCGGAGGAATGGGCCGGGCCCGGCTGGGAAGGCAGCCCTCTCCCATCCACAGGTCTCCCTGGGTTCTGGCAGGAGCCTGCCCCTGCTGCCGGCCTGGCTTACTTGTCCCTACTTGTCAACACCCTGGCAGCGGGGTCTTCACCTGGTTCCAGCCCCTTTTCCCCAAGGCGGCAGAGAGGATGGGGCTGAGGAGTCTGGGAAGGGGCCATGGGAGTCCCTGCTGAGCTCGGGGCAGGAAGTTTCTGGGTTGCATCTTAGCCGGCCCCAGGGAGTGCAGAGCCAGGGAGAGGGGTACCAGGGACAAACCCTAGACAGACGGCCCTGTCCACGGTTGCTCCTGCTCTCCTAGGAGGCCCCGTGTGGGCCGCGGCCCGGCCCTCACCATGGAGTCCATGTTCGAGGACGACATCAGCATCCTGACGCAGGAGGCCCTGGGGCCTAGTGAGGTGTGGCTGGACAGTCCCGGAGACCCCTCGCTTGGGGGCGACATGTGCTCCGCCTCCCACTTTGCCCTCATCACTGCTTACGGAGACATCAAGGAACGGCTGGGGGGCCTGGAGAGGGAGAACGCCACCCTCCGACGCCGCCTCAAAGTCTACGAGATCAAGGTCAGAACTTGGAGAGGAGGGCGCCTGATAGAGTGTATGGGATGGGGAGGGGGACTGGGAATCTGGTAGATACCAGGGATCCAAAAGAGGGGTCACTGTGCAGACTCTTGGGAACTTGAGGGTCTCCCATGAGAGACGTGGCTGTTCCGGATGCGAACTGTCTCCTGTTGGCTTCAGAAGGGCTGGATCTGGGATCTAAAACAGATCCGGTGGGTGGGAGATGGCTACAGACCCATGGGAATTGGGATCCCACTAGCCAAGGAGAAGGAGGGTCAAAGGTCTGAGGCAGGTTGTGGGTTGGGGGCACAGCCAGGCTGAGGCCTGGGCTGGGCACCCGGGAATCCACTCTCCTGAAGCTCCACCCCACCTGCAGTACCCACTGATCAGTGACTTTGGAGAGGAGCATGGCTTTTCTCTGTATGAAATCAAGGATGGCTCCCTGCTGGAGGTGGAGAAGGTCAGCCTGCAGCAACGGCTCAACCAGTTCCAGCATGAGGTGAGCCTACCAGGCTGGGCGCACCCCCTGAGCATCTTGCTCCAGTCTGTTTCTGATACCCTTCCCTCCACACCCCCCAGCATCTGGCCTCTGCCCTTTGATTAGAGATGGCCAGGTCCTCCCTAAGCCCAGCTGCAGCTCCTCCTGCCCCTCCATAGGGTGCTGGGAGTGGGGGTGGGGAGGTGCAGGGAGCTCTCCAACTCCAAGTCCAGTGTGGGACTGACCCTGTGGTGGGGCCCTCTGGGCCTCATCCAGTTACAGAAGAACAAGGAGCAGGAAGAACAGCTTGGAGAGATGATCCAGGCCTACGAGAAACTCTGCGTGGAGAAGAGTGACTTGGAGACAGAGCTGAGGGAGATGGTGAGGCCTGGGGAGCCGGAGGTGCTTGAGGATGTGTAGCTGGTTGTGTGTGTGCATGTGTGCATTTAGTTCTGTGTGTGAGGATTCCAGCCTGTGACAGTGCAGTCCCATGTGTCACACATCACTTGTTTGTGCCCTGCTTGTGTTCATGTGTATCTGTGAGTGCCCGCCCATTTGCCCTTGTGAGGGAGACTGCATGTGTTATCCATGTTGCGGTGTCTGTGTGCATCCTGGCCATGCAGTGGCCCCGTGGGAACCTCTGTCTCTGTGTGTATGCCTGGCTGTCACGCTGGGGTGACCCTGTGCCTGTGAGCACTGCCCTGGCTCTCACGCTGGGGTGACCCTGTGCCTGTGAGCACTGCCCTTGGGAGGCTGTGAGGGTGAGGGCAGAGGTGACCAGGAGTGTGTGACTGCTAGGATGGGCCTGTGCTTGGGTGTGCTTCCGAGTCAGGGTATGGCTGTGCCGGTGAGCAGGTCAAAATCAAGAGACAGGCCAGGTATGGTGGCTCACGCCTATAATCTCAGCACTTTGGGAGGTTAAGGAGTTTGAGACCAGCCTGGGCAACATAGTGAAACCCCATCTCTACAAAAAATACAAAAAAGAAGTTAGCCAGGTGTGGTGGTGCACACCTGTGGTCCCAGCTACTCAGGAGGCTGAGGTGGGAGGATCGCTTTAGCCCAGGAGATCGAAGCTTTGGTGAGCCAAGATCAAGCCACTGCACTCCAGCCTGGGTGACATAGCCAGACCCTGTCTCCAAAAAAAAAAAAAAAAAAAAAAAAAATCAGGAGACATGGTCTCAGCCAACCCTAAGCTATGACCTCAGTTAAGTCACTTAGCCTCCATCCCTCCTCTGAAAAGTGGGGCAAATATTAACACCCTCACCAGGTTGTGGTGAGGGTGATGGGGCATTCATGTATAGATGCTTTGCCTTCATAATCATAGATATTTATGTGGCACTCGGGGTGTGCCAGGCACTGTTCTTTTCACCTGGCATACACTAGCTCATTTTAATTCTCAAAACAACCCTAAGAGGTGAGTGTGGGACTGTTATCCCCATTTTATGGATCAGGTGGGTGAAGTCCAGAAGCTCTTGTCATGTATGCAAATGGAAGTTCTGATGCTCCTGAGGGGGGCTGGCCTCCAAACAGGGGGCTGAGTGTTCTTTTAAGTGTCCCTGTGTGTTAATGACAGAGCAGGGGCATTAACTTGACCTCGCCAGGGGCAACAGCCCGCAACAGCTGCATTGCGGTGGCTGAGAGGAGACTTTGCACTCACAGCCACTTGGAGAGTGGGCTTGGGATGTGTGACCTGGGGCCTCTGCTGTAGTCTGGGGTGATGACTCTCCAGACATGGGGAAGTCCTGGGCCTGTGCAGACCCTCCCCTCTGTCTCTCTCTCCAGAGGGCCCTGGTGGAGACGCACCTGCGTCAGATCTGTGGTTTGGAGCAGCAGCTGCGGCAACAGCAAGGCCTCCAGGATGCAGCCTTCTCCAACCTGAGCCCACCGCCAGCCCCCGCCCCTCCCTGCACTGATTTAGACCTGCACTACCTGGCACTGAGAGGGGGATCTGGCTTGAGTCATGGTGAGATCTCAGTGACCCCGACTTACCTCCTAGTCCCCAACCCCCATTTCAACATTCCTAGACACCTCGCACTTACTTACCATCCCATTTGTAATATAATCTATTTCTCCATAATCATCCCATCCTCCCTTACCTGCTGTCCCCTCACCTCACCCACTGTTACCCTAATTTCTCCCCTTCTAACTCGGTCATTCCTGATCACCTCGTTGCAATTCCTGTGCCTGCCAGCAGAGGGCGCCCCCACCCAGAGTCCCCCCGCCCCGTCTCTGGCTGTGACTAGGAGAGGCCCTTGCAGATGCTCTAGACTTGAGTCTGGCCAGTAAAGCCTTCAAGAGCCCATCTTATTTTTTTCCTGGCCTCCAGGAAAATTAGAAATGCGGCTCAGCCCATCTTTCCTCGCTGCCCTTGTCGCAGTCATCCCTCCTTGGCTAGCTGTCCTGGCTTCTCTCTTGGAGTCCCCATGCTGCATCCTCCTGTTTCACTCTGGCTCTGGGAGCTGGAGGAGGCAGCTGAGCTCGCCTGACGTTGTCCTGTCCACCGACAGCAGGCTGGCCGGGCTCCACACCCAGTGTGAGTGACCTGGAGCGGCGGCGGCTAGAAGAGGCTTTGGAGGCCGCGCAGGGAGAGGCCCGGGGGGCTCAGCTCCGGGAGGAGCAGCTCCAGGCCGAGTGCGAGCGGCTGCAGGGGGAGCTGAAGCAGCTGCAGGAGACCCGGGCCCAGGTAAATGCAGGGGCCTGGAACAGCTTCTGGAGGTCCAGGGCTGGGCCTTCCCCACTGTGTGCAGACTGGCCCAGGGAACTGTAGACAAGGGCCCTGGCAGGGGTGAGCTTGGGCTCTGACCTCTTCATCTTCTTCCTTAGGATCTGGCCTCCAACCAGTCGGAGCGAGACATGGCGTGGGTGAAAAGAGTTGGGGATGATCAGTAAGTCACATTGGTAACCCTGGTCCCTCCGTGATGTTTGGGAGACCTCCCCTCCCAGCCCTCAGGGGTGTGGTGTCTGGGCTGCTGTTGCTCTGTGTGCATCCTTCATAGGAAGGAGGTGGGGTTCTTTTTTTTTTTTTTTGAGATGGAGTTTCGCTCTTGTTGCCCAGGCTGGAGTGCAATGGCGTGATCTTGGCTCACCGCAACCTCTGCCTCTCGGGTTCAAGCAATTCTCCTGCCTCAGCCTCCCGAGTAGCTGGGATTACAGGCATGCACCACCATGCCTAGCTAATTTTTTTTTTTTTTTTGAGACGGAGTCTTGCTCTGTCACCCAGGCTTGAGTGCAGTGGCGCAATCTCGGCTCACTGCAAGCTCCGCGTCCTGGTTCACGCCATTCTCCTGCCTCAGCCTCCTGAGTAGCTAGGACTACAGGCGCTCGCCACTACGCCTGGCTAATTTTTTTTTGTATTTTTAGTAGAGATGGGGTTTCACTGCGTTAGCCAGGATGGTCTCGATCTCCTGACCTTGTGATCCGCCCGCCTCGGCCTCCCAAAGTGCTGGGATTATAGGAGTGAGCCACTGCGCCCGGACCTTTTTTTTTTTTTTTTTTTTTTTTTTTGGATTTTTAGTAGAGATGGGGTTTCTCCATGTTGGTCAGGCTGGTCTCGACTCCTGGGAGGTGGGGTTCTTGAGTGTTTGGGATCTGGGACATTCCCTTTGCTTTCCTCTGGGGCCCAAACCCATCTCTTCTGGAGATGCCAGGGCTAAGTGACACTTACTCGGCTGCTTTGTCGCTGTGTCCAGTGTAATGTCCCCTGCTGAGCTTTTGGGCCTCCGTAGGGCCCCATTTTCTATTCCAGTGACAAGGCCCGGCCAGTTGGGTTCACCCTCCCCTCCCTAGTGAGGAAGAGGGAGGTGGTGTTTCTTGGGATTTGTTGGGCCTTGTCTGCTGATCTCAGGAGAGAGAAGCCTGAGGCTTAGAGACAGGAGAGGTTTCCATGGGTTCACACAGCCGTGGGGTGGGGAGTTAGAATCTGCTCTGCTAGGGTACTCCCTTGAATCCTACCAAGAAAGGGGCAGCAGAGAGCGGCAAGGGAGCTGTGTTGGTGGGGGGCCCAGTGCTGGGGCCTCCAGGGGGGCACTGGACAGCAAGGGAGGGGTGAGCAGCCACCCGGCAACAGTGGAACCTGGTGCCTTTCACATCCGCACTGAACTCACCCTCTCCCACTTTCTGAGAAATAGAGCTCAAACCTCTTTCCGCCTAAGTCCTCTCCCCTAAGATGAGCTGTGTGGCACAGACTCCCTACTCTAATTGGAGGAGAAGACTGAGGCCCAGAGAGGGGCAGGAACTAACCCTCCACCGCATAGCATACCCAGCTCCGGGGCTCCGGAGGTCTCCTGCCCAGCAGGCTTCTTCCTTATCTGCCTCCCAGCTTCTGGCCAACTGGGGATACCCCTCGCCTACCTCCCTACCTAAGAGTGAGGGCTTGGGTGGAGCTGTGATAGCTGGGGAGGTGGTGAGAACCCAGTTTGTGGGACTGGTGGGTGGGACCCCTCAGCTAGGCCTTTGTGGAGAGGGTCCACCCTAGCTTGTGGCTGGAGCTTGGGGCCCATCATAGCCCATGTGCCCAGACCTGGAACACACAGACACACACAGACACACACACACACACACACACACTCTCTCTCTCTCTCTCTCACACTCTCCAATCCTAGCTTGCCCCAGAAGTCATGATGTAGGGCCCTTCATGGGTCACTGAACCCAGTCCCCTCTTACCAGACCAGCAGTGAATCTCCCTGAATTGGTAGAACTCCAAGGGAGGACATTTTGGTGGGGCTGGAGTCTGGCTCTTCAGGTTTTGAATCCCAGGGGCCTTTCTTTACTGACTTGGACTCTACCTCTCTGGATCCAGTTTCCCTCACAGGCTCAGGGGCCAGTCATTGCTGAGAGATGGGAGAGGAAGGTGAGGCGGTGGGTAGAAGCAGAGAAGGGGCAGGGCTCCCAGGGGCCAAGGTTGTATTGTGTGAGTGAAAGGAAGCCCACCCTATAAGGGGCTAGGAGGCCGTATCATCCACGCTGCCCATTCTGGCAAGAGCAGCCCCTTCCCTCTCTCTCTCAAGGCTCCTGCCCTTCTCAGGCCCTTTGGCTGGAGGGAGCTGGCCTCTGCTTGGGGGCTGGCCCCACAGGCTTACTGGAGGCCACCTCCTGGCTCCTCCCCTCCTTCCCTGTGATTAGGCTCTGCCTCCAGCCTCCCAGATCTCTGCATCTGGAGCCAGCCAGGCTCTGCTGCCCAGCCACACGCTTCCTTTCAGGCCGAGCGAGCATCTCTGGACAGCCCTAGTTTGGCGAGCGTTAATTCTCAGAGGAAGTCCTCACTACCCCGATAGTTTTATTTTCTTATAAACTCAGCTCCTTTTGGTAATAGGCTGCTTCCCGAGTGCTCCCTCCCCTGTCCTTCCACCCAAGGAAGCCTCAGTCACTTGCTTTCAGCTCCTCTTCCCCCACTAGTGCCCCTCTTTCTTCTGTTTCCACCTGACTTTCCAGGCTGGTGGGAATTTTACAAGTAGGCTTTTCCGGGAGTGGAGTGAGTGTCGAGGCTGGATGACCCAGGTTTGGGGTGTGATTGGGGTGAGGAGGACCAGGATATGAAGGCTGAAGAGGGGTACACCCAATTCCTGAGTCCAGCCCACTCTTAGGCGGGAGTCTTCTGTATGGTGAACTCTGTATGTATGTATGCCCACCTGTCTTGGTCTAGACACCTCCGGGGCAGCCAGTTTTATTGCGGGAGTCCTCAAGGTTAACCGCCCCCACCCCCATCTCTATTAATTCCCTTCTCTGGATCCTAGCCCCAGCCCCAGGGTTTCCCAGTTCCTTCCCTCCCAGCCCCTGGCCCACAAGTTCTGGCCATTAACGTTCCCACGAAAACAGACACCCAGACCAGACCGAGGCAGACTACTACCCTCCAGGTCTGACCCCCTGGGAAACCCATGGTTTGGTTTGCCCAGCTCCTGGGGACAGAGCCCAGGGAGACAAATTGCCCCAGAGGAAGAGCCACTGGGGGTCACGCAGAGGCCAAAGGCAGTGATGAGGGAGGCGGTGGGAGCAGAGCCCACCCTGCTCCTGAGGATGCACAGGGAGGTAAAGACCCTGACCCTTGGGGGGTTCCCAGCCCAGGTGGAAGGCGCAGCACCCACAACCCCCTTCTCTCTGGGCCCAGCTCCCCAGCCTGGGGTTCCAGAGTGGGGCCTTTTGGAGGGTATGGCCGTGCTGAGGGGGAGGGGAAATGCGGGGGGGGGAACTTCTTGAAGGGGATGAGGGCTCCGAAGGGACAGGGGGTCTGTGAGGGGAATAAGGGCCCGGTAAGGGAGGGTGGGCTCATCTGTGCGGGGTCCATCTGGGAGAAGATGGGGACTCAGTATGGGCGATGAGGAAAAAACTATAGGCCTTTCTTTCTTCCCAACGTTGGGGGCTCAGCGCTGCAGCCCGGGCCCTTTTCCGCACCACCTCCCCCCCCACCCCTCTCTCCACCCACAAGCCTCTGCGTGGGCTGCGGTTAGTGGTGGGAAGAAGTGTGAACTCGAGAGAGAGGATGGAAACTCTGCACGGAGGTCAAGGGCAGCGTGGGGTGGGTCAGGACGGAAGTCGGAGACCCCCGCATACCCTGAGCGTAGCCTCATGCCCCAGAACCAGCAGGCCCAGGGCCTCCCCCTTCACGCTTCTCACCCTCCCTACTTCCTTTCTTTCAAGTCTCCTTCGGCCAGGGCACCCGCGCTGCACTCACAGGAGTTAACCCCTGAGCACTTGCAGCCTCGGGGGCTCCCAGAGGCTAGGTGGGTCTGAGGGATGTGTGGGCTTTCAGCCCCAGTCCTTGGTGCTTTGCCTGCCAGCAGGGTGGGGAGCAGCTCATGCCAGCGCCCCCTCCCTCGATGGGAAACGCCCATCTTCCCTCCTTAAACCGAAGCCACTAGGCTGCTGTCTCCAAAAAAAGGCTCAAAACAAGTTTCCCCCCTTCTCCACCTATCTGCTAGGCACTCCCCTGAAATTTTTTTTTTTTTTTGTCCATGCCAGACACTATGCGAGGTGATTTACCTACAAAATCTCATTTCATTCTCACAAACGTGATGTAGGTATTGTCCCCCTTTTACAGATGAGCAAACTGAGGTGCAGGGAAGTGAAGTAATCTGAGAGTTCAGTAAGAAATTCAGTGCAGATGCCAAGTGGGTCCTGAGCAGATCGGGTGATGGCACCTCTGCGGTGTGTTTCTGGTTCAGGTTCTTCTTCAGGTAGAAAGCCCTTATATGAGGGGCAACCGTGTGATTTGTTGACCAGACTGGATCACTTTTGAAAGTGAAAGGGGGCACTATTAATAATTATGCTGGGGCAACTAGCGTGAACTGGGACAGTCCTAGGCAAACTGGGATCTCTGGGCACCCCACCTATGTAGGAACCCTGGTTTCCAGGCCTACCCCTGAGCTGCTCCAATCAGCTGCATCTGGGAAGCTTTCTAGACCCGGGATGTCAGCTCTGGTGGATTCGTGGCAGGGGCTGCCATGAAGAGCCAGGCTCTGGGGACCCCACCAGTCATAGCTGGTCGAGGAGAGAGAAGGGGCTCAAGGCGCCCGAAAGGAAGTGGTGGAGCACTGGGTTGTTGCAAAGCAACTTCCTCCTCCCCGCCGGCCCGCAACCTCAAGTCCGTTCCACGGCCCGGTGCCTGTGGTCCCCTCCCCGAGGGTCGGGCGGGAAGACTGATGCTGGGTGTGCCTGTGGGTGGTGGAAAGTTTGGTCCCTAAATTATCCCACAGGGGTGAGGTGGCTGGGGCAGCTGGGGGCAGCTTTGAGCAAGGATGGAAGGGCCCTGGAAGGTTGGATTTCTGTTTTCCTCCCAATTCTGAATCAGACGATGATTCTGACCACATGGACAGCTCTAAACCTAACCCTAATCCTAACCCTTTTACTGCTCCCGTCCCTGACTCTAACCCTATCCCTGATCCTGACCTTCAGCTCTGTCCACAATCTTGGCCACGTGCTACATCAACCCCACTCCTAGTCTGACCCTGGCTCCTTTAATCCTGTCCTCAAGGCAGTCCCCAGCTTTATCGTTTCCAGAAGTGTGTGAGATCTGTGAATTATTCGTGGAAAGACTGAATGAAAGGATGCGAAGCGTGGAATATTTGCAGCCCAGGGGGCCCTCCTTCCTGCCAGCTCTGCCATTTGCTCTCTGGCTCCTCCGAAGTTGCCAGCTTGGCAGGCTGAGGTGCCAAGAACCTGTGTTTGAATCTGCTGTGTGCCACTGCCACTCTGTGACCTTGAGCCAGCCTCTTAATCGCCCTGATTTTCTACTTCCACATGTGTCTAGCACCTTCCTATCACCCCCAGGGAAGGGGTGGTGATTCTCAGGGCTTCCAGGCCACTGCCAAGGTCCCCAGTCCCCTCCTCCTCTTCGTCTTTCCCTTCTGTTGCTGCCTTGCCTTTCCTCTCCCCTCCTTCCCGCTTCTTTGGGGGACGTTATAGCATGATGGTCAGTAGCCTGGACTTTGGAGTCTAGGGGGCAGAGCTCCCATCCCAGCAACTCCATTGCTAGTAGGCTTTATGATTTTGGTCAAGTAACTTAACCTCTGTAAGCCTCAGTTTTCTCATCTGTAAAATGAAGGTAACAGTGGCAATGCCGTAGGGTTGTTGTGGAGATGAATAAAGTTCTCAGCAGAGTGCCTGGCCCCGGGGTGAGCACTCAAACAGATCATCCGATTCTTTTCTCTCTGGGTGCCTCCCAGGTTTTGAAAGACTCAGAACTTTCTCCTGTCATGTAAGCAATAAAGCAGCATCCAAATGCAGCCATCTGCTGCCACTTACCTGACCCATTCTTCCCAAGCAGTCATGATGGTGAAAAAGCACTCAGGTGTGGGCCAGGAAGCCAGGAAATGGAATGTGTATTTCGGTGCACGTGTGCAACTCTTGGTTGTGTTGTGAAGTTGAGATTTTTTTTTCCACTGAATTGGCAGTGTTTTCAGTGAGTCATTCAGGTCGTTAGCATCTTCAGCGGCCCAGGCCTGTGCATCTTGAGATGGAGAGAGACACCCAATGAAGGGGGAGGTCCCAAAAGGCCATGGGGCATCAGGAGGAGGTCAAGTCAATCACCTTGCCGGGGACTTAGCAGTCTTTGTGAGGGTTGCCTGAAGTTCTGGGTGGACAGAACCCACCTGCCTCAGGCCCCAGGTGGCAGAGCTGGGAGAGGGGCTGGGCATTGTGGGCCAGGGCTTCTTCCTTCCATTTTCAGCCACCCTGTCTGTTTCACTGTGAGAAGGATGCCAGGGGCTGGGTGGTAGAAACTGGGGTAGCTCCTGACAAGGGGAGGGAGGCAAGCAGGGGAGTGACAGGGACCTGGGAACTGAGTGTGGCAGGTGAAATCTCTGAGGCGGGGTGTGAAGACGACGACCTGTATCTGTCGCCTGAGATACAGCAGTGAAAATGGATGGTGAGAGAAGCTTTGGCTATGTGGACAGAGGACCACACTCTGTCTGTGCCCTGCCCAGAGCCCTCTCCTTCCCCTGCTGCCAAGGAGATAGCACGATCCTGCCCTCCAAAAACCGCCAGTCTGATGGGGGACACACAGCTCCTGCCCACAGATGTCCTCAGTCTGAAGGGGAAGCCTTCCCTTGGGGAGTCCCCAATTTGACGTGGGACACACCTGGACCTCCCAGTCTGATGGGGGAGATGCCATTTCTTCCCACAGACCCATGAGCTGAGGATGAGGGGGCACAGGACACATTTAACAAAAACAAGGGCTGAGATGTGATGGGATGGAGGCTGCAGGGTCTCAGCAGCAGCTTCTGGGACTCCTTCCTCTCTGCCTGCCCAGCCCTGCTCACCATCAGATGGGTGGCGAGGACTCCCTCCCTAAGAAGAGGGCTGTCTCCCAGAGACCTGGCCCATTTGCAGTAATTTGGCTTTGGCCCAAGTGGGTTAAAAATAGTCTTGTGGGAGGGGCAGTTTCTGCCCCAGGATTAGTAAGAGACAGCCAGTGAGCGACAGCAGGGAGCCTAGTCATTATCTACCCTCTCCACCTCTCTTTTCCTGCCCTCTGAAGCCCTAACCTCACGACTTCCCCTCCTCTCCTTTAGGGTTAGACTTAGACACACACACACACACACACACACACACACACACACACACACGCACACACCCCTACGCTCATTCACGCCTTTCCTCATTCATCAGCCTGGCCTCACACCTCTCTTCACACTCTCCCATCCACATGTCCATCACTATGGGATGGGGACAGGGCCCTCCAGGCTTAAGAACTTGAGCCCCCTTGTCCTGGGACAAGACCTCCCCTGGGAAGAGATCTGTGTGGAGTGACACCTGGTATTTTCTCCCAGCTCCATCTTCCACTAAGTTCCCCGAGTCCCTTCTGGAGCTGGAGGTGGGGAGAGCCAAAGAAACCTAAATCTCTGCCTTCAGGGAGATTCAAGGCTCTGTCCACACTCAGAACAGTGATGAAGGCAGGGCCCAAGGGCATGGCAGAGCTTCCCATGAGGTCAGGGAGGGCTCCTGGGGCCGTGCAGGCCACAGTGGGAGAAAGCAGAGAGCAGTGGAGTGATGACCTTCCATGGTTCTGGGTTGCAAGTGACCTAGAGATAAAGGAAGTGGGTGAGGTTCCTTGCCAAGTCTGTTCCAGCTCCATGAGGGTGGGTGCCCAAGATGCCTGAACAGGAAGCAGGGAGGAAGAAAGGGAAGGAGAAAGAAAAATGGAGGGAGAGGCTCAAATGCATTATCCACTTACTGAACATCTGCTGGGTTCCAGGCCCTGGACAAGGTGGTGGGAATATAAATACAATGACGTAATCCTCACCATCAAGAAACTTCCCATAAAGTTCTAGAACAAGGCAGCCTTTGAGAAGTGCCTGGTGTGACTGGCACTCACTGCAAGTGTGCAGTGTACAGCAGCTGTTCACAAAGATCTCAGTGTTAAGGCCCTGGTGGAGTTGTACAGCAAGGAGGTCCTGGGAGGGGCAAAGCTGAAAAGAGCCCAGAGGCAGCTTTGAGGTCGAGCCAGGTGCAGTGGACATGGAATTGGGCTGGCTTGGGGTTAAGTTTATCAGTTAGCACCTCCACCAGCCAGGAAACCATCTTCACTTATGGAACGAGCTATTCTATGCAGCAGGGTCCCCAACCTTTTCAAAGGTGAGGACTCTTCATGGATCCCACTCCCAGTACACAGATTATAACACTTTTAGTATGCATTGCTTGAGAAAATTCACAGTGACAGAAGCTACTATAAATTCAGTACAGCTTTTTGATGAATCGGTGCTTTAATTCATCATCACAGCTTTTGCACAGATTAGAAAAACATTCACACATACCTGTATGAGCTGTGTTCAGACCACGGACAGTGCCTGATGCAGGGATTCAGGGAGCCCTTGGAATCTCTCTGCTCCCTGTCCCTGCACTTAGGCTGGGAACCACTGCCCTAGCCCAGGGAATGGGTCTCAGGATGCAGAGGGAGTCTCCCTGGAAGAGGTGGCTTTTGAGCTGGACCTTAAAGGTAGGGAGGATTTCTGCAATTGGGGTAGGAGGGCCCTGCGGGTGGGAGGGAGCATGGTGGGGCCAGATGCTGGGGTAGAGCCAGTTCTTCCTCCACAGCTGGGACGGTAGACCCACTGCCCTTCTCGTCTTTCCCACTGCCCTCTGACTTCAGGGTGAATTTGGCGCTGGCCTACACCGAGCTGACGGAGGAGCTGGGCCGGCTTCGGGAGTTGAGTTCCCTACAGGGGAGAATCTTGAGGACTCTGTTGCAGGAACAGGCCCGGAGTGGCGGTGAGATGGGGCAGGGCAGGGGGAGGCAGCCGCGGGACCCGGGAAGGAGCGGGTAGCCATGGCAACCATCTTGGTCATGGGGACCACCCTTTATTTCCTTTCCTGTGGCCTGGAGTTGGTGGGCATGGGTCCGGGCAAGCCCCTGGCGCTCCAGTTCTGAGGTCTTCTCTCTGCACCTTTGTCCCCCCACCCCGTCCCGGTTTCTCTTCCAGGCCAGAGGCACTCGCCGCTGTCACAACGCCACTCCCCGGCCCCCCAGTGCCCCTCCCCCTCCCCGCCTGCCCGAGCGGCTCCCCCGTGCCCCCCGTGCCAGTCCCCCGTCCCCCAGCGCCGCTCTCCCGTGCCCCCGTGCCCCTCGCCGCAGCAGCGCCGCTCTCCGGCCTCACCCTCCTGCCCGTCGCCCGTCCCGCAGCGCCGCTCGCCGGTGCCGCCGTCGTGCCAGTCCCCCAGCCCGCAGCGCCGTTCCCCGGTGCCCCCCAGCTGCCCGGCCCCGCAGCCCCGGCCACCGCCGCCGCCCCCGCCGGGCGAGAGGACGCTGGCCGAGCGCGCCTACGCCAAGCCGCCCAGCCACCACGTGAAGGCCGGCTTCCAGGGCCGCCGCAGCTACTCTGAGCTGGCGGAGGGCGCGGCCTACGCGGGCGCCTCCCCGCCCTGGCTGCAGGCCGAAGCGGCCACTCTCCCCAAGCCCCGGGCCTACGGCAGCGAGCTCTACGGCCCTGGCAGGCCCCTCAGCCCGCGGCGCGCCTTCGAGGGCATCCGGCTGCGCTTCGAGAAGCAGCCGTCGGAGGAGGACGAGTGGGCTGTGCCCACCAGCCCGCCCAGCCCGGAGGTGGGCACCATCCGCTGCGCCTCCTTCTGCGCGGGCTTCCCCATCCCCGAGTCGCCCGCCGCCACCGCCTACGCCCACGCCGAGCACGCGCAGTCCTGGCCGTCCATCAACGTGAGTGGGGCGCCCGCGTTCCGCCCACCCCGGACCGGGCCTTGAGATTGAGACCCCAGCGCCTCACCCTCCGTTGAGGGCCTTGCCCCTTTCGGGTGTCAGCGCACAAACTATTCACCCTCCTTGGACCCCGGGCCACAGTCTAGGTCCTTTCACCTCCCTTTCCCGTGGTCTTCTGTCACCAGAAATTGGGGCCTGCCCCATTAAGATTTCGTTCATTTCCTTGGATAAGGATATGGATTTTGGAGTGAGTGACAGTTCTGCCTTTGATTCCAAACTCCACCGCTTAATAGCTGTGGGACCTTGTGCAAGTTACTTATCCTCTCTGATCCTCAATATTCTCATCTGCAAAATGGGGACAATGATTATAGTATCTGACTACCTTACAGGGTTCTTAAGAAGCAGGCAGTGAGCCTAAAGTGGTCAGCACAGTGCCTGGCTCAAGCACCTGCTATTATATTGGCTGTGGTGATGGTGGCTACTGACCATAGCAGGCCACCAGCCAACACAGGAACAGGCCTGTTTATCCAGCTCCCTTCTTCAGGCCTCAGAGCCCTTGCCCTTTTCTGTCTGTCCTGAAAGACAGAAGCCTATCTCAGGGCTCAATCATTTCACTGAAATAATGAGTTCCCTGAATGTCAGAGCCACCCATTGTAACCTGGAAAGACCAAAATATACTCCAAAGCCAGACAGAAAATTATTTTGGGGTTGTACCTTGTTTAGGATCGTACATTGCTTTGAGTTATCCGGGAGCTGTCTTAGTCACTCTGGGGGCATGTCTGGGTCTTGGCTTCTCTCATTACCACAGATGCCCTGGCAAGCTTAGCAGTGACTCTCTCATACCTGCCTCCTGGGGACCCTGTCCCTGGGCAGGGGGGTGGACACTGAGCTGGTGTGGGGGAGGACGGTGCTGAAGAAAGGGTGGCTGGACCCCTCCTGCATGCCACAGCCCTCCCTGCCCTGGGTCCTGGGACAGGGCAGGCTGGGATGTGGGGACCATGGGTGGGGGCTGGGGACCATAAGTGACTTCCTTCTCTCTCGACAGTTGCTGATGGAGACGGTGGGCTCCGACATCCGCAGCTGCCCCCTCTGCCAGCTGGGTTTCCCTGTCGGGTACCCGGATGATGCCCTCATCAAACACATTGACTCCCACCTGGAGAACAGCAAGATCTAGGGCACCAGCCCCACCCACTGGCTGTTTCTCCGTCCTCTCCTATCACCCCCAAACACTCACTTTGAATGCTGCATGAATCTCGTGGGGGGTCCCTGCCCTTGCGACCCCCAGATACCTCCACTTGCTACCGAGTCAACGTGTGTGCCATCTTCCCTGGTCCAGGCACCACTCAGCTCTGGCTCTTCCTGGGAGGTCAGCCGAGGCTCCCCCCATGCTCCTGGTTTCTGCTTAGGAGGTGGGGACTTGGGCTGGGATGGGGACGGCATACCCCTCCCAGGCCTCTCCCTCTGCCTTTCTGTTCTTAATCAGGGTTGGATCCAAGAAGGTGTCCAGTGCTTGGGCCTGGGGTGGGGGGAAGGTGTTAGAGGACTCCAGGAGCTCCTGCACCCCTCCCCAAATGTCCATCTTTCTCAGACGGGGCTCTGTCTGGGGAGCACCCACAGGCTGCCTTTGGGGTCCCAGAGCCTGCTCTGTGCACTGACCCCAGTTCCTCCATCCTGTGGCCAGCCTAGGGCTCATGGCATGGGCCCCCACTGGGGGAGGGAGGCATCTTGTTTCTTGTGGTTCCCTGCAGGCCAGTCCTGTCCTCCTTTCCCTGTTCTGCCCACTCTGGGGAATAGGGAGGGGAGGAGAGGAGAGGAGAGGGAGGATCCTGGAGGACTGGGAAGATCTAGCCTAAAGAGGCTTCTCTGAGGGCCAGGGCCCTACAGCATGCCCCTACGGCCAGGGGACTGTCTGCCAGCCTCCCAGGCCCATGCCCTCCTGGTGCCCCTGGCACTGAGGCACAGATCGTCAAGGCAGGTACCCCCTCAACCCTTCTTCCACTGGAGCCCCTGACACCACAGGTGCCCTGGAGCCCTTGTGTGACTCAGCCTCTGTTAGCTGGGTGGGTGTCATCAGCCCCTGCCTCCCAGGCCAGAACCTGAGAACGGGCCCAGGGTGCTGTGGAGATCAACTTCAAAAGAGCTAACCCCTTCCCACACTCCACCCACCCACCTACATTTCCTCTGTGAAATCTACCTCAGAGTTGTACCCTCAGAAGGACGGGTAAGCAGGAGGCCAGGGGGTCCCCAGGGCTGAGGTGGGGAGCCTTCTACGGCGAAAGCCTGCCACCCCACAATGAATCCACCCTGCTCCACTGCGCGCCTCTCCCAGGTCTCAGCTCTGGGTGGGGAGCAGTGGCCGCTACCGACAGCGCATGTCCCGCTCTTATCCAACTCTTCCAGGCCCCACCTCCCTGCACCCCTCCCCTCTATAGAGCAGGGGAGTGAAGGGGTATGTCAGGCGGGGAAGGGGCCAAGGACACGTCATTGTACCCTGAGCGTCCCCAGGGAGTGGAAATGGGGAAGGGGGCCTGGAGAGGGGAGGCAGGGGCCCCTGTGCTCTCTGAACAAGTTGAAAGTCCAAATAAAACTTACCTGTTCCATCTGTGCTCAATCTGTGCCCTCTGTGGCTGGGGGCAGGGCGGGGGACGGGTAGAGCCCTTGGTAGCAGGAGGTCTTGGAAAGTGTGTCTCAAGGGACTGTGACCATGGGAGGTAGACACTGGGCAAGTAGGGGATGCATGGGGCACCCACATTCAGAGCGGTTCTGGAGGTTCAGATGTGTAAGTGGTTGCAGATGACTTGTGGCACGGCAGTCATTAGAACAGATAGATACAAAGCAGTCACCCAGCCCTGAGCAGGCCTCTTGAATTTCCCACCCAGTAGGTCTGGCCAGTCAAGGTTCTAAAGCCTTGGGGTTTATCAGTAACAGTTATGTATTCATCAAATGATTTCTGCTTGTCAGGAACCAGGCTGGGGCCTCAAAGAGGAAGAACATCCGTGTTCCATGTCCTCATGGGTCTAAGAACAGGGGAGGGGCTGGGTTCCAGGCTCAGCAGCTGCCTCGGAAGTCCCACAGCCTGAAAAGTCAGAGCTGGGTCATGAACCCATGACTTCTGCCCCAGCCGGGGCTGTGCCCTGTGTCTGCAAAAAGTGCTTCAGTGACTTGTTCATCAACTGGGTGCCTTTCTCTTCCATGTGGCCATTTTTGGTCAATGGTTCACTTAAAAACAAAAAGGGGACAAAGGCAATTGCTCATTGAAGGTGTGAGGTTCAGCTCTAGACCCAGGGCAAATGTGCCTTCCCATTCAGTGCCAAAGTCCAGACCCCCATGGGAAGACTTCCCAGCTGCCCTGGGTTCTCTGTTGCAGTTAACAACTATGCTGCCCTCTCAAAGTTCATCCAAGCTCAATTGTGCCCGTGGCCAAGTTCTGAGTGCCAGGAGAAGTTTGACCAGCCTTCCCTATGTGACATGGGTTCACAGCCCTGGGAAAGAAGGTTCTGGAACCTTTGGCACATGGGTGCCCGTGTAGTGCCCCCTGCTATTTCTCCACCTCCATGGAGGAAGGCAGCACCCGAGTTTCTGGACCTGGGTGCCATTTGGATCTTTGGAAGCACTTAGGAGATGTGCATGAATGAATAAGGGTGGTCTAGGGACACATGAGGCAAAGAGAAATCCTGCTGTTGAGAAAAGGCACAAAGGATGGCTGGGAATGAGAGCACAGAGGCAGGGGGATGACCCAGGTAACCACTGCTGGTCCTTGAGTATGTCTGAAGGTGGGAGGGAACCCAGGTGTCCTGCAACCTGGACATTCCCCTGTCACCAGGGTGAGGGGGAGTGTGGGGACACAGGGCGCAGGTTCTGGCAGCTTGTCTCCTTGATTTCTAGGGGCCTGGGAGACGGCTCAGGTGCAGGGCGGAAAGTTGCTGGGGGCTGGGAGGGAAGGCTGGGAAGGAGAGAAAGCTAGCGTGCCCCAGCCTTTCCTCTAATCCTCCCCCTCACCCCTGCCACCAAAAGGAGAGGACATGGTGTGGGGAGATGGGGAAGGGCTAGGGAGCCCTGCCAGTCCTTCTCTCAAGGGCTGTGATCATGGAAGGACACTTGATATGCATTACTCTGTGGAGACAGGGAGGCAGGGCACTGGGGCTGAGAAAATGCAGAGGCAAAGGGGTCTCTAGGCTCCCGGAAAGGGGAAGGGGGTGGGAAAACTGCGGCAGGAGCAAGGCGGAGGGAGGGAAGACCTCTGTCGAGGCTGGAAAGACACACGTGGGGGACCCACTCACTCTCCCAAAGCCAGACATGCAGGGTTGGGGGAAGACAACTTCACAGGGAACAAGCCACCCTCGGGCGCATCGCCACATGCTGTATTAAAGGCCAGTGTCCCACAGTCTCTCCGGCTATGCCCCTTCTCCCCACAGGGTTTCCCCAGCCAGTGCTACTAGGCCATGGAGACCCCTGCCCCTGGCCTGGGTCCCCATGCAGGCTGTGTCAGGAGATCAGCTGAGTGCAGCAACAGCTCCTTTCAGCAGCTGGTGGTGCATGTACGTGCACATGTGTGCGGGACAGTGTATGTTGGGAGCATCGGATCCTAACAAGGGGAGGGGTGTGTGGGTGAGTCAGCCGTGTTAATCAGAAACACCTTACCCAGCTGATTAGGACTAATGAAGAATGGAGTGGGTGGGGGGCTCACTCAGTGACGTCTTTATAGAGTAGGGAAAGCTGGACAGTTCCCCCAGTCCCATCTCTCCCTCTGCAAGGACAAGAACAGACCAACTTTGGCGGCCACAGGAAGAATAGAGGTCAGATATAAGGATGAACCACAAGGGCCGGGCATCCTAGCTGGGAAGGGGCGGGCAAGGTGTCTGAGGCAGCGGCCAGGTAATGTGGGGAAAATGTGTGAAATCCTCCAGCACCTGCCCCTATTCCTGCACTTCCTCCACTTTCTCTGTTTTGACCCCAGAGACATTCTCAGTGCTCAAGGCTGCGCCCCCTGGTTGCCTTCTAAGAGCCAACCCACATCTGCTGCACCGGAGCCCGGTGAGCACGTGAGCCATGCTGTTCAGGAGCCTCCAGCCGTGCCCTTTACACCGCAGCCCAGGACAGAAGGCTCTGGCTTGAGGCACTTACTGGTTTGTGCATTCACTGTTCATGCAGATGCCATGTAGATGCCATGTGGCTCTGTCATGACCAGGGAGGTCTGGCAGGGCTGAGGGCACAAAGGGGCTGCACAGGGGGAACCTGGGCATCAGCTAGAGGCCCTCTCGCACCTGCCCTTCCTTGGGGCAGAGGCAGATGCCCCTGAGAACCCAGTCTCAGCCCACAGCTTCACCCATCCTGCATGCCAATTCAGCCAAGGGCAGAGTCACCAGGCGCATCTCACAGATGTCCCATTCGGCTATGTGAGTGTGGGCATGGGGGAGGGGGAGGGCTGAGGGGACAGGATGGGTGTCGGCCAGCACCTCAAACACCTCCTAATTTGCATTACCACTGACACCCTTCTTGACCAAGAAAATGGAGCCAGAAATAACAAGGGGGGAGGCGGTTCCCTTGAGGGGGACTTTGAGGTTCCCTTTCCTTGCCTCCAACACTCCCACGGTGCAGGGGACAGGAGGTCAGCCCCACAGCAGGGCCCTGGGCAGGGGAAATGCACCTGCTGTGGCTCATCCCTCTCCAGGTTGGGCAGACACCTCTTTCTAGCTTCCCACTTCCCTCAACCCCAAACACCTGAGCCCTGACCTTTCCCTCTTCAGAGCCTTCCCCACTGTCTTTTCCTCTGGGAACCCTCTCCCTGGTGCCCCTCTGGCAGCGGTAATGACCCCAGCTCTACCTAACTGGGGAGTTGTCTCTGCCAGTGTTCTCAGTCTGTGTCCTGCCTTCCCCATCAGACTGGGCATTTCCCAGGGCCAAGGTCTGAACCTCCCCTGCCAATCTGGGACCAGCTCAGTGGACCATTCTACATGGGAAATAGGCCACACAATAGAGCAGAAGAGCTTGCGATGAGATTCTAAAAATGGCATGAGGTAAATCCGGGTCCGGTGTGAGACTGTGGCTGTGTGGTGGGGCAAAGGTAGACCCCCGTCCCCGCAACCCCAGGGACTCCCAGCTCTGTTAGAGGCCTCTGAGTGTCAGGCAATGGGATCCTGGAAGAAAAGGATCAGGACCGTGGCAGCGCGACACTTCTATCCCCTGCCCCAGTGACTGAGGCACAGACTCACAGACACATTTGATGCTCAAACTGTGTGGATTGAATTTACTTCTGTCCCAAAGAGGGGAGGGAATGGTGTGACAGTCACGGCTTGGAAGTGGGAAATGATGGGCCATGGAGAGCAGGCCCCCTCTCTGGCCAAGAGGTCCTGGCACCTGGCAGGGCGAGGTGGAGGCAGAGCAGAAGGGCCTGGCAGGGAAACCAGGTCGTGAGAGACAGTGAGAGAGCTGTGAACGCACTGTGGGAAGGAGAGAACAGTGAACTGAGAACTCCCCCACTCCTCCCTCCAGAGATGCTATTTTAGGGGGAGAAAATATATGCAGCGCAGGGGGCAGGGGTGGGGGAGCAGGCTCTCCATGGGGTCAGCTGGGCTACTGCTGCCCTCCTAGGCATCTTCTTTGGCCCTGGGACACCTAAGCACTTCCTTCCTCTCTGGGAAAGTCTTCTTGTTCCCTTGAGTGTGAGGGTGGAAAGAACGAGCCAGGAGATTTGGAGCTGGCCTCTTGGTACCCTGTGAGGGTCCCTGGGGCCTCAGACCTAGGGGGAAGTTTCTATTTCCGTTGCTTCCTTGGAAGGTGGGTGTGGAGGGCAGACTGTGAGGCAGGCACGGAGCCCGGTTCAGCAGGCCTGAGTACTTCTTGCACCCAACTCCACACTTAGGCACTCTGCGCAGATCCTCCCTTAGTGTCAAGCAGGGGGAGTGAAATTTGGTGTTAGAGGAGGCCAGGGCGAAAGGCGCATCCAGGCCAGCCGAGCTTCCACAGGTGGTTGGACCCCTCCCAATGGGGAGGCTGACCTGCTCCTTGGCCCAAGGAGGCTGGGTGGAGATTGCTATTAGATAGAACCCTTGCTTGGCATGAAGGGAAATTCTTGCACCCCAGTTCAACCCTCTGAAGGGCCCTGACTCATTTTGGGATGAAGGCTCCAATGCCCTGTGGGTTTCTGTGGTGGCTGGGGACAGGGGTGGGCAGGGAGGGTAGGGGATGAACAAAGACTTTTGTTTTCTTTTTTGGAGCTGGGTTGTTTCTCCACCTGATCCAGCTTCACCTGAAGGAGAGCATTGGCTGGAGTGGGAAGAAGACCCAACTTCCAGCCTGGGAGGTGCTGGGCACTGGCTGCAGTAGAAGGAACCTTCGGTTAAACTTTAGGAAGAACTTCCTGCGGACACATTTCCAAAGAAGAACTGAGGGATCCTGTCCCCTGGATGTTCCCCACAGCAGATCCCTAGAGGGATCTGGGAGCTTGGCCTGGCCTTGGGAACAGAGGCAGAGAGATGAACAGAGAGACCCACTGCGGGTGGGGAGTGGGTGGCAGAAGGCTCCAGGCAGGAGGGATGAGGGTGGGTCCAGGCGTGAGAACACACATGTCCCCAGGCCACAGCCTGCGTTGAGGGATCTGAGGTGGAAGAGTACAGGGAGGAAAGGCTACCTCTCCGCACCTCCTCTCACCTGTCCTGTCTTCCTGCTTTTCTTCTTCTGGCCTTATGGGCCAGGGCAGAGAGGGGGTGGGAAGAAACGGCTCTGGTCCTTCTACCCGTTCCTCCCTTGAGCAAGAGGCCTGCAGGACTTCTTGGTGGGGAGACTGAGATGAAACCTCATTTGGAGCCTCAAAGGTCAATGCAACAGTGGAGCCAAGTCCCCTGGGGTAGAGCAGCTGGAGGCAGCCAATGAGGCGAGAGGCAGGGGACCATGTCACTTTGAAGGGATGCCCATGCCAGGCCTCCAGCCCAGAGGTGAGAAGGTGGCCAGGCTGACTGAATAATGATCTTGCCCCTCCCCTTTCATGGGGCCCTTGGCCTTGTGGGTGTTGCAGGAGCCGAACTCTCCCTTCTCCCCACAGACAGCAAAAGCACACTGTGGATGGGAGGTGAGGGGGAGGATCAGGAGATGGTGTGAAAGAAATAGTTCACCCCTGCATGGGTGAGGGGGAAGGGAGAGGACAGTGCCCCCTGGTGCTGGCCTCTGTGTGTGCCCAGCACACACACACAACTCACATGAGGGATCAGAGAGCCCTATGCCCACCTGGACACTCCACTCCTTCCCAGACTGGCAAATGGTTGTGCCTGAGGACAGAAGCAGTGCAGAGGTGAGACTTCGCACAGGGTCTCAGGACTCCCTGCGTCCTCTGAGCTCAGAGGTGTGTGTCTCTGATCTCAGGTGCTGCCCTAGTCCCCCACAGTGGGCACAGGTGGGTCTCCTTCCCACGGATGGTCAAGCAGTTGCATTGTCACCACACCACCCTCCAGACTCACCCTGTCACATCACCCCAGATACACAAAGCACACGGACCGACCCAGTTCCATGCTCATCCCTTCCCCACCTACCAGGCTTCCAGGGACACCCACGTGCAGGGACACACTCCTCCCAACACACACAGCCAGGATCACAGTGCCACACAGGTGTGTCCCACGTGCCACAGGAACCGAGGAATAGTGCACACTAACACATGCATGGAAATCCCACACCCATATGCAGACGCGTACACTCCTGGCTCTGAAGCTGACCTCATTATCCAGTGGTGTGCTGGCAAATGTTTAACAACCAGCTCTCCAATGTAAGCTACCTCAGCACTGAGCACTGGGAAGAGATACTCATAATTGGCTCTTGAGAGCTGGCATGAGCCAGCTCCAGCCCACCACTCCATTATCCTTCATAGAAATCACATGATAAAACTTAAAACGCAGCTGGGCAGCCCCAAGGAGGGCTGCACCTGGGCAGCAGTGACTCATCAGGGCAGCTTTTTTCCCCGTGGGAGTGCCTCCCCTTCCCTAGCTTCACGCACCTCCCCACTCCTGTCTGGACCCCACTTCCTGCCCCTCTCATTCCTCCTCCTTCCTCTCTGTCACTCAGGGCTGTGAGCTGTGGCTGGTACTCAGGCACATCTCGTTCATCCTTTCTCTCTCTGCCATGGCTGAGGCCACCAGGTGTGGAGGGTGACAGGCTCATTCCTAATTCTAGTAGGCTTCCTGGAGGAAGAGGACACGGCAATGCCATATGTTACCAAAATGCTGTAGCTGTCTGTGCCTGGGCTGCCACTGACCTGTATCCACATCCTTGAGCCAAGTCCATTCCTCTTTACTTTCTTCTTCTGTCTGGTCATGAGGACAAGGGGTCTGGTTTACACTGAAAATTGTGAGAAGGGGAGGGAATTCTCAGCTTGCAGGGTAGCGAAGGAAGCCGTTTAGAGCCTGTTCTGAGAGTGAGCACCTCTGGTTCTAGCCGCACTCTGTGAACACTGTGCGGTTTCTCAGTGCTTCTGTTCCTCAGTGGACTAGGTGGTTTAATTTCCATCACGGCTCTGACATTTTGGCATTCTATATTTCTGAGATTACTCCAAACTCCACTCAGCAGGAAGCTTCCCTTAGAGCTAATCTTGATCTCTTTCCCTGTAGCTCATGAGGGAGGTGACAGATGTGGTTCGGGAGTATACCTGGGGGACTCAGGGGCCTCTGCTCTTGGTTGTGACTCCTAGATTATTCCTGCCAGGCACACATGTAATGGGGCAGGGGCAGAGAGAGAAGGAGAGAGAGAGGAGGGAATAAGGAAGGAAGAGAAAGGAAAGGAAGAAAAGAGGGAAGGAAAGAAAAATGAAAGAGGGAAAGAGAAAGGAAGTGAAATGATATGAAAGAAGAAAGGAGGGGAAATGAAGGAAAACAAAAGAGAAAAGCAAAGCAAAAGGGCTCATCGTGGATGCAGAAAGCAGCCAGCCTTGCCAGTAAAGTAGCCAGGGGTACATGGAGGGGATACAGAAGGCTGTTTCTGGTTGTTGCAAACCCTGTCTGTGTGAATCTGTAAAGTGGGTGCAGTTCTGGGTCTTGCTGAGCCTTGGGCTGGGTCGTGCTAGGGCAGAGTGCTCTGGGCAGGGGCTGGGGTCCGGGAGTCAGCCCACTCCTCTGCCCAGGGCCTCCTGCCACTGCTTTGCTGCTCCTTCTGAAAACAACTGAAACCGCAAAATTGGCTTGTGGTCGGGTGACTATCAGTCACTGCTATTCAGCTTGGCTTCCTAGGATGACTAAGGGGGTTAAAAGTCCCTCCCATTAGCCCCCCAGATTTTCAGGGGAGTCAGAGGCCAAGACAGAACATTGTTTTCTTTGGAGGCTTTTGCTAGGGTCTGAGTTCCCAAGTGGCAGGGCCTGCGCGCACTGTGTCTCGCAATGTCTGTGGGTTCAGGAGCTGGGGGGTCACCAAGGTGGAGGTAGCAGTATCCCTGGGCTTGCACACCCAGCAGCTTGGAGTGGGGAGGGGTTGGGGTGGAGGACGCCTGGGTCATCAAAAGAGTCTCCTTTCAACATGCCTCTTCTGGTCCCAGTTCTCGGGGTAGCTAAGCTGCTGATGCTGCTAGTGGGACTGGGTATCATGGGTCCCCTTGGCAGGGCCTGGGCACCAGCTAGGCAGCCCAGCTGCTTGAGCTGCAGAGAGTGCTGGAACTGCCCCTGCTGTGCTGAACATCCCAGGTGCTGGGTCCTCCTGATTCCCCATGGGGTTAGAAAATTCACAACCTGGGAGGCAGGAGGGTGGGCTCTACAGGGTTCTGTATTCCCTTTTAGTGGCTCTGAGCCGTCTTGCTCTGACTCGATTTCTCCTTGAGATGAAAGGCTTGGATTATCTCAGCACTGACCTTTCGCGTATCTGTGATGCTAGAGAAGAAAGGGAAAAGGCAACCACTTTGTAGACCCGCAGGCCCCCTCACCACACTGCCCGGCTATCCAGAAGGTCCTGCCCACATCCAGCGCTGCCCTCCTCTCTCTTTGTGACTGCCCGTGGTCTCAGTTTCTCTCTTTCCCTCTCTTTCTTTCTCCCTCTGTCCTGCTCACTTTCTGTTTAGGCTCCCTCATACTCCCCCCACCCCTGACAGCGAGGTGCACGTGAGTTCTTCTGATTGCTGACCTAGACCTTCCTAACCACTCCCCGGCTGGGTTCAATTTCCCCAAGGGGTGAGACCCTCCCCAAACTCTCCCACCTACATCCAGGGTCTAGGGGTGGAGTTTTGATATCTCTTTGAGCCCTCAAACAGATGGGAAGGTTGAGGGTCTGCATGGCACGTCTGTGACCTGCCCCCACCAGGCCGAGGGTCCTCTGCTGGGAGGAGGAGCCAGTTTTCTGAGAGGGAGGTGCCGGTATCCTCAGAGACTCCTGAATTCCCAACCCTTCCCTCCCGAGGTGGGCGGGTCTCCTCACAGGGAGGCGGAGGGAATCCGCTTAATACCCAGGGATCAATGCCAAGCGGGGGAGCGGGACGCCGATCAGACATGTGACTCGGGAGGCATGATGAGCACGTGCAGACCCAGAACGTGTGAAGAACATACGTGTGGAAAAAGTTTGTGTCACTGATAGGCACATCAGAGGCATGACACCTTCCTTCCCTCCTCCACCCGCCCTCTCCCTCGGGGGGCTAGAGGGCCCCCCTACATACCAACCACACACGTGTTTTAAGTGTGTGTGCACACGCACACATGCAGCCGTCTGGAAGAGCATGGCCGGGGAGCTGGGCTGGAGGGGTGGAGGGGGAAGGGAGAGGAAGGCAGGGTCGCCCCACCCCCACCCCGTGCCCGTGCCTACCGAGTGCCGCCTCCCGGTGGCTGGTGAGGTCTCTGCCCCCTTGACTTTTCCCTGCTTCGAGGAAACACCTCCCTTTAGGGGAAAGCGAGATGGTGAGGGGAAGGAGGGGAAGCACTGACTCTCGGCAGAGGCATGAGCCTGATTTTCCAGTCCGGGGAGGGGCGGAGGGAGATGGCACTGGGGACGCCCGGGCGATGGGGCCTGACTCAGAGCCAGAACCACAGGGCTCCTCCGCTGTATTGTCGTCGGGGAACTAGAAGCCACCAGGTTTATAAGAAACTGCAATTCATCTCTGCCCTCTTCCACCCCTCTGCAAGGGATCAAGGTTAGACTAGAAGAAGAACTTATAGCCCGGGGCAAGAAAGGGACTCTGCCTCAGGTGATTTTTTTGGAAGCCTTCCCTGGGTTTCTTCGAGAAGAAGGGCCTGCCCCAAGGGGGTTAGATCGTAAGAAGAGCCTGGGGCCAGGGCGTGGGGCCCCCCATTTCCCTGTTTGTTGTCAAGGAAAGCCCCCTCCTCACTTCCAGCCCGGAACAGGAGCTCCTAAGAGCTGTCGACAGAGCTACTGCTGAGGCTGCGGCAGGGGCATACAGGGATCCCCAGAATCCCAGGCAGTCTGGCTGGCATGGAGGGGATGAGGCAGCTGGTGGCTCCACTTGGCTCTGCTGCCTCACTCTTGGCCACTGGCTCACGTGTCCCAAGGTGAAAAGCAAGAGGGAGGAGAGTGCAGGTTCGATTAGCAGGAGGGCAGAGCAGAAGGTGTGATGAACTTAGGCGTGGGCAGAAAGACGGAAGCACTGCCTGGCAGGGCACATGCCCAGTGGCATTCTCTTCCCATTCTAGGAGCTGCCCAGGCCCCTTCCCTCCTCAGGCAGAAACACCTAACAGCTTGGATGGCTGGCAGTGGGCTCCGTTGCCTGGGGCAGGGAGTTTGGAGAAGTGAGGAAGGCTCCTGCCTCTCACTCCACCTGGAAACCAGGACTCCTGGGTCCTTCCCATCTGGACTCATCTTCCTCCACTGCCACAGTGGCTGCTGTGTGACGAAGCTAGTCCCTGCCCCTTTCGGTCTCTCAGCCCTGCTTCCCCACTCCTACCCCATCAGCAGGATGGGATTTGCTGAGTAACGGGGTCGGGTTCTGCAGGGTCATCAGACAGAAAGGACACCAGGAGAGGTGAGAAGAGGCCTGGGTTGAGGGAAGGGTAATGTCAATTAGGACACCAGGATGACTTCCCAAAACATAGGGGAACACTCACTGGGTGACATAGAGGGCCCTTCCATCTTGCCTTTCTCCAGAGGGAATAAGGAGAAGGACTCAGCCCGGGTTGGGTTGGGTACCTTATAAGGAGAGAGGGTCAGGGGATAAAAATAACTGAGAGCCTGGGAAAATTGTGTCACCTCTCTGAGCACCAGCTTCTCATCTGCAAAATGGGAACGATAGTGTCCTCTTCACACAGGTGTGGGAGGCTCCACTCAGGAAAGTGCACAGTAAGTGTTCATTAGGTCACCAGCCATGTGATCTTGACAAGGTATTTAACTTTTCTTTTTTTTTTTGAGACAGAATCTCTGTCTGTTGCCCAGGCTGGAGAGCAATGGCACGATCTCGGCTCAGTGCAGCCTCTGCCTCCTGGGTTCAAGCAATTATCCTGTCTCAGCCTCTTAGTATCTGGGATTACAGGCATGTGCCATCACGCCCGGCTAATTTTTGTGTTTTTAGTAGAGATGGAGTTTCACCATATTGGCCAGGCTGATCTCGAACTCCTGACCTCCAGTGATACACCCATCTCAGCCTCCCAAAGTGCTGGGATTACAGGCATGAGCCACTGTGCCCAGCTGGTACTTAACTTTTTTTTTTTTGAGATGGAGTCTCGCTCTGTCACCAGGCTGTAGTGCAGTGGCACAATCCCAGATCACTGCAACCTCCAACTCCCTCGTTCAAGCAATTCTCCTGCCTCAGCCTCCTGAGTAGCTGGGACTACAGGCGCGTGCCACCACACCAGGTAATTTTTGTATTTTTAGTAGAGACGGGGTTTCACCATGTTGGCCAGGATGGTCTCAATCTCCTGACCCTGTGATCCTCCCGCCTCGGCCTCCCAAAGTGCTGGGATTACAGACATGAGCCACTGTGCCTGGCTGATACTTAACTTTTTTATATCTCAGTTTCCTTGTCTGTAAAATGGGAACAATGGTTCCCACCCAGTTGCCTTCACACCATTGTGAAGTCTAATGAAATCAAAGGTATATTGACTAGTCTTAACCAAAAAAAAAAAAAAAAAAAAGAAGAGAGAGAGAGAGAAAGAAAGAAAGGAAATAAAGGGTACGAGTTGCCTGGGGATGTTCTTTTTTTTTTTTTTTTTGACAGTCTCTCTCTGTTGCCCAGGCTGGAGTGCAGTGGTACAGCCTCAGCTCACTGCAACCTCCGCCTCCCGGGTCCAAGCAATTCTCCTGCCTCAGCCTCCCTAGTAGGTGGGATTACAGGCACCTACCACCACGACCAGATAGGTTTTTTTGTATTTTTAGTAGAGATGGGGTTTCACCATGTTGGTCAGGCTGGTTTCGAACTCCTGATCTCAAGTGATCTGCCCACTTCGGCCTCCCAAAGTGCTAGGATTACAGGCATGAGCCACTATGCCTGGCCGGGATATTCTCTTATCTCATCCTTTACCCCTCAACCCAGAGTGGTGATAGGAGGAGGGGGTTAATTAGGAAGAACTGGGGTTTTTACAGTTTCCAAACTCACTGGGAGTCAAGGATTGAGACAAAGTACAAGCTAGATTTGGCAACATCCAGGGTCATGCATGGGAACCTGGGAGCCCCATGCCCCACTGCCTATTTGCAGGGCCCTGGGTCTTGGGTGGCCCTAGTTCAGTGTGTGCATGTGTGTGAAATGCAAGGTGATGAGGTCAGTATCTCAACTCCCAGTTACTGGTCCAGTTGCTAAGAACTTGCCTGACCATAACCATCCTTTCCCAACTCACAGAATGTCAGGTTCTGATGCCAGTGATTGGAAAGAAATGGCGGTGAGCAAGGAGAGGGGGCAATGCTGGGCAGCCATGCCACCTTTATGTCCCCTGTGGCCAGAGACGTGGGTCCAGGGCCCTTCTCAGTGCCCAGCTCGGTCCAGCCAGCTGCCCATGGCCCTGGTGGGAGGAGGTAGGCTGGACGCCTTCTGACACTTCCTGGGTAACTGAGCGGGGCAAGCAGCAAACAGCAGGCTCCTGGGGAAATCTCAGACTTGTGTGTCAGAGCGGATCTGTGTCTGGGGTGGTAAGTGGGGTTAAACTCAAGGTCAGACCTAGCCAATCCATTTTCGCGCCAACATGGCCTTGGGTGTCCTCCATTCCAGTGGCTGGGACCCAGGTGCCCACTCAGCTGGAGACAGCACTGCTGGGAGCCTAATGCCTGGTTTGTCCCTCTGCTTCACACACTGGTTGCTTGCCTGATTTCTGCCTGTGCCTAGGATTTATAAGGAAGGGAGTTGTGGCATGTGGATCCCAGGCCTCCGTTCTACTCCCAAATTTCAGGTGCTAATCTCTCCATGAGTTTCAGTGACCTCAGAAAAGGAAATGGGATTAAGCTGCAATTTAAGGGGTTGTGGGAAGACAGCTGAAAGAATGTCCCAGTCTTCAGTAGAGGAGGTGGGAGGTGGCTGTAAACTGCCTAAATCGGGGGAACACTACCAGGAATCTCAAATTGCTGTACAATGCAGACACAGTCAATCAGCCTCCACCTACTTAGATCTCTAAGTGCTTAGAGATCACCAACCTGTCCCAGGCTCCTGAGTCTATTACCTCACTCCTCCTTGTTCTCTGCCTTTCCCAGGCTACTGTGGTTATGATTTGTGGCAGAAGTTGGGAAGGCAGAAAAGGAGAGAAGGAGGGAAAAGGACAATCTGAGAACAAGCTGGAGGGCCAAAGTGGACCCCTTGCAGAGTTGGCAAGATGGCAAAGGGGATGCAGTGGCAGGTGAATTAGTTCAGATGGGCAAGAAATGTAGGATAAGTCAGCAAGCTGCCTTTGCGCAGGAGATCCCTAGGTGAGAAGGTAAGAAGGGCTTCCACATGCGGCAGTAGCCTCAGTGTTTCTGGAATGGAGTTTGTATATATGTTGTGGGTGGGGTAGGGGGAACAGAAGAAGAGCTGCAGCATCCTGCCTTTGAGGAGGAAGATGGTACAACAGGAAGGCCAGGAGGTGGGCTGCAGGTAAAATGTCCCCGTGAGACAGGGTTGAGGGAAGCAGAGGGCCAGCTGCTGGGCCTGCAGCCTTCTTGCCCCCACTCCCAGCTCACCCGCCCACTGCAAACACTCCTCAGCTCCCCCACCCCATTCTGGCCCACAGCCCTGGGGAAGCGACATGGCGTTCTCACCACGGACCCAGTGCCGGCTGTGGCTTCTTCCCTCTGACCTATTTTTTAATCATTTGATGGGATTTTTCCCCCCCAAACCAAACCCCCAGCCCCCTGGGCCCGTCAGCTCCACCGCGTGTCAAAACCACCCCTGTCACTTTGCGTTGGTTTCTCAGTCCAGCCAGCCCCTCCCCGCAGGGCCTGAGAGCGATGGCTAATTACCCAGCTGCTGAACGCCCCCCACTCCTGCCCCTCCACCCCTAGCCCTGACAGAGGGGCCCTGGAGGACTGCTGGGAGAAGCTGGGGCCTCCTCACCCTCCCACTGCTTGGCAGGAAGTCCTTCCTGCTGTCTAACCTCCATTCTTCCCTCTGTCCTGCCCCTAGTGGTGCTGAATCGCAGACACAGAGGCTGTTGGTACTATAAGGGTCTTTGGGATACCTCCTTAAGGGACAGAAAGGGGCAACTAGTCTTCTGTCCTGGGTTTAGGGATGTCTTCTGTCACTCTGGCTCTCTAACAGAATTCTAGGGGATGGTCCTTGCTGTCTCATTTTACAGAGCAGAAAACTGCGACACACAGAGGGAAAGGGCCTAGCCCAAGGTGATCTACGCCAGTGGCGGAGCCAGAATCAGAACCTAGAGTTCCATGTTTGTCTTTCCACCTGTTTCTGGGTCCTGTTTCTGGTATGTAGAGGGCCCACCCCCACATACCAACTAGGTCTGTTTCTGTTTCTGTGCAACTCCGCTGCCAGCCCTGAGCAGGTGTGTTCCCTGCCATGCCCTCTCTCCCTTGCCCCCTGGCCACACAGAGCTTCACCCTGGCATTTCAGGGCTGGGCAGCTTGCTTCAGGCACTATTTAGGAATGGGACTCTTTCCCCCAATACCACCCATGCCCTTTTCCCTCTTCCTCTCTCATTCATCCCTAACCAAGTCCGTAAGTCTGCTCTGTCTCACCCGCACCCTGAGACATTAACCAGGTGGACAAGGCAAAAAGCTCTAGGCCAGACACAGGAAGGCCAGAGCCAACTCACAGATGAGGCCTAGTCCCAGATGGACAGATAGACATGCAGGAGATACATGGAGCGCTGGATAGCCCTGGAGACACGGACAGTGACATGAAGATGCAGAGACAGACACAAACACGCTACAGAGACAAGGCAAGTTCCGAGGCCCACAGGTAACAGACAGACACAGAGACGCAGACAGAGGCACAGAACCTACACTCAGGACCAGCGTGCAGACCTCTCACAGGTCCCAGGGATAGGAGTGGACGTAAAGAGGATACACAAGACGCAGGCAAAAACACAGGGACCCAGAGAGGGGCCGAATCAGACCAGAGGAACCCAGACACTCAGGAGCCCTGAGAGACATGGGCACACAGGGCTGCCCACAGATCCCAGGAAGCCAGAGAGAACCTTGGGGAGAGAGGAGGCCCCAGGGGGTGGGTGGCCCTCTGAAGGACAGCGAGGCCTGGCCTGGCAGAGCCTGACTGTGCCAGGAAGTCATGCCAAGATGGCAAGATGGGAAGCAGAGAGGAGCTTGGCAGCGTGGGGGTTAACCCCTCAGCCTGTGCCCTCCCTCCAAGTCCCTTTTCCTTGGCTCTTCTTTTTCTTCCCTCCTCTCCCAGCTCCTTTTACCCAAAGCCCTGGATATTTCCCGCCTCCCCAGCCCAACTCCTGGTAACCAGACCCTGCTTCCTGCCTGAGATTAAGGGCCTGTCTGCTGAGAGGCAGGAAGGGTGGGGGCACAGCCTCTCCCCAGTGCCTCCTGAAGCTTGGGCTTGCCCATCCATACTGTGGCATGCCCTCCTGATAACAGAGTTACCCAAGTACCTGATGTCTGAATATCCCTTCAGGAGGGCGCAGGAGCCCTAGCCTGGGAGTGCAGCGGGGGCGGCCTACTGCATGCGTGGGTGTGCATGGAGGGTGTGGGTCTTATGTGAAATGCTGGCAGGGGTGAGAGCAGCTAGAGATAGAGAGAGGATAGATGATTCAAAATAAGATGCCACGGAGAAGGAGGACTGAAAGGCACCCAGGCCTGGCCTGGAGCCCAGGGGTAAGGGCCGCTCAGGCTTGGTGGGGGGTGTGTGGGGAAGGGTGACCCAGCCTGCAGATGAGAGCCTGGAGCCCTTGACCTTGGGAGGAGCCCTCTGTTCTGTGTTCACACTGACCACCTGGTGCTGGGTGCTGGGGACTCGGAACTCCTGCAGCTGTCACGGGGCGGGGGGGTTCTACAGGTGCTTGTCCCTCCCCTTCCCCCCTCTCTGGCTGTTAATCTGATGGTTCCGGCCATGCCCTCTGAAGGACTGGCAGTCTGGGCCCAGAGGGGGAGGGGATTCAGGGCACGCGGGGTGGGCAGAGTCAGATGCTGAAGGAGCTCTGGGATGCTGGATGTGGGGCAAGAGCAGGCGGTGGGGCTGCAGGGACTGGATCGCAGAGATTTCCCTAGCATAGCTCTGCATGGGGTGTGTGTGCACATGCGTGGATGATGGCGTGTGTGCACGTGGTGTGTTGTGAGTCTACACCCCAGGAGCAAGAGGGCTGAGGGGGTCACTTTGCTAGGAGCTCTTTGGGGGCAGGGACTGACCCTAATTTATCTTTGTGATCCCAGATCTCCAAGGGCCTGGCTTATCCCAGCGCTCAGGTACCCAGGGAATGGTATATGGGTATCAGGAGGGGAAGCCTGTCCCTTTCTAATATGTGAGTCTTATGAACAGAGGGGCTCTCTTTTGGCCCCAGGCCCTGAGTGGAGGCTGAGGATGGACCTGAAGGACACTTTGTGGATGAGCCACTAAGCCAGAGGGAGGAAAGGGCAGGTGTAAGTGGCTGGGAGTAGAGGAAAGAGGGCTTAGCACAGTTTATGCCTCTGTTTTGTTTCAGCCTTAGGACAGCATCCCTCAACCTTCACATGACAGACCCAGTCAGTCCTGGCAGAGGTCTGATAGCTCCATTTACTGACAAAAAAAACCCAGAGAGGTTAAGATACTTTAATAGGTAGCACAGCCAGTAAGGGTTGGGATTGAGGTTCCAACCCAGCCACCCAACTAAGTCTCCCCACCCCATTTCTCTCTGCCCCAGCTCCAGCACCCCCAGGCCTCTCTGCCTCTGCAGACTTTCCTCCCATTGGCCCATCTCTGTCTGTCTCCTTTCTTTCATGCCCCTCTCGCAGGCCCAGCCTGAGACTTTCCCACTGAGTCACGATCTGGGTCCCTGACTTTGTGGTCCCTGTCCCTCTCTGGGTCTAAATCTTTCTTTCAGAAATGCACCCTAAGCCTCTCACTTTGCTCTCTCTTTCTTTTCACGCCTTCTCCCCAACTCGCTGCCCCCTCTCTTTTACTATCTACCCTCTCACAGCCTCTAAGGCTCTGCCCAGCAGGGTGGAGGGTGGAAATCCTGGGTCCTGGTGCCATGCCATGCTCCACTAACAGTTTCCAGTAGGCTGGGCGTGGTGGCTGATGCCTGTAATCCCAACACTTTGGGAGGCTGAGGCGGGCAGATCACGAGGTCAGGAGATCGAGACCAGCCTGGCCAACATGGTGAAACCCCATCTCTACTAAAAATACAAAAAATTAGCCGGTCGTGGTGGCATGTGCCTCTAGTCCCACCCACCACGGGAGGCTGAGGCAGGAGAATTGCTTGAACCCGGGAGGTGGAGGTTGCAGTGAGCTGAGATCGCACCACTGCACTCCAGCCTGGGTGACAGAGCAAGTGACTCTGTCTCAAAAAACAAAACAAAACAAAACAAAACAAAAAAACAGTTTCCAGTAATAGCCGCTCCTCCCCAGCTGCCCCACCAAACCCATCCAAGAGCCTTCCAGGTGCCTAGGGAGCTCAGCACTCCATACGTTTTCAGGAGAGGACCCAGGTGGCTGGTAGACTCTGGGGTGAGGAATCATCTGGTCCTAGAGCATCAATAAGGAAATCTCAATGCCTGCAGCCACCCTCCTCAGGCATGAAACCTCCTCCACCGCCCTCAGTGTGCATACCCAGCAAGCTCAAGGCACACTGACTCGCAGGATGGGACTTGGAGATGGGACAGCAAAATGGGAGGGAGCCTGAGAGTGGGGTGCATGGACTCCCTGAAGTCCAACGCATCACCTGGAGTCCTTAAACATACAGATTCTAGAGACCCGCCACAGGCCTGGGCCTCAGAATCTCTAGAAGCAAGTCCCAGAAATCCACATCGTTGTGGCTTCCTGGCATAGTCTGCAGCCCACAGGTGAAGCAAGTGCTGTGTGACCTTCGGGGAGCCTCTCTCATTTTGAGTCTTCATGGGAAACAGTTTGAAAGGAAGCCCTGAACGTTTGCAGAGGACAACAGCGTGGAGAGAACCAGTGTCTAGGCTGTGGGATTAGGCATGATTTTCTTTTCTGTTTTCTAAACCTTTTCTTTTCTTTTTCTTTTTGTTTCTTTGAGACCGAGTCTCCCTCTGTCACTCAGGCTGGAGTGCAGTGGCACAGTCTCAGCTCACTGCAACCTCCTCCTCCTGGGGTCAAGTGATTCTCTTGCCTCAGCCTCCTGAGTAGCTGGGATTACAGGGGCCAGCCACCACACCTGCTAATTTTTATTTTTGTTTTTGTTTTTGTTTTGAGATGGAGTCTTGCTCTGTCTCCCGGGCTGGAGTGCAGCGGCACGATCTCGGCTCACTGCAACCTCTGCCTCCTGGGTTCAAGTGATTCTCCTGCCTCAGCCTCCTGAGTAGCTGGGATTACAGGCGCCCATCATGCCCAGCTAATTTTTGTGTTTTTAGTAGAGATGGGGTTTTGTCATGTTGGCCAGGGTAGTCTAGAACTTCTGGCCTCAAGTGATTTGCTGGCCTTGGCATCCCAAAGTGTTGGGATTACAGGCATGAGCCACCACGCCCGGCCTGTTTTCTAAACCTTTTCCAGTGTTAGTATGATTCTTCCTCATTCTTGTGGGAAGAGCACTGGCCTGGGAGTCAAGAGACCTGGGTTCTAGCTTCAGCTCTGCCACAAATGCACTGTGTGAGTTTGGTGTCTTATTCCATTTTGCATAGTTACCATCCACCGTGTCTCATAAAATGTGATGCTGGTTGGAGGCCATGTCTCTCTCATTCCTGGACACTTATCTTGTGTTTCTTCACTCCGGTCTCACCAGGACCAGCCTCATAATGCTCCCTGTATTGATGGGATAGAGAGGGCTGGGAGGAGCAGCCATGGGGAAGTGAGGGGATCCCAGGGGGCCTCATCTCCTCACTCCTCTTCTCCCACCTTTCCAGCCCCAGGGCCCGGGAGGAGGGTGAGGTGGCAGCTGGAGGAGAAGGTGTCACTGCCAGGGCCCTTATTCTCACCCAAGCTGGCAGAGGGGCGGGACTGGCAGCAGTGACACCAGGGCCACTCAGCCCCCGCTTTTCACAAGCACTTTCTTTTTTGGGTGGAAGAAATTGGAGAGAGGGGGTGAGAAATCGGGGATTGAGGAACCAGGCTGTAAGACCCTATAACAGCCTGTCAGGTTCTAGAGAGACCACCCCCAGCCTTCCTCTTCCTCCAGAGGCATGGCCCCAGGGCCACCTGATTCTGAGATTCATAATTCCACCTGCCCCAGAAAGCTGGGTGGGAGCTCATGTCATCCTGTTCAGAGGCAAGGGGATGAATCACTTGACCTGAGGATTAATGTGGAAAAGAGGAGGGGGAGAGAGAGGGAGGAGCAAGACTCCATTTGATCTTCAACAGCCAAGCACTGAGCAAAAATGTCCCCCAAAGGGGTGTCAGCATTCAACAGTCTCACATCTCCTAGGGAATCAGTCATTCAGGAGGGTCTTACTGAAAGCTCTCATGTTTCCCCAAAAGTAGTGAAGGATCCCAAGGTCACCCTCTCTTCCAAGCAATGCTGCCCCACTTTGAACATCAGGCAGAAACTTCCCTGTTCCTTAAGGTACGGAGAAATGGTGGGTAAGGTGTTGGGGAGGAGGCCAGTCCTGTGTTTCTGGTACTGTCATGTATCCGGTCTCCAACCTCAAAAGATGTGCTGATTCTCTCTCCCCCAAGCCTCCCTGGGTCATGCCCACCTCCTGGAGTCCCCAGCTTTGCCTTTGCCTGCCAACTTGCCTCTTGGTTCAGCTCTATTTGGGAGCAGAGAGTCCCCATAGGCCCCTAAGGGTGAAGCCCTGTCAGGCTGGGACAGAAATGTAGAGCTGGGGCCAGTTCCCAGGGGAGAACTGGGGAGGACTGGGGTGAAGGTAGAGAGAGGAGAAGTTAAACTTTAACATGACAAAAATATTAAAGTATTTTTCAAAGTACTCTTAAAAATGTAAATCTTTATCTATATACTGATATGCAAAATATTCCATGACACCTTGTGGAGTGAAAAAAAAGTACACATTATAAAGCAGCATGTGTAGTGTTTATATAAATTATATATTTGTGCATGTGTGCAAAAGACAGAGACAGAGAGTATATAAGGAGTGAGGTCTCAGAGGGTGTTCACTGAAATGTTAATCCTGTTTGGCTTTAGGGGGTGGAATTTGGGGTGATTTATACAGTCTTGTTTTTACTTTTCTGTGCTGCTTAAATTTCCTATATAAGTATGTTTCATCTTTATACACAGGAAAACTCCCAATGATGCTATTTTCAATTGGGGGGGGGGAAACGGATAGTTTTCATCATAAAAGGAGTCTAATACATTAGTTAACATAAAAGGAAAATGGAGAAAGAAAAGCCTCCATCGTCCTATCTCCGAGGCAGCCCTTCAGAGCATGTGGTGGGTTTCCTTCCTGTCAGCCGGCTCTGAATCTGTTCAAAGCAGCTTTTCCATCCAGGTATAATAATAGATTGGAAAGTGCTGCACACGTACACCCTCTCATGTAAGGCTTGCAGCCCCCCTGAAAAGTAGATCTGTTTATTTCCCCCAGTCTATGGATGAGGCACGTGAGGTTGACTTTCAGGCAAGGAAAATGACTTGCCTGGGTCACATATACCTGGCAGGCAGAGCCAGACCTGGGACTCTCAGCACTGGCAGCCCAATGCTACTTCCAGTGCCCATGACTGCCATGCAGGGTAGGGGAGCTTTTGTGGGCCCTGCCAGGCCCAGCTCAGGGCCCTGCAAACCCCTGGCTGCTGCTGATGCAGTGCGCTTTAAGGAACATTTCCTGTTGTCCATCAGGTTCCAGGTCTGCCCCCAGGGCTAGAGCTACAAGATGCAGCCAACTCAGCACATGTGGACCTCTGGTGGGGAGAAAGAGGGCAACCCGAAAGGTCACTTAGCACAGAGTCTGGGCACACAGTAGGTATCAATAAAGATCGATTGAATGTTCATGGTCAAAGTTGCTTCTAGTGTGCCCGTGCTCCGAGCCTCTGAGTGCCAGGAGAATGCCCAGCGAGTCCCACTTGGGCCATCTCGGAAGGCTTCCTGTAGGAGAGGGCCTTTGAGCTGAGACTTCAAAGCTGGGCTGAATTTCCCCGAGGGTCCAGAAGAGAGCCACGGGCTGGTGTGTCAGGCAGCGGAGCTGACACTCCCAGAAAGCAAGATCTTCGAACTACAGGGTGCGCGCAGGCTCTCGCTTCTCTCCACCATGGGGGGCCCTGCAGTACTCGCCAAGAGCGTAGAATTTGCCTAGTATTAGCCACGAGAGGGCGGGGTGGGGCGAGGCGGAGCAGGGCCGAGGTGGCGGAGTGGGGGGGAGCCGGAGAGCTTCATAAAGCCACAGCAAAGCGCTGCGACTCTAGTGACAGCGGCCCGCTGGAGAGGAAGCCCGAGAGCTGCCGCGCGCCTGCCGGACGAGGGCGTAGAAGCCAGGCGTCAGAGCCCGGGCTCCGGTGGGGTCCCCCACCCGGCCCTCGGGTCCCCCGCCCCCTGCTCCCTGCCCATCCCAGCCCACGCGACCCTCTCGCGCGCGGAGGGGCGGGTCCTCGACGGCTACGGGAAGGTGCCAGCCCGCCCCGGATGGGCATCGTGGAGCCGGGTTGCGGAGACATGCTGACGGGCACCGAGCCGATGCCGGGGAGCGACGAGGGCCGGGCGCCTGGCGCCGACCCGCAGCACCGCTACTTCTACCCGGAGCCGGGCGCGCAGGACGCGGACGAGCGTCGCGGGGGCGGCAGCCTGGGGTCTCCCTACCCGGGGGGCGCCTTGGTGCCCGCCCCGCCGAGCCGCTTCCTTGGAGCCTACGCCTACCCGCCGCGACCCCAGGCGGCCGGCTTCCCCGGCGCGGGCGAGTCCTTCCCGCCGCCCGCGGACGCCGAGGGCTACCAGCCGGGCGAGGGCTACGCCGCCCCGGACCCGCGCGCCGGGCTCTACCCGGGGCCGCGTGAGGACTACGCGCTACCCGCGGGACTGGAGGTGTCGGGGAAACTGAGGGTCGCGCTCAACAACCACCTGTTGTGGTCCAAGTTTAATCAGCACCAGACAGAGATGATCATCACCAAGCAGGGACGGTGAGTGCGGCGCGCCGGCCCTTGGGGCCTCTGTGCCCGCGCCGGAACAAGAACGTCTCGTCTGTTTTTCTGGCTCGACAATGCTTCTGACTCCGTGTCCCTCACTGCTTTGGCTTCAGCGTAGGGAGACAGGGGAATGGGGTTGTTAGGAGGACAGGGAAAGCTCCGGAGGGGCGTCTGTGCCCAGGCTGTTGCACCAACAGCCAGAGGACTCACAAGGGAGACGGGTGAGTGCGGGACAGTGAGAAGTCACCTTGATTTAGGGGAAGGGTGACTGTGGCTTCACCTAGAATTGGTGTGCGCCCCTGCCCCACTCTCTACTGTAGAGGAGTCGCAGCGGGCAGTGAAAGCCTGTGCTCTGGGCGGACAGGACGCCTGGGCCTCCTGTGTGGGAAACTGGAGGGGAAGGGAGCCCCTTATCTCCGGGCCCCCTGCGCCCACCTCCCCCGGCTCCTTTGCTGCTGGTGTGCTCAGGTCAGCTTTAGTGGTGGTAGTGGTGGTGGTAGCGGTGGTGGTGGTGTGTGTGTACGGGGGGAGATTGGGATTTGGTGACATGGAGAAGCAGTCGCCAAGTTTCCTTTCCGGTCTTACTTTGAGATCATATGTCTGGTGTGTGTGTGTGTGTGTGTGTGTGTGTGTGTGTGTGTGTGTGTGTGTGTGTGTGTATGTGTGTGTGGGTGTGTGTGTATGGGGGCTAGTGCAGTAAAGCTTGTAGGGGGCACAGATCCCTTCCAGGCACAAATGCCCACGGGCTGGGCAGATGAAGCTCACCCAGGGGTCCAGCCTGGTAGCCAGCCCCACACTGCACCCTTTGAGGCTGGTCCAGTGAAAACCTTCCCCACACTCCTGTCCAGAAATTCACCGGTTCAGCCTGGAGAAGTGGGGAAGGGGTGTCCCATGGCTTCATGGCTCAGGGTTCCTGAGCCCCGTGCGTGATGGGGAGAGTTTGGGGCTGAGGGTGCTGCTTCCGGATAGAGCCTCCTGCGCAAGGAAAGAAACAGAAACCTGTGACTTGTGTGGTATTTGTTTAGTAAGCAACCCCCGGAGTGGACTGTGTCTGATGTGGGCTGTGCGCACCCACCCTTCCCAGTGCGGCCCATGTGAGCAGGGGACCAGCGAGGACCAGTGTGGAAGGGCTGTTGTCATTGGTGGACCTGGGATGCTGGGTCCCAGGTCCGAGAGGTGTGGATACCAAACGTGGGGCTTGGGGTGGAGGGGAGAGGGAGAAGGCCATGTTGGACCCCAGAGGTTGGTATTCGATCTGGGCATTGCTGGAACATTCTTCCCTCCAGATGATTTTTGTGGGGTAGCCTGGGACTGGGGAACCTGTTGCCAGCCACAACTGGCTTCAAGTTACTGAGCTGTTCCACTTTCCCTGGGATGAACCCAGGAAAGTTGGCGTGTTCTTTGATGGCTCAGCCTTCATCTCTTAAGCCTTCTGATAATTTCTCTCTGCTCCCCCCAACCCTAGTCACCCTTTGGGTGTACCCAGACACAGCCCAAGCTTCTGGTCCCAATGTGTCTGAATTGGAAGGGACCCAGAAGATCCTGTCCCTCTCACTGCACAGACAGGGAAACAGGCCCAGAGATAGCAAGAGACTCTTCCAAGGTCACACAACACACTCATTGCAGGCAGAGCTGGCACTACAGCCCAGATAGTATTTGCTTGGGTTTCTTTCTCTGGCCCCCTACGGCCACCAGTAAAAACAGCCACCCACGCTCTCTGAAGGCCCTGATGCATTCAGAGTGCTTTCACTTCCATTATTTCACTGTGCGTTAGGTAGGCCAAGCAGTCTCCCCATTTTACAGTTGAGGTCACTGAGTTGCAGGGTCAGCTAGGGGCTTGCACTCCATCACACAGCAGACCAGAAGTGGGGCCTCTTAACCTTCCACTCTGTTGTGTGGTCAGGAGGACTTCCCACCCTGGGCCCTTGCTGGGGTCTCCCCACAGCCTCTGCCAGGCCTCTGCCTCCTCCTGCCAGTCTTGAGGGATGGGGTGGATGGAGCATCAGCCAGCACTCTAGGGAGTTGGCCAGTGCTAGGGGGCTGCCTCTCTGCCTGTAGAGCCAGCTTCAGGGAGGCTGTAGAGCACTTCAGGGAGGCACTTGAGGGGATGATTCTCGAAGTGTGTATCACCATCTCTACTCCCATGGCCTCCTTTCCTTGGTGTTCCTGCTGAGTAATTCTCACTTGACAAGTTTTTTTGTCCCCCTTTTAGATACATACACTTACATTTTTTTATTATGAAAAATTCCACTACATACAAACATGGACAGAAGAATGTAACAGACTTCCATCCCCAGCTTCCACAGTTGTCAATATGGGTCCAATCTTGTTTCTGCATCCTCACTTCGCTTCTTCTGTCTGCAACTATATTAGTAATATAGTAATTACTAAGTACATTCTAGATATTATTTTATCTCTGCACCTCTAAAAATGACTTTTTAAAATGAATGCATTACCATTAGCAAACCTGAAAAGAATTTCCTAAATATCACCAAGCTTCTCTGATTGCTTCATAAATGTGTGTGTGTGTGTGTTTTCCAATCCTCACACTTTTTGCTCCATTCTGAGGGGCTCCATACGCGGGGTCCCTGTTGAAGGAGGCAGTGGCTCTTCACTGTTTCTTTTGGTGCTTTTTCTTGGATCAGGCTTCATAGACCCCACGCTGCCATGGAGGGGACAGAGGACACACAACCCCAATTCAGTCCCACTAGCCCCAGGTTACCTCCATACCTTCTCAGCTTGGGCTCCTGAGATCTGGGAAATCAGTGGCCATTTCCTCTCAAAACAGGCTTTTGGGCTTATAGCACAGCTTCCTTTCCGTCTTCCTGCTTTTGTGGGCTGGCCTATCCCTCCGTGGGTTCCAGTGACCCACCAGTCACACCACATCACCCATGACCTTCTTCCTTTTTGAAAGGTTCTCCCACCTCAGGCCCACCTACAGCCTACAGCCCCACGGCTTTTTGCCTTGAGCTGACTCACGCCGTCCCGGATTCTTCCTCTCCCACCCACCCTGGATCTATCCCTCGGTATTGACCAGCGCCAGTGGCATGCTCTTCCCAACGGGCAGAAATGGGGCAGGGCACAGGGGGTGATTCCTGGGTCTGGAGATTGATCAAGGCAGCTCAGATGGGGCTGAGAGAGGGGAACTGAGAACAAAACGGTGGATTATCCCAGTAGGAGACTTTGGTGTCTACGTTTGTGTCTGGAGATTTGGGGCAGCCTGATAATGCCCCACACAGGCTTGTGCGAGGGTTTCTGTGTGGCAGTGTGTGTGTGTTGCGAATGTGTTGGCGAGTATATAATAGTTGATGGTAGACATTCTCAGTAGAGGAAGAGAGAGGCCTGTGTCTCTGTGGGTGTGTGGGTGTGTATTAATTGCTGGCAATCCCCACTTTCTGGGTGTGATTGGTTGATTATTATAATTAAGATAACTTTGGGTAGCTGTGTTGTGTTAAGCTCAATCTGCATTTGGATTTGTGCATGTGAAGACAGAGGTTGGTAAAACAACAATTTCAGTCCCACACTATCCTTGCTATCCTCACAGTCATTACAATTTTTTTTTGTCTCCACTTTCCCAACTCCAAGAACTTTAATTTTTTTATTTGTAATATTTTTCATGGGCCAGGAAGTGGACTTGAACCTCCCACATAGATAACTTTAGTCGATAACTTTCTACATCTTTTTTTTTTTTTGAGATGGAGTCTCACTCTGTCCCCCAGGCTGGAGTGCAGTGGCTCAATCTTGGCTCACTGCAACCTGCACCTCCCAGGTTCAAGTGATTCTCCTGCCTCAGCCTCCCAAGTAGCTGGGATTACAGGCAGAAGCCACCAAGCCCAGCTAATTTATGTATTTTTAGTAGAGACGGGGTTTCGCCATGTTGGCCAGGCTGGTCCCAAACACCTGACTTCAAGTGATCCCCCGCCTCGGCCTCTCAAAGTGCTGGGATTACAGGTGTGAGCCACCGCACCTGGCCCAACTTTTCAGATCTTAAAAAATTTTTTTTAATTTATTTTTTATGGAGACAGAATATTACTGTGTTGCCCAGGCGGTCTCAAATCCCTGATCTCAAGCAATCTCCCGCCTCAGCCTCCCAAAGTGCTGGGATTACAGGCATGAGCCATTGTGCCCAGCTAAAAACATTTTTTTTAGGCTTAAGCATGCTTAACTGGTTTCATTTGTCTTGGGGCAAGTGAAAACAACTTTAATTAAAAATTTTTTTTAAATGAGACATGGTCTTGCTCTGTCACCCACGCTGGAGTGCAGTGGTGCGATTATGGCTCACTGCAGCCTCAACCTGCTGGGCTCAAGCAATCCTCCCATCCCAGCCTCCTGAGAAACTGGGACTATAGGCGCACATCACCATGTCCGGCTAATTGTTTCTATTTTTTGTAGAGATGGGGTCTCACTATGTTGCCCAGGCTGCAGCTTTGCTTTTTGTCTGGCTGTTTGCCAGTGGCTGTCTGAGTCTATTAAGTGGATCTGAGGTTGGTAAGACGAGGAGTTCCCTTGATGCCCAAGCACATTTTGTACTTTGGTAGGTACGACACATTGCCAGAATACCCTCCCAAAAGGTGCTACCAATTTACGCCCACACCAATAGTCTATGAGAGGACCCATTTTCTCACAGCCTCATCAGCAGTAGATATTATCACATTTTTTTTTTTTTTGAGACAAAGTCTCGTTCTGTTGCCCAGGCTGAAGTGCAGTGGCATGATCTCTGCTCACCGCAACCTCCGCCTCCCAGGTTCAAGCGATTCTCCCACCTCAGCCTCCCAAGTAGCTGGGATTACCGGCATGCACCACCACGCCTGGCTAATTTTTGTATTTTTAATAGAGATGGGGTTTCACCATGTTACCCAGGCTGGTCTCAAACTCCTGACCTCAGGTGATCCACCTGCCTCGGCCTCCCAAAGTGCTGGGATTACAGGCGTGAGCCACCACGCCGGGCCAATATTATCAATTTTTAAACATTGACCAATATGACTGAGAAGAACTATCTATCTCCTTGCTATTTTAATTTGCACTTAATTACAGTGAAGCAGAGCCTGTGCCAGGAGCTCCGAATCTGGGAGAGGTATGACGACCCTGTGAACCATCCCAAGGCTACTTAGTTCTTAGGGCCAGCAGAGGAATTTGGGGTCTTGGACCCTGTCTTATGAGGGTGGGATGGTAAGTGGCCTTTAGGGACGCTCAATTTGACACCAGACCCATCACCACTCTCGGTTCCTTCCCAGCAAAGTGTCATGTAAATCAGGGGCTATTTTGGGATTCCAGCTGGTGGTGATTCTAGACTTTTAGGGAGAAACCGAGATCTCCTTTCTCTTCTCCCTTTTCCCCAGCCTCTTCCTGTGTCTCCATTTCCCTCTACTAGTGATAAAAACAGGATGAGCTGGGCATGGTGGTGAGCACCTATAACCCCGCTCGGGTGACTCGGGAGGCCAAGGCAGGAGGATTGCCTGTGCCCAGGCATTTGAGCAGAGCCTGTGCAGCATAGCAGACTCCATCTCTTAAAAAAAAATCAGTATGGCCTGGCGCGGTGGCTCACCCCTGTAATCCCAGCACTTTGGGAGGTCGAGGCCAGTGGATCACCTGAGGTCAGGAGTTCGAGACCAGCTTGATTAACATGGTGAAACCCCGTCTCTACTAAAAGTACAAAAATTAGCCAGGTGTGGTGGCGGGCGCCTGTAGTCCCAGCTACTCGGGAGGCTGAGGCAGGAGAATAATGGCGTGAACCTTGGAGGCGGAGCTTGCAGTGAGCCAAGATCACACCACTGCACTACAGCCTGGGCAACAGAGCGAGACTCCGTCTCAAAAAAAAAAAAAAAATTAGCCAGGCGCAGTGTTGGGTGCCTGTAGTCAAGGAGAATCTCTTGAACCTGGGAGGCAGAGGTTGCAGTGAGCCGAGATCACACCACTGCACTCCAGCCTGGGGGACAGAGCGAGACTCTGTCTAAAAAAAAAGAAAGAAAAAAATGAATATGAAGAAATGGGGACCACAGAGCACAGCATGCACTCTGCAGTCAGAAGACCTCACCTCTGCTCTCCCACCGAGGACCGTCACCAAACCTCTCGGAGCGTCAGTTTCTTCAAATATAAAATTGGAAATAACATTTTATTTTTTATTTTTTCTTTGAGATGGAGTCTCACACTGTTGCCCAGGCTGGAGTGCAGTGGCGCCATCTCGGGTCACCGCAACCTTCGCCTCCCAGGTTCAAGCGATTCTCCTTGCCTCAGCCTCCAAAGTAGCTGGGACTACAGGTGCATGCCACCACACCAGGCTAATTTTCTGTATTTTTAGTAAATATGGGGTTTCACTATGTTGGCCAGGCTGGTCTCGAACTCCTGAGCTCAGGAAATCCACCCTCCTCGGCCTCACAAAGTGCTGGGATTACGAGTGTGAGCCACTGTGCTGGGCCATCTTTCGAACTTTTTAACAGCTTTCAGAGGAAAGATGGACAGGAGTTAGACTCTCCATTTACATGTGAAGAAACTGAGATTTGGGCTGGGTGCAGTGGCCCATGTCTATAATCCCAGCACTTTGGAAACCTGAGGCGGGTAGACCACTTGAGGTCAGGAGTTCGAGACCAGCTTGGCCAACGTGAAACTCCATCTCTACTAAAAATACAAAAATTAGCCGGGTATGGTGGCACATGCCTGTAGTCCCAGCTCTTGGGAGGCTGAGGCAGGAGAATCACTTGAACCTGGAAGGTGGAGGTTAGAGTGAGCTGAGATCACGCCACTGCACTCCAGCCTGCATGACAGAGCGAAACTCCATTTCAAAAAGAAACTGAGATTTGGCTTGAGAATTAACTTATCCAGGGTCATAGGGTAGTAATCTATTTTTCTCAACTCAGGAAAGTCAGGGGAAGACAGGCGTGTGACAGCACCCTTCTAGGACACCTTCCCAAGGTTGTTAGGTAAGTTGTCCTGGGGACCTCTGGGGATTAGAAGTCCCTCAAAAACAGTTCCTAGGCCCCTGGAACCCTCCCTCCTCCAGGTTTCCTGACTCAGATAGGTCCCTTTTTCCTCATCCTTCAGGGCTTCTCATGAGAGGAGGGGGAAGTGTGTGGAAATGAAAAATAATTCTGATGAGGATTAGCTTCTGCCATTCTGAAAACTCTGCTCTTCCTGCTTGTGTTAGAAGAGAAAGGCTAAGCCATTGGAGCTGGTGATGGAATTGGTGCTGGTGGAGGTGGTGGTTGTAGTGACGGTACTACTGGTGGTGGTTGTGATGGTGAAGGTGGTGGCTGTAGATGGTGGTGCCCGTGCTGGTGCTGGTGGAGATCGTGGTTATCGTGATGGTGGAGGGGGCAGTTGTAGTGACGGTGGTTGTGATGGTGGTGATGGGTGGTTACAGTGCTACTGGTGGTGATGGTGCTGGTTGTAGTGGTGGTGGTGACGGGGCTAGTGAAGGTGTTAGTGGTGGAGATGGTGATGGTAGAAGAGTGCTTCTTTTCTGAATCTGTTACTCTGGCACAACAGCGGAATCATACAGCATCCCACCCCCTAACTTCCTCTACTTTTCCTGGAAACAAGGACTTTGAACATGAGCCCCGTGTTCAATAGAGCCTTCTTTCAGGTGGATGGGAAGCTCCCTGTTCAACTAGGATGTGTGCAACTTCTCTAAAGGCTGAGGGCAGACTATACCGCAGGTGGCAGACCCAGGAGCATGGGAGAGGGAGGGCCTGTGAGTGGGTGTCATGGGTCTGGGAGTGTGTTAGCACTGTGAGAGCCACGGCAGAGAGGGTGGCTGAGGAACTGAGGCGTGAGGACCTTCCAGGAACTGCCTGTGGAGAGCTGGTGGTGCCCCCTCCTAGGAAGCAGCTAAGGTTAGAGACAGGGGTGTGCAGGTAGATGTCGAGCAACTGACCCTCTGAAAGAACATTTTAAAAAACTCTGATTTGTAGTGTTTGCTGATCCCTGTGGTGTAAATACTCCTGCTATGGATGATTTCAAGCGACTCATGTGAGTCATTGAACACAGAGCCGGGAAGAGACTCACAGTGCACTGTGATTTAGTACCTCCTCCATGCAGCTGCGATAGACGGAAGTAACCTCGACAGTGCAGACAATAGTAAAACGTAAAATAACTGGGCAGTGATGATTTTTTAGTTTTTACTCCTTTTTTTTTTTTTTGAGATGGAGACTTGCTCTTGTCATCCAGGCTGGAGGGCAGTGGCGCGATCTCAGCTCACTGTAACCTCTGCCTCCTGGGTTCAAGCCATTCTCCTGCCTCAGCCTCCTGAGTAGCTAGGATTACAGGCGCCCACGACCACACCCAGCTATTTTTGTTGTTGTTGTTGTACTTTTTAGTAGAGACGGGGTTTCGCCATGTTGGCCAGGCTGGTCTCGAACTCCTGACCTCAGGTGATCCGCCCGCCTTGGCCTCTCAAAGTGCTGGGATTACAGGCATGAGCCACTGTGCCGGGCCTACTTTGACTGTTAATATGTCTTGAATTGCAAGTTTATATAATTTAATTTTTAATTATGGCTGTGTTTAACCACTGGCTGGCAAACTCCCTAAACACCTTCCAGCTGGTTCTTGTGAGTGGGAGGAAGCCGGCTACAGCACACCACTGATGCCTGGGCACTGTTGCAGGGGGGACTGGCTGTCAAGCTGGAGCTGATGGGTGCTGGGGGCTTTCTCTCTTCTCTCCAGGCGGATGTTCCCATTCCTGTCATTTACTGTGGCCGGGCTGGAGCCCACCAGCCACTACAGGATGTTTGTGGACGTGGTCTTGGTGGACCAGCACCACTGGCGGTACCAGAGCGGCAAGTGGGTGCAGTGTGGAAAGGCCGAGGGCAGCATGCCAGGTGCGCGCGCCCCTGGGAGCGGTGGGCTCTGTTTCGCTGGGACTGGGCGCCCCCTGGTGGGCCCACCAAGCCCCTACCCCTAATTCCTAGACCTTTAACCCCCTCCCACTCCATCCCACGCCATTGCATCCCTCCTGTTTCTGGCTTCCTGCTTTGCTCTAGCCTGTCCTCTGCTGAGTCCTCTGCCCTTCCCTGCCTGGTCCTCCCCCTGTGTCCTTCCTTACGTCCCTCTCGGGACAGGCAAAGCCCTACATCACCAGGGTTCTGTCCCGGGGGCTGCATGTCAAAGAGGTGAACTGTCCACAGGAAACCGCCTGTACGTCCACCCGGACTCCCCCAACACAGGAGCGCACTGGATGCGCCAGGAAGTTTCATTTGGGAAACTAAAGCTCACAAACAACAAGGGGGCGTCCAACAATGTGACCCAGGTAGGACCTGCTCTTCAAAAGGTAGCCTCGCCCTGCTCCCCACCCTGGGTCTGAGACCTCCAAGGCCACAAGGGTCCTGCGGGGCCAGTTTGGTTCATTTTTTCTTCCTTCCTACAGGAAGGAAGGTTCGTTTTTCTTCTGTCCTAAACGAAGGGTCATTTTTCCTCCTTCCTAAACTCTGGCTGTTTCTCACCCACCTTGGGAGGAAGATGAGATGGGATGAAGCTGAATCTTGGACGGGGGTCATATTCAGGCCACACAGGCCAACCCAGCCTCAGGGTTTCTTCACCAAATCATGGGTTGCCATTGCTCCGGCACCATGAAAGGCACAGAGTTGGCCCTGTGGTCCCAGGGAATAGATGCCGAGTTTCTCTAGGTTGAACAATCCTGTTAAAAGTGCCCTTGCTGGCTGGGTGTGGTGGCTCACACCCATAATCCCAGCACTTTGGGAGGCCAAGGCGGGTGGATCACAAGGTCAGGAGTTCAAGACCAGCCTGGCCAAGATGATGAAACCCCGTCTCTACTAAAAATACAAAAATTAGCCAAGCATGGTGGCGGGTGCCTGTAATCCCAGCTACTCAAGAGGCGGAGGCAGGAGAATCGCTTGAACCCGGGAGGCAGAGGTTACAGTGAGCTGAGATCATGCCATTGCACTCCAGCCTGGGTGACAGAGTGAGACTCCGTCTCAAAAAAAAAAAAAAAAGAAAAAAGAAAAAAGAAAAAAAAGTGCCCTTGCCCTAAAGCCCTGTTTGTGCTGATACCTTGGTCTCAATTGACATCTGGAGGTAGAAGAGGGGGCAAGAGGCTAGAATTGGTGCCCCAAAGAGTCCGGACACTGGAGTTGGAAAGCTTGGGGGAAGTTACATGGTGGCAGAGCAGGGGAATGGACAGGATGACCTCAAGGTGCTTGCTAGCCTCACGTGGGGCCAGCTGTTGGTGGGGGTGATGGGATCCTCGAAATCCTTCCTCCCCACCCCTACAACCGTCTTGCTCTGTCTACAGATGATTGTGCTCCAGTCCCTCCATAAGTACCAGCCCCGGCTGCATATCGTTGAGGTGAACGACGGAGAGCCAGAGGCAGCCTGCAACGCTTCCAACACGCATATCTTTACTTTCCAAGAAACCCAGTTCATTGCCGTGACTGCCTACCAGAATGCCGAGGTGAGGGCTGCCTGAGCCCCGGTGGGGAGGAGGGCAGAGTGGGGCCCACTGTCTTCCTTGGGAGGGATTTGGAAAGTTCCCGAGCCCCAGACTCAGGACTCAGGTGACTCTATTTCCCTTCTCTCTAGATTACTCAGCTGAAAATTGATAATAACCCCTTTGCCAAAGGATTCCGGGAGAACTTTGAGTCGTAAGTGCCACTGGGTTCAACTCAGCTTTGGTCCCTCCTGAGACACATCCTCTCCCTGCCCCTGAAAACAGGAGGGTGGGGGACAGATGCTACAGGTGGGCAGGCCAGGGAAGGAGGGTCGGAGAAGGAATGTGTGAAACAGGTAGGCTCACAGGTGACTGGTTCTGCTTGTGACCCGTTTTCTTGCCTTCTATTTTTTTCTAGCATGTACACATCTGTTGACACCAGCATCCCCTCCCCGCCTGGACCCAACTGTCAATTCCTTGGGGGAGATCACTACTCTCCTCTCCTACCCAACCAGTATCCTGTTCCCAGCCGCTTCTACCCCGACCTTCCTGGCCAGGCGAAGGATGTGGTTCCCCAGGCTTACTGGCTGGGGGCCCCCCGGGACCACAGCTATGAGGCTGAGTTTCGAGCAGTCAGCATGAAGCCTGCATTCTTGCCCTCTGCCCCTGGGCCCACCATGTCCTACTACCGAGGCCAGGAGGTCCTGGCACCTGGAGCTGGCTGGCCTGTGGCACCCCAGTACCCTCCCAAGATGGGCCCGGCCAGCTGGTTCCGCCCTATGCGGACTCTGCCCATGGAACCCGGCCCTGGAGGCTCAGAGGGACGGGGACCAGAGGACCAGGGTCCCCCCTTGGTGTGGACTGAGATTGCCCCCATCCGGCCGGAATCCAGTGATTCAGGACTGGGCGAAGGAGACTCTAAGAGGAGGCGCGTGTCCCCCTATCCTTCCAGTGGTGACAGCTCCTCCCCTGCTGGGGCCCCTTCTCCTTTTGATAAGGAAGCTGAAGGACAGTTTTATAACTATTTTCCCAACTGAGCAGATGACATGATGAAAGGAACAGAAACAGTGTTATTAGGTTGGAGGACACCGACTAATTTGGGAAACGGATGAAGGACTGAGAAGGCCCCCGCTCCCTCTGGCCCTTCTCTGTTTAGTAGTTGGTTGGGGAAGTGGGGCTCAAGAAGGATTTTGGGGTTCACCAGATGCTTCCTGGCCCACGATGAAACCTGAGAGGGGTGTCCCCTTGCCCCATCCTCTGCCCTAACTACAGTCGTTTACCTGGTGCTGCGTCTTGCTTTTGGTTTCCAGCTGGAGAAAAGAAGACAAGAAAGTCTTGGGCATGAAGGAGCTTTTTGCATCTAGTGGGTGGGAGGGGTCAGGTGTGGGACATGGGAGCAGGAGACTCCACTTTCTTCCTTTGTACAGTAACTTTCAACCTTTTCGTTGGCATGTGTGTTAATCCCTGATCCAAAAAGAACAAATACACGTATGTTATAACCATCAGCCCGCCAGGGTCAGGGAAAGGACTCACCTGACTTTGGACAGCTGGCCTGGGCTCCCCCTGCTCAAACACAGTGGGGATCAGAGAAAAGGGGCTGGAAAGGGGGGAATGGCCCACATCTCAAGAAGCAAGATATTGTTTGTGGTGGTTGTGTGTGGGTGTGTGTTTTTTCTTTTTCTTTCTTTTTATTTTTTTTGAATGGGGGAGGCTATTTATTGTACTGAGAGTGGTGTCTGGATATATTCCTTTTGTCTTCATCACTTTCTGAAAATAAACATAAAACTGTTGAATGTGCCTGCCTCAGTGCCAGCATGGGGGGACATGGATGGGGACTCAGTTGGGGTTGTACCCAAGCTGGTGTACCCAAGGTGTTCTGTCAGCTTTCATTTATGGGGAACCTGCTAAGACCCTGAAATGACTCCAGCTGAGTTACAGCAAGGCCACATGTCCTACCTTCAGCACTCAGGGGGTTGGTTGATGCTACCTCTTAAGGCATCTTGGGACGGACAGAGAAGAATCCCTTGCCCTGTGTGCACCCTGACATTGAAAGGAGGGGTGTGAGGGCAAGGCCAAGGGCTGGACTGGGAGCGGGGGTGCAGGGCGCTGTGAGGCGGTGGCACTTGATTTTTCTTTGCATTTCTAGCAGCCCTCCACCTTTATCTCTAGGGTTATTCAAGGATTAAAGAAATAAATATAAAATGAGCCATGTGAAATTACCATTTTTGTAGGTCGAAAAGCCAAATATTAGCAATTTTATGTGACTCAAGCTAATACATGTAAAGGGTTTAAGAACATTGCCTGACAAACAGTAAGCACTCACTGTGTAAGCTACTGTTACCAACAGTTTCTAGCTGTTTCTGTCTGTCTTTTTATACACACTGAATTGTGTTTGTAAAATAATACATACTTTTTTTTTTTTTTTTTGAGACAGAGTTTTGCTCTTGTTGCCCAGGCTGGAATGCAATGGTGCGATCTCAGCTCACTGAAACCTTCGCCTCCCAGGTTCAAGTGATTCTCCTGCCTCACCCTCCTGAGTAGCTGGGATTACAGATGTGCACCACCATGCCTGGCTAATTTTTGTATTTTTAGTAGAGACGGTGTTTCGCCATATTGGCCAGGCTGGTCTCGAACTCCTGACGTCAGGTGATCTACCCACCTTGGCTTCCCAAAGTGCTGGGATTACAGGCGTGCGTCACCACACTCAGCCTATACATGCTTCTTTTAAATAATTCAAGCAAGGAAGAAAAGTATAAAGACAACAATAAATTATCTCAAATCTTACCCATCAAGAATTATCATTAACATTAGGTGGGTTAGACAGAAATAGTTTTATAAATTGGAACCATACTGAAAAGGCTTTTTCTTAATGAAAATGGTTAAATTTTAGCTTATAGAATTTAGTCACACACACACACACACACACACACACACACATCAAGACAAGCAAAACCTCTCAAACTCTCAAGTGAAATGAAGGGAGTTGCTAAACTTAAGATAAATTTTTCTTCACTACAAGAAATATTTTCTTGGTTTTTTTTTTTTTTGAGACAGAGTCTCGCTCTGTTGCCCAGGCTGGAGTGCAGTGGCACGATCTCAGCTCACTGCAACCTCCACCTCCTGGGTTCAAGCAGTTCTCCTGCCTCAGCCTCCCGAGTAGCTGAGACTACAGGCGTGTGCCACCACGCCCGGCTTTTTTTGTGTTTTTGGTAGAGACGGGGTTTTCACCATATTAGCCAGGATGGTCTCGATCTCTTGACCTCGTGATCTGTCTGCCTCGGCCTCCCAAAGTGCTAGGATTATAGGCGTGAGCCACCGTGCCCAGGCAAGAAATAGTTTCTAAAAGAACACTCTCAGGCTAAGACAGGTGCTTATAGGAAACATTAAGAAGTTAGAGTTACTATGTTGCCCCACCACAGTCCAGGGTGCACCCCATTCTAATGGGGAAACATCATCATGGGCTTTGGGTAGTTCTCCCAGTTCTGTTTAAGGTCTGGAAAACCTGTTTTTTTTTTTTTTTTTTTTTTGGTCACAGTTCACATCCCATCCTTTTTTGCTCTCTACTCAGAGGCACCTTCTAGTTAGAAGGAAAAAATACGGTGGCATACTTGGCTCCCTTTCCTTTGAATTTGGAATCTCATAATTTTGTAAATGACAGGAGATCTGCCACATTGTGCTCTGTGAGTTCAGATTATTTGTCCCCCTACTCCTACCCCGTGGCTGTCACTTTCTAAAGTTAATGGGTTGGGTCTATTTCCTTTCTTGGAGGAACTGTGGTTGATAATTATAATACTCTTTTCGCTCACCATTTAAAAATGATTTTTGCTCCCTTCATTAGATATGAAGTTAAGTGACTTGTGATCAAGCCATACTTTACCATCTTTTCTAGAAGTCTGACTGCATGTTTTGATGTGGTGTTATTTGACTCATAAAGGTTCATTACTATTATTTCTTCACTATTAGATGTACCTTTTACTGTATATACTGTGTATATATACACATACCACATATATCTATAATATATATAACCTAAATACCACACAACTCAAGATATTTCTTCAAGATTTAAACACCAATAATATCACAACTATATTTCCTCCATCTAATCTCCTGCCTTTCCCTCATAGATAACCAGTATCTTTAATTTTGTGTTTTGCTTTTCTTGCCTTTTATTTGTTATATTTTTTATTTTTATTTTTGTAGAGATAGGGTCTTGCTATGTTGCCCAGGCTGGTCTTGAACTCTTGGGCTCAAGAGATCCTCCCACCTTGGCCTTCCAAAGTGCTGAGATTACAGTCATGAGCCATTGCATCCAGCCCCTTTCTTGCTTCTTAAAATTAAGTGTTAACACTTTATGTAAGTCTAACTACTATGCTATGTAGTTTTACTTGTTTTTAACTTTATAAAATAATATATATGTGTGTGTGTGTATGTATACATACACACATATATGTTTTGATTTTTGACTCAACACTGTTTTTAAGATTCATCCATTTGTGGCAGGTAGCTATGTATTTCATTCATTTTTCACTATTTTATGATATTCCACTATGTGTATGTTTGCTATAATTTACTTATCTATTTTCCTGTTGACAATTTACACATTTTTGTTATTATGAACAGTTTTTAAAATATTTTTAATGTGTCTTCAGGCACACAAGTGCTAAAATTTCTCAAGTCAAGTCTGTATCTAGAAATGGGTAGGGTATGTGAATGTACAATTTAACAAGAGAATGCCAAATTACTTTACCAATTTACACTCTCACCAGTAATGTACAAGAGAACATGTTGAGTTTCTTTCTTTCTTTCAGCAGTAGTAAGGTTGAGCCTTTCTTCATATGTTTTCTAATCATAGGTTTGTAAAATGATTTGTTCATATCTTTCGCTCATATTGCTATTAGAGTATTTGTCTTTTTCTCATTGGTTCTGGTTCTTTATATATTCTTGACTTGATATCAACCATTATTTGGTTATTTATATTGCAATTATCTTCCTCTAGATTATTGTTCCTCTTTTCATTTTCTTTAAAGTGGTTTTCTGATGAACAAAAATTTGTAGTTTTAATGTAGCTAAATTTAACAATTTTACTTTTTTTTTTTTTTTTTAAGAGACAGGGTCTTGTTCTGTCACCCAGGCTAGAATGCAGTGGTGTCATTATAGCTCACTGCAGCTGCAAACTCCTGGCCTCAAGTGATCCTTCCACTCAGCCTCCCCAGTAGTTAGGACTACAGGCATATGCCACCATGCATGGCTAATTTAAATTTTTTCTGTAGCGATGAGGTCTCGCTATGTCACCCAAGCTCATCTTGAACTCCTGACCTCAAGTGACCCTCTCGCCTTGACCTCCCAAAGTGTTGGGGTGGCATGAGCCACCACACCTGGCCAACATTTTATAGTTAGTACTTTTCCTTGTCTCATTTAAGAAAACTTTTTCTGCTTGAGGGTTAGAAAGATATTCATCTGTATTTTTTTTTCCATAGGATTTGAAGTTTTGCATTTGACATTTAATTCCTTTTAGTGTTTGGTGTGAAGGATTCATTTTTGTTTTCGTTTTCCAATTTTTCCTGTTTGTTTTTGTTGAATAGTCTTTCTTTTGCCCATGGTAGTAGTCTCACATACTACTTCTGGTAGAGCAACGTCCTCTTTTTAAAGTTTCTTCTTCTGAAGTGCTTTGACTATGCCTAGCTCTTTGCCCTTCTATATGATATATATAATAACTTGGAAATTTTCATAACAACCAGACTGAGATTTTTATTGAGGTTGGACTAAATCTATTGTTCGATTTGAGAGAAGAGATAACTTTGTGATATTGTCTTTCTATGCATGAACATGGGATATTTCTTCATTTATTTAGGTCATCTTTAAGGTTCTTTAGCAAAGTTTTCCAATTTGTAGGTGTAGGACTTTTATATCTTTTGTTAAATTTATTCTTGGGTATTTCTTTTTTTCTCTGTAAAAGGCATATTTTAAAATATATGTTTCCTAGCTGTTTGTTACTAGTTTGCAGAATTACAATTGATTTTTGTATATTGATCATGAGATCCAGCCATGTTGCTAAAGTCTTTTATTATTTTGGGGGAATTTCCTATAACTTCTTTAGAGCTATCTCTGTGGCCAATCATATTATTTGAAAAAATGAGAGTTTTAGCCGGGCATGACGGCGGGCGCCTGTAGTCCCAGCTACTCAGGAGGCTGAGGCAGGAGAATGGCATGAACCCGGGAGGCGGAGCTTGCAGTGAGCCAAGATCGCACCGCTGCACTACAGCCTGGGTGACAGAGCGAGACTCTGTCTCAAAAAAAAAAAAAAAGAGAGTAAAAAAAATGAGAGTTTTATTTCCTTGTTTCTAATCATTATGCTTCTAATTTATTTTCCTTATCTTATTCGACTGGTCATAACCTCAAGTGCTGGTTTTTTGTCTTTTGGGGGATGGTTTCTTTCACTATTTTTTGACCCCACCTCTGATGGGGTCTCACTCCGTCACTCAGGTTGGAGTACAATGGTGTGATCATAGCTCACTGCAGCATTGAACTTCTGGGTTCAAGTGATGCTTCTGCCTCAGCCTCCCAAATAGCTAGGACTACAGATGTGCACATTATGAAGCCTAGCTAATTAAAATTTTTTTTTTTTTTTTTTTTTTTGTAGAAACAGGGCCTAGTTATATTGTCCAGGCTGCTCTTGAACTCTTGGCTTCAAGTGATCCTCCTGCATTGGCCTCCCAAAGCACTGGGATTAGAAGAGTGAGCTGCCATGCTCAGCTCAGTTTTCCCCTATTTATTACACTTTTTTTTCCTTTTACTTGTTTGCATTTCTATAATTTATTTATTTTAGTGGCTTATCTATACATTTTAATAAGTATATTTAATAATGAATGATGTTTTATCCTCCCTTCTCGTCAGTAAGATAATTTTAGATCACTTTAATTCTGATCTTCCTCCTTCTGACTTACTGTTCCTCCTTCTGACTTACTAATAAAAACTTACTTCCTTCTTCTGACTTATTGATAACTCTTATATTATCATTTTAGTAGCCATTCTAATAACCTTTTTTCATTCATGTTTTTCTCCTCTCAACTTACTCATTTCAGTTCTTTCTTTTTTTAACCCCTAAAAATTAGACTCCTTTATTATTTTATTGAGACTATGCTTTGTCTGGACTTACCTTTATGTTACCATTCTTTTTGTTCATTTTCCCTTTTTTGCATTTCTCTTTTTTGGGGGATCATTTACCTATATCTTTAAATCCTTTATAAGTTCTTTTAGAGAAGTTCTCTTTGTAAACTTCCCCTGGGCTTGTTTCTTATAAATGTTATCATTTTCCCTATTGGTATTGAGTGATTGTTTTGCTGAATACACAATTTTGGGTGAATAGTATTTTATTTATTTATTTATTTTTTTTTTTGAGGTGAAGTCGTACTCATTGTGTCACCCAGGTTGAAGTGCAGTGGCACGATCTCGGCTCACTGCAACCTCTGCCTCCCAGGTTCAAGTGATTCTCCTGACTCAGCCTCCTGAGTAGCTGGGATTACAGGCATCCACCACCATGTCTGGCTAATTTTTTTTATTTTTTTTTTTATTTTTAGTAGAGATGGGGTTTCACCATGTTGGCCAGGCTGGTCTTGAACTCCCGACCTCAAGTGATCTGCTCGCCTTGGCCTCCTGAAGTGCTGGGATTACAGGCATGAGCCACTGCACCCAGCCTTTTCTTATCATTTTATATGAGTAATTCCACTGTCTTCTGGCTTCATTGTTGTGAGATCTGCTGCTATTCTAATTATCATTCTTTGTTAGGTCTTCTGTGTTTTTTCTCTGCTTTCCAGATCTTCTATTTATATTCATGCCCTAAAGATTCACTACGATGTGAGAAGGCATGATTTTATTTTTCCTTATCCTATTTGGGATACATTGTGTTTCATGGATCTTTGCATTCATCATTTTCATGAGCTCTGAAAATTCTCAGTCATCATCTCTTTAAATATTGCTTCTTTCTATTCTCTCCAATTTCATCCTTTAGGACTCCAATCAGATGGGTGTCTTTTTTTTTTTTTTTTTTGACAGGGTCTGGCTCTGTTGCCCAGGCTGGAGTGCGGTGGCACTTTCTTGGCTCACTGCAACCTCCACCTCCTGGGCTTAAGCCATCCTCCCACCTCAACCTCCTGAGTAGCTGGGACTACAGGCATGCACGACCATACCTAGCTAATTAAAAGAAATTTTTTGTGTGTGTGTGGAGACAGGGTCTCGCTATGTTGCCTAGGTTGGTCTTAAACTCTGGGCTCAAGCGATCTTCCCACTTTGGTTTCCCAAAGTGCTGGGATTACAGGTGTGAACCATGTTTATCCTTATAATTGCATTATTTGTTTTTGTAAACATTCTATACCTAGCTATTCTGTATTTTCAACATCTGCTGTCCTTGTAGGGGGTGATGATAGGGTTGTTGTCTAAATCTGTTGTTTCTTCTGATTCTCAATGATAGTGGGTTTGCCTTCTTCCTTGCTTGGTGGTCTTCTTTCTTTGTTTATTAAATTTTGCTAAAGAAAATCTTCAAGGAGTCTTTAGGCAATAACACTTCTGAGTATTTAACATGTCTTTATTTTACTTACACATGTGAGTGATAGCTTGACCCAGTATAAAAGTCTAGGTTGAAATCACTTTCTCTCAGAATTTTTTTTCTTAAAGACCAGTATGATAGTACTCTCAGATTTTTTTTTTTCCTGAGATGGAGTCTCAGTCGCTCTGTTGCCCAGGCAAGAGTGCAATGGTGCCCTCTCGGCTCACTGCAACCACTGCCTCCTGGGTTCAAGTGATTCTCCTGCCTCAGCCACTGGAGTAGCTGGGATTAGAGGTGTACGCCACCACGCCTGGCTAATTTTTATATTTTTAGTAGAGATGCGGTTTCACCATGCTGGCCAGGCTGGTCTCGAACTCCTGGCTTCAAGTGACCCACCTGCCTTGGCCTCCCAGAGTGCTGGGATTACAGGCATGAACCATCGCACCTGCCCTACTTACAGAATTTTTAAAGCATTTTTTTCATTGTCACTTAGTTTTTAGTATTGCTCTTAAGAAGTCTGATGCCATTTTGATTCATGATCCTTTTTGGTAGGTTTTTAGATCCTCTCTTGCTTCCCAGTGTTTTAAACATTCTGTATTATATACCTTGGTCTGAAGCCCTTTTTCATTTGCTATTCTGGCACACCCAATGAGAACTATCAACCCAGAAACGCTGTTCTTCATTCTTAGAAAGTGTCTCTTCCTTGCTGGTTCAGTGGCTCATGCCTGTAATCCCAGCACTTTGGGAGGCTGAGGCGAGCAGATCACTTGAGGTCAGGAGTTCAAGACCAGCCTGGCCAACGTGGCAAAACTCTGTCTCTACAAAAGTACAAAAATTAGCCGGGCGTGGTGATGCATGCCTGTAATCCCAGTCACTCAGGAGGCTGAGGCAGGAGAATCGCTTGAACCCAGGAGGCGGAAGTTCCAGTGAGCCAAGATTGCACCATTGCACTCCAGCCTGGGCGAATGAGTGAGACACTGTCTCAAAAAGAAAGAAAGTTTCTCTTCCTTTTTAAAAAACATTTTTCATATTTTTAATTTTTTTTTTTTTTTTTTTTTTTTTTAGAGATGAAGTCTCACTATGTTGGTCAGGTTGGTCTTGAACTCCTGGCCAAAAAATTCTTCAAGCAAGAGCATACTTCCTCCCAGAGAGCTGGTTTACTACCACACCACTGGGAGCTGATTTATTAGGCTGGGGCCCCCACAATGTTAGTGTGTAGAGATATGAGTTCTCCTAAAGAGACTTTTCCAAATTTCTTACCAGCTGACTGGAGAATATTGTAGGAGTGAAATATGAGAAGAGAAACCGAGGGGCTAATTTTTTTCTTTTGCAAGCTTTCACTTACATTTTCTTCTTCCAGCTTTGCCTCACCCTTCCTAGACACTGTCTTTGGTATCCCCAAGTCCCATGTCTTTTTCTTTCATTTTCTTTAGAATGACACTCTATACTTCTAGGTGGTAGTGGTAGTGAAATAGTTATTTTGTTGCTCAGGGCGGGAAGCAGTCATGGGCATCTTGATACATCTGATTTCAGACTTTTAGCCAATCCACCAATTGTCAGTACCATGCCTCAATCCCAGCTTCCACTGTGCCAAGTTCTGAGCCTCTTAAGCATTCTTTCGGGCTAAATCAGTTCACTCATTGTTAATCCTGTTTGTAGACACTGTGGGCTATAGCTCCATGTTGCTTAATCATGCACTACTCCTCCGTCTGCTTTCTAGTTTCCAAAAACTTGTTGAAATGTATTGTCTGGTTCCTTTTCCTCTGCTGTTCTCTTTGTTCCTGTGGTTTCATACATTTGAAAAATTCCTATATTATCATTTTAGTAACCAATACACAATTTTTTTTTTTTGAGACAGAGTCTCGCTCTGTCGCCCAGACTAGAGTGCAGTGGTGCAATCTCGGCTCACTGCAGCCTCTGCCTCCTGAATTCAAGCGATTCTCCTGCCTCAGCCTCCTGAGTAGTTGGGATTACAGGTGCGCACCACCATGCCCGGCTAATTTTTGTAGTTTTAGCTGAGACGGGGTTTCACCATGTTGGTCAGGCTGGTCTCGAACTCCTGACCTTGTCATCTGCCCGCCTCGGCCTCCCAAAGTGCTGGGATTACAGGCATGAGCCACCGCGCCCGGCCCAAATATACAAATTTTAACCTAAACACTCTTCATCAATTTTGAATGGAACTTGGTACATTTTTTCAGCCTTCATGGATTGGCCTTCTTCTTTCTCTACCCCACACCCCCAAATTTCAGACAAGTTTTCTTCTATTTTGTCTCCGATTACCTCCTATCCAGCTAGTATTTATTTTTCAGAGACATTCATTACTCTTCGACTAGATCTCAACCCTCTGTTTCTCTCCATTTTCTTTCTTTCTTTCTTTCTTTTTTTTTTTTTTTGAGACAGAGTCTCACTCTGTTGCCCAGGCTGGAGTGCAGTGGAGTGCCGCGATCTCGGCTCACTGCAAGCTCTGCCTCCAGGGTTCACACCATTCTCCTGCCTCAGCCTCCCAAGTAGCTGGAATCACAGGCTCCCGCCACGCCACCACACCTGGCTAATTTTTTGTATTTTTAGTAGAGATGGGGTTTCACCATGTTAGCCAGGATGGTCTCCATCTCCTGACCTTGTGATCCACCTGCCTTGGCCTCCTAAAGTGCTGGGATTACAGGCGTGAGCCACCACGCCCGACATTTTTTTTTTTTTTTTTTTTTGAGACAGGATCTCACTCCTGTTGCCCAGGCTGGGGTGCAGTGGCGCTATCACAGCTCACTGCCACCTCGACTTCCCAGGCTCAGGTGATTCTCCCACCTCAGCCTCCTAAGTAGCTGGGATTACAGGCACATGCCACCATGCCCAGCTAAATTTTTGTGTTTTTAGTAGGGACAAAATTTCATCATTTTACCTAGGCTGGTCTCAAATTCCTGGGCTCAAGCAATCTGCCCGCCTTGGCCTCTCTAAATGTTGAGATTACAGGCGTGTGCCACTGCACCCGGCCTTTGTTTCTCTTCCTATTACTTAGTTTTCATTTTTTGACTTTATATTCTGTCCTCTGGGAGAGATTTCCAAAGTTATCTTAGTAGTGGCATATTAACTTGGGGATGGCTGAAGATTAATTTCTAAGGAGAGAGTGATCCAGAAGGATAAATATCTGTACTTATGATTTACATGAATGCCTTTCTGAGTGTCTGTGGTTACAGCTATCTCTTAATATGCCATATTTTGTAAGAGTTTATATGGCAAGAGTTATAAACAGCTGGGTATAAAAGTAACTGTTGGGGGCTGGTCTGATGGTATTGGGTTATCAGGACTTATTAGCATTAGTGTCACTAAAGTTGAGAGACAGAGTGAGACTCTCTCAGTCAGACAAACAGAAAAAATCCCAGCCTGCCTAAGCTACTTATACCTAGATTACCACTGGTTTTTCCAGATAGGGAAAAGGGATGCAGGAACTGCTTCAGAAAACATCTGAAAAAACACAACTGACTGTGGTCATATCCTAATATAACAAGTATTCTTCTGTGATGTAAGAGAAATTGTGGGCCGGGCATGGTGGCTCACGCCTGTAATCCCAGCACTTTGGGATGCTGAGTTGGGTGGATCACGAGATCAGGAGATCGAGACCATCCTGGCTAACACGGTGAAACGCCGTCTCTACTAAAAACACAAAAAATTAGCCAGGCGTGGTGGCGGGCAACTGTGGTCCCAGCTACTTGGGAGGCTGAGGCAGCAGAATGGTGTGAACCTGAAAGGCAGAGCTTGCAGTGAGCCGAGATCACGCCACTGCACTCCAGCCTGGGCGACAGAGCGAGACTCTGTCTCAAAAAAAAAAAAAAAAAAAGAAATTGTGGCACGGATACATGGCTGAATCATGTTCAGCCACACACAATATCAAAATGGCCTTTCACCTCACTGATTTGGTTTTTCCCCCAGTTCAAGTGTGCTCTTTAGAGTCTTCATTGAAAGTTTAAGCTCTGCCATTGGATTTTAGTTTTGTTTTCAATTTTGTCTTATCTCATCTATTTTTCCTTCATCCTGGCCTTGTATCTTTGTATCTCAGTTTTCTCCTAATAGATTTATTTTATTTCATTTAATATGCTGAATAGTTACCTGAAATTTTTTGGGTGGGTCTTAAACATGTCAATATAATTGAAGAGGTAACTGACTATGTGGGATTACCAGCTATATATCAGTTCAAAAAATAGTCCAACTGTAACCTTTTTTGGGCAAAATAATAGATATTATATGGCATACTCCTCCTTTCTGAAAACTTCACCCACACCCTCCTCCCTCCAGGGGTAAGGCTCGGAAGGCCATGTTTATATGACGTGACCCTGCCCCACCTCATCCGCATCATAACTGATTGAAAGTGCATTGATACATGAAATAATTGAGGCTGAGAGTCATTAGTTACTTTGGGGTGGTGCTTGAGTTTCAGTTGTCTGCACTGCATTGCAACAGGTCAGCCAAGTATATGAAGAGGCAGAGAATACGGTTCGTGGAGTTGGAGTAGAAGAAGATATGCAAGGAGACAGAGGAATAAAATTTAAGAAGAGATTGAGTGATAGCAAGATGAGAGTAAGGGTGAAAGAGAATTTCCTGGTTCCAGTTCCCTTTAAAGTTCTACTTAACTTCCTCTCTTTGTCCCTTGAGTCACTTCCATGTGGTGATAACAATTTTCCTTTAGTTTGGAGTGGGAGTCTGGAACTACTAAGAGAACCTCAATTAAGACATCCCTTCCCAGTCATAATAAGCAAATCACATCATTGTGAGTAAGAGGATGAAGATGCTGCACAGTCTGTTCCTATAGTGGGAGGACATGGATCCAGCTCATCCCAAACTAATATCACACTGTTAAGAAACAAAACGAAAAGCTGTGGGGGTGGAGAGACAGAGATCACATCCTCATTTTATCCCTGTGTAAATTATTTTCTGACCTATCAAAGGTTGACCCTGCCATTCCTAGGTCTTGCTGAAGTATTGGTGTAGGTTCCACATGAGTAGCAAAAGCTCACAAAGCTCTGCCTATAGCCCATTTCCAATTGTGGAGTTCAAAGTGGGAGGGAACAATTGAAGCTTCTGGCCGGGTGTGAGGACCACAATCATAGTCTGAAGTGGAGGGTCATAGCCAAGCCCTGTTTGCTTCTCATGTTCAATACTAGGATTTCAGATCAGTGAAGAAGCAGTGGGCATATATTTTAGATGGATGCTTTGACTTTGGAGTAACAGTGGACCGTCTTTTAAAAAGGGAGATGTCTAAATGGATTCACCTAGATGGGAACCAAGCCTGTGAGGCCGACAGTAGCTGGCAGAGAGCCGACAACACTCTCCAAGGAGGCCCTTGAACATCACCAGGGCCACAGAGTCTCTCCTGGGTGCTGTACTCAGTGACAACTTCATTCTTTTGAAACTTATGATAAAAAATTTTGAGCATACAAAACATTCACTAGATTTAACAATTATTAACATTTTGCCATATTGCTTTGTCTATTTTTTCAGGCATTCTAAACTAAGTTGTTAATATCATGATATTTCACTGCCAAATATTTCAATCTGCATCTCTTAAAAGCAAGAGCATTTTTGTTACATAACCACAATGCCACTATCATGCCTAACAAAATCAAAAATAATTTCTAGTATGTTCTTTTATTGAGTCCTTATCCATATTTACCTCACTGTACCCTAAATGTCTTCCACAACTGATTTGTTTGCCCAGATTCCAAACAAAGTCTATATCTGATATTTCATTGTTATTCCCCTTCTTTTAATAGGGAATAGTCCTTCTACCTCTCCTTTTTCTTAAATGCTGTTGACTTTTTAAGTAGCCAAATCAGCTGTTCTGTAGAGAAGTATCCCATTTTCTGGATCTGGCTGATTGCTTTCTCATGATGTCATTTAATTTGTCTATACTCTTTATTTCATACAAATTTACATATATATCTATATACACACTCAGTGGGCCCTTGAACCCTCATGTAGTTGAAAATCTGCATAAACTTTTGACTGCCCAAAAACTTATCTACTGTTGATTGGAAACCTTACCAATAACATAAACAGTTGATTAACAGATATTTTGTATATTATATGTATTATATACTATATTCTTACAATGAAGTAAACTGGAGAAAAGAAAATGTCCTTAAGGAAACCATAAGGAAGGGGAAATATATTTATTATTCATTAAGTGAAAGTGGATCATCAAAAAGGTCTTCAACCTCATCATCTTCCTGTTGAGTAGGCTGGGGAGATGGAGGAAGAGGAGGGGTTGGTCTTGCTGTCTCAGGGGTGGCAGAGGTGGAAGAGTTGGAGGAGGTGGAAGGGGAGGCAGGAAAGGCTGGGACACTTGGTATAATTTTTATTGGAAAAGATCTGTGCATGAGTGGACTCATGCAGTTGAAACCCATGTTGTTTGAGGGTCTAATGTTCAGTTACATTAAAATGCACAGTCTGCCTTGTTGTCCAGCTAGAACTTTCTGACCAACTTGATAGTAAGAGGGATTGTTAACAAAATTCAGACAGAGACTCATGTCATATCTTCAAAGATTGGGACACTTGACTAATAAATAATCTCTGCTTGTCCCCACAGGTGAGCCACCTACACACCCTAAGTCTAAAAGTCTCCAAGGAAAAAAGTACACATATTTCTTATTTGAGCTTCTATATTTTGAGGTCCGTTTGTTACAGCAGCTTAACCTGTCTTCTTTCCCACAAAGTTGTCAAGGAAAATATCTACATTAGAGATAATGGATAGTCATTATCCTATCAACAACAAATGGTGTTACTAGAGGTGTCATTATCCTCTAGTAACACCATTTATTGGTTAGTCCATTAATTACCCATTTATTTACAATGCCATCATTATTATATTTTGAATTCCAAGGTATACATAGGTATGAGTCTGTATTTTTTCCTTTTATTCATTTGTCTGTTACTATGCCAATTATACACTTTTTAAATGACACATTTTACTTTGAGATAATTGTAGATTCACAAAAAGTTGTAAGAAATAATACAGAGGCTGGGCACAGTGGCTCATGCCTGTAATCCCAGCACTTTGAGAGGCAAGGTAAGAGACTCTGTCTCTACTAAAAGTACAAAAGTTAGCTGGGCATGGTGGTGCACACCTGTAGTTTCAGCTACTCAGGAGGCTAAGGCAGGAGCATCGCTTGGACCTGGAAGGTGGAGGTTTCAATGAGCCAATATTGCGCCACTGCACTCCAGCCTGGACGACAGACAGAGACTCCATCTCAACAACAACATCAATGAAAAAATTTTTTTTTAAGAAATAATACAGAAATCCCATGTACCCTTTATCCAGTTTTCCCAGTGGTAACACTTACAAAACTATAATATTACAACATAGGTACCAACATTAATGCAGTCAAGATACAAAACATTTCCGTCACCACAAGGATCCTATTGCCCATTTATAATGACACCCATTTCCCTCCAGATCTCACCCCCTCTTTGATGCTTGTAGGTTACCTATTAATCTGTTTTCTATCAAATTTTTTCTTAATGTATTTGGGGGCTCTGTTATTAGGGGCTTTTATGTTTATAATTGTAACTGAGGATTTTATCAACATATAATGTCCTTTGTCTGTTATAATCTTTTTAAAAAATGTTAGGTCTGCTTCGACAACAATATAACCACCAGCTCTCCTTTGGTTACGACTTGCATGGAATATTTTTTCCTTCAAATTCTTTGTTTTCTTACATCTAAAGTGAGTCTCTTGTAGACAGCATACAGATGAATCATGACTTTTCATCCACTCTGCTAATTTGCCAATTAAAAATTGTTATATTTAGCCCATATCAGATGATCTGATATCTGATAACATATCTGACATGTTATATTTAACATATCAGAATGGAATTACTGATATATTAGGGCTTGAAATGAATTGGTAAGTATTTCTTGCTCTTTTACTTTCTGGAAGAGATTATACAGAATTGGTGTTAGGTTTTTTTTTTTGTTTTTTAAGACGGGGGGGTCTCACTCTGTCACCTAGACTGGAGTACAGTGGCACAATCTTGGCTCGCTGCCACCTCCACCTCCCAGGCTCAAGCAATCCTCTTGCCTCAGCCTCCCGAGTAGTTGGGACTACAGGCACACACCACTACACTTAGCTAATTTTTGTATTTTTTTGTAGAGACAGGATATCACCATGTTGCCCAGGCTGGTCCCAAACTCCTGAGCTCAGGTGATCTGCCCTTCTCAGATTCCCAAAGTGCTGGGATTACAGGTGTGAGCCACCACACCCAGCCAGAATTGGCGTTAATTCTTTCACCATTTGATAGAATTCTCCCATGAAACCATCTGGGCCTGAAGATTTCATTTTTGGGAGTTTTATATTATGAACTCAATTTACTTAATAGTTGCAGGACTATTCAAATTGTCTGTTTCATATTGGGTGTAGATTTTCCTTTTTGAGGAATTGGTTCATTTCATCTAAGTTACTAAGTTTATATGCATAATTATTCATAACATTCCCTTATTCTCCTTTTATTGTCTGGAGATCTGTAGCAATACCCCATTTTCGTCCTGCAATTGGTAACTTGAGTCTTCTTTTTTCTTTGTCAGTCTTGCTAGAGGTTTGTCAATTTTATTCATTTTTAAAAGAACTAGCTCTTTGTTTCATTTATTTTCTCTATTGTTTTTGTTTTTGTTTTAAATTTAATAGACAGTTGCTCTTATCTTTCTGCTTGCTTTGCATTTATTCTGCTCTTCTTTTTCTGGCCCTTGAGGAGGAAGATTAGATTATTGATTTGAGACTTTTCCTTTTTTTTTTTTTTTTTTTTTTGAGACAGAGTCTTGCTCTGTCCTCAGGCTGGAGTGCAATGGCATAATCTCTCTGCAACCTCTGCCTCCCAGGTTCAAGCAATTCTCCTGCCTCAGCCTCCCGAGTAGCTGGGATTACAGGCACACACCACCACGACCAGCTAATTTTTGTATTTTTAGTAGAGATGGGGTTTTGCCATGTTGGCCAGGTTGGTCTTGAACTCATGACCTCAGGTCATCTGCTTGCCTTGGCCTCCCAAAGTGCTGGGATTACAGCTACGAACCACCATACCCAGCCTCCTTTTTTCTAATATATGTATCTAGTGCTATATATTTATTTCTCATGGCCAGTCCCTATGGCTCACACCTGTGAACTGAGCACTTTGGGAAGTTGAGGTGGGTGGGTCACTTGGGGTCATGAGTTCAAGACCAGCCTGGCCAACATGGTGAAACTCTATATCTACTAAAAATATTAAAATAACCCAGGTGTGGTGGTACGCACCTGTAGTCTCAGTTACTCGGGAGAATGAGGTGGGAGGATTGCTTGGGACCAGGAAGTGGAGGCTGCAGTGAGCTGAGATTGCACCATTGCACTCCAGTGTGGGAGACAGAGTGAGACCCTGTCTTTAAAAAAAAAAAAAAAAAAAAAGTCTCTCTAAGCACTGTTTCATATGTCTGTCCTACATATTTTGATATTGCATTTTTATTTAGTTGAATGTATTTTTAAATTTCCCTTGAGACTTTCTGTTTGATCCGTGGATTATTTAGAAGTGTATTGTTTAGTTCCAAGTGTTTGAGATTTTTTTGTTATCTTTCTATTATTGGTTTATAGTTTGATTCCATTGTGATTGAAGAACACATTCTATATAATTTTAATTATTTAAACATTGTTGGTCAGGCTCAGTGGCTCAAGCCTGTAATCCCAGCACTTTGGGAGGCCGAGGTGGGCAGATCACCTGAGGTCAGGAGTTCAAGACCAGCCTGGCCAACATGGTGAAACCCCATCTCTACTAAAAATATAAAAATTAGCCGGGCATGGTGGTGGGCACATAGAATCCCAGCTACTTGGGAGCCTGAGGCAGGAGAATTGCTTGAACCTGGGAGGCGGAGGTTGCAGTGAGCCGAGATCACTTCATTGCACTTCAACCTGGGTGACAGAACAAGACTCTGTTTCAAAAAAAAAAAATTATTGAGATAATTTTATGGTCCAGGATGTGGTATGTATCTTGTGGGCACTTGAAAATAATGTTCATCCTGCTGTTTTCAATTGTAATGTTCTTGTTGGTTGATGATGTTAGGTTTTTCTGTACACTTACTGATTTTCTTTTCTTTTTTTTTTTTTTGACAGAGTCTAGCTCTGTCATTCAGGCTGGAGTGCAGTGGTGCAATCTTGGCTTACTGCAACCCCCACCTTCTCCTGCCTCAGCTGCCTGAGTAGGTGGGACTACAGCCACATGCCACCATGCCCAGCTAATTTTTGTATTTTTAGTAGAGATGGGGTTTCACCATATTGGCCAGGCTGGTCCTGAACTCCTGATCTTGTCATCCGCCAGCCTTGGCCTCCCAAAGTGCTGGTATTACAGGGATGAGCCACTGCACCTGGCCTCACTTGCTAATTTTCTATCTAATTGTCCTGTTCATTGATGAGAGAGGGGTGTTGAAGTTTCCAATATAATTGTGGATTTGTCTATTTCCCCTTTCAGTTATATCAATTTTCCCCTCTCTGTTGGACAGCTCTGAACATCAGTTTATTTACATATTTTGTAGCTCTGTTGTTTGATGCATACAATTTAGGATTGCTATGTCTCCTTGAGAGACTGACTTTCATTTTCTCTGCTTCTGGTACTTTTCTTTGCTCTGAAGTCTACTTTACCCATGCCAGGTGCAGTGGCTCACACCTGTAGTCCCAGCACTTTGGGAGGCCAAGACGGATGGATTCCTTGAGGCCAGGAGTTTAAGACCAGTCTGGCCAACATGGCGAAATTCTGTCCCTACTAAAATTATAAAAATTAGCTGGATGTGGTGGTGCATGCCTATGATCCTAGATACTCAGGAGGCTGAGGCATGAGATTCCCTTGATCCTGGAAGGCAGAGGTTCCACTGAGCCAAGATCATGCCACTGCATTCTAGCCTGGGCGACTGAGTGAGACTCTGTCTCAAAAAACAACAACAAAAAAATGAAGTCTACATTATCTGATAATAATATAGCCACCCCTGCTTTATTTTGATGGATATTTGCATGATATATCTTTTTAAAAAAATCCCTTTACTTTCAACCTGCCTATACAGTTACTGTGGTGCCCCCTTATCTGTAGTTTTTCTTTCTGTGGTCCAAAAATATTAAGTTTAAAATTCCAGAAATAAACAATAAATTCTAAATTGCTCATCATTCTGAGTAGCATGATGAGCTCTCTCACCATCCTTCTGTCTTCCACCAGGATGTGAATCATCCCTTTGTTCAGTGTATTTATGCTGTATACACCACCTGCCCGTTAGTCACTTAGTAGTCAGTCTTGAGGGTTATCAGACTGAAAAAACATCATATATATAGGGTTCGATACTATCCTCAGTTTCAGGCATCCACTGGGTATCTTGGAACATATCCCCTGCAGATAAGCGGGGACTACTGTATATTTGAAGTAAGTTTTTTTTAGACAGCATATAATTTGGTCCTATTTTCTATAAACTCTGCCAATCTCCATTTTTTAATATGTGTATTTAGACCATTTACATTTAATGGAATTACTGATATGTTAGGAATTAAACCTGTGGGTATTTGTTCTTGTTTTATGATTATTCTCTCTGTTTCTCATTTTTGTTCTTTTTCCTGCCTTCCTGTGGCTCAATGGAACATATTTTAGAATTCCATTTTGATAGTGTTTCTGAGTATATCTTTTTGTATAGTTTTTAAAATAGTCACTCTCACTATTATATTATCTATCTATCAATCTAATCACATTCTACTGATGTAATTTTTCCCAGTTAGAATGAAACATACAAACCTTATCTTTCTTGGCTGGACATGGTGGTTCACCCCTGTAATCCCAGCACTTTGGGAGGCTGAGGTGGGAGGATCACCTAAGGTCAGGAGTTTGATACCAGCCTGGCCAACATGACAAAAGCCTAAAACAAAAAATACAAAAATACAAAATACTAAAAATACAACAACAAAAAAAACTTAACCAGGAATGGTGGTGCATGCCTGTAATTCCAGCTACTCAGGAGGCTGAGGCAGGAGAATCGCTTGAACCCAGGAGGCGGAGGTTGCAGTGAGCTGATATCACACCACTGCATTCCAGCCTGGATGACAAGGGTGAAACTCCATCTTGAAAAAAAAAAAACCCTTATCTTTAAGTTCCTTTACTCTCCCCATTTTTAGTATAATTGTCTTAAATATTTCCTTTATATTCATTTAGAACCACACCAGGTAGCCTTATAATTTTGCTTCAACCATCAAATGTAATTTAGAAAAATCAAGAGGATAAGTTAGTTTATTAAATATATTCATGTTTTTGCTTACCATGTTCTTCCCTTCTTCCTGATGTTCCAAGATGTTCTATTATAATATCCATTCTGTTTAAAGAATTTCCCTTAGCCATTTTTAAGGGTAGACCTGCTGGCAACAAAGTCTCTTAGTTTTTCTTCATGTGAAAATGTCTTGATTAACCTCTTATTCATGAAGGGTATTTTTGCTGAACGTAGGATTCTCGGATAAGTTATTTTCTATCAACATCTGGAAAGTATGCCACTTCCTTCTAGCCTCCTTAGTCTCTGATTAGAAATCCACTGTCATTTAAATTGTTTCTCCCTTATAGGTAAGATACTACTTCTCTCTCACTGCTTTAAAGTCTTTTGCTTTGCCTAGTTTTCAGAAGTTTGTGATGTGTTTCGGTGTGGATTTCTTTGAGTTTAGCCTATTTGGGATCCACTTGACTTCTTGAGCCTGTAGGTTTATGTCTTTTGCCAAATTTGAGATGTCTTCAGACACTATTTCTTCAAGTACTTTTTTTTTTTCCCCCTACAGGGTCTCATCGCCCAGGCTGGAGTACAGTGGCACAAACATGGTTCACTGCAACCTCCCACTGCCTTCCAGGCTCAAACGATCTTCCCACCTCGGCCTCCTAAATAGCTGGGATCACAGGCACTCACTGCCACGCCCAGCTAATTTTTGTATTTTTTGTAGAGACAGGGTTTCACCATGTTGGCCAGGCTGGTATGAACTCCTGACCTCAAGTGATCCACCCACTTGGCTTCCCAAAGTGCTGGGATTACAGGCCATATTACCCAGCCAGTGTGGTACTCCTGAGCTCAAGGAGATCCGCCTGCCTTGGCATCCCAGAGTGTTGGGGTTACAGGCATGAGCCACTGAGCTTAGCCTCAGGTATTTCTTTCTTTCTTTCTTTCTTTTTAAAGGTATTGTTTGTATTGAATGTGTTGATCTGGGTATGTCTTTCTGTGTCACCCAGGCTGGAGTGCAGTAGCGCAATTTCAACATCTTGGCTCACGGCAAACTCTGCCTCCTGGGTTCAAGTGATTCTCCTGCCTCAGCCTACAGAGTAGCTGGGACTACAGGTACACGCCACCATCCCTGACTAATTTTTGTATTTTTACTAGCGACGGGGTTTCGCCATGTTGGCCAGGATGGTCTCAAACTCCTGGGCTCAAGTGATTTCCCCAGACTCACCTCCCAAAGTGTTGAGATTACAGGTGTGAGCCACCACATCCAGCCCTTAAGTACTTTTAAAACCTTGCTTTCTTTCTCCTCTCCTGGACTTCTGATGACAAGAGTGTTAGATCTTTTGTTATAGCTCCACAGGTCCCTGAGACTGTGTTCATTTTTTTTTTGTTTTAGTCTATTTTCTCTCTGTTCTCGAGTTGGGTAATTTCTATTTTCCTTTTTTTTTCAGTTTACTATTTTTCCTCTATTCTCTCCATTTTTACTGTTGAACTCATCCACCGAGTTCTTTGTTTTGATTGTTATATTTCTCAGTTCTAAAATTTTCATTTGGATCTTCTTTATGTCTTCTATTTTTTTGCTGAAACTTTCTAGTTTTTCATTTGTTTCAAGTGTGTTCACTGAAGTATTTTTATCATAGCTGCATAAAAATCTTTGTCAGATAATGTTAATATGCCTGTCGTCTCAATGTTGGCATCTATCAGTTTTCTTTTTTCATTCAGTTGAAAATTTCCTGGTTCTTCATATGGCAATTGATTTTCTACCAAAATGTGTACATTTTGAGTAATATGATACTCTTGATCTTATTTAAACCTTCTATTTTAGCTGGCTTTCTTTGATGCTACCAAGGCAAGAAAAGGGGTGCCTTCACCTCTTTACTGCCAGACAGGGGTAGAAGGCAAGGCCCTCCACATCATTTTTATTGACACTGCGGGGAGAACTACCCTCACTGGAGATGAAAGTCCTTACTCCTTACTCTGCCTTCCCTTGACACTGCTCCACTGGGTGGATGAATGGGGGAAGGGAGGGTCAATTTCCTCACTACAGCCTTGCAAAGATGGAAGTCTAGACTCCTCACTTGGTCTTTGCTGGCATGTTTGGGAGTTGAGCCATAGTTTTTTTTCTGTAATATTTAGCTACAGTAGAATGGCTATTGTCTAAAAGAGTGGTCCCCAAACTTTTTGACACCAGGGACTTGTTTCGTTGAAGACAATTTGTCCACAGACCTGGGGCAGAGAATGGTTTCAAGATGATCCAAGCAAATTACGTTTATTGTATACTTTATTTTTATTATTATTACATTGTAATATATAATGAAATAATTATGCACCTCACTGTTATGTAGAATCAGTGGGAGCCCTGAGCTTGTTTTTCTGCAACTAGACTGTCCCCTCTGGGAGTGATGGGAGGCAGTGGCAGATCATCAGGCATTAGATTCTCATAAGTAGCATGCAACCTAGATCCCTCGCGTATGTAGGTCGCTCTTATGAGAATCTAATGCCACTGCTGATCTGACAGGAGGCGGAGCTCAGGAGGTGCATCAACAAGTGATGGGGAGTAGCTGTAAATACAAATGAAGTTTTGCTGGCTTGCCCACTGCTCACCTCCTGCTGTGTGGCCTGATTCCTAACAGGCCACGGACCCGGAGTTGGGAATTTGATGTAGGCCAGGCACAGTGGCTCACGCCTGTAATCCCAGCACTTTGGGAGGCCAAGGCGGGTGGATCATGAGGTCAAGAGATTGAGACCATTCTGGCCCACATGGTGAAACCCCGTCTATACTAAAAATACAAAAAAATTAGCTAGGCATGGTTGCATGCGCCTGTAGTCCCAGCTACTTGGGAGGCTGAGGCAGGAGAATTGCTTGAACCCGGGAAGCAGAGGTTGCAGTGAGCCAAGATCACGCGACTGCACTCCAGCCTGGGCGACAAGAGTGAAACTCCATCCAAAAAAAGAGAAAGAATGGTCTTGGTTATACTCACGTACTTATCTTCCAGAAGAACTTTGGACTCAGCATTTAAAATCCCCCTTTTGAAAATCCCATTAGAGTTTTGATTAGGAATATATTGAATTTATAGATTAATTGGAGGAGTGTATATTTTTTTTTTGAGGTGGAGTCTTGTTCTGCCACTCGGGCTGGAATGCAGTGGCACGATCTTGGCTTACTGCAACCTCCGCCTCCCAGCTCAAGCAATTCTCCTGCCTCAGCCTCCCAAGTAGCTGGGATTACAGACGTCCAGCACCATGCTCAGCTAGTTTTTGTATTTCTAGTAAAGACGGGGTTTCACCACATTGCCCAGGCTAGTCTTGAACTCCTGACCTCAGGTGATCCGCCCACCTTGGCCTCACAAAGTGCTGGGATTACAGGCGTGAGCCACTGTGCCAGGCCTTGGAGGAGTATATCTACTGCATTAGAATATTGAGTCATTCCATTTAATACCAACGACTCTTTATATTTATTACTCCTGTATTTTATGTCCAACTTTGAAAAGTCATAGTTTTTTTAAATTTCTTGTTAGATAGATTCTTATATCATCACAGGTTTTTTTTTTTTTTTAAATTGGAAGTGGGATATTATTAACTAGCTATTTCTAATCAGTAATTGTCAATGTCTACAGAGTCATTAGTTTCTGTATATTCATCTTATATCTGGCCACTTTACTATGTCTTTTCATTAATTCTTCCAGTCGCTTTTTTCCCCCCTACTAAGCATCCTCTTCCCCCACATTTCTGGTAACAGCTGCAGGAGTGCATATACAATACAGTACAAGTCAATCATAGCGTCCCATGCTCCTGGATGAAAGGTTGGCGCATGACCCAAGACAAACCAATCAAAACCCTTCTTGGGATTTTTATGGCTGCAGTTGATATAAAAAAAAAAGGCTTATTTTTTCCCCTAGTTATGGTGTTCAGGTACCATCCTGGATGCCACTGGTAGCCAGCGTCCTCTAATTGCATGGAGAAACCCATTCTCATTTAGGAGACAATGAGGTTGAAACACAAAGTGGGAAACCAAGATAATAGAGAGAGAGATAAACTAGCAGTATTTGGTCCTTGTTCCCAATATATTCCTGCCTTTCCCATCTCATGACACAGTAAGTCCCCTTTTGTTTAAATTGAGTGGGTTGTTTATTTGCAACTAAAAGAATCTTGACCATACAGAACTGGTACCAGAAGTTGGGTGATGTAAGCAATTTGAAAAGTGAACCTGGACAAGTAGTGTGGAATGCAATGAAAACTCCCTCTTTCCATCCTGGGAAGGTAGCTATTCTCATGGTAGTGGATCAGCTGGGTTAACCATTTCCTGTTGTACCTTGGGAGTCAGATTATGTGGCCAAAAGTGCCGAAATTATTGGTGGACTTGATGGAAAATGTTAGATATTGAACATAATTTACTTCCTGTGGTCTTCAATATAGTGCTACAAGATAATAAAAATCTTTCTTTTAAGCTGGACCATCCAAGGAGGTTGGATAATTAGCTTTGTTAAGAAAGATTCAATCTATCTGTGGCCAATGATCTAATACCACCAAGAGACAATTGTGTGCTGTGCGTAACTGCAAAAGCTGAATTTTCTTCTCTATGCTCAAGTTAGGAGTCATCAGAGGAAATGATCTATTATACCCATAGTCTATTTTTTGTTTTGTTTTTATTTTTTGTTTTATATCTCTTTGTTCTACATGCACAGTGTCGAATAAACTGCCTTGCAGTCCCAGCAGCCCTCCCCTTATTGGAGTCTCAGCAGCTCCTGGGGCTATAGACTTATTTGATACCAGCAAGAAAGAGCAAGTCCATTTCACAGTGTACCCAGCAAAAGTCCTGTGATTCACTCCGGGCCGTTGTAGATCAAGTGCCCATCCCTAAGCAATCATTTTGACTGGGAGATGGGAATATATTGAGTGGCACATCCTAGATTTGGGAGTGGAAACAATCCCAGATTAAATATCCTGTCTGAGAATGGGACTGGGGAGATGGTTCCCCAAAGGAAATTCAAGGTCTCAATCCCAGACGGATGCTGGGAAGTGAACCCCAGATGTTCTAAGAAAGAACCTGAACCTAAGGCCTAGATGGCATCGTCAGAGCCTCCAGGCCTATTTCTAGGAGACAGGCACCACCATAGGCAGGTTCAGAGTCAAATTTCATAACTGGGCAAAATTGTTAGCATTGGTTCCTTGAACATGGTATCCCCAGGAATTGAAATGGCAGACAGTCAGCTAGGATTTAAGGGAGTTGTGTCACTAGAGAAATCCCAGGCCTGGCAAATAGGGGCCTCCGATGGCTCAGCCCTGAGGTCATTCCCACTCTATGCCAGCAGGAAGTGGGGTACTTGAGGACTTGAAACTCCTCCTAGGTCTGGCCATGGAGGGCAAAGGACGAGGTAAATTTAGGCAGTGGCCACAATCAAGGCAATCTGATCTGCTAAGAAACAACTGATTTCACTGCCAGGGAAGTGAGTTCTTGCAGGTCCTATCCTCCCACCTGGAGTGAATTTTCTAGACTGTGGACGACTGTTACTTTCCCTCCTCTCCCCTTCCTTTTTAAAAATATACACTACTTTTTTTTTTAAAACAAAAATCCTAAGTGCTGTTTGTTTGTTTGTTTTGAGACAGAGTCTTGCTCTGTCACGCAGGCTGAAGTGTAGTGGCGTGATCTTGGCTCACTGCAACCTCCGCCTCCCGGGTTCAAGTGATTCTTGTGCCTCAGCCTCCCAAATAGCTGGGACTGCAGGTGTCTGCCACCATACCCAGCTAATTTTTTTGTACTTTTAGTAGAGACGGGGTTTTGCCATGTTGCCCAGGCTGGTTTTGAACTCCTGGCCTCAAGTGATCCACCAACCTCGGACTCCCAAAGTGCTGGGATTACAGGCATGAACCACTGTGCCCGGCCTTAAGTGCTCATTTTTATAAAACAAAACAACATAGAAAGTTACAAAGTGAAACCTGAGTCTGTCCCCAGACCCTCCCTCTTTAGGTCCACTCTGACTCTCTAGAGAGTAACACCTTTAAGAATTAGGTGTGAATCTTCCAGTGCTTTCCCTGTATACATACAAATACAAGTATACATCTAAACCATAGAAGAGAGTAAAATTGAAAAAGTCTCCCTCTATCAATTCTGAGGCCCATTCCCAGAAGTAATTATTTTTAACTATTTCTCTTTTTGGCTTTCCTGATAGTACTTCCATGATGCTAGAAAATATGCTTCTATCTCTGTGCTTAATCCATCAAGTTTAAACAGTAGCTTCTGACTCCATGTAATGAAAGGTGATGAATTTAGCTTGCTTTCTCTGCTTCCTTCTTTCAGTCCCTGCCAGTCACATATTTATTTACTTCTTCTTCTATTATTTACTTTTAGAAATTTAAATAATATATTTCAACATCTATTTCCTGACTTCTTGTTGGATCATTGCCTGTACAAAAATGATTTTGTTTTATTCTCATACTTGATTGATAGTTTGGCTGGGTATAATTTCCTCTCAATATCAGTTAGGATTAAGGTTAGCTATAAATAAGAGACTCAAAATAGCAGTGGCTTAAACAAGTTGAAGTTTATTTCTTTCTTTTGTGAAAGACTGGAGGGGACTAGTTTCCTCCCAGTTTTCCAGTGTGTCACACTTAAGATGTGGCCCTTCTCCTCATGGTTCAAGAGGATGGCCTCATATTGGCTTTTTTTTTTTTTTTTTTGAGACGGAATCTCGCTTTGTTGCCCAGGCTGGAGTGCAGTGGTGTGATCTCGGCTCACTGAAACCTCTGCCTCCCGGGTTCAAGCAATTCTCCCACTTCTGCCTCCTGAGTAGCTGGGATTACAGGCGCGCACCACCACGCCCAGCTAATTTTTGTATTTTTAGTAGAGACAGGGTTTCACCATGTTGGTCAGGCTGGTCTCGAACTCCTGACCTCATGATCTGCCCACCTTGGCCTCCCAAAGTGCTGGGATTATGGGCGTGAGCCACCGCATCCGGCCCTCATATTGGCTTTCTAGGCAGCAGGATGGAGGAAGGTGCAAAGAAGGAAGGGACAGCCGGAACTTAGTCACATGGCCACACTTAGCTTCATGGAAGCCTGGATGTGGAACCTTCATTCTGGATGGCCATGCACCCAGCTGATTTTTTTCTTTTTTTTTTTTTGAGACATGGTCTCACTTTGTTGCCCAGGCTGGAGTACAGTGGCCTGATCACGGCTCACTGCAGCCTCAACTTCCTGAGCTCAAGTGATCCTCTTGCCTCAGCCTCCAAGTAGCTGGGAATACAAATGCACACCACCACACCCAGTTAATTTTTAATTTTTATTTTTTGTAGAGACACGGTCTTGCCATGTTGCCCAGGGTGGTCTTGAACTCTCAGGCTCAAGCAGTCCTCCTGCCTCAGCCTCCTGAAGTGCTGGGATTACAGGTGTGAGCCACTACACCCAGCCAAATATCAGGTGTTTGTGTTTCTTTGTTTTTTTGAGACAGGGTCGCACTCTGTCACCCAGGCTGGAATGTAGTGGCTTGATCTCTGCTCACTGCAGCTTCCACCTTCTGGGCTCAAGGGCTTCTTACCTCAGTTTCTTAAGTAGCTGGGATTACAGCCATGCACCACCATGCCCAGCTAATTTTTGTATTTTTTGTAGAGATGGGGTTTGGCCATGTTGGCCAGACTGGTCTCGAACTCCTGAGTTCAGGTGATCCACCTGACTTGGCTTCCCAAACTGCTGGGATTACAGGTGTGAGCCACTGCACCTGGCCAACTATCAGTCTTAATGCACCCTATACTCTTTGAGGGTTTTGCTCCACCTTCTTTCTTTTTGGACAAGGTCTGGCTCTGTTGCTCAGGCTGGAGTGCAGTGGTGCAATCATAGCTCAGTGCAGCCTGGAACTCCTGGGCTTAAATGATCCTCCCACCTCAGCCTCCCGAGTAGCTGTGGGACTACAGGTGTGCACCATCACGCCTAGCTCGCTTCCTTCTTCTTGCATCAGGTGTTGCTTATGAGATGTCAACTGAAAATCTGATTTTCATTTTACCTTTGTAGGTCATCTCTTTTTCCTCCTAGAAGTCTTCAAATGAGAGAGAATGACTTATGCAGAGCAATTGGGATGCGGGAGCACAAACCATTTCCTCACCATTCGCCACTGACTCGTGGTGCTTGTCCTCCCCACCAGACTCCGTCGTTCGCCTGCCTTCTGTGTCTGCCGCTCAGTGAACGTGGATGTCCTCCAGCTCTGGCTCGCCCTGAGTGATGGCATCCTCCTGTGGCTTTAGCTACCGCCCGTGAGATGAATCCCAAATTTATCTCCACAGCTTAATCCCTTTTCTCAACCTCTAAGGTACAAAATTATCTAGTCATCCACTGGGTATCTCCACCCGACTGACCGACAAGCACCTCCATCCCCCCCATGTGCCAATCTCAACTCTCCAGTGCCTCTCACCTCAAGCTGAACCTCCCATTTGTCCCTGTCTCAAGGAACTGGGCAAGTTTGCCCTTTATCCCAAGCCAGAACCTACCATTTCTGAGGTCTATACCTCTGTATGTTACTGTCCCTCCCTGAACTTTCTTCTTCCTTTGCTAATTCTCATTCATCTTCCATAACTCAGTTGAGGGACAATGTTTTTAGGAAAGCGTTTCCTGGTTTCCTCCTGCCTCAGTCTGTGTTGGGTGTCCTCTCTTGGGCTCCCAATGTCTGGAGAGTCCCTGTGCCCCATCATCACTGTATACTTCCTTTTTTTTTTTTTTGAGACAGAGTTTCTCTCTTGTCACCCAGGCTGGAGCGCGATGGCGCAATCTTGGCTCACTGCAACCTCCGCCTTCGGGGTTCAAGCAATTCTCCTGCTTCAGCCTCCCGACTAGCTGGTATTATAGGCATCTACCACACCTGGCTAGTTTTTTATTTTTAGTAGAGTCAGGGTTTCACCATGTTGGCCAGGCTGGTCTCAAATTCCTGACCTCAGGTGATTCGCCCACCTCGGCCTCCCAAAATGCTGGGATTACAGGTGTGAACCACTGTGCCCGGCCCATCACTGTATACTTTCTAATCATCTGAACCCTCACTGGGACTGTGAACTATGTGAAGTTAGACACTGGATCTCATTTTCGAATCTCCAGCTATAGTGGGACATCTGGCACATACAAGTGGCAGCTTCTTTTTTGTTTGTTTGTTTTGAGACGGAGTCTCGCTCTGCCGCCCAGGCTGGAGTGCAGTGGTGTGATCTCAGCTCACTGCAACCTCTGCCTCCTGGGTTCAAGCAATTCTCTGCCTCAGTTTCTCGAGTAGCTGGGATTACAGGCACCCGACAGGTAGCAGCTTCTATGGTTTGCTGTCCAGCCCATTTTTTGTGCACCTCCTGATAACTGCACCCCCATTTCTTTGAGGAACTGCCTCTCTCCCTCTACATGGTCCTGAGGAGCTGAGCTGTGGTGCTGTCTTCTACTTCCACCTCCTCTGCAAAGGCGGGCATGTGACCAGGCTGGGTTAATCAGTTTTTCATGTCCCTGGCAACAGTGGTTAGACCAATGGGTATCAGTGACCCAAGCAGGACCAATCAGATTCTTTTTTGGAATTACCCTACAGACACTGGAAGGAGGTCCCTTTCATGTTGGGATTGCTAGTTGAGATGTTATAGGCATGGGGCTGCAGGTGGCCATCTTCCCGCCTTCTGGAGGGAGTCGGTGTGTAGAAAAAAGGCAAGCAGACACAAGTGGAGATGAGACATGGGCAAGGATGGAGCCCTGGTGGCCTTGTGTCCTGAGTTCCAGTCCTGTTGGTGCCTGTTGCCCTCCTTCAGCCCTTTAGACTCTTAGAGTACAGTGTCCTCCCAGTGTGAGCCAGCAAGTTCCCTCTTAAAGTTGGTTTGAGTGGGTTTCTGCTGCCTGTAACTAAAAGAGTTCTGACTAATAGAGGACTCCACACAAATCTAATGAAAACACTCATAAACTAAGTGAACCATCTCAGGCGCCTCTCTCCCACCCTCTGAGGTGGTGCAGCAAGACCTCCTCATCTATGCTCTTTGAAGAGGCTGATACTACCCCCTGCCTGCACTTGCAGTCTCCAGTCTGAACTCTGCAGCATGGCAAGTGAGACCTTTGTGATCTGACCTCAACTTCCCCAGCAAATTTCCCATGCTCTTCCTAGGCAGTCTCTGTTCCAGCCAGTTCCTTGCACATAGGTCACTGAACTTGCCCTGTTGTTTCAGATGGCTGCATGTGCCTCACATTGATGCTCTTATCCTAGCTGATTAATCCTGACCCACCCTCCAAGACCAATCCCAAGGGCATCTCCTCAAAAGCCTTTCCTGCCCCACCCAAGCATAGTTCAGCCCCCTTTTCTGCAGTAATCACCCCCCACTGCAAACCCATCACATGAAATCACAGTCATTGCTTACTCATCTGTCCTTCCTCTACTATGCAGGGTCCCTCAAGGGCAGAGGCATGTTCTTTATCTGCCTTTGTAGCCCTGTCTCCCAGCACTCATAGTATATTGTCAACAAACACATGTTGTGACTGGTCTTGGGAAGAGACTTCATTTCCTTCTCTATAAAATGGTGGAAAGGGAGTTCTTCTGACCCTGCACACCCCCAGGTTTCAGGTTTCAGAAGAGAGGCAAGTCTTATGATCATCCATCAGGACCCACTCCATGCCAAGAGGGTGGAGAGCAGAAAGACACTGTGGACCTCATCGGACTAGCCCGTGTCTACACTGGCTTCTGGTACAGTTGATGATGGGTCCATTTAACTTAGAGTACCCTGATTCTCCCTGAGAGTCTCTGAGCTTTGAGCAGCCCAGTCTCCTCCCTCATTTTCCACCACCAGATGTGACAAAAAGAGAGGGGAGGTTCTAGGAGGTCTCCTGACCCTCCATTCATGTGTCAGGACAGAGACATCCTGGGGAGGTGCTGGAGGAGCTTTGGGGAAGTCAGAGAAGAGGACTGGGAAAATTCTCTCTGTTGCATGCACTCAAGTCCCTGGCTGTGACTGTGTTACTGTATGAGCCTTCCCACACCAGTGGGAGGCAGTATAGTGGAGTGCTTAACAGCAGAGAATCTGGAATCCAGAGTAGCTGTGCAGCTTTAGGCAAGTCACCTAACTTCTCTGTCCCACAATTTCCTCATCTGTAAAATAGGGATGATAAAAGTAGTTACCTCACAGGGTAGCTTGTGAGGAAGAAGAGTTATTTCTAAAGCACATAATGACTGCTATTAGTTGCTTATATATACAATAATAGGGTTTCCTGTGTTGAAACTTAATCTTGGGACCCATGAATTCTTTTTGTCCTTAATAAAGAGACCACTCAATGGGCCCATGAGCAGAGTGGGGGTGGGATGGAAATGGTTATGAAACTGCAGTCATGTGTCCCTTAATGACGGGTAGGGATGCGTCGTTAGGTGATTTCATTGTGGTGGGAACATCAGAGTGTACTTCCACAAACCCGGATGGTATAGCCCACTTCACACCTAGGCTATGCGGCATAGCCTATTGCTCCTAGGCTACAAACGTGTACAGCATGTTACTGCACTGAATACTGTAGGCAATTGTAACACAATGGTAAGTATTTGTGTATCTAAACATATAAAATGCACAGTAAAAATACCATATTATAATCTTATGGGACGACTGTCATTTATGCGGTCCATTCTTGACAAATATTATGCGGTGCATGACTGTGCATGGAAGATGGAAAAGACATAGTGAAATTCCTCAAGCATCCACAAGAGGGCTCCCCAATCTCCCCAAAGCACCCACTTCACTATGATGAAGAGCCTCGTAGGACTCATTGCCTTTTCTTCTACTTGGGTATCTATCGAAGCAGGTCAGTGAGAATCAGGCCACAAATGTGTGATGATGGCTGAAGGTGCCGCCTAGTGATGGCAAATGACCCATATAGAAGCATCTCCTAACTCAGGCTGTGTGCACCCCAATACACACCACCTCTTATCCCGCAGAGACACAGATATCCCCAACCTTTAGCCCTGTCCCCCAGGACACTGGGGAGAGGGAAAGTCACATTCTCTGTGGAAAACTATGCCTGTTCCCTCCCCCACGCCCACCCCTGGGAGTCAGGCCCCTCCACCAGCCTCACCCACTGGGCCCTCATAGTGATCTGGCCCCTAAGCAGCCACAGACCTCTCCCCAACCACTCCTGCCTCCCCAGCTACCTGAGCCTGACCATGGTCTGGGCTAGGTCATGTGGGTCTAGCTCTGGCCCTCACCTCTGGTTTTTGGGAGAGAGTTGTTAGTGGGATGGGAGTGAGGTGGGGAGATGGGAGACATCCCTGTGTCCTGCAGAGAGGGTGAGGATTGGGGTGAGAACAGGGTGGTGATTAGGCCCACTGCCCAATTCAGCAGAGAACTCATGAGTGACAAGGGACGCCACTGCTCTGGCGTGTACCTAGGAAGCGGGAGAGAAGGTGGAAGATCAGAAGAGAGGTCACGCAACCCTCCCTCCCTACAATGCAGGCCCAGGCCACCTCCCTGAAGCTGGGCTCTGTGGGGATGCAGCCCGCAGGGATCCAGACGTAGCGGAGTCACTCCTGACCCCTCACCCTCCTTTCCCAGCTCTCACATGCGTAGAGGGAGTGAGGGGCAGAGGAAAGAGCACTGAATTCTTCAGGAGGCCTGGGTTCTAGGCCTGCTCTGTCATGCACTGTCATCGCCCCGCTGAGGTTCAGGTTCCTCATCTGTAAGGAAGGATATGACACCATCCAGCCCCAGCAATGGCAGATTGGCTCTCATGGATGATGGAATCAGAGTTTGGAAGGGAGCGGGGATAAGGGCCCTGCCAACTGTAGATGGGAACCATAGTTCCTAAAATTACCTACCAGTTTAGTTGCGGCAGGAGCAGAGCAGACCCTTAGTGGAGTCTAAGGTCCACCATCACTCTCTTAAAAGACAGGGTTACTTCGCCATCAGTTCCTGGGACAGAGCACCATCCCGTGTCTGCCATCTGACTAATCCTCCTCTCCAGCTACAGAGGCTTGGGCTGTGGGGAGTCTTGCCCCACCCACCTCAGATACAGAAGACAATGTGGTTAAAAGAGGCCAGAAAGTTCTAGAAGAGCTGGCAAAGATGCAGGTTGAGAGGACAGAAATGGGCACTTGCCCCCAGGCATCACCTTCAGCGCACACTCTGGGACCGACCCGGGTGGCCCAGGGGTGGGATGTGGCGGGGACATGTGGACCCCGAGGCGCCTGCAGGCCGGCGGGTGTGGACAGCAGCCTTGCAGGAAGGAGCAGCGCGGGGCAGAGCCCGGGGCTCTCGGTGCAGCAGGCCGGGTGGCCACGGGGCAGAGCCGGAGGACCAGAGACGCCCGAGCGGGAGGGACCCGGCGCGCCTTGGCCTCGATGGCCTGCGCCCTGAGCGGCGCGGACCAGTCCGCTGCCTTTCTCGGCTTCCTGGGGGCTGCCGGGCTCGGAGCACGCGGAGAAGGCGCAGGGTTCGCAGCAGCGCTCGGACTCAGTCCCCCAATGGCGGGGAAGACCGGCTGGGACCCGGGCCGGGGGCCAGGGAGGCAGCAGAGTCTATTCGTGGTCCGTCCGCACACAGCGGGGTTCCGCTCACCAACAGTGACGAGGGGCGCGGCGGGACCCGCAGAGAGAGCAGGTCCCTGGCAGCCGTCATCTTGGTGGCCCTCTACCACCCTAGCTACTGAAGAGGCTGAGGAGGCTATAGGATGGCCACAGAAAAGGCACCTCAGGTCCCCTCAATTAAAGTATTGAGGATCAAGAGGTGGTTGGATTAGACGAAGGAGGGTTAGACCCTTTTTTTTTTTTTACTTTTTAAGTTCTAGGGTACATGTGCACAATGTGCAGGTTTGTTACATATGTATACATGTGCCACGTTGGTGTGCTGCACCTATTAACTCGTCATTTACATTAGGTATTTCTCCTAATGCTATCCTTTCCCCAGCCCCCCACCCCAAGACCGGCCGCGGTGTGTGATGTTCCCCGCCCTGTGTCCAAGTGTTCTCATTGTTCAATTCCCACCTACGAGTGAGAACATGCAGTGTTTGGTTTTCTGTCCTTGTGATAGTTTGCTCAAAATGATGGTTTCCAGCTTCATCCAAGTCCCTGCAAAGGACATGAACTCATCCTTTTTTATGGCTAGGAGGGGTCAAGGACCAATGGCCTCTTTCCAGGCTCAAATGCTCCTTTGCATTTCTTTTGATCACTGTTGTTTTTTTCTTGCAGATCAAAGTGATGAAAGTCAATTTTAGAAAATTTGAGAATTTACAACAAAAGTAAGAAAATTATAAATTGCTCCTAATGTTATCACCAAGAGACAATCTTATTGTCTTTATTAATATTAAATTAATATATACAAAATCACACTGTATTTAAATTTGGCTGGTCACGGTGGCTCAGGCCTGTAATCCCAGCACTTTGGGAGCCCAAGGAGGGAGGATCGCTTGAGTCCAGGAATTTGAGACCAGCCTGGGCAACATAGGGAGACTCCGTCTCTACAAAACATACAAAAACTAGCCGGGTGTGGTTGTGTGTGCCTGTAGTCCTAGCTGTTTGGGAGGCTGAGATGGGATGATCGCTTGAGCCTGGGAGGTTGAGGCCGTAGTGAGTGAGCTGTGATCACACCACTGCACTCCAGCCTGGGTGACAGAGTGAAACCCTGTCTCAAAAATAAACAAACAAACAAAAAAAAACAAAAAAACCAACATTATATCAAGAACATTTTCCCATATCATCAAATAATTTATAAAAGCATGATTTTTAAAGTCCATATTATATTTAATTGGAAGAGTAGATGACAACTTATTTAGTCAATTCCTTATTGATAGAAGGTTAGATTGTCAATCTCTAAATAGTCTCTAAATTTTGCCACAGCCAACATCCTTGCACATGAATCTGTGCCAACATATGCCTATTCTTTTAGGATAAGAACTAAGACAAGAACCATTGGGTGAAATATTATGAATTTTTTTTCTCAAATTTATTTTTATTCCAAAAGAAGTACCAGCTCCTTGTAAATGATATAACCAGTCCTAAAGGACCCAGAAAAGAACACTGAAGTCTCTCTCCACTCTTTGTAAACTCCCCGGAGGTGACAGAGCCCTCATTTTTCCAGGAAGAGGTCAAGATTTTCCTGTGTGCATTGTGAGGTAGACATACTCTTGTATATATATGTATATGGCAAGGAACAGCAGATCACACTTATAACCCCTTCTTTCTCTTTTTAAAATTAAATACATCATTTTGTGAAAAACACACATTTGGCCAGGTGTGGTGGCTCATGCCTATAATCCCAGCACTTTGGGAGGCCAAGGCGGGTGGATCACTTGAGGTCAGGAGTTCAAGACCAGCCTGACCAATGTGGTGAAACTCCGTCTCTACTAAAAATACAAAAATTAGCTGGGCGTGGCGGTGAGTGCCTGTAATGCCAGCTACTCGGGAGGCTGAGGCACGAGAATCGCTTGAATCTGGGAGGCAGAGGTTGCAGTGAGTGGAGATTGCACCACTGCACTTCAGCCTGGGTGACAGAGCAAGACTCCGTCTCAAAAAAAAAAAAAGAAAAAAAGAAAAACACACATTAATTGTCAACAACAACAACGAATCAGATCAAACTGGGAAGGAGAGTAGAGTGTGAAAAGCTGGGGACTGAAGGCCTCTTCGGACTTGCAGTGTCCCTGTGTCGCTGTGTCGGTAGGAGTGGTCACAGTGATGCGAGCCTGGCATACTCCCTGTGAGTGCCTATCAGGAGAGGTCCCCAGACTCCTGAGGCTGGAGTGCTGGAGGGGAGACCCCAGAGTTGGGGGGGGGGGGCGTGTAGATTGGGTGGAAGTCATTATCTCAGTGCCATTAAGGTCCATGATTCTGGGGAGACAGGGGACCCAAGTCGCAGGGGAAGGACTGGCCTCTTTGGCAGAACCTGGAACAAAGACTTGCAGGTCCTCGGCCTGCCTGGGGTGCACGGCTTTCCAAGCCAAGGGAACTCTCTCAGCAAACTAAAGGGACCCTCCCTGCCTGGACATGGGCCACCTGATCCGAACAGCTCTGGCTCTGTTGGGCTGAACTGCTCTCCTGCACACAGCTGGGCCACCACCCTTCAGGCCCTCCCTTACTAGTCTGAGAGCCCAGAGGCCTCCTCTGCCCTCCTCAAGCAGAAGACCCTCCTCTATGCCAACCCCCAGAGCTGAGGAAATTCCAACAACCCAAGCAGCTAGTTGAGAAGAACCATGAGTGGGCAAAGATCCCAGGCCATTTAAGATGACTGTGGTTCAAAGGAGAGATCATGAAGCGGGACCTGAGGAAGGCTGGACCATGCATGGGTCACCCGTGAAGGACAATACCCCCAGGCCATCGCACCCTGGACTGTCCCCAAGGACCTGTGTGAGGGGCTGTCACTTGAGGGACTTTTAGATGATACCCATGACCGTGCTGTAGAGATGCTTTCCATGTCGCATATTAACAGTTGTGGGTCCAATGGGGTGGGTTTCCTGCCCGGGAGTTCTGCTCTGACACTTGAGGCTATGGTTGACATCCTCCTTCCAACCCCTAGGGTGAGGTCTTACTCACTCTAGGTAGGTGACCACGCATCTCAGCTCAGTCTGCTGCTAATTAAATGCTCAGCTGTTACATGGAGATAGAATTAAATCAGGAGTCTGAGGAAGCTGATCATTATCACAACAATTATGTTCTGTTTGGTGCCTACAATGGCCCAGGCATTTTACATCGCTTTTTACTTTTTTAGTGTTTATAATTGCCTCCCAGGTAAATACTCTTCCCTGGTTTACTGAAGAAGAAGTGAAGTTCAAAGAAATTCAGTAACTTAACCAAGAAAAAATCAGTAGCAGATTATGGGCTGGGGCTCATGTTTTTCATTTCTCTATGTTCTTAAAACTTTTGAAAGACTTATATAATATTTTTTACATTTAAGTGAAATTATAACAAGGATAACTTTACCCTAATATGACAACAAAAGCAAATTGCTTGGAAAACCTGGAAAAACCAGAACAAAGTTCCATGTGGGTTGTCACTTCTAAGACTGACTACATCCCTGAGATGAGCTGTCAGTGATCATCAAATCAAAGATCACTGTCCCTGGAATCACCTGAGAGGAAATGAACAAATTAACAAAAAAGAAAAATAAGAAAGCCCAAAGACTGGAAAACAGTTGTGCAGTTTCTTATAAAACTCAACATACCCTTACCATATGCTCCAGCAATTCCACTCCTCAGCATTTATCCCAGAGAAATGAAAACTTCTGTTCACAAAAAAGCCTGTACACAAATGTTCATAGTGGCTCTATTTATAAGAGCTCCAAATTAGGAAAAACCCAAACGTCCTTCAATGAGTGAATGGATGAACAAACTGTGGTTCATCTACACCATGGAATACCACTCCCAGTAAAAAGGAACGGGTTCAGCAGGTGAGGTGGCTCACGCCTGTAATCCCGGCACTTTAGGAGGCCGAGGCAGGCAGATCACTTGAGGTCAGGAGTTTGAGAACAGCCTGGCCAACATGGCAAAACCTTGTCTCTACTAAAAATACAAAAGTTAGTCGGGTGTGGTGGCAAGCGCCTGTAATCCCAGCTACTCAACAGGCTGAGGCAGGAGAATCACTTGAGCTGGGGAGGTGGAGGTTGCAGTGAGCGGAAATCGCATGACTGCACTTCAGCCTGGACACCAGAGTGAGACGCTGTCTCAAAACAAAACAAAGAACAACAAAAAACAAACAAACAACACACACACACACACACACACACACACACACACACACCAGAACGGGTTACTGTGACACACACAACTCAATGAATCACCAGGACATTACAATGAGTGGAAAAAAGCCAATCCTCAAGGTCACCAAAGCTAGAGCTCTGAGAAAAGGTCCCTAAAATACCTCACATAAGATGGTGTCAGGATGGGGGTGGTTTTGAAGGGAGAGCCTGGGGGATTCCTTTATCTGACCCGACAAGAGACTTTTTTCTCTCTCTGCCTTATCTGGGGAGAGGCTGATTTCTCCAGGATGAAGACTCATGGGGCTGGTCTATACCGTACTGCCATATAAGTGTACATGAAAAGATTCTTTCTTTTTTTTTGAAATGGAGTCTCACTTTGTCGCCCAGGCTGGAGTACAGTGGTGCGATCTCATCTCACTGCAACCTCCACCTCCCGGGTTCAAGCAATTCTTCTGCCTCAGCACCCCTAGTAGCTGGGACCACAGGTGCGCACTTCCACACCCGGTTAATTTTTGTACTTTTAGTAGAGACAGGGTTTCGCCATGCTGGCGAGACTCCACCTTGGCCTCCCAAAGTGCTGAGATTACAGGCTTGAGCCATCATGCCTGGCTTTTTTTTTCTTTTTCTTTCTTTCTTTTTTTTCTTTTTTTGAGAGTCTTACAATGATACCCAGGCCAGTCTTAAACTCCAGGCCAGTCAAGTGATCCTCCTGCCCAGCCTCCCGAGTACTTGGGATTACAGCCATGTACTATGGTACCTGGCTTTGAAACCTTTATTCTTCCTCAACCCCTCTCTCCCACCGCCTCTCCAGCAAACCAACAGACCATCATCCCTGCTACCGTTTTAAGCCTCTTTATCAATCCCCTGTCTCTGGAAGGATGGTCTTTCTCCTGCCCCAGCTTTCCAGGGGCAGATCATTTTCAGCTCATACCATTCCCCAGTCTCAGGTCTGCAAATACAGAACAGACACTGAAGACAAGATTTTCTGATACCTGCCTTCTGTGAACATCACTTCATTCCCTGTGGCTTTTCCCAGCCCCTCCTTCAATGGAAAAACCATCATGTTGTCTTGTAAGAAAATGTCATGGAATGGTAAGCTGACCTGAACTTGGCCATGAGTACCCTTCCTGACCCATGAGGTAGGGTCCTTACAGGCCACACCCTTGCCATCCCCAAGTGTGCAGACCCCATAAAAACAGGTGAATTTCTTCCATGTCCTCTTCACATCCCATTCAGTATGCCCCAAATCACATCTCTCCTTGTCTCAAGTAGCAACTCCCATCCTACTGCACTTGGCTCCCATTTTCCCAACACATCCTTCTTCCATCTCATACAAACACCCCTTTCCACAGAGGCAGGTAGAACCTCCATTCTAAGATGTAAAAAATTTTTCCTTCCCCAGCTTGTACACACAATGGCCTTCTGCTGTCCCTGTAACTTATCTGACATGTACTTCTCTTTGAACACACTTCTTTCCTCACGGTCCTCTCTGGATGAGGTTCGCATCTTCCCCAGCCCCTCATACCACAGGGACAGTGGGGGAGGTTTGGGATTATTCTGGCTCTTATTTTCACTTCTAACAACTCCTCAGGAAACTGTGGCCCAGTGTCAGTCCCTATTCTTTCTTTTTTTCTTTCTTTTCTTTTTCTTTTTCTTTTTTTTTTAGAAATGGGATCTTGGCCGGGCGCAGCGGCTCACGCCTGTTATCCCAGCACTTTGGGAGGCCAAGACGGATAGATCACTTGAGGTCAGGAGTTTGAGACCACCCTGGCCAACATGGTGAAACCCCATCTCTGTCAAAAATATTTAAAAAAATAGCGGGGTGTGGTGGCGCATGCCTGTAATCCCAGCTACTTGGGAGGCTGAGACAGGAGAATCGCTTGAACCCAGGAGGCGGAAATTGCAGTGAGCCAAGATCATGCCACTGCATTCCAGTCTGGGCAATAGAGCGAGAGTCTATCTCAAAAAAAAAAAAAAAAAAAAGAGAGAGACACAGAGTCTTGCTAAAATGCCAAGGCTGGCCTCTAACTCCTGGGCTCAAGCAATTGGCCCTCTTCAGCCTCCTGGAGTAGCTGGGACTACAGATGTGTGCCACCATGCCCAGTGTCTATATTAATGAGATGTAAGGTCAGAGAAAGATCTGCGCATAGACAAGAGATATCTTTCCTTCTCTGTAGGTCCATCTTACACCACCAATTTGCATCTGTCACTGAAAACAGATGAGCTATGGCATTAGAAAGGGGTTCCAGAGTGCTCGTAAATCTTCAAAAGCCCATTTCATCAGCATCAGCCTTACCAGCAAGTAGCTGATAGTGAAGATAAACCAGAATTTCCTCTTTCTAATTCCTATATATTCTGACATTTTCTTGGTAAAGGTGTGTGTGAGTGTGTGTGTGTGTGTGTGTGTGTGTGTGTCTTGTATAAAGCAGGGAGGTTGATTTTGCCACACACCACAGTCTGATGTGAATTCGACCCATGAGGAGCTCCTCTCTGGTTGTGTATGATTTGTGGGTGTCACCCTCCATCATTTCAGTACTGAGACATATTTTGTTTTTATTTTTAGTTTTGATCACTTTAGGAATACAAGGGTTTAGACATCCCTGTATTATGCTAGCAGCTTTCCTAGAATTCCTACCTTTCGGCCAGTGGATCACTAATCAGAGCAGACTACAGATGTCCCTTAAACTGTGCTAGGTTTATAAAGACCCTTATAAGGCATAGCTCACACCCCATCAGGAAAGTCATGACTGGTAGAGGAACCATGTGACCTAATTGTCTGGAAGAGGGTAGAAGAAATGAGACAGAGGCTTCTCTCATCTTTGCTGTTGCAGAAGACCAGGCCCAGCACAGAGAAGTGGAGCATCAACACCCTGTCCCAGATGTCCAACACCGTTCTCTTCCCATATCCCATGGAGGTTCCATGGGACTGAGAATCTGTTTTGGAGAATAAACGCTGAGTCAAGACCTCTTTGAAGACAGTCAGCTCCAGGAGAGGCAATATAGTCCTGGCCATAATTGAAACTTTTACTGAAACTTTCTCTAGGAAGTCCCAGGTTCAAAGGCAAAGATTTTGGATGAGGTCCTAGCAAGTACAACAGTGAGGAATCCAAAGCACTGTAGACCCCAGGTCAGCGCTTTCCGCTGTCCATGGTGCTGGAGGCTGCAAGAGTTTTGGAGCAGAGGAGACTGATAGGGAGCTAATTATGACATATGGCCTAGTGGTCAATAATTTGAGAAGGTTCCCCATTAGGATCATGTGAAATCACTCCATGAGGAGGCCTCCCATCTTGACCTCAGCTAGACTGCTGCACTAACCTTTCGAATCTCCCACTGGGATGTAGGGTCCTGGGAATCATATTTTAGAGTAAGCTTGAAAAAACAAAAAACAAACAAACAAACAAAAAAGTGAGATTGATAGGCAGTGACCTAATTGTACATTGGGGAAAAAGTGAAAGTTACAACAAACTTCACAGAACAGGAATTATATACATTTTACTTTCTGACCATAATGCAATTATGTTAAAATTTAATATTTGAAAATGAAAACAGATCTAAATAATTCACAGGGCCATGCATGGTGGCTCACGCCTGTAATCCCAACACTTTGGGAGGCCAAGGTGGGAGGATGGCTTGAGGCCAGGAGTTCAAGAACAGCCTGGGCAACAAAGTGGGACCCTGTCTCTACAAAAAAATTTAAAAATTGGCTGGGTGTGGTGGCATAATGCTGTAGTCCCAGCTACTGGGGAGGCTGAGGTGGGAGGATCCCTTGAGCCTAGGAGTTTGAGATTGCAGTGAACTGTGATCATGTCATTGCACTCCAGTCTAGGTGACAGAGCGAGACACTAAATAATAATAATAATAATTCATAGGTCAAAGAAGAAAGCACAGTGAAAATTTTAAAGTACTTAGAACTTAATTAAATGATAAAATGGTATAAAAGTTATTCATCCTTTTAACAGATTAACAGAAAAAAAACATATGATCAACTCAATAGATGCAGAAAGAAATTAAGTTCAATGTTAATTTGTGATTTAAAAAACGAGCCTTAGAAGATTAAGAATAAAAGAGAACTTTCTTAACTTGAGAAAATATGTCTACAAAAATCCTATAATAAATGCCATCCTACATGGGGAAATGTAAGCATTCCCTTTAGAATCCAAGGTTGATGAAGTTGTGGAAGGAGCTAGTGAAGCTAATTTGACATTTTGGCAGGAACCAGAAACCTAATCTCTATTTTAAAGTATATAATCCTGAATTTATCAATTTTGGAATGGAACAGTATGTTAAAACACCCTCAGAAATTTGTGCTATCTTTATGAAATATGTTACAGAAAAATGAAGGTATTAGCAAAGGTATCTTGCTTTGTTTTTGTTAAAATGTTTCTTTTTTGTTTTTTGTTTTTGTTTTTGTTTTAAGATGGAGTTTCACTCTTGTTGCCCAGGCTGAAGTGCAATGGTGGGATTTCAGCTAACCGCAACCTTACCTCCCAAGTTCAGGCGATTCTCCTGCCTCAGCCTCCCGAGTAGCTGGGATTACAGGTGCTCATCACCATGCCCAGCTAATTTTTTGTATTTTTAGTAGAGATGGGGTTTCATCATGTTGGCCAGGCTGGTCTCGAACTCCTGACCTCAGGTGATCCACCCACCTTGGCTTCCCAAAGTGGTGGGATTACAGGTGTGCGCTATTACTCCTGGCTAATTTTTGTATTTTTAGTAGAGACTGGGTTTCGCCATGTTCGTCAGGCTGGTCTCAAACTTCTGGCCTCATGTGATCTGCCTGCCCCGGCTTCCCAAAGTGCTGGGATTACAGGTGTGAGCCACCGCACCCAGCCCCAAAATTAAGTGTATTTCTATAGACCAGCAATGAATTATCAGAAATTGAAAATTGTGGCTGGTCACAGTGGCTCACACCTGTAATCCTAGCACTTTGGTAGGCCGAGGCAGCCCGATTGCTTGAGTCCAGGGGTTTGAGACCAGCCTGGACAACATGGCGAAACCCTGTCTACAAAAAATACAAAAAACTAGCTGGGCATGGCACACACCTGTGGGAGGCTGAGGTGTGAGGATAACCTGAGTGAGGGAAGTCAAGGCTGCCATAAGGCTGCAGCGAGCCAAGAGCATACCACTGTACTTCAGCCTAAATGACAAGAGTGAGACCCTATGAAAGAAAGAAAGAAGAAAGAAAGGGATAGAGAGAGGGAGGGAGGGAGGAAGGAAGGAAGGAAGGAAGGAAGAAGGAAGGAAGGAAGGAAGGAAGGAAGGAAGGAAGGAAGGAAAGAAGGAAGGAAGGAAAGAAGGAAGGAAGGAAAGAAGGAAGGAAGGAAGTTGAAAAATTTTAAAACACCATCTTTGTGCAGTGGCTCATGCCTGTAATCCCAGCACTTTGGGAGGCCAAGGCAGGCAGATCACCTGAAGCCCGGAGTTCAAGACCAGCCTGGCCAACATGGTGAAACCCCATCTCTACTAAAAATACAAAAATTAGCCAGATGTGGTGGCAGGTGCCTGTAGTCCCAGCTACTCTGGAGGCTGAGGCAGGAGAATTGCTTGAACCTGGGAGATGGAGGTTGCGGTAAGCCAAGGTCGCGCCACTGCACTCCAGCCTGGGCAAAAGAGCAAGAGTCTGTCTCAAAATAAATAAATAAATACATAAATAATAAAACAAAAACACCATCCCATCTTCAATGGCATTAAAATATGAAATACTTGGGGAAATGGAACAAAAGATGTGCTTGATCTACACACCACTGAAACCTATAAAACTTCCTGAAAAAAATTAAAGACCTAAATAAACACAGAAATATGCCATGCATATGGATCAGAAGACTCAATATTGTTACCACACTAATTCTCTTCAAATTGAACTATAAATTCAACGTGATCCTAGCCAAAATCCCAGCAGGCATTTTTTTTGGTAGAAAAAATCACATGCCAATTCTAAAATTTATATAGAAATTCAAAGTACTCGAAACTAGCCAAAACAATTTTGAAAAAGAAACATGAAGTTGGAGGAATTACACTACTTGATTAGACATTATACATAAAATTGCAACAATCAAGACTGTGTGATAGTGTCATAATATAAACAAATAAATCAGTGGAACAGATTGGAGAATCCAGACATAGATCAACTCCCCACAGGCATAAAGGCAATTCTGAGGGGGGAAAGGATAGTTTTTTAATCAAAAATGCTAAAAAGTGTGGGTATCTGCGTGCAACAAACGAAAGAAAAGAAAAACCACATTCAAAAATTTCCTCAAATGGATCGTAGACATACATGTAAAACTACAAACCTGGAAGAAAATCTTTGTGGTCTTAGGCTAGCCAAAGATTTATTAGACACAACACCAAAATCTTGATTTGTAAAATTTAAAAATGAATAAATTGGGCTTCATCAAAATGGACAGAAGACTTGAACAATACTTCGCCAAAAAAGACATACTATTCAGATGGCAGTTAGCACATGAAAAGATGCTCAACAATATTTGTCTATTCTATCTTATTAAATCTCATTTTACTCATTATCTTCTGTATCCTAACTCCTTCTATAAACGGAGATGCTACTTACTGTCTTTGTACTACGACGGGTGAGTTTTCTTTTCTTTTTTTTTTTTTTTTTTTTTTTTGAGACGGAGTCTCGCTCTGTCGCCCAGGCTGGAGTGCAGTGGCGGGATCTCGGCTCACTGCAAGCTCCGCCTCCTGGGTTCACGCCATTCTCCTGCCTCAGCCTCCCGAGTAGCTGGGACTACAGGCACCCGCTACCATGCCCGGCTAATTTTTTTGTATTTTTAGTAGAGACGGGGTTTCACCATGTTAGCCAGGATGGTCTGGATCTCCTGACCTCGTGATCCGTCCGCCTTGGCCTCCCAAAGTGCTGGGATTTCAGGCGTGAGCCACCGCGCCCGGCCTTACTTGTACTTTCAACCACGTCCCCCACTCCAAAATTCTGCGCCTCCCTCAAGCCAGTTCCTCCTCTGCTTCCTCCTCGCAGCAGCCGGCGCGTCTTTGTTCCGTCCAGGCATCTTCAACGCGTCCCTCCCTCTGGACGCTGCCGAGGAAATACTGAAGTGGTAGAGGATGTGGGGAGGCCGTCCAAGAGTGGAGGTGTCCCGGGCCTGCTCTCTCCAGGAGGAGGAGTGCAGGCTGGGGTCCACCTCCCCGGTCCAGCAGTGCTGGGGAGGGGACCCCGCACGTGTGCCCGGAGCGCGGACACGGTGATGCGGCTGCCCCTCGCCCCGGCCCCAGGCTCGCTGCGCCCTCCCTCCCCGGTCGCCTCTGCGTTTCTCCCGCCAGCAGGAGACCGAGTCTGAGCGCAGCCGCCGACCCTGCGCCTTCCCTGTGCACTCAAAGACCGCCAGCTCTGGGGGAGCCCGGGGACCCACGCCGCTCTGGGCACAGGCGACCGAGGCCAAGGCGCTCCGGGTCTCTCCAGTTCCGGCGTCTTCTGGTCCTCGGGCTCCGCTCCGCGGCCACTGGGCCCGCTGCACGCGAGCGCGCCGAGCTCTGCTCCCGCTGCTCCTGCGAAGCTGGTGTCCACACCCGCCGGCCTGCAGGCACCTCGGGGCCCACGTGTCCTCCGGCCACATCCCACCCTGGGGCCACCTGTGTCCATCCCAGAGCGTGCGCGCAAGGTGAGGCCTGGGGGCAGGTGCCTATTTTTGCCCCCCTCAACCTGCATCTTTGCTATCCTGGGACTTACTGCTCTTCAGAACTTTCGGGCCCCTGGTAGAAGGAGATGTCTCTCCTGTGTCTGAGATGGGTGGGGCAGGAACTCCCCACAGCCCCGGGCTTCTTAAGTGGAGAAGGGGTGGGAAAGTCAGGAGTTGGACTTTCTGGATTGGTCCTGTAATTTTCTTGTCTTTTCTCTCCCATTTCCATTCCATTTGTTTCATTTGCTTTCTAAGAGATTTAATTTTATCTTCCAACTCCTACTGAAATTTTAATTTCTGCTATCCTGTTTTCAATTTCCAAGAGAATATTTTTATTCTCTGAAGATTCTTTTTTAAAAATAACATTCTATCTTGTTTCTTGAATGCCATATTTGACCTAATCTCTTTGATCTAATCTCAGCGTTAGTGAGATTTTCTTTTCCCTGGATGTCTCTGTTTCCTCCAAGTTGCTCTTTTCACTGTGTTTATTTTGGGTCCCATTTTTCACATTATAAGGTTTCTTTAGATGTTTCAGGTTTTCAGTCAATTTTAACTTCTCTGAAGAAATCTCTTCTGAAGTCTTCTAGCCTGCTCCCATTTGAAATGTCACAAGCCACACTTGGTGATCTGCTGTCATTCTGGGAATGCCTTGTCTGCCCCTGTTTGAGAACAAGGCACTAAACACTTACAAGGCTGGCTGAGTTCATGGCTGGGCTTACCCACAATGGAGTCACTGTAGTGATCTGACTGGAACTTTTAGGGGGAACCCTTCAGAGTTTTTTCCTCATGAGCTGGTCTGATTCTGTAAGAAGGACTCTTAAACCCCTCCCCTATGGGGTTTAATAATGTGGGCAGGGTCTGGGTGCTGAGTGGAAGAAGAGGTTTGGGAAGGGTGGTCTCGAATTTTAACTTGTAAAGATTCCCTGTCCCCCTGTTTCCTGAATGGTAGCCCCAACCCTCGGCTGCATCTGGCATCTCGCAGCCTAGAGACTGTTTATTTTAACCTCTCCACAATAAACCTTCATCTTTTGGGAATTGGAAGGGGAAGTTGCCCAGCTGTGTTGAGTGTGGAAGAGAATCTGAGAATGTACCTGTTTCTTAAATAGGCTTTTAAACAATCTTTTTTTTTTTCTTTTAACCCTACCTTCTTCTCCACTTCCAGAAGTACCTGGTACCTCATATACCAGGGTCTTTAGGGAGTTATGTGCAAAGCAGAGTTCTGACTGTGCCTTCTCCACTGCTCGTGTCAGAGTCAGTTATTTTAGGTTTGTTATCACCCACTGTTTGTTTCCAGCTTCCACAACAGCCTCCTATTTCAATCACTGTGTTTGCCGTTGTCTTTTTTTTTTTTTTTTTTTTTTTTTGACAGAGTCTCTCTCTGTCACCCAGGCTGGAGTGCAGTGGTGTGATCTCGGCTCACTGCAACCTCCGCCTCCTGGGTTCAAGCAGTTCTCCTGTCTCAGCCTCCCAAGTAGCTGGGACTACAGGTGACACCACCACGCCCGGCTAATTTTTGTATTTTTAGTAGAGATGGGGTTTCACCATGTTTGCCAGGCTGGTCTTGAACTCCTGACCTCAAGTGATCCACCTGCCTCAGCCTCCCAAAGTGCTGGGATTACAGGTGTGAGCCACCGCACCTGGCCTCCTTTTCCTTTTAAGGTCTACAAAGATCTTGTTAAAAGGACACTTTGAATGTGATAACCAGACAGAACCTTGGCTCTACCCAAAGAAATGAAGAGTGGTAAAAATGGCTGATATTCAAGATAAAATTTATATCTTTTACATTTTGTATTTATCTAAAGGATAATTTACTATAAAAATTAACTCCAAATGGATCATAGACTTAAATGTAAAACTATAGAACTTCTAGAAAAAAACGTATAACATATTTTTTACTTTCAGTTAGGCAAAAAATTTTTGAATACCACACCAAAGGCATGAGCCCTAAGAGAAACTATTGATAAAATTGGACTTCATCAAAATTAAAAATTTCTGCCCTTCAAATGACATTAAGAGAATAAAAAGACAAACCACAAGCTGGGAGGAAGTATTTGCAAAACATGTATCTGATAAAGAACTTGGACCCAGAATATATAAAGAATGCTTAAAACTCAGTAATAAGTAACAAACAATCCAATAATAAATGGACAAAAGATTTGAACAGGTGGTTCAGCAAAGATACATTAATGATAAGCACATGAAAAGATGCGAAGATCATTACTCTTTAGAGAAATGCATATGAAAACCACAATGAGATACTACTATACATCTATTAGAATGAGTAAAAACAAACACACAAACACTCTAAAGCCCTGACAATAACAAGTAATGATGAAGATGGGGAGCAATTGGAGCTCTCATATGTTCTTAGTGGGAATGCAAAATGGTACAGCCACTTTAGGAAACTGTTTGGCAGTCTCTAATAAAATTAAACATACACTTAACAACTTTTATAGAGTCAAATATACACCTAACATAAGACCCAGCAATTTCACTCCTTGATATTTATCCAAGTAAAAGAAAACAGGTTCACTCAAGAATTGGTACATGGGACCTGGCTTGGTGGCTCACACCTGTAATCCCAGCACTTTAGGAGGCTGAGGCAGGCGGATCACTTGAGCTCAGGAGCTCGAGACCAGCCTGGGCAACGTGGCAAAACCCCGACTCTACAAAAAATACAAAAATTAACTAGTCATGGTGGCTCACGCCTGTGGTCCCAGCTACTTGGGAGGCTGAGGTGGGAGGATTGCTTGGGCCTGCGAGGTAGAGATTGCAGTAAGCTGAGATTTGCACCACTGCACTCCAGCTTGGGTGACAGAGGGAGAAAAAAAAATTGGGACATGGATGTCTATAGTGGCTTTTTTCATAATTGCCAAGAACTGGAAATAATCCAAATGTCCCTCAACTGGTGAAGGGATACACAAACTATGATACAACCATACAATGGAAAACTATTCCACAATAAAAAGAAATGAACCATTGATACACACGATGATATAGATCTCAAATGCAGTATGATAACTGACCAAAGCCAGACTCAAAAGGCTATATATTGTGTTATTCAATTTATGTAACATTCTGGAATAGTGAAAACTTTAGAGACATAAAACAGATCAGTGGGTGTCAGCAACTGGAGGTGGGGAAGGGAGCTGACAACAAAAGGGCACAAGAGAATTTGGGGGTGATTGTGGATTATAACTGTGTGCATTTGTCAAAAATAATAGAATTGTCCTCTAAAAAGGAAGAATTTTGCTGTAAGATCACTGTACTCTAAATAATGCTAAAGTTAATCCATTTGATCTTATTTAGTTGTGTTTGGCCAGGAGACAAAAGTACATGCATGTGTTCCATCTGTAGTTTTTATATGAACACCGTTCTCTATGCATATTTAATGTAGCTTTAGAATTTCCATTGTGTTATTTATTCGCTTATTCCCATATGGGATATTAAGGTTTTTGCTATTAAAACCAATGCTAGGCCAGGTGTGGTGACTCATGCCTGTAATCCCACCACTTTGGGAGGCCGAGGCAGGCAGATCACCTGAGGTCAAGGGTTCAAGACCAGCCTGGCCAAGATAGTGAAACCCCATCTCTACTAAAAATACAAAAATTAGCCGGGTGTGGTGGTGGGTGCCTGTAGTCCCAGCTACTTGGGAGGCTGAGGCAGGGAGAACCGCTTGAACCTGGGAGGAGGAGGTTGCAGTGAGCCGAGATTGCACCATTGCACTCCAGCCTGGCGACAGAGCAAGACTCCATCTCAAAACAACAGCAACAACAACAACAAACAATGCTACAATAAATACCTCCTTCTCATTTGTGCATTTATTATATGAAATACAGTTCTAAAATTGGGATTCTGTGTCGAAGGGCCCCCATTCTCTCCATGAGCGGATGAAAGCAGTGAGTGTGGCTTTAATCCCAAGGGACCGGCAGGGGTGAGTGGAGCTGCCCCGCTGCAGCAGAGCCCTCCATGCTTACCCACCCCTCCATCCGGGAGGAAATCGAGTCTATTTCCTATTACCTGCCAACCTTACCTCAGGCTCAAAAGTTTTACTAATGGCTGACAGTCAGTACTTTGCTGCAATTAAACTGATGTTCATAAAGTTTTAATCATGCCTGAAAGAGCTTATGTGGTTTATAAAAATTTGCATCAGTATGACCACAGCAAGGAAAAAATTGAATGCACTAAATGGGAGGAACCCATCAAAAGACAGCATTTATCATTGTCTTTGGTGGCAGGAATATGAGTGATTATTTTCTCCTCTCCGCATTTCTGCATTTTTCTATATATTAAGAGGGTTGGGGCCAGGTGCAGTGGTTCATGCCTGTAATCCCAGCACTTTGAGAGGTTCAGGCAGGTGGATCGCTTGAGCCTGGGAGTTTGAGACCAGCCTGGGCAACATGGCAAAACCTTGTCTCTACAAAAAATACAAAAATTAGCCGAGTGTGGTGGTGCATGCCTATAGTCCCAGCTACTTGGGAGGCTGAAGTGGGAGGATCTCTTGAGCCCAGGAGGTTGAGGCTGCAGTGAGCAGAGATTGTGCCACTGCACTCCAGCCTGGGCAACAGAAAGGTTGATGGGTAGCTTTATAATGGAGGCTTCAAGATGTTACCAACTGAAGCCACAGGTCACTCTTGGTATCACTAAGAATGGGACAACCTGACATTCAGTGCCTTCTGGTGGCATGATGTGAAGTACTTAGTACTATCTCTGAAAGAAATGTTCTTATCCAAAAGAAAAGTTAAACTTGAATCGAATCAAGCCTTTAGATCTAACTTCCAGTTCTCAGGAAATACAGAGGGTAAAGGAAAAGTTGAATGCCATCACAAAGGCATAAACAGGCTAATCTAGACTATGGGACATTCCACAGGACAACCGGCCTGGTTTCTTCAACAAGACAATAGTTTGAAGGAGGATGAGGAGAGGATAGATAGTCTGGGTTAAAAGATATTTAAGAGACGTCATCAAATACAATCTGCAGACCTTAACCAGATCTAGATTCAAACCAACTGACTATAAAAAGATATGCTTGGAACACTTGGGAAAATTTGAAAATGGTTTAGATGTTAGAGAAAGCCAAAGAATGTTATTTTCTTAAGGCATGATACTGGCACTGTGGTTCTGAAGAAAATGTCCACATATTAGAGATGAATAGTGAAATATGTAGGGTTGAAAAGATGTGAGGTCTGGAGTTTAAAACAACAAAACAGAATGAACAGATTAGGCAAGTGGGGCAAATGTTTGACGATTGCTCATTCTAGGAGATGGAAATATGAGGATTTATTATATGTTCCCTCTATAATGTTATTTTATAATGTTTTCATAAAAATTTAAAAGAAATACAGTAGGTGGTTATGTTATAAAGATTACAGATAGCAAATGGGTGTCTTGGGATAAAATTTCCAGGGATACCACCATACATGATGTAAAAATTGCTTATTCTCAAATAGCTGAGATAGAAGAGCTTAAACAGCCCTAGCAGTGAAAATAAAAGGGATATGAAAGGAAAAATTTGGATCAAATAGTTTCATAAAATGAGAGAGTGACAAAGTTGTATTTCTAGATTAGTCTATAATGTACTATATTATTTTACAAAATGTCACTTTCAATATGAACGTGTTACTAAAATTAACAATATAGGCCTGTCGCAGTGGCTCACGCCTGTAATCCCAGCACTTTGGGAGGCTGAGGCGGGCAGATCACCTGAGGTCGGGAGTTCGAGACCAGCCTGACCAACATGGAGAAACCCCATCTCTACTAAAAATACAAAATTAGCCGGGTGTGGTGGCACATGCCTGTAATCCCAGCTACTCGGGAGGCTGAGGCAGGAGAATTGCTTGAACCCGGGAGGCAGAGGTTGCAGTGAGCCAAGATCGCACCATTGCACTCCAGCCTGGGCAACAAGAGCAAAACTCCATCTCAAAAACAAAAACAAAAACAAAAAACAAAAAACAAAAACCAATCTAAATATTTTCAACAGTAACAAACCAAGGATGTGAGGATTAGAGAGCGATAGTTTTCATTTCTTTGGGTGGCCCAATTTTTCCAGTACCAGATAAACACATTTCTAGGTTTAATTCTTTTTGAGATTCCCTTGAGGTATATTATATATCTTTATTATCTTTTATTTTGCATTTTTGATGCATATAAAATAAGATTTGTGGCATATATTTGGGATATAAATTATAATATTAAAATAAATTCCTGTGAATCAAACACCCTAAGACCAAAACGGTACCAATAATTCTGCATCTGTCTGTGTACTCCTTCCCTCTCCAAATCCCTTGGTCTCCCCTAGGTCTCCCCGAGAGTTTACTACTATCCTGAATTGTGAGTTTGTTATTTCTTTTTTCTTTCTTTCTTTCTTTTTTTTTTTTGAGACGGAGTCTCGCTGTGTTGCCCAGGCTGCAGTGCAGTGGCACGATCTCAGCTCACAGCAAGCTCCGCCTCCAGGGTTCACACCATTCTCCTGCCTCAGCCTTCCGAGTAGCTGGGACTACAGGTGCCTGCCACCACTCCTGGCTAACTTTTTGTATTTTTAGTAGAGACGGGGTTTCACTGTGTTAGCCAGGATGGTCTTGATCTCCTGACCTCGTGATCCACCCACCTCGGCCTTCCAGAGTGCTGGGATTACAGGTGTGAGCCACTGCATCCGGCCTGAGTTTGTTATTTCTTTGTTAAGAAATTCTTAATCCGGCCAGGTGCAGTGGCTCACACCTGTAATCTCAGCACTCTGGGAGGCCGAAGCAGGCTGATCACTTGAAGTCAAGAGTTTCAGACCAGCCTGGCCAACATGGTGAAACTCTGTCTCTACTAAAAATACAAAAATTAGCTGGGCATGGTGGTGGGTGCCTGTAATCCCAGTTACTCAAGAGACCAAGGCACGAGAATCGCTTGAACCCAGGAAGCGGAGGTTGCAGTGAGCCGAGATTGCAGTGAGCCGAGATAGTGCCACTGCCCTCCAGTCTGGGTGACAGAATGAGACCCTGTCTCAAAAAAATAAAAAAAAAATTCTTAATCCAATATTCATATATCCTTCAACAAAGTATTATTTAGTTGTGCTTCTTTTTGAGCTTTGTTAACTCTTTTCAAGTTTCCCTGGTGATATGGTTTGGCTGTGTCCCCACCCAAATCTCATCTTGAATTCCCACGTGTTGTGGGAGGGACCAGGTGGGAGGTAATTGAATCATTGAGGCAGGTCTTCCCTATGTTGTTCTCATGATAGTGAATAAGTCTCACAAGATCTGATGGTTTTAAAACGGGGAGTTTCCCAGCACAAGCTCTCTTCTCTTTCCACTGCCATGTAAGAAGTGTCTTTTGCCTTCCGCCATGATTGTGAGGCCTCCCTAGCCACGTGGAACTGTACATTAAACCTCTTTTTTTTGTAAATTGCCCAGTCTCAGGTATGTCTTTATCAGCCACATGAAAGTGGACTAACACACATGGTCTACTGGGTTCCTGGTCTACTGGGTTCAAGACAGGCTGTCTTTGAGTTAATTGAATTGGGAGGAGAAGAATCTGGACCCTAAGTTCTCCTTGAGACCAGAAGTCAAGAGGCCATGGGAGCCAATTTCATAATTAGCCTTAAATGGGTCCAACCAATCAGCACCCTGGACAGATCACGGTCATTTCAAGTATTCTGTTACCTTCCCTTTCCCTGAGGTCAAAATAATTTCTCCTCCTTCCTGGCCTCAGGATTCTGCAACCCTGTTCCAGGCCCTTACCTGTTGGTTCTGCTGGTTCTGGATTTTTCCCAAGGTGAGAGTCAAGGAATTTGTACTAGGTCCGGGCTTGGGTGATTAGGCCTTCCTTCTCCACCCAATCCTGGACAAAGATCCCAGTTTTCATTGTTACCCCTTCACCACAAATGGCAGAGAGAAAATAGTGGGAAAAAAGTATTTCCAACAACATCCTCAGAAGAGTTATAGCCCAACCTGGCCTCTTTCAATTAAAAAAAAATCAATCAGGGGAATAAACAGAAACATTATCAAGGCCTGGATCTCTCCCATGGAGTATTTCTCTGGATATCTCAAAGTCTCAGGAAGATTTCTGGGCTGCAGAAATTTTTTTTGAGCTCAAGCAAGAGGAATTTTATGACACTGGATTATGGATTATTCCCCTAAATTAACTCAGTCAGCGTTATCACCCAGGAATTACTCTTCCTGTTATAGGAAGCTGAACCAGCTCCTAACTGGTTTAGGTGGCTGTCCTCACCAAATCTGACCTAAATCATTACCACAACCTTTGCCCTGCTCCTCCTTTTTTCAAGCTTTCCTGCCTTCCCCAACACCATAGGCATGGGTGCCACCTCCAGCATACGGTGATAATTGTAAATGATAAGCTGGAAGTGCACTTTCATACATAGTCACAGTAAGATAAACACTGAATGTTGTTTTGTGTTTTTATTTTTTGTTTTTTTGTTTCTTGAGACACAGTCTCACTCTGTCTCCCAGGCTGGAGTGCAATGGTGTGTTCTCAGCTCATTGCAACCTCCATCTCTGGGCTTCAAGCAATTCTTCTGCCTCGGCCTCCTAAGTAGCTGGGATTACAGGTGCCTGCCACCACGCCCAGCTAATTTTTTGTACTTTTAGCAGAGACAGGGTTTCATCATGTTGGCCAGGCAGGCTTCAAACTCATGACCTCAGGTGATCCACCCACCTCGGCCTCCCAAAGTGCTGGGATTACAGGCGTGAGCCATTGCACCTGGCCCTGAGTTTTGTTTTAACCAAAAATTATCATATAATTATATGGAGAAGATAAATGGGGATGAAGCGAGCATACGGCTAGTGTAAGAGTGCTAAATCCTCATCTTCCTTAATAGATCAATTATTAATAATATTGCTTAAAACTGATAAATCAAGACATTAATATCAGGAGGAGTGTGGTATTCCTATATAGGGAGGAAATACCAGAAAAAAATAGCTGAAAGGGTTTGGGGTGAATGACAAAGGGGCTGAGAAAGAATGAAGCAAAGAACCATTGTTTTTTATAATAAGCAATTTATACACTTAACATTTTTTGAAAATTATTTTTAGTTAATCGATAGTAGTCTTGATAGGCCAGGCTCAGTGGCTCACACCTATAACCCCAGCACTTTGGGAGGCCGAGGCAGGCAGATCACGAGGTCAGGAGTTCGAGACTAGCCTGGCCAACGTGGTGAAACCCTGTCTCTACTAAAAATACAAAAATTAGCTGGGCATGCTGGCAGTGCCTGTAATCCCAGCTACTTGGGAGGCTGAGGCAGAATCACTTGAACCCAGGAGGTGGAGGTTGCGGTGACCCGAGATTGTGCCACTGGACTCCAGCCTGAGTGACAGAGTGAGACTCTGTCTCAAAAAAAAAAAAAAAAAAAAACAACTACATTGAGAGTGGTCTTGCTATGTTGCCCAGGCTGGTCTCAAACTCCTGGCTTCAATCAATCCTGACACCTTGGCCTCCCAGAGTGTTAGGATTACAGGTATTAACCACTGTGGCCAGCCATATTTTATAAGTTTTAAAACACACACATATGTATGATAAATGTAAAAGTAAATTTAAAAATAGAAAACCCTTAAAAGAGTTTTGTCCTAGTTTTCTTTGACAGGAAGAGGATTTTACACTGTGCAAATGTTACTATGATTTAGATTATATTATAAATCAATTCATTTCAGGTTAAGTGTGAGATTTTTAAAATCCCTGTTAATATCAAGAATGAAAAAGGATAATCACAAAAGATCCTACAGGCATTAAAAGAAGTTCAACTTAACAACAAATTTGACTATTTGAATTTGAATGGACACACTCTTCCAAATAAAAACCAAAAACTTACCAAAACTGGCAGAAGAAAAGGTAAAAGCCTTGAATAGTTCAATATCTGTTAAACAAATTGTCTCTGTTATTCAAAGTGTTTCCTCAAATAAAGGCCCAGATTGATTTATAGTGAATATTTTCTTTCTTTCTTTTCTTTTTTTATTAAGACAAGGTCTCACTATGTTGCCTAGGCTGGTCTCGAACTCCTGGTTTCAAGCCATCCTCCCGCCTCAGCCTCCAGACGTGCTGGGATTACAGGTGTGAATATTTTCACATTTTAGAATGAAATATCAGCAATATAATCAAAGTCTTCAAGAAAATAGAAAAAGAAGAGGGAACTCCTCTGAACTCTTTTGTGAAGCCAGGAAAACGTTTACAGAAAAATCTAATATTATAAGAAAGAAAAATTAGTGTCCAATTTCTTTCATAAGCATAGATGCAGAGTCCACGTAAATTATTAGAAAATTGATTCCAGTGACACATAAAAGCGATAATACCTCATGACCAGGTGGGTTTATTCAAGAAATGCAAAGGTATTTGAAAATAAAATACCCTTGTGGGGCCTTCGCCGCTCCAGGCACAGGCGACCGAGGCTGCGGCATGGCACGTCCCTCCGGCTTGGGCATCTCTGGTCCTCAGGCTCTGCCCCACAGCCACTGGGCCTGCTGCACCTGAGCCAGTCTGGTTGGGTGGCCGGGCTCTGTCCCATCTGCTCCTGGGAGGCTGACTTTCACACCCGCCTGCCTGCAGGCACCTCGGGACCCATGTGTCCCCCGGCCACATCCCATCCTGGGGCCACCCTATGTCGGTCCCAGGTGTGGTACTTGGGGGCAGGTGCCATTTCTGCCCCCTCAACCTGTATTTTTGCCAGCCTGGGACTTCCTGCCCTTCCAGAACTTTCTGCCCCCTTGTAGCTGGAGATGTCTCTCCTGTGTGTGAGCTTCCCACAGCCTGAGCCTCCTTAACTGGGGAGGGGGATCAGTCACCTGACAGACACAGGATGCTCAGTTGTCTCAGGAATTGATGGTGAGAGGGACCACAGAGATAAGGGGTGCAGTCCCCTCCCCTTTGACCAATGGCAGAGCCCCCAGCCTTTCTGGGGAGACACTTTGCATCCTCCTATTTTTGGCAAAAGTCTCAGGAGAGTTAAGGCACCAATTGGTGTCTGCAGGTTCACACGCTAAACTCTGCTTCTGTCTCTCTCAGGGGGAATTGCTGCTGCCTTGGGAAGGCCCCCAGGTGTGGGAGTGGCAGAGCTGGTGGTGACCCTGGCCCAGGTCATCTGAAGCTACCCTTGTCCTGTGCTCCACAGCTAAAACAACCCTCAGTCCTCTCTGTCCTATGACAAACAAGACACCGGTGAAGGGGTAAGGCCAGCAGCATCATCCCCAAGCTACAAAGGAGGAGACTGAGGCTCAGGAGGTGAAAGGAATAAATGACAGAGCCAGGGCCAAAACTCAGGATTCCTAGCTCTTGGTCCAGGGCTCTTCCCCGCCCAGGCTGCATGGGAGGTGGTGGGAGGTGAATGTGCCAGCCTGTGAGGGCTGCGGCCCACTAGGCCCAGCTTGGAGGAGAGTGTCTCTCTTGGGCCTGTAACATCTTGCTAAATGGAGGAGAAGGGAGGGAAGGCCAATGTGACCTGCCTTCCGCATCTCCCACCTTCGCCCTCCCTCCTCAGGGTCCTAGGTCAGATGGCTTCCCACAGAACCCAAGGCTTCTCTGCTAAACTGGCACTGGCTCAATAGCTCCCTTCCTTCTTGTCCTCATTCTCATCCCTCCCAGGAGGGCACCGTGGACACTCCCTCCTTCAAACCATGTGTGCGCGCACACACACACACACACACATACACACACACACACACACACACACTTCACCCAACGTTAGCCTACAGAACTAAATGCAGGGTTTCCCATCCCAGTGTGTGACGGGCTCTGGGGTGACAGAAGCAGGAGAGGTTCTAGTGGAAACTTAGGGAAAAGACCATCTTATGAGGGCTCTGGAGGAGGGGTGTCCTGGCCAGCTGTCCTTGGGAGGGATGTCACCTGGACGTGAAGAGGCACCAGCAAAGGGGGCCTGACCTCCTTCCCCCAGACCATCTGGGCAGCTTTTGGGAGTGGCTAGGGACACCTGGGTCTCCCAGAACAGGGGTTTCCTGACTTGTGCATTCTCTTTGAAGATGAAGATGGGCAGGCAGGGATGGCCGGCAGTCCATAGGAATGCGGCTGTAACAGTGTCTGCTGCTGCTGTTGATCACTGCTGGGCTGGGTCCAGCCAGGGCCACATCCTTGGAGGCCTGATACTCCACGCAGATGGTGGTGCAGCCACCTGTCAGCTGTCAGGTGGGGCTTGGGATGAGACTAAATTGGTTCTTTCAAGAGCCCGGGGTGCCCTCTTGAGGATGCCTGGAGAATCTCACCACCTTCGTCCTAGACAGACTGTGGCTGACTCTCAGGCTTTTCTCTCTTCTTCCTGCTCCTGCCCCGGCCCTTCCAATCTCTTCTTCACCCACACCCCTCCCAGAGCCCAGCCCACCCACCTACCCTCCTCTGGACAGATGCTTCATTTTGAGGGGCCTCTCATATTAGGGGTCAGCAAGGCCCAACATCCCCAGGGGCCTGGCATCCTGGACCATAGTGCCCATGGTTTGGACTTGCTCATCAAAGCCACCCCTCCACATACCTTAGGGCCTGGAGGCATCTTTCAGCAACCTGAAGACTTTGCACCATGTGATGACATGTGTTAATGAGACGTGGGCCCTGCAAGGTGGCTCACGCCTGTAATCCCAGCACTTTAGGAGGCCAACGCTGGAAAGTTGCTTGATCCCAGGAGTTTGAGACCAGACTTGGCAACATAGTGAGACCCTATCTCTACTAAAAATTAAATAAACAAACAAAAAAAACTAGCCAGATGTGGTAATGTGCGCCTGTAGTCCTAGCTAATTGGGAGGCTGAGGCGGAAAGATTGCTGAAGCCCAGGTATTCAAGGTTGCAGTGAGCTATGATCGTGCCACTGCACTCCAGCCTGGGTTAGACCCTGTCTCTAAAAGAAGAGAGAGAGAGACACGAGTAGTGCTCTAGAACCCCCAACCGTGGAGCCATGCTCTCCCAGCCCCTGGAACCACCTGCCTGAGTCCCATGCAGACCTGACTCTGGCCTGTCGGGATCTTGATAACTCTCAGTGTTCCCCTCTGACGGTAATGCCTCTTAAGGTACAGATGAGGAGAAGATGAGGGTATGTGTGGCAAGAATCAGGAAGACCAGTCCCTGGTCCACCACATAAGGCCAGGTGATCTGGTTAAGTGTCTGTACCAGAAATAGGTCATTGGATGAGCGAGACCTGGCCCAGGCCAGCCTGTGAATGTCTCTCTGAAGTCCTACACTGCCCTCCCTGACCACCTTAAGGGGAACAGAGATGGGTCCCAGGGGGAGAGTGCTAAGCCTCTCCTCCTTTTCTACCCCTGCTAGTACTAGAGGGTCTCTAAAAGGGGAAATCACTTATAAAACGTGTCCTTTGCAGTAAGGAGACACCATTAAACTAATGACCCAATGGCAAGGTCCCTTGAGCATTCCCTAAAGAGATTGGATATGGCCGGGCAATGTAATCCAGGATCTTTAAAATGCCTGTGTCAGAACTGGGACTAGACCAGGGCAGCGTAGAATAGGAGAGCTGTGCACCATTCCAGGGGCAGACTGGAGCCGGTGGAATTGAGGTCGGACGTAAGATCTCTGCATTCTCAGCAGGTGTTGGTCAGGGGCTGGGGGTTACCCCACCACTGTCCCCACTACCTTCATTTTCCCCGAAACAGGGAGGGTGGGACTCCCCTGCACACATCCCCCTGGGCTGCATGCCATCCAGGTGAAGCTGGGAGTCACAGTGCTGGCCCAGCAGCCTCCTCCTGCCCTGAACACCCCTCCACTTTGACCTCATGGAGGGAATGTGAATGCCTGGGCCTCTCACCTGGTTCAGCACTCTTTCCCTTCTCTGTTTATTACACACACACACACAAACACACAGACACACACACACACACTTTATTCAGAAGATGCAAGGAATTGGGGGTTTTATTTATATTTGACTTTTTTTTTTTTGCTCCTTCCAACCTAGGTGTCCCTATCAGCTATTCAATAATGATTAATAAAATTTTTTAAAGTTACTTAAATCCCTCTGGGTGGAGCAGTTTGGGGGTGGAGGGTCCAAAGAGGCAAAATGAGGACTGAGACACCTCCTGCCTACCTTCCTCTCCCTCTGCCAGCATTGCTTGGCCTGACCATTTCCCTTGCTGTCCAAGCTCCATCCTCCTTTGCTCATCCAGGGAAGCGGATCCCTGGTTCTCCAAACTACTGCACTCCAAGCCTAGTCAAGGGCCATTAAGCCCCCAAATTCTCCCCTTTGTCCCAAGCCCACCATGTCCTCCAACCAAGGCAGGAGATCTGGGTCTGTGCTTGGCTCCCCACGACCCAGTGGTAATGAGTACTCCTGTGGGACATCTGGACTAGGCTGACAGGCTTGAGAAGGGGGCCCACCATTCCCTTCTCAGATCAGTGACTTGAGCACCCCACCCTGGGATTCTTGGCAGCCAGGAGCTGGCACCGCTCCCTGAACCCCTGGCTGGTGTGGGCCCCTCACACTCTGTCCATGGAGCACAGACTGGGGCCAGAACCCCAGGCTCCCCTCAGCCTGGCCTGAGCTCCCATCAGCGGTGACCCACAAAGCCCTGGCCAGATGGGGAACATTTCTGAGACCACAGTCCTTCAGATGGGACTGCCCCCTCATCTGCTGGGCCCCAGAAGAAGCAAAAACAACCTTACCCACCACTTCCAGCTGTTGAGGTGGCACCTGGGCTGTGCCTGGGAAAGGACTTGGGGGAGGATGCTGGTCTAGAGGGCACAGCCACAGAGGCAGAGGAGTTTTGAGTTTTTTTTTTTTTTTTTTGTCTCCTCTGAAAAAATAACTTGGGAATTTGGTCTCTTTTAAACTCTGGTTCTCTCTTTTTTTTTTTTTTTTTTTTTTTCTAGATGGAGTTTCACTGTGTTGCCCAGGCTGGAATGCACTGGCACGATCTCGACTCACTGCAACCTCTGCCTCCTGGGTTCAAGCAATTCTCCTATCTCAGCCTCCCGAGTAGCTAGGATTACAGGTGTGCACCACCACACCTGGGTAATTTTTGTATTTTTAGTAGAGATGGGGTTTCACCATCTTGGCCAGGCTGGTCTTGAACTCCTGACCTCGTGATCCACCCGCCTCTGCCTCCCAAAGTGCTGGGATTACAGGTGTGAGCCACCGTGCCCAGCCTAAACTCTGGTTCTTAAAATACGTGGCAGTTTGTTACGGGCTGGTCGGTCAGGTGCTGTGGTGCTCTGAGGGGAAAGGGCCCGGAGCAGGGCAGCACATGCTATTTAAAAATATCCTGAATGTGTGAGGGCCTTGGCTTTTTTTGGAATGGGTTGAGGTTATTTCTGGCATGTGGTGACAGGACAAGTGTGTTCATTTTAACTTTGACATTCTCTGTAAATAAACTGGAAATGTGGACCACTGCTCCTCCGCAGGGGATGAGGAGGAAGAAAAAGATGACAATGCGAAGGGCTGTCGTAGCTCAGGGGTCCCCTCTGTTCCTGCCACTCTGCCACCCCCCCAAAGAAAGCATGACTTCCTCTTGGGACACTCATCGGACCAGAGCAGGACTGGGGTCGCTGTTGCTGCAGGTGGTGGGGTGGGAGTGGGGGAGAGGGGTTAAGAGAGAACGAATGAAATGAGGAGCCTGGGTCACCTCACAGATGTTCTTCTTTAAGACACAAAAGGAGCCAAATGAGAGACTGAAGCCTCTAAACAGAAGGGGAAGGCAACCTGACCAAGATCACACAGCTTCAGAATCAGAGCTGGCCCCAGGGGCGAGGGCAGCGGGGAGGAAAGGCAGCTGGTCCTGTTCTTCCTCCCTCCCTTCCGCCCTTGAACACTCATTGATCCTGGGGGGTCAAAGTGGAGTACTAGCACAGACCTGACTTAGGGTGCTGAGTGTGGGGGCCAGCACTCTGTGCCAGACAGGGGGCCAGGGGCCATGTGGTTTTTCTACCGGTTGAAGAGTTTGGATTTTCCTCTAGGCACTGGGAAGCAGGGGATGTATTTTAAGCAGACATGAGGTGTCACATTTTCTCTTGAAATACCGCCCTGGAAGCCAGGCGCGGTGGCTCATGCCTGTAATCCCAGCCATTTGGGAGGCTTAGGCGGGCAGATCACCTGAGGTCGGGAGTTTGAGACCAGCCTGACCAACATGGAGAAACCTCGTCTCTACTAAAAATACAAAATTAGCCAAGCATGGTGGCATGCATGCCTGTAATCCCAGCTGCTCAGGAGCTGAGGCAGAAGGACTGCTTGGGCCGGGGAGGCATAGTTGCGGTGAGCTGAGATCGCGCCATTGCACGCCAGCCTGGGCAACAAGAGTAAAACTCTGTCTCAAAAAAAAAAAAAAAAAGAAGAAGAAGAAGAAATACCACCCTGGAGGCCACCACAATAGTCCAGACAAGTGTTGATGAGGGCCCAGCCTAGCCAGTGCAATGGAGAGAAGGGGCCAGTGCAGAGAGACACCTGGGGTAGAAGTGACAGGGCATCAAGCGGGAGGGCAGATGGCCTCTGGGCTTTTGGCTCAGGTTAGTGGTGGCTGTATTCAATTCCTGAGGTTGCTGTAACAATGCACCACATATTGGGTGACTTAAAACAACAGAAATGTATTCTCTCATAGCTGAGGCCAGGTGTGAGCAGGGTTGGCTCCTTCTTGAGGCTCAGTGGGAGAATCTCTCTGTTTCTCTCCAAGCTTCGGGTGGTTGCCAGCAGCCTTGGCACTTTTGGCTTTCAGATGCATCGCTCCCATCTCTGCCTACGTCTCCACGTGGCCGACTCCCGTGTGTCTGTTTCACACACTTGTCTTCCCTTGCGTACGTCTGCGTGCCCAAATTTCTCTCTACTTATAAGGAGACCAGTCACTGGAGTAGGGCCACCCAAATCCAATGTGACCTCATTTTAACTTGTCTCTGCAAAGACACTATTTGCAACTAAGGTCACATGCACATGCCTGGGGGCTAGAAACGTTTCTTGGGGACACAATTCATTTTACCCATGACAGTGGCAGAGGGCTTTCCACTGACCATGAGCCCACATGTTTTTCAATGAATGGTCACAGGCCAAAGTCTGGGACAGTCTTTATTGGAGCTTGGAATGTCATAGCAATTCGCCCTCATCAGAGGCAGACTGTGAGAAAGAGCAGCGATGTGGTGGACCCCCAGCAGGGGGAAGGCGGGGCTACATGAGGGAGCCCTGCTTGCCTGCAAGCAGGGCACAGGCGCACACGCATACACTCTCCTACATGAACTTACACTCACACCTGCGCACTCGCTGCCGGTGGGTCAGAGGACAGGTGCCTTGGGCTGCTCCCCTCCTCATGGAGAGGCCTCCTCCACTCTGGGGGATCCGCTGAGCTGAGACGGGAGGGAACCGCTTGAGGATCAGGGACGAAGGAGCTGGAAGCTGCAGGCATTTTGCAGTTAGGGAGAAGGGATCCAGGACAGGAGGGATGGCCAGGGACTAACCAAAGGGAGCTGGAGAAGGCCCTGCAGGGCCAGGGAAGGGGAAGAAGATGCTGGAGATGGGCAGAAGGGGAGGGAGAACAGATCACCTCCTCTCCTTCACTCACTGCAACCTCACCGCTGGGGACAGAGGCCTGGGCACAGAAAGCCTGGGGAGCGTCAAGGAGTCCCCTGTGTCCTAGGAAGGCACTGAAATAGGGAACAGATCCTGGGAGCCAGAGTCTCCCCCAAGTACCCCAAAGGGGACAGGAATCGGAATGGTGAAGCGGGAAGGGTCTTACATGCTGGTTGTCTGGGGCAAGGAGACTGGGGAAGCACAGATTCTGCTTCTCACCCCAAACGGTGGGGTTGGGGGTGGGCTGAGATGCAGACCCTCTGGCCAGCAGAGGGGAGGGAGGGCCAGGGCTGCCCCTTTGGTCTCAAGGGCAGTGAGGCGGGGAGCCCGGCCTCACCCATGTGTCCATGGTAGGGGGTGGAGGCAGGAGGAGTGAGGAACCAGAGCCTCCTGCCCCCGGGGCCAGGGCTACCAGAGCACGGCCCCATCCATGTTCCCATAGCCTGGCTCGGCCCGCAGCCTCCAGTAGGTATTGTTGGTCACCCACCACTCTTTCCCGCTGCTATCCGTCTGCCGCCTGGTGGGAGAAGGCGGTGGCAGTGAGGGGTGAACATCTAGAAGGCAGGCTAGGGTCCTAAGGTGCTGCCTCCCACACCTGCCCTGCTCCAAGCAGGGCTCATGGGGAGACCCAGGGCGGAGGGCGAGGCCGAGGCACCTGAAGAAGCGAGCCTGGTGTACGATGTTGTTTTCCTCCATGACTTTGCGCCTGTCTCGCTGCAGCTGCTCGATCCTTCTCTTCTGGGCCTCAGCGGCCTGTATGTTCCCCTCCTCCAGGTACCTGAGGATCCAGATCAAACTCAGGGGAACTGCCCATCTGCAGGGGCCCCCAAACCCAAGGCCTCTGTCTCTGCCCAACTCTGTCCTCTAGACAAGCCCCACTTCTCTGAGGCCACTCAGTGAAGGAAGGACAAAGCCCCAGCTCTGTACTCTGTGGAGGGAGTGAACTAGATGGTTCTAGGCCGGCACCCATCCGGCACTGACCTCTGGTCTGGCCGGAGTCTCGTGTCGGTGGAAGGCAGCGACCGTTTCAGCTCTGCTGTCAGCTCATTCAGCTCCAAGGCAAACTGGGTGAAGCCGAAGTTTCGCTCATGGTCGGGGGGCATTGAGTCTGGGGGAAGGCAAGGGGCTGGGGCAGGTGCACCATGCCTGAGCTGCTCCAGCCTCACCCAGCCCTCTGTGACCCCTCCACTTACTGGGTTTCCAGATGCACTGGCCACCTGGCGTGGGTCCCCGGTACAGCCCCTCGTGCCACTTCCCAAAGAGTCGGTGGAGGACACGGCCACTCCGACTGAGCACAGCGCCCTGCACCTCGTGGACATTGGAACTCCAGTACTTGGCCTGGGGTGGGGAAGGCAGGGTTTAGGGAGGTGTCCCCTCCCCCTTAGCCAGGGTGACCTCCAGAGACAGAGGCTGCCGGGGATGGATGGGCAGGGTCAGGGTGGCACACACACCTTGCAGAAGGTGATCTTGCAGTGGCAGGAGCTGTCCTGTGTGTTTCGGATGAGCACCTCCCCATAGTGCTCGATCCAGCGCTGACCACTCAGGACATTGTGAATGCAGGATGTCACCTTGTTCCACTCAAAGTGGTCCCCAAACCTGAGAAAGACAAGGTATGGAAGGGCAGCTGGCTGGCCCCAGGGAACAAGTGAGTCAGGGGCCTCCTGTCTTGCTGAAGCAGGTCATGTGGGCCTGTGACAGGAACCCTGGGGTCCCAACTCCAGTTCTGCAGTGAAGGATGACTTATATTCACAAGGAAGAGTGGCCTTCACAGAACGTATTCAACGAAAACATCTCCACTCATCTACAAAGCCCCTGAGTGCCTGAGCAACAGGGATGAAAATACACAAAGTGTCCTGCCCCTGGGCACCAGGAACCGTGTGTACGTTCACATCCGTTATCCTGCTTAATCCTCACCTCTCTTGGGTATTACTTCTTACTGTCATGTCACAGGCAAGCAGGCTCAAGGCTCTGAAGTGTCAAGTCTTTTTGCTGCTTGCATCACTATTTTCTTTTCTTTTCTTTTCTTTTCTTTTTTTTTTTTTTTTGAGACAGAGTCTTGCTCTGTTGCCCAGGCAGGCTGGAGTGCAGTGCAGTGGTGCAATCTCAGCTCACCACTACCTCCGCCTCCCAGGTTGAAGCAATTCTCCTGCCTCAGCCTCCCCAGTAGCTGGGACTACAGGCTGGTGCTAATTTGCATCACTATTGAGTGGCAGAACTCATGGCTTCTGACTCCAAAATCCAGGATCTCTACCACAACACCCAGACCACTTTCAATACCCTTTTTCTTTCTGGCTTCAGACCTCTGCCTGTAAAATTAGCTAGATGAGAGTTTTTCAAATTTTGTCTGTGACCCCTGAGTCCTGAGATCAATTTAGGTTTCTGTGTGTGTGTATGTGTACACATTGGCTTGAAGTCTCAAAGGCATTTCTGACTGTGAGACTGTGAGTCATGGTCAAAAAAGTGTGAAAACCGCTGAGTCAGATGACCTCGATGGGCCCTTCCAGCTCTACTACGTTCCAAGGCTTTTCATCTTTCTCTATTGGCAACTGCTGTAAATATAGGTGTAAAACCTACAGACACTGACGCCACTGCAAGCAGCTTCAGGCCAGACCTTCCTATCCCGTCCTTATCCTGTCCCTAAGGCCACGCCCCCTCCAGCCTGAAGGATTGCCTGTGGCTTGGCCTGGCTGCTGAGAGTCTAAGAATCCCACCTGGGCAGGCTGACGTTGACTGTTCCCACAGGCACAATCTCCAGGGATTTGCCCCAGAACTTGTTCTTCCACTTCATATCTGGAATTGGATTAGGGGAGGGAGAGTGAACAACAGAGATAAGGCCAGAGGGTGTTCCCTTTGCCCAGGGCCACCCCGGCCCTGCCCTCTACTCCTCACCTTGCCAGAAGGCGAAGTTCTCAGACTCTGCATGGCAGGCCGAGATAGGGGGGTGGTGGGAGACCTTGGTGAGCAAAGAAGTTATCTTGAGGCTGTCCCCGAGCACCATTAGGCTACCCCAAAGTCCCTTATTCCCACCCCTAGTTCCCCTAAGTACCACAAGACCAGTTGGTTCCAGGTTTCCTGTCCCTATCACCCTTGGCCACCTCCTAAACCCATCATCCTCCCTTCTTCCCATGAGGCCCCTATGTTCTCCCTTCTCACTCGCTCTTCCTCAGAAGCTCCCCTGGCTGGCCCTGTCTATGGCGTCCTCCAGAACCCCTGCTCAAGCCTGAAAAGTTCCCCGCAACAGTGATGGGTGGGGCCTCCACCCCATGCCCTGCCTGAAACCCAGCCCTTGCTGATGACCCTCTTCCCCACCATCTCCCCCCACCCCACCCCAAAGCTGATCATCGCCCTGCAACCTCCACCCCACACCCTTGGAAACACTTGGCCTTGTTCCCACTTGGAATGGCTCCACATCTGGAGCCTTCAATTCCAACATCCCACAGCCTGCCTGCCTTGCCTCTCTCTCCGTTCCCTGTCGCCCACAGCTCCAGCCAAGATGACCAGGTCCCCGACTGCACTGCCCTCCCATGGTCTGCCAGCCCCATCCTGCCCTTCACAGCACTCTCAGCTAATACCTTCAGCCACCTCCCCCACTTGCCAGAAATGCCAGCACCGGCCTCCTCTGTGCATCCCTGGCTCTGACTCTGTTGCCAAAACACAGACACGACCCACACTAAGAAACTGCTAAATCTACAATGTCCTGTATCTGGGGCCTTGACATCCCTCACCAATCCTCCTCTGAGGACCCAGGCACAAGCCAGGCCCTTCGAACCTCATTCGCCTCCCACAGTCTGTGGCAGAACAGAAGTGGGTCAGGGGGGCGATTCCTTCTGTCTGGCGGCAGTCAGCCTGCTCCCACTGATGCCCCCCAGGCTGCCCACTCCTCCTCCTTCTGCACCTTCAGTCTTTCCCTCTTTATTTCTCTTTCTCTCTGAATATAAAGATTGTCTGTTTCTTCCACCTTAAAAAATAGTAAATCTTTCTCTTCTAGACACACACTTCGTTGTTCACATATGCGTAAAACATTTCTGGGAGGAATCCCAAAAGCTGGTAGCAGTAGTCCCTTCGGAGTGTTGGGATGGGAGGGAGGCTTATTTTCTGTTGTACGCACGAGTGTACTGTGTCAATCTTCACCATGTTTCCAAAAACACTTCAAATCCAAACAAACAAACAAACACACAAACTGCCTCGACCTTTATCCCCCACCAACTGCCACTTCTCTCTCCTCTGTCCCTCATGGTAAAATTTTTGGAAAATAGTCTGCTTTTTTCTCTATTTTTTCATAAAACCTACACTCTACACCCTCTGTAATCCAGTCTCTGTCCCCATCCTGTCTCGGGAACCTTCCTCACGCAGGAAGCCGATGACACCCCTCAGGTCCCAGGGACCCGCGACCCCTCCCCTTCGGGGCCCCCAGCGCTCCTGCCTGCCCTCCTCCCTAGACACTGCGAGCAGTCCTCCCGAGGGCAGTCCTCCCTTGATGTCCTCCTCCCTCTAAGCTGGCCACTCTTTGACCTGTTAGTGCCACCTGGTGCTCTTGGAGGAGCTCCAGGCCAGCGACTCCAGAGCCTCCTGGCCATCTCCTGTGGAAGTCGAGCCCACATAGTGTGTTCCCACACACATTGTCCACCTCACTAACTGGCACCACCATGCACCCACTGAATTCCCCAGACCAGGCCGCCCAGACTTCTCCCTCTCAACAAAAGCCTCCCCATCCCCTACACGGGAGAGTACGCTGCTGAGGACCAGCCCCTGTCCGGGGCAGCACATAAACAGCTCTTGAACCAAACACACCACAGCCTAAGTGCAGGGACTCATTAGCTCTACAGAGATGACAGGATGCACCCTGTCGGCCTCCGCCAACCAGGCACACACCACCCGGGTGTGCTTTGCACACTGTGATTCTCAGCAGCCACTCCACTGCCTCAAATCCTCCATGGTGCCAATGCCTTCAGGATTTAAAAACACACATACAAAAGCCCAAGGCCTCTTTCCCTTCACTGGCAGGGCTCCTCAGCATCTGGCCCACCTTGTCTTCCAGCCCCATCTCTAACCTTCCCAAGCCTGCTCCATGCATTCCTCTACACCATCTAGAAGGAACATCCCATTCTCCCCAGCCCCTGTACTCCCAGCTCTCTCCAATTCATCCTTCAGTTCATCCTAGCCCAAGATTGCCCCCTAAAGCGTGAGCCCCCAGGTGGAACTCCTGGGATCCAATGGCTGGACCTCAGAACGTGGGCCAGGAGCACCGCAGAGCCCGGCACAGAGCCAACTGCCCACGCTCCTCTCCCAGGCCCTGGTCCCTCTGCCCCAGTTCTGGTCCCAAAGCCCAGGTCCCTCCTTGCCCCAGACACCCAAGGCCAGCCCTCTTCTCCCAAGGCCATACCTGCTCACTGATGAAGCGGAAGCCTCGGTCAGGCCGCTCACACTCGTAGGTCTCCCCCAGGACAGGGTTGAAGGGCTTGCAGCCGGCTCGGTGGTATGTGGAGGAGTAGGCCGAGACAGCAAAGGCTGCGATGTACACCTGTGGGGGGCAAGGAAGGTGCAGGGTACTGAGGACGGGGCCGCCACCCCAAGCAAGCAAAGTATGGGATCTTGGGGTGGAACTTCAGCAATAAGGAACAGCCCAGCCAGGATTTTCTGGGAGAAAAGATCCCAGGGAGAAGGAAGCAGCCTTGGGCTGGGCGTGAGGACAGGAAGCAGGTACCATGCGCTCGCAGGGGTCGGCGATGCGGCTGGCCTGGTCCAGGAGGCTGCTGTACTCCAGCTCCTCGCAGAGCCGCTGCAGAGTGTTGAGCGGCTCGTTGAGCTGCACAGGCATTGACACCTTGGACAGGTCTTTGCCGATGTTGTTGCGCAGAATGTTCCACAGGCTCACGTCAGCCCCAGGCCCGCTGGCCGCCGGCAGGCAGCGACGGCGGGGTGGCCCCATGGGTCTCCCTGGAACACACCCCCCTGGGGCCGCCCTGCCATGTCACTCTCCATCTGGGCACCAGGCATCCCAGACATGGCAAGCCCACAGCCCAGTCCAGGGCCCAGCTGCCTCCCAAGCCCCTGGGACATTCGCCCCTGAGCCCTTGTCTCGACTCACAGCAGGGCAGGGTGACTGGGGCTCTAACTGCTGACAAGTTCCCAGGGACTCAGTTGGCTGGCAGGGGTGGGAGCCATGCAAAGGGGCAGACAGTTCCCACTGCCAGAAACCCTGCACCCCAGGAGCCCCTCCCGAGTCCTCACCCTTGCCTTTTGTTCCCTTTATAAACACAGAAACAGAGGTCAGGGTGCAGATTATCCAGCCCATTTTATGGATGAGGAAATAGGCTCTCAGAAGTAAAATGAGAGGTCCAGAGCCACACTGCTAACAAGCAGCAAAGTGGGATCTCTTGCCTCCCTCCAAGGCCCTAGGCAAGCCTGCTGCAACAGAGGCCAGCCCCAAGGCCTGAGCCTGGCCCACCCCAGCAGAGCTGCTCCTGGAACATTTCCCAGTTCATGACCTGGCCTTCCTTAGCTCCTGGGGTCAGCATCCAAAGCCACTAGCCCATCAGTCACCACAAGGGATGGCCTTTGCATGGGCCTGGGCCATGGACAAACCCTGTTTTTCCACCCGCCTCCCACCCCTCCCTGCCTGCCCACCCAGCTGGCACCTTTCTGACAGCGCTCAGCTCCCCTGAGGTCCAGCATCTCCTCAGACAGGCTGGTGGTGATTTCACTGGTACAGGACTCCTCCTCCTCTGAGCCCTGGGCCAGGACAGATGACAGGCCGGGCAGACTGGGCCTCCCCCGGGCAGCTGGGCAGTGCCCAGGGCCTGGCAAGAATCTGCCCAACTAGCCCTTTGGTGGGAAGGGGAAGAGAATGTATTGGGGGCACTCTGAGCCCTAAGACATTGCCCCGGGATGCCTGGCATCACGGAGTGTGCCCAGCCACCTTGGGAAGGGGAGGGCCGGGCCCTGTGGCTGGCGGGAAAAAGCTCAGGGACTTGATGGGACACAGAGGGAAGGGAAGTTGGGGATTACTGAGGGTCAGGGTTTTGGAAGAGGGAATCAAGGGAGTGCTGAAGCTGAGACAGGGTCATAGGAAGATGACCGGGGTTGCAACTATGGCAGTAGTTTCAGGAGAACCCAATGGGGATACAAATGTCACACTCCTCTAGGAGAAGAGTCCCTAGCAGAGATTTCTGAGCTGGGCCACACAAACTCAGCTGATCTGGACATAGTCCCAGAGATAGCAGCTGAGGTGGTGAGAAGGGGCTGAGGAATCTATGGTCTCTGTGGACCCCACCCTTCTGTTCCCAAGGTCCCCCCTACCCCGCCTCACTGCCAGCTTCTCTCCTCCCTCACCTCATTCTCAGAAGAGCTGGCGGAGAGGAGAACCTCGCAGGCATCGAAGAACTCCGTGTGGGAATCAGCAAGGGACAGGATGCTGGTCTGCGATAGCTGGGGGGTGAGCTCGCGCCCCTTCATGTACAGAGCTTCTTGCTGTGGGAGCAGCCAGATGGATGTCAGGCTCCGGGGCCAAGCCGGGGGGATCAAGCAGGGCACCCGCTTGCCTGACAGTTCCCTTGAGAGGGAGGCATAACCGGGCACTTTTGCTGAGTCAGACACCTTCTGAGCAGAAGAGGCAGAGAGGAGTGAGAGCGGGACAAAGGCATAGTAAAATGAGCCCTGGCCTGGGAGTGAGGGGACGCAGGCTCCATTATAACTGTTTACACTTCCTGGCACTGACCCTGAGCCCCACTCCAAGCCCTCTGTGTGCACTAACCCATTCAATCCTGACACCTACCCTGTGAGGTAGGTGCAATTATCACCCCCACTTTGCAGATTGGAATGCTGAGGCTCAGGATCACAAAGCCGGCAGGCAGGAGAGCCAGATTTGAACCCGTGGAACGTAGCCCCAGCGTCTGTGCTCAGAGCCCGAGTCTCAGTTCAGCCCGTCTATAATTGCAGGAGCCTGAGCCCACCCATTAGATCCTTTGAGCCTCAGTTTTGTTATGCTGAGGGTGAGAATCACTGCATCAGAGGACCCCGAATTAAAAGTAAAAGTACCCTGCACGTTGTTACACAATGATCGAGATGGGGCTGCCGCTTACCTTATGGGAAAGACAATGGAGCCAGGATTTTTGGGCTGTCTTTGGGACTAAAAACCAACTTTGCCCACTGCCCTGGGCCTTGGCTTTCGCTGGGAGAGAAGGCACAGGAGAATCGGCCCCCACAGCCCACCCTGGCTCCTCACCTCCTCAGGGTTGAGGGAGCTGAAAGAGTCCGCCGTGGTGTCGGAGGAGGTGGACAGTGAGTGGAGGCGCCTCTGGCCAGTGGAGGCCTCAGAGACCTGCAGGGAGAGGGTGAGGGACACGGTGCCAGGAGGATGAGGTCCTCCCCACCTTGCCGCATCTCTGCAGAGACTGCCTCTGCCAACCCCCCACCCTGACCCAGATCTGCTATCGGACCCCAGGCTGGCAGTCCTCAGCTTGAAGCCCTCTCCCCGCACCAGTCACCCTGTCCCCCAGGCCTCACCCCCATTCTTGACAACTCTGAGCCCTGGTGCATGTCCCTCAGTTGGTCCCGTTCCATGGTGAGGGCGGCCAGGACGCTGCTGAGGGAGCTGTGCACTACAGGGAGTGGGGCAGACCATCAGAGTCCTCGCTCGCTCCTGTCCGCTCCCCACCAGCCCCTCCCAGCAGGCACTTACCCTTCTGGGCCAGGGCCCAGAAGCTGCGCTGCAGGTGGGCATAGTCTGTGGGTGGCAGCCCACGGGTGCCCGAGGAGTCCCGAGACTCCAGGTAGCGAGACAGGTTGGGAACAGAGCCATGGAGACGACCAACCTGTAGGTGAAGGGGAAGGGCTGAAGGGGCCGGCCTCCTTAGAGCATCCTGCCCCAGCTACGTGAGGTGCATGCCCGACCTCACCCGTCCAATGGTGTCATCCTTGGCAAAGCTCTGGGTGCACCACATGCGGCTTGTCCGTTTCCCCTTCTTGGGTCTTTCGGTTGTCACTGAGGCCTGGCAAGTCAAGGTGGGGGCAATTTTACTCACAGGGTGGGGAAAAGGGGCAGAAACCATCACAGCCTGGGAGAGGTAGACGGCCTCCTGCGCCATGGAGGAGGGCGCAGATTACCCAGCACAGAGGATGCGGCCGCTCAGGCAGGGCGACAGAGACAACTGACATCCCAGTGGAAGATGACAGCCACCCTGGCAGAGGCATGGGCATGGAGGAACAGAGACAATCTTGATACAGTTTGGACATGGGTAAGGGGTGGGGAGGAAACCAGGCGATGCATGGCTCTCCAGGAAACTGCAGCGATGTAGGAGGAATAGGACCCATCCTGGGGAAGTGATGGGATCGGGGGCCTGAGCAGGACCCTGTGTGTACCCCTGGATCTTACCTGGTGTGTGGGGATAACAGGGGCTGAGGGGATTCGGTGCAGGGACTCCAGGCTCTGGAGGAGCCTGTGTAGTTCCTGGAGCTTCCCCTGACACTCAGAGAGCTCTGCGGGGAAAAAGAACAAGAACAAGAACACCATTCATTTTTTTTTTGAGACGGAGTTTTGCTCTTGTTGCCCAGGCTAGAGTGGAATGGCGTGATCTCGGCTCACTGCAACCTCTGCCTCCCAGGTTCAAGTGATTCTCCTGCCTCAGCCTCCCGAGTAGCTAGGATTACAGGTGCGCACCACCATGCCTGGCTAATTTGTTGTATTTTTAGTAGAGATGGGGTTCCACTATGTTGGTCAGGCTGGCCTCGAACTCCTGACCTCAGGTGATCTGCCCACCTTGGTTTCCAAAAGTGCTGGGATTACAGGCATGAGCCACCGAACCCAGCCTCAAGGACATGACTCTCCCAACACTGACTTCATGGAGATCCCGATACTGCTCCCTGTTCCCTGTTCAAGAGCTCAGGTCGCTACCCCTGTTGGTGTGGTGCCCCCTGGTTTCCTGGGAGGGTCTGAAGCCTAATTTCTGCTCTGTCTCTAGACCATGCCTCACCTTTGCTGCCTTTGAGCAGACTGGGGATGTGCTCACCCTCTCTCTCTCTCTACTTGGTTTACACTTCTCCCTCCAGGCCAACTTCACAGACCCTACTGCAGGAACCCTTTCCTAGAGCACACCCCTTCCCTGGCGCTACTCCTCAGGCCCCTGCCCTGTGTGGGCACTCAGTATCTGCTTTGTCACAACTCCTGTCCCTGCATCCACGTCTGTCTATGTGCCCAGGCAGACTCTTACTCCTCTGTAAGACTGGGACTCCCCTAGACAGGGCCCAGGTAGACTGGATCTCCTTGGAGGCAGAGGCTGTCTCATTAAACTGGGGCTCCCTGAGGCAGGGATGGAGGTAACATTTTCCCCTCCTAGACCTGCCAGCTTGGGGCCTACCCTTGGAGGTGCTGCGCCTAGGGCCCCTCACCATGAGAGCAGCGGTCCAGCCCATCACTGTCCCTCAGCCAGGAAGACACTTTCTCCCGCGGTCCAAGCCCAGGTAGGGCTGAGGCAGTAGCTGCTGTTGGAAGCTGGGCACCAGGAACCTGTGGGGTGAGCCCAGGGTCAGGAAGGATGATGCCCACCTCCCTGGGTCTCACAGTTCTCCATAGCCCTTGCCCCTGAATTGCCACATTACCTGCCCCCACCCCAGGGTCCACCTTACCTTCCGGTGAGCAGTACTGGGCAGTGAGCCACGGGGCATGTCCAGGCGGTGGGCTAGGCGGTGGGCACGCAGCTGCGCCACCCAGCTCTGGAATAGGTCCTGGGATTTGATCTGCAGAAGTGATGGAGAGGGGGAGGGCTATCTGAAGAGAGGGACCACTTTCCAAGAGCAAGAAGTCAGGGCTCTGGTCCCCAGACAAGCAGGGTCTCTTCTTACAGAGCCTGGTTTGTGCAAGGCTCACTTGCAGGGAGACAGAGCGCAAGGCGCCCAGGTGTCTGAGCCCTTAGCTCTGTGCCTGTCCATACAACAACCAAGAAGTGCAGGTTTGCCCTTGGCTGTTTTTACAGGATGGAAACTTACTTTTTGTCAAACTCAGAGACAGACCCTGAGTTCCACAGACCCTCAGCCCCTGCCCCTGTGTGTTCCAATGCCTCTGTCAGGTTGGGGGCCAACACACGTCCTGCCTCCCAGGGATGTCACCTTGAGGTGGTAGATGTTGTCTTCAGTGTCAAGGTCAATGCGCTGGGCCTTTTTGTTGATGGACATGACCGACAGCCGGACATCGATGGAGCCATGGAGCTTCCCCTTGGTGATCTGGGGGTGAAGTGTTGGTAGAGGGAGAGGGGACCTGTTTTAGGCTCTCAGAGCCATAGAGCCACCATCTCCCTGATGCCATTCTAGGCTCAAGGGCCAGGTGGCAGGTTCACCCTCATGTCCAAGTCACACTATCAGTAGAGACTTGTCAATCATCCTCCCATGTGCAGAACGCTCCCCTACGTCAAGTCACATCTTGGTCTCTAAGAAGTCACAGATCAAGAAAAACTATTCCCACCCTCAGGGGTCTGCAGGGTTGTGGAAGGCAACACCCTCCCAGAGAGATCCTGGGTACCCAGGCCTTCAGTTCCTTGTTCCCAGCCTGAGAATGGGACCAGGATGAGGGTGGTAAAGCCCCCATTTCTTGGGCACTTATTCTGCCCTGTCCAGAGAGCCTTGTACGTATGACCTCCCTTACCATGACAGCTCTGCACCTGGGGGATGGTGCTCTCCCATTAGAGGTGAGGAAGCTATGGCCCAGGGATGTAACTTGCCCGAGATCACACATTCAGCAAGTGGTGGACCTGGGATTCAGACCCTGCTCTGGTCGATTCCAGATACCCCATGCCTGCCCAGGGCATACTGGGGCCAGACTCCTCCCACAACCCCAAGCCACTGCCCGGGCTCACGTCTTGCCGGGTTGTTGCATAATGAAGGATCCCGTCCTCGAGCACAAAGTATCTCTGTGATGTTGCCCAGGAGTGACAGGACCCGGGAGGCCGAGAGGAAGGGCATGAGGGAGAAGGCAACCACACAAATTAGCTTTTCTTTTCCTTCTCATCATGCAAACACCATTGGACTGCCCAGCAGCTGCCCCCCATTCCCACCCCGCCCCCCATGTCTGGACCCTCCCTTTGCCTGCCCACCCTACCTTGTGCCAGCCCTTCAGAGGCCACTTCCTCTTCTTGAGCAGGTGACCTTCCTGCCTCTCAGGCATGACACCCTCTGTCCCCAGCCTGACCCGAGGCTCCTCCACCACCTCCCACAGCTCAGAGGCCTGCAGTCCAGGACAGAGGGAGGGGAGCACTGGTGAGACGTCCGCCTTGGCCCCTCCCTGTCTGGTTCCAGCTTGGCCCACCCACCACCGCTTTCCCACTCTCTGACCTGCTGAGCACTGCTGGGCTTTGAGGACTGAGCGCTCTCAGGCAGGAAGGGCGGGTCCCTCTCTTGGAAGTCCATGGAGAAGGGAGAGGCCACTCCCTGCTGGGGATGTAGAGCAGGGAGCAGGGTGGAAGGGGAAGGATGTCACCTGCTCCTGACGGGGTCCTTGAAGCAAGAGAAAGACCCCCTTAACGCAAACTCTGCTATCACCTTCCCCACCTCCAGCCCCTCCCACACCCTCTGAGATAAGGGCTCCCCAACATACCCTCTGCTCACCTGCCAAGCCTCTCCCAAGTCTGCCCCTCTGTCCCGACCCCACCCATTTTCACCTGATATGGACACTGCCCTGAGAGTGAACTAGCACACAGCAGACGGGCAGGTGCCCAGGGAAAACCACAAGACATATGCCCAGCCCCGCCTTGGGCACATACTCTGGGGCTCCAAGAAACATTCAGTGCTTTCTTTAGAGGCTTCCCTGGGAGTGCTCAGAGGTGAAGCAAGGGAGTGACAGAAGAGGCTCCAAGAAGAGACAGAGGGGTTCAGAGACTGGACAAGCGAGACCTCCTCAATCCAGCTGCCTCTGCCTTCAGGACCCCTCCACCCTGCCACCGTAGCTCAGAGACTTCTCTGCCATGATCTTGCAGAAAACTCCCCAGCCTCCCACCAATTAATCTCCATATTATCTAGTGCTTGGAGAAACTGAGGCCTGAGATAGCCCCCATTTTCCCATGTCTCCTCCCACCAAACATGCCCCTAGGATGCCCTTTTTGGACCCTCAGTACCCCCTAAAGCCTCACCATCCCCTGTCTACCCTCACAGTCCTTGGGGCTCTGAGAAGTGCCACCCACCCAGAGAGGGCAGGACATTGGGCTAAAGGAGATACTTCATGAGAGAAGAGGGGGCCCAGGACATGCCCAGGTCTGCACAGGTCCTGCAGCAGTGCCCACAGGCACCCTTGGCACTGGCCCTGGCCATCCTGGCTCCACCGGGAGATCAATAATGCATGAGGCTCTGCATGTGTGAGACGGGGGAGGGGACTGGAGGGGCGAGGCTGGTTTGAGGTGGGGGAAGCAGCCCAGATCTTCTAATGGAGCTAGCAAGCACCTGAGGAACTGAGGCCCAGAGGGGACAGGGATGTGGCAGGAACGGGTGCCCAGGAGGTTGGGGCAGAGGGACCCTTGCTGCAAGAGGCTGACCTGGGAGGAAACTCCTGCATTCAGCCATTGAAAGTTCTCAAACTCTTCCGGTGTTCAGGTATCTCTGGGCCCTTCTCCCGGCCCTGTGGGGATCCTGGCCCCTCACTGCTTGTGGGTAGAGGGGGAGGCTCTATCGGTAGGCAGGTGAAGGGTCTAGGTGAGCCAGGTGGGTGCCCCCTCTCCACCTCTATTCAGGAGCAGACCCACCAGCTTCAGGTGGGAGGAAGCTCTTCTCAGGAATGTCAGCTGCTGCCACGCAGCCCCCTTACCCCAGGGTCCATGGACGCCAGTACTCCTTGGCCCTTGCGCCGCTCTGCCTCTGAGTCACCGTCTCCGAGTCACCGGCTCCCTCCTCACCGCGCTGAGCAGTGGCAGCAGCTGCTGCAGGAACCAGGAAGGAAGGAGATGTCAGAGCCTCCCCTCTAGCCGGATCTCCCCACCTCCCTCTCCCCTGTCCCCTCCTCCCGCCAAGCTCCGGGCAGCCGCTCAGCTCTGCCCCCCTGCTCCCCGGAGGACTCAGGGCTGAGCAGACTGCCCTAGCATCGATGTGGCTTGGGAGTGGGGGCACAGTCCCTGCTGGGCATGGTTCCAGATAGATCAGAGGACTGGGGAACTGTTGGCTGTACGCCAGTGGTGATAAAGGATTTATTCAGACTAGCATGGCAGTGACCCTGTTAGTACCCAAGGCCAATTCCTAATTAACCCCCGCCCCCCGCCTCTCATTTTACATCTGAAAATAGACTGCAAAATTTGGAGCCAGCAAAAGTATCAGGTTGATGGTGGAGGGACAGATGCCCCCTCTGGGACCATAAGAGAGTGCCAAGAGCACAGTCAGCAGGGGCAGTCAAGCCAGGAAAGGGACAGCCAGCAGTCCCCACACTGAGGCCCTTCACTGGGGTGATGCCCCACTAGGTCAGGCCCCATGGAGATCTGAAAGTGCTTGTGTGTATGAAGACACCCCACAGCCTGCAGTCTCTGATCAGGAGCAGGCCTGGGGCAGTCACAGCTGCCGTTAAAAGGGCTGCAATGCTGGTCCCCTCCCTTCCCTTTACCCTTCTGCTGGAGTACTGTGCCCAGCTGCTCAATTCTAATGAAAAATCGGCTCTTAACAAAGATCTAAAATTCATTCAAATGAATGTGGCATAGACCTACAGTTTCAAGCGCAGCTAAGTTTTCTGGAAAGAAGTAGGTGGGGCCTCAGGTGAAGGATGTGATTCAAGTTTCTTCTCTGACCCCAAAAGTGACATGGGCCACTTATCCCTTCCACTTCATCCTCACCGAGCTTGGTTTACGTTTCAGGGTCTCACATATCTCTCGGGAACACCCACTGTCTTGCCTTTATTCAGAGCCTCAGTGCTGCTCCAGCCACCCCAGGAGGAGGGTGTTGTTAGCACCTGGCAGGGTTCTGGGAGGGACAGGAGCACTGGGCAGCACTGACCAGACAAGCTCTGGCATCCAGGAGCCTCAAGGGCCTTTTAAGCCACTTCCCAGTGATTGAACATCCCTGGGCATACAGCACAGGATGAGGCACTGGGGGAAGCTGGTCCTGGCCCAGGCCACAAAAGAGCTGCTGCAGGTCATCCCTGCCAGACAGTGCCTGTCCAAGACTAAGGAAGCGGTGGCATTGCTTCAAGTCCGAGAAGGAATGTTGAACAGCCACCTTCCCCGGGTCACCCCTGCATCCACCCAGAATGTGCTCCAGTCAAGGATGATGGTGGACTCTGAGTTAAGCATCCCGTCTCCTTTATTAGGAATTTCTGGTTCATGAAGACTTGCATGAGGCCTCCTACCCTAGAGCTCTCAGAATTCCCCATTAATAGAGAATCCTAGTTTTCCCGCAGGCCTTTTGTCCAGAACCACCAGAGACACGTTAGCTAGTGGGTACAGCTGTCAGCTGCCTTTAATAGGGCAAGCATGCGCGGGATGCCATTTGTGGGAACAGGTATAGGGGAAGAGGATTTTCCTAGGAAGGGAAGCAAGAGTGAGGAAAGTCAGATGACAGAGAAGCCCCTGAGAGTAAGTTTAGAGGGAGGACAACCGTGTAAACCACAAAATAAAGGAAGTAGAATATATTTCATTTTATTATAAAGCAGTGCTCCCAAACTTTTCACAGCGTACACCTCGAGGGTGGAGAACTAACATCCAAGCACACCTGGATGGTGGATGGGACCCACTTCTGGGTAACCTGATGAGGAAGCTCTAGTGAAGAAATTCAGGACGCGGTCTTCAGAGCAGAGGGCTTGGTTCAAGTCCCTGTTCTGCCACTTACTAACTGCATGACCTTGAGCAAGCCACTTAATTTCTCTGCTCCTTCTCTGTGAAATGGGTACAATGTGGTCAGCAGTAAAGGAACTAATACATGTACAGCACTCAGCACAAAGCCTGGCACACAGCAGGCTCTCACCAGGTGCCATTCTCAGCACAACTGCTTGGTTGAGCTACTGTGGCAGTGGCAGGTTGTGCCCCAAGGGGGTGGGCTCAGGAGCCCGTGCAGCAAGAGGCAGTGACCAAGGAGGCAGGGGACAATAGCCCTATCTTTTCAGGATCTCTGCCTTGGACCTGGAGAATGGAGAGACTTTGCTCCTATCACGTCCCAAGTTGGGAAAACTAAGGACGAAGCCGGTGACTGACATCTGAAATGGAATCCTCTGCATCTCCAAGTGGCCCTATACCTGACAATATCATTACTAGTGAAAACCAAGTGACAAACACACTCCCCGACCCCAAGTTCTTCCACATGTCCCATTGAGGAGAGCACAGCCAATAACGCAGAGTGTATTTATGCGCAGGGCTGGCTAAACAGGCTGGCTACGAGTCCGGAACAGTGTCAGGATCTGGCTTCCCATTGGCCGACATGACAGAATCCTTCTCGCGTTGCTCTCTGATGTACTGGTCCAACAGGGTGGTCAGCTGGAGGGGCTGGTGCTGGAGCAGGGAGTGGGTCTGGGCTGTGAGGCAGGTGAGGCCTCCTACAAGCTCCCCCTGCACCAGGGGCAGGCTGGGGAGCTTGGAGTAGTTGATAAAGCCCTGCCTGCTGAGGATGGTGTCATCAATGCAGCCACCTGGAAGAACACAGGGTCAGTTAGGCTCCTTGCAGATTGCCTTTCTTCTCTGAAAACAATATTCTGACCCTAGTAACTTGCTCTCCATTGCCCTTCTCAAAATCCTGCCTTCCCCAGGACCTGGGTTCCACTGTGCCCCACACCACACCCACTCTGCTTGGGATCGATCCCTACTTCTTCACTCTTCCCTCAGAAAACTCTTAATATATCCACCTGGCCCTGACCCCTATTAAGTCAGTGTTTCCTAAACTTCCTTGTAAATAAGAATCAGGCAGCCAGGTGTGGTGGCTCATGCCTGTAATCCCAGCACTTTGGGAGGCTGAGGCAGGCAGATCACCTGAGGTCAGGAGTTCAAGACCAGCCTGGCCAACATGGAGAAACCCCGTCTCTACTAAAAATACAAAAATTAGCCAGGCATGGTGGCGAGCGCCTGTAATCCAAGCCACTCGGGAGGCTGAGGCAGGAGAATCGTTTGAACCCGGGAGGTAGAGGTTACAGTAAGCTGAGATCGTGCCATTGCACTCCAGCCTGGGTGACAAGAGCAAAACTTCGTCTCAAAAAAAAAAAAAAAAAAAAGAATCAGGATGAGGTTGGGTACGGTGGCTCAAGCCTGTAATCCCAGCACTTTGGGAGACCAAGGTCGGTGGATCACCTGAGGTCAGGAGTTTGAGATCAACCTGGCCAACATGGTGAAACCCCGTTTCTACTAAAAATACAAAAATTAGCCAGGCATGGTGGCAAGCACCTGTAATCCCAGCTACTTGGGAGGCTGAGGCAAGAGAATCGCTTAAACCTGGGAGGCGGAGGTTGCAGTGAGCTGAGATCACGCCATTGCACTCCAGCCTGGGCAACAACTGCGAAACTCCGTCTCAAAAAAACAAAGAATCAGGCTGGGTGCAGTGGAAAACGCCTGTAATCCCAACACTTCAGGAGGCCAAGGTGGCATAATTGCTTGAAACTAGCAGTTCAAGACAAGCCTGGGCAACATGGTGAATACAAATACAAAAAATACAAAAATTAGCTGGACATGGTGGCATGCGCCTGTAGTCCCAGCTACTTAGGAAGTTAAGGTGGGAGGATGGATTAAGCCAAGGAGGTCCAGGCTGCTGTGAGCCATGACCGGACCACTGCACTCCAGCCTGGGCAATGGGAGTGAGACCCTGAATCATGGAATGGAGGGAAGTAACGGGGAACTATTGTTTAATGGGTGTAGAGTTTCACTGTTAGAAGACAAAACGTTCTGGAGATGGATGGTGGTGATGTTGCATAGCATTATGAATGTACTTAACACGGAACTGTACATTTAAAATGGTTAAGATGGTAAATTTTGTGTGTATTTTACAATTAAAAAATTGAATAAATATCATGGAGTGTTGAGGGGGTATTAAAATCACAGATTCACCAGGAGCGGTGGCTCATGCCTGTAACCCCAGCACTTTGGGAGGCTGAGGTGGCGGATCACCTGAGGTCAGGAGTTCAAGACCAGCCTGGCCAACACGGTGAAACCCCATCTCTACTAAAAATACGAAAAAAAAAAAATTAGCTGGGCGTGGTGGCAGGTGCCTGTAATCCCAGCTACTCAGGAGGCTGAGGCAGGAGAATTGCTTGAACCCAGGAGACAGAGGTTGCAGTGAGCTGAGACTGTGCCACCGCACTCCAGCCTAGGTGATAGAGTGAGACTCCATCTCAAAAAAAAAAAAAAAAAAAAAATCAGATTCCTGTCCCGCCCCCTCCCTACAGAGACCTGTGAAATCTGGATTTCCAAGGACATGTGCAGTATTCTCTGCCCCTTAAGTGAGTCAGCATCAGGGGAGTCTGGGAAACACTGGTCACTGGCCCTCGGCACCCTTTACTTGGGCTACTTGTATTAAATATCTTCATCTGTGAGGGTTTCAGCACCTACTACCCCACTGTTAGACTCAAGGTATCTAAATTTTCTCTCCCTGCTCCATGTCTGCCTTTCCTAGTCTTCCCTCCAGTGCAGAAGTGACCTGGGGTAGTGAGACAACACAGGTGTGGGAGTGACAGTCGGCCCTCAATAAATGTGCTGTTTACTCAGGCTCCATCCGTGAAAGGATGCTCTCTCCAAGAACGTTCACGGTTTTACCAAGACAAGCCTAGCAGATGGCAGCAGGCCCCTCTTCACCCCACCCCTAACTGGCAGGGGTGCTTGCTCACCTAGCAGCGGCAGGAATGGCACAGTCCTTAAGATCCGTACCATCTCCTTGACCTTGGGCTCTTCACTGACCAGCAGCATGTTGTGCCCCACAAAAAGGGGCAGCAGATTTTGGTACTTGGAATCCTCCAGGAAGGGCTTCAGGACCTGGGAACAGCAGGGAAAAATGGCTTATCGGGGACAAGTGGGAGGAAGAGCTACCTCGTGGGTCATGGGCCACATTAGGCTGAGGGTGCAACCCAAGGGTCTTCTCAGCCCCTAATCATAGGTTAGACACCAGATTAGAGGGTGACTCATGGAGAGGAGGAGTAAGAAGTATCATCACTGGGGAGCAGATGGTGAGGTCTGAGTCTGGTGGGGGTGGGGGGAAGATGGGCAACCCATGCCAAGGGGCCTGCTCCCTACCTGGTTGGGGAAGACCTTCATCAGGATCTTGTGTTTCCGCAGCTGGTGTCGCATAAGAAGCTTGTCCTCTGCACTCAGAGCCACATTCTGGCAGACGGCTATCATTCGGTTGTCCTGGAAAACTGCTGCTATCTCCCGGCGGAGAAGCCTGATGAGGCCTATCTCCTGAAGTTGGAAAGCAATGACCAAGGGTACATCAGCTGCCACTTCTCCTGGCAACGTTGCTCCCTCTGTGGTAGGTTCTAGGGCTTCCAGTGATGTCCAGATGTGCAAAAGATCGGGGAACAAGTAGGATAACTGGGCCTCTGACTCTCAGAGACATGTAACATCTCCCACTACTCTAACCTTTTCACTTTCATTAGATAATTGCAGTCTTTAGCAGTGTTTTTCAAACCTGAGGATGCTCAGATCCACTCCCCCGAAAACAGGCCTGCAGTCTGCCCTAGTCAACAGTGCTTGACAATAATATTGCTAAAATTATTTCAATTATCAATCTGACACTGTACTCATGTTGAATTATTTTGCCAATCATAAATATAACTCTTTTGCAGTGTTAGTTTAAAATTGAGAAACTTGGCTGGGCGCGGTGGCTCATGCCTATAATCCCAGCACTTCGGGAGGCCAAGGCAGGTGGATTGCTTGAGGTCAGGAGTTCGAGACCAGCCTGACCAACATAGCGAAACCCCATCTCTACTAAAAATACAAAAAATTAGCTGAGCATGGTGGCATGTGCCTATAATCCCAGTTACTCAGGAGGCTGAGGCAGAGAATCGCTTGAACCCAGGAGGCAGAGGTTGCGATGAGCCAAGAGTGTCCCACTGCACACCAACCTGGGTGACAGAGACTCTGTCTCACAAAAAAAAAAAAAAAAAAAAAAAAAAATGGCCAGGCAGGGTGGCTCATGCCTGCAATCCCAGCACTTTGGGAGGCCGAGGCAGGCAGATCACGAGGTCAGGAGATCAAGACCATCCTGGCTAACATGGTGACACCCTGTCTCTACTAAAGATGCAAAAATTAGTCAGGCATGGTGGTACATGCCTGTAATCCCAGCTACTCAGGAGGCTGAGGCAGGAGAATCACTTGAACCTGGGAGGCAGAGGCTGCAGTGAGCCAAGATCGCGCCATTGTACTCCAGCTTGGGCAACAAGAGCGATACTCCATCTCAAAAAAAAAAAAAAAGATTGGAGAGATACTCTCCCCAGCCCCACCTGCTAGGGTAGCTCTCACACACACATTTTTGGAGACAAGAAGGAAATTCAGGAGGCCCACCCAATCCAGAGCCCAAAAGCCAATACAGAATCAAGTGCGGATTTCATCTTAAAATATCTGGATCAGGCAGTCAAACTGAAATAATGACGTGCATGACAATGGCTGAGTGTCCTACTTCACTATGGCCAGAGACAAGATTACTTTAATCCACCATCCCACCACCAAGTGACATGTACCCAAATTCCTCCTTACCTCCTGTGGGGGGCTGGGAGGAGATGGCAGGCATGATGGGTGGATGGCTGGTTTCGGGGGGATATATTCAGTCACAGCCATCAGCTTCTGCCGCTGAAAGTGCATCACACGACGGTGGCGGGTAACAGCCTTGGAGCCATAGCGGACAGTCTGGAGGGTAGGCAGCCGGCCTGGGAGGGCATATAGCAACATGGTTAGAGGCAACCTCCTGGAGGCCCTAGTTTATCCCAAATGGAGAAAAAACACACCCTCTAGCAGAGAAAAGCACAGCTCACAGAGCTAGACTCAACACAAGAGTGGGACAAGGAATTGTCTGACAAAAGTCCTGAATTTCCAAAGCTTCTCTTTCAGTAAGTGACCCGAGGTCAATTACTTAATCTCTTGAGGCTACCATTTCTCTAGCTCTTCTCAATGTGCAGAAATGTGAGAAAAAAATGAGAACAAAGGAGAAAATATTTTGAACACATTAAGAAAAGTGGGGGCTGAGTGTGGTGGCTGACACCTGTAATTCCAGCACTTTGGTAGGCCGAAGCGGGCGAGATCACTTGAGGTCAGGAGTTTGAGACCAGCCTGGCCAACACAGTGAAACCCCATCTCTACTAAAAATACAAAAATTAGCCAGGTGTGGTGGTGTATACCTGTAATCCCAGCTACTTGAGAGGCTGAGGCAGGAGAATCGCTTGAACCCGGGAGGTGGAGGTTGCAGTGAGCCGAGATCATGCCACTGCACTCTAGCCTGGGCACAGAGTAAGACTCCGTCTCAGAAAAAAAAAGAAGGAAGGAAGGAAGGAAGGAAAGAGAGAGAGAGAGAGAGAAAGAAAAAGGGGATAAGGTTAAATAAACTTTTTCTTAAAATGGTCAAACAGTAAATATTTTAAGTTTGGGGCCCATGTAATCTGTCTCTAATGCTCAACTCTGCCAAAAGCAGCCACAGACAATATTTAAAGAGACAGCAGAAACTATGTACCAATAGAATTTTATAAAACACAGTGACTGGCCCTGCCATAATACGCCAACCCCTGGTCTAATCTAGTGGCTCTCAAGGTATGCCCCACCTCCACCCCAACCAGCAACATCAGCATCATTTGAGAGCTTGTTAGAAATTTTGCTGGGTGTGGTGGCTCACGCCTGTAATCCCAACACTTTGGGAGGCCAAGGTGGGCAGCTCACTTGAGGTCAGGAATTCAAGACCAACCTGGCCAACATGGTGAAACCCCGTCTCTAACTAAACTACAAAAATTAGCCAGGCGTGGTGGCACACACCTGTAGTCCCAGCTACTCAGGTGGCTGAGCCATGAGAATTGCTTGAACCCAAGAGGCAGAGGTTGCAGTGAGCCGAGATTGTGCCATTGCACTCCGGCACTCCGGCCTGGGTGACAGAGCAAGACTGTCTCAAAAAAAAAAAAAGAAAGAAAGAAAGAAAAATAAACATAAATTCTCAGGCCCTGCCTAGACCTACTGAATCAGCAATTCTGGGGTGGAGCCTAGCAAATAGTGTTTTTTGTTTGTTTTGTTTTGTAGAGACCAGGTTTCACTATGTTACCAAGACGGGTCACAAATAGTGTTCTAACAAGCCCTCCTGGTGATGCTGACGCATGCTAAAGTTTGAAAACCACCACTCTAACCGCTGCTCTGACACCCTGTCCTATGATTTGAAGAGGAGAAAAAAATGTTACACCATTCTCACAGCTCTCAGACAAGTTTCTCTTTCCTCCTCTCTTCCTGTTTACAGATAATGCTACAGAGCACCCCACAGAAAACAAGGGAGGCACTCAAAAGCCCTGAGACAAAGTGACCACTTAATCCTCAACACAAGGGCCAAGACTAGAACTTCCCACTTTCAGTCATTTCCAAGACTGGGATGTGACCTCAGAAAAAGGTCCAGATAGAAGGCGGCTCTAACAGTCAGAGAGTATGGATATTTGCTGGGGTAAGAGGTCTTATTGCCAGCAGCCACAAAACCTAACTGTTAAGACTGCAGGCAGGCTTTGGAATCAAATTAAACTGGATTTTTTTTTTTTTTGAGATGGAGTCTCGCTCTGTTGCCCAGGCTGGAGTGCAGCAATGCGATCTCGGCCCACTGCAACCTCTGCCTCCTGGGTGTAAGCGATTCTCACGCCTCAGCCTCCTGAGTAGCGGGGACTACAGGCACGCGCCACCACACCCGGCTCATTTTTGTATTTTTAGTAGAGTTGGGGTTTCGCCATGTTGGCCAAGCTGGTCTCAAATTCTTGACCTCAGGTGTTCCCTCCGCCTCAGCCTCCCAAAGTGCTGGGATTACAAGCGTGAGCCACCGCGCCCAGCCGAAACTGGATTTTAATCTCTCTTCCGCCAATTACTAGCTGTGACCTTGGCCACCCAACTGGTCTGAACTTCAGTTGCTGCGTCTGTAAAGAGGAGATGCGAATGTCTTTCTCACAGGGTGCTTTAGATTTAAATGATTTAAAAGATTTAAATGAGCTAACACATATAAAAATAGTTATCACAGTGCCTGGCCTATATTAAGTGCTCAAATCCATTCACTAAACAAATATCTACCGCACGCTTACTAACATCCAGCACCATGCCACCTGCTGGCTATGCTGAATGAACATGGTTCTGCCCTTGCGGAGTTTAATAGAGGAAACAAGCAACTAAACAAATGCAAAATTACAGATTGCGACGGGGCTAAGGAGTCAAGGGAAGACCTGAGGTGACATTTAGACTGACACATTAAGATGGAGACATAATGCAAAGGTCTGGGCGAGGAGTGGTCCAGGCAAAAGAAACGCTGGAGACAGACAACATCTGGACGTTGTTGCTGTGATTACCAGTCGAGTCACAAGGAACTGGACGGGGTAAGGAGGCCAGCGATCTAGCTGGGGTCAGAGATTATGGGAAGAATCAGTAGTAGAGGAGGGCAGATGAGGACTAGAGAGCGGCCGCAAGACACGCCGTGAGGACCTGGGCCACTCCTTACCCGCCTGGGGCAGGAGACCCCCTCGCAGCATCCCCGCCACGGCCGCAGCCATCTCCACCGGAAGAATGGACGGAAGCCGAGTGGAGACGGAAAGAGCTAAGGATTGTGGGGTAGCGAACCCCGGGGCCGGAAGCAGTGGGCGTACCCGCCGGCTGTAGCCGTAAGACGCATGCGCTAGGCCGGGCCAACGGAGCCCGCCTTTACCTCCCCACTCGGCGTCCAGTCTCTTAGCAACGACTCCGGCTTCCTAGGAACTGCTCCTTTCTCAACCATTCCTGCCCACAACACCCCAGCTTGCTGCCAGCAAAGCCCCTCCACACCCCTCAAACTCCAGACCCTTCACATCAATTTACTGTTTTCTTCGACCTCACCCCAGCAATTTTCTCTGAATCAACCCCCTTTCCTCCTCTCCTAAGTCTCTGAGTTTCTCTCTCCTCCTGCCATCCTGAGTTCTGCCATCCTTAGGGGCCGCCAAGACCTCTCTTTTCGTTCCTCTCCCGCCTCAGACCAGCAGCCTTTTATTTTAGATCATGTCTGGAGGTGAGTAGGGAGGTGGGACGGTGGGTAGAGCAGTTGGAAAACAGCGGGGTAAGGCCTCCAAGAGTGAGGAAGTGTCACAGTTGGACTCATCTTTTCACAGGGAAGTCAGCCCAGGGTCCAGAGGAAGGGGGCGTCTGCATCACTGAAGCCCTTATCACTAAGCGGAACTTGACTTTCCCTGAAGATGGGGAACTGTCAGAGAAGATGTGAGTGCATGGGGGAGAAAAGGGGTGCTAGAAGGCTGAAACACTCAGGATGACCAGGTCCCTGACGTGTACTGATTTGTCAACTGATCTTTGTTTCTCTCCTTACTCCACACATTCAATCAGTGGTAATGCCCAGCTGATTTTCCCTTCTTCAAAATAATTCCATTTCTTTTTCACCATCCTCACTCAACTGTCTTAGATAAGGCCGTGTTCACCTCTCTCCTACACACCCACCACTTTGGGAGGCTGAGGCAGGAGGATCACTTGAGCCCAGGAGTTTGAGACCAGCCTGGGCAATAGAGACAGAATCCTATCTCTAAAAAATAAAAATAAACTAGCTGAGCATGGTGGTGCACACCTGTAGTCCTAGGTGGCTGAGACAGGAGGATCACTTGAACCCAGGTACCTGTGGCTGCAGTAAGCTATGATCATGCCATTGCATGCCAGCCTGGGCAACAGGGTGAGACCCTATTTCTAAAACAAACAAAAAGTAAAGTATTTTTAATTACTTTTTTAGAGATGGGGTCTTGCTCTGTTGGCCAGACTGGTCTTGAACTCCTCAAACAATCCTCCCACTTCAGCCTCCTGAGTAGCCAAAGTGATCCTTTTAAATAACAAATCTAATCAGGCATTCACTGATAGAAACTTCCTCCCAAATAAATCCCAATGCCTAAGCATGAGTTGACTTCTGCTTTTCAGCCTTATTTCTGGCCACTCTCCACAAGTGTACAATTTCCCACACTGTGTACTCACACCTTAGTACCTTACTACTCAGAGTATGTGTGGATGGGAGGGGGTGCAGGGGTAGGACAGCAGCATTGGCATCACAGGGGGCTTGTTAGAAGTGGAGCATCTCAGCCCCTCCACCCGATCTACTGAATTAGAATCTGCATGGGCATATTGGAGTTTCGGAAGGGCTGTATTAGCATGTACTATTCCTTCTGCTTGAAATGCCTTCTCCCCATATCCCCCCACCTTCATGGCTAATGCCTACTCATCTGTCACCTCCTCTAGGAAGCATTCCCTGATTCCTCCTACTGTGAATTTAGTGCACAGCCTATGTACTCCCTTTGTCCCCTGTACTTGCTTCTGTTATCCACTTGTCAGGGATGTTTGGCCTTATTCTTTCTTTCTTTCTTTCTTCTTCCTCTTCCTCCTTCTTTCCCTTCTTCCTCCTCCTTCTTCCTTTCCCCTGTACTTGCCTCTGTTATCCACTTGTCATAGATGTTTGGCCTTCTTCCTATTTTTTTTTTTTTTTTTTGAGACGGAGTCTCACTCTGTTGCGCAGGCTGGAGTGCAATGGTGTGATCTCGGCTCACTGCAACGTCTGCCTCCTGAGTTGAAGCGATTCTCCAGCCTCAGCCTCCCGAGTAGCTGGGACTACAGGTGTGCGCCACCACACCCGGCTAATTTTTTTTGTATTTTTAGTAGAGATGGGGTTTCACCATGTTAGCCAGGCTGGTCTTGAACTCCTGACCTCAGGCAATCCACCCACCTCGACCTCCCAAAGTGCTGGGATTACAGTGAGCCACCTCGCCCAGCCTCTTTTTTTTTTTTTTTTATGACATAGGGTCTTGCTCTGTCACCCAGGCTGAAGTGCAGTGGCATAATCATGGCACACTGCAGCCTCGACCTCCTGGGCTCGAGCGATCCTCCTGCCTCGGCCTCCCAAAGTGCTGGGAGTACAGGGTAAGCCACCATGGTCAGCCTGCCCTGCTTCTTTATTAGTGGTGGGCAGAGACTCTGTCATTTGTCTCTAGTAGGCACTCAGCAATGTTGTGGAATGAATGAATGGGTGGATGGAACAAGTGCTTTTTTCTCCATGAACGACTCAAAAGGAAGGTGAGGAAGGATCTTTCTGCAGTGTCTCATCTCTGTCCCACCCCTGCCTCCACCATCCAAGCTGGCCAGAGGAAGGTTTCTCTTGCCTCTGAATCTCTCCAGAAACCATAAGCTGCCATCCCCCAATTTCCCAGAGGGCCCTTACTCCTCTCTCTCACCCTTCCCAGTGCTAACAATAGAGATACGAGTCTGCAAGTCAAGCCGGTTTCATGATCTAGACACCACCTCAAGATGTCAAGATGTTTCTCACATCTGATTAAAATGACTCAGCCAACTACCCCTCCTTGAAACCCCTTCCCTCCTCCGTCTCCCATCCTCCCTGCTAAGAGACCACATGAGTGGTGCTCTAACACCACCCTTACTGACTCTTTTCCCAGGTTTCACACTCTTGATGAACTGCAGACTGTCCGCCTGGACCGGGAGGGGATTACTACTATCAGGAACTTAGAAGGCCTCCAGAATCTTCACAGTCTCTATCTGCAAGGGGTAACTTCTTTCTCCACCCTTCCCCTCCCCTTGACCCCTGTGGACCTAATCTGTCTCATCTGAAAGGAGCCAACCAGGTCATCCTGCCCATTCCCTGGTGTTCAGGCAGGCAGACCTTCATTTAAACCATTCCCAGACGAATGACATAGGGTCCTGAATTGAAAAACTAATTCCCTCAAAATAGATCCTGAACATGACCTGTGCTCCTTCCACTGTTCTTTAGGCACTTCTCTTGATCTAGAAGTTCTTTTTGGCATCTACTCTAAATCTTTCACGTTAAATAGCTCCAGCCCATTTCCTGTTTTGAAGAAGAGGAAACTATGAAGATTCCTGTACATCATTCAGATCCTACTTGAAGGCTGTTTGGTGGTGGTGGTGGTGGTTGGTTGATCTTCAGCCTTCCCCTGGTTGAGTATTCCCAGCTCGCTTCAACTTTCCCCATAGAAACTTTAACCGTCAAGTTCCTGTATGCTCATTGTTCTCTCTGTGTATGCAAGCCACCACCAAGGCCCTTTCCGTTTTCCTGGTGGCTTCTTAGTTTCCTTTTCTGATTCCCAGGTCACTCTTTGGTTGTGGAATCAGAAGAGTATACGTAGTCAGGTTTAGATACCCCAGGTTTACACCCTTAACCATCCACATGGGGAAAGAAAATCATCTTTCTTAAGGTAGTGGCAACCTGTTCAAGGAGTGGGGTGATCATTCCCAAAGTGCCAGATCTCCAGCTGCAGAGTAGACATGGTCTTGGGGCTTTGTCCCCGTAAAGGGCCCCTGACGCATCTGATCTCAGCTTGGTTTCCCCACTTCGGTTTCTTCTTGCAGAATAAGATCCAGCAAATTGAGAACCTGGCTTGCATCCCCTCCTTGCGGTATGTGGTGCCAGGGCTCAGGCAGGGGAAGAGGGGTTGGGGGAACCTAGCCATATCCCAAAGAACTGGTTCAGATTTCTCCAAGCCTGGGTCCTTGTCAGTCAAGGACCAGCAAGCCTAGATCTACTCCCTCACCCCAGAAGGCCATGTGTCCCCACTGGTCATCAGCTGCCTAGCCCAGGGGCCCCGGTGTCAGGTGCCCTCCTCTTTTCTTCCAGCTGTTCCATGATTCAGCTCTGCCTCTGTACCCCTTCCTTCCCCTACAGCTTCCTGTCTCTGGCAGGAAACCAAATCAGGCAGGTGGAAAACCTCCTCGACCTCCCATGCCTCCAGTTTCTGGACCTTTCTGAGAACCTGATAGAAACATTGAAGCTGGGTAGGAACCCACTCGCCCTGGCTCACCAAACACATCCCCTGTGGGGCCTGCCCTCCCCTCTGCACCCATCTGCCCATGCTTCTATTAGCCATGCCCCTGCAGGTCCACATTTCATCCTCAGGGAGTTCAAGGGGTTGTGCCTAGAGGTACTGGCTTTGGACTAGAAAGTGGGTATGAGAACCCCATTCCCATCGCTTCATGGTCTTTTGGCTAAGATCAAGTGAGAACCCCATTTCCTCTCTCTTTGCTGTGTGCAGATGAGTTCCCCCAGAGCCTTCTCATCCTCAACCTGTCTGGAAACAGCTGCACCAACCAGGATGGCTACCGGTAAGGAGTGGAGGGTGGGAAGAAAGGTCATGGCTGAGCTCTACCTGCTAACTCAGCCCAGACCCCTCTCAGCCTGCAAACCTGGGGTCCTGTCCATGACACCTTCTCCCCCACCTCCTACCTAGCTCATGAGCCACCACCCCTCCGGGTGTGAGTGCTGTGGTGCGTGTCTTTGCATCCTCCACGCCAGGGTGCCCTCCTGGGTAACCTCTGCTCCTTCTGCTCTGCAGCGAGCTGGTGACAGAAGCCCTGCCACTTCTCCTGGACCTGGACGGGCAGCCTGTGGTGGAGCGCTGGATTTCGGATGAGGAGGATGAAGCCTCAAGCGATGAGGAGTTCCCAGAGCTGAGTGGCCCATTCTGCTCAGAACGAGGTGACCCTGCTTTCCAAGGTTTTCAGCCTCCCCAGAGCCCACCTCTGCCCTGTGGGACATGAGGGAAGCTAAGGTGGCAGTGGCGTCCGGGGAGGGGAGCCCCAAGTTCAGATCAACATCTGGGCCAGAGCCAGGTGTCAGTCCTGGGCCCCAGCCTCAGGCTCCTTCCCACAAGGGACAAGGGGCCAGCCAGAGACTTCCCTGAGCCCAGGGACCCTCCTGCTGAGCCCAGGGCTCCACCCACCCTGTACCCTCCACCCCCGGCCCCTCCCAGGCTTCCTCAAGGAGCTGGAGCAGGAGCTGAGCAGGCACAGGGAGCACCGGCAACAGACGGCCCTGACAGAGCACCTGCTGAGGATGGAGATGCAGCCCACCCTCACCGACCTGCCCCTGCTACCTGGGGTGCCCATGGCTGGGGACAGCAGCCCTTCTGCCACTCCTGCGCAAGGGGAGGAGACAGTCCCTGAGGCCGTCTCCTCACCCCAGGCCTCCTCTCCCACCAAGAAACCATGCAGTCTGATTCCCAGGGGCCACCAAAGCTCTTTCTGGGGAAGGAAGGGGGCACGAGCAGCCACAGCCCCCAAGGCCTCTGTGGCTGAGGCCCCCAGCACAACCAAAACTACGGCCAAGAGAAGCAAGAAATGATTCTCTGTCAACCTTTCTCTACTAGTGGAGAGGAGTGGGGCCTGCCCCTCTTCTCAGACCTCTGACCTGTGACAGAAGCCCATCCCCAGTAAAGTGTCTCTAGGCCCTGAGTATGCTTTTCATGTCACTTGGGGTATCTCAGGGGAAGAAACCAGTGAAAGCTCCAGGAAACAAAATACAGAGCTCAGTGAGCCACCTGATTCTAAAGAGCGAGTCTGGAATCTTTCGGGAGCTACCCACAGGGCAGGCATGCCTCAGGCCCCCGCTGGCTTCCTGGCTCCCACTTGGGCAGGAAGCGGGCACCACCTCATGGAAGAGGCATGCCATCTCACTGCCACCCCTAGCGAGTGCCCTTCCCCGGTCCAAGCCAAGGACCAAGGAGCTGTGGTCCTAGTCATCCCCAACAGCAGCCAGCTCCTGTCCCCTCCCTGTCCTCCTGCCCAGTCCCCATCACTCACCCACTCATAGGAATGAGTACACAACCACAGGCCCCGCAGCCAGCCCACAGCTGCCTTTGGGCCTCACTTGGCTCTCCCACCCCCACTGGTCCTGGGATAAAGTTCACTGAAGAGAAAATAAAGCACATTTATTAAGGCAAAGGCCAAGCTGGCCGCTCAGAACATGGCCAAGGAGCGTGAAGGGATTGCTCCACTTTACCACCACTCAGGGCACCCAGGCCCCAGGGGTCCTGGGTCCACCCCAGGCCAGCAGAAGCTATGAAGCTTACGCATAAGCCTGGCTCTCCCTCTTCACGAAGGCCTGGAAGAGGCTGCCCAGCTCCCAGAGGGGTGGGGCCCACTCGCCGGCCAGCAGCCCCTGTGTGGCCTCGAGGCCTTCCTGCTCCAGATCCTGCTGTTTCTGCTGGAGCTGCTGCCCCCGATCCTGCCCCAAGGGAAAGCTGAGATGAGTCTGTCCGGGACAGGCTTCCCGCCAGGTGAAGGGGGGACTGTGTACCACCTCACACAAGCAGGAGAAAGGAGATACCCCCCGACATTCCCCAAAGGCAGTTGCTGGCTTTGAAGGGAGGAACTCCTCTCCCCAGCTCTGAAATCTCTTCCACTCCCTAGTTCCTTCATATTTCCAGAGTCCCACTGGGAGTGGGGGAGGTCTATCATCCCCTCAAGGTAGCCCCTACTCCCTGGGGGATACCTGATCTCTCTCCATCAGCCCCAGGGCTGCCTGGTGTCCACGGTAGAGGGTATGCCGACGATCTACCTGAGTCTGGAATCGGGGCAGGGTCCGAACAGGGTCTTGTGCTCCAAAAGTGGGGGACAGCACCTGGGGGGCCTGGGCCACCCCCATCCCGAAGATGAAAGGTTTGAACACAGACCTAGAGGGGCACAGATGGAAGCACGGAGATATATCAGATCCTCTCTTCTCCCCAGCCTTCCCCACCCTCATTCTTCCCACCTGGATGGGTCTGGCGTGGCGGTAAGAAAGTGCACGCAGGGCTGCGTGGGATCCTGGGGCAGGACAGACACCATGCTGGCCGTGGTGCGAAAGCCTCCCGAGTCCATACAGATACCACTCTCCTTGTCTCTGAGGATGCCCATCATCACCTCTGCCGTGATGCCCCCTGCCAAGGAGTAGAGGGGGAAGCTGTGGGAGGGGAGAGTGGCTGGCACTGCTGTGGCCCTCCTGGCCCCCAGCCCCCTCCACCGTTCACTAACCTTGCCGTTGCCGCAGCAGCTCCCGCCCTGCCTGGAAGCGGGCCTTGGCAGCCTCCATGCGCACAGGCTGCTGGGTCAGGGAGAAGATCTGAGCAAAGTCAAAGGCACCCTGCCCATCCCACCAGCCCTTGGCCTGGGCATGAGTCCGCAGCTCCGGGTGTTGGGCCGAGATGTCCGTGCCAATGCTCAGCTGGTTGGAGATGTTGCGGGCCCCCTCTGTGGAGGAGATCGGGGAGTGGTTCATTTACCATTGAGCATCTATTCTATGCCAGGCACTGGGCGAGGTGCTGAGAACATGGTGGAGAAGAGAACTACCTACCCTCATGGAGCCTACGTTTTGGTGGGGGAGGCAGACAAAATAATCACAGAGATAAATGTAAGCATGCAACTGTGTTGAATGCGATGAAAAAGAAGTACCTGCTTGCATATAAGCAGGAAACCTGACCACCCAGGGAAGTCCAGGAAGGCTTCCCAGAGGAAGCAACAGGCTGTAGCACACGGAAGACTTAACCAAGTGAAGGGGAGGAGAATTCCCAAGTGGGCTCATCTCCCATCTCCCTGGATGTCCTGACAGGCTTGCACCTGGATCGGGCCCCTCCCTGCCCCTACCATCTCTCCCACTTCCCAAAGCTGGGAGAAAGGGAACACCTCACCCTGGATCCTCTGTGCAGCCCAGAGCCTCCCAGCTGTCTCCAGCACCCACGCCTCAGTGCGGTCAGCCAGCAGGAAGGTGCTATGGTAGGAGAATGGCGCAGCATCCTCCAGGCAGTTGCCCCCCTGCCCATAGTGCTCCAGTAACCCTGTGATCACATGCAAGGCCTCCTGGGCAGAGCTGCTCCGTTCCAAAGCCAGCCTGGCAAAAGAGAGGGCCAAGGGACAGAAGGGTGACAGAGGGATCAATGGCTGGTGGCAGAAGCTCCAGGGGACAGAAGAGGCCCGGAGAGGTTTGGTGATAGGCCCAAGTCACACAGCAAATCTGCTGGCACTGATCGTATCAAATGCAATTATGCCAGTGGCTTTCAATGCTCTGGTTCCATGTGCTATGCTTTGAGGGTTCCATGAAAAGGCCTGAAACACAGTTTCAGAGAGAGAAGTGTCCTGAGCCCCTAACCTCTCTCCACCCAGAGCTGCTCCATCCACTATTACTGGTTTTATAAATTGGGACTCTATGTAAGATTTCAACTGAAAATAAATAAATAACCACTGCTCTATTTCTGGGCCAGGAGAGGCCCAAAGGTGGCTGCTGCTGCAGCCTTCTTCACGAAGGCACAAGGGCAAAGTCTGCAGAGAGGAGGAGGCCCCTGTGAACCAGGCTGGGGGAGGGATGGATGGGCCCAGGTCAAAACTCAGCCCCTAGATTTCTGGTGTGTCAGGCAGATGAGGAAGGGCAGGGTCTGCACCTGAGTAGGTCCATGCCCAGCAGGGCTTCCCCCTCCCCAACTGGCTCCTTCGTCCACACAGCCTCGTTGCCAATGCAGACACCATGCTCGTTGGCGCCCATCTCAGCCCCCCATAGCCAAGAAGGACGGCTCAGAATCACAGCGTGCGTCTTCGACACCTGTTCCACTTCAATGTAGGTGCACTGGAGGTGAGGGAGGAGAAAGGAAGCGTCCACTCATAGAGGGGCGGCCCCTCGAGTGTGGCACTCTGCCAATTACCTTATAGATCCCTTTGAGGAAGGTCTCATTCCCATTTTACAGAAGAGGAAACTGAGGTAGACTGAGGCTACATAATGAGCTCAGGTCCAGGTTGGTAGACCTAAAGCTCATGCTCTTCCACTACTTCTGGCAGCCTCCCAGGTGTGGGGAGCAGGGAAGAAGGTCTTAAAAGAATGCAGAGATCTGCCACACCTCCCAGCACCCCATAAAGTCTAACCCACCTGGAGCCGGCTCCCAGGAGTGTGAGTGCCTGCGGGGACAAACACCACCTCCTGCACCTCGTCCCGGGGTCGGTCCGAGTTCTTGGCAAAGATCACAGCCGGGATGGCTGAGGCCGGGGGCACGGAGACAAAGCAGTCGCAGGAACATGGGGAGTCAGGGCTCGACGACGCCATCTGGGGAGAGGCGGGCCTCTCCATAACCCTGGCCACGGCTCAGCCCCGAGGAGCAGCCTACCCCCACACGTGTAAAAGACGCGCAAGGAAGACACCGCCGTGGCTCCTGGACGCTCGGCGCACACACCATGGACGGGTGTGCGGGAACGGAGGTGCCCACCCTCTCCCCAGGCTCCAGGCTTGGGAGTCCGCAGGCGGGCACTCCGGGGGTCCCGCCCCCACTGGGAGTCCCGGCCCTTCGGAGCAGTCGTGGGACCGTCCCCCTCGCTACCCCACCAAGAGTCCTGCGGCCCTGCGCATGCCCAGATACCCGACCCTCTTCTGTCCAACCCTTCTCTCACCCCCAGTACTGTATTCCCCTCACCCTCTCTTCCTCCAAGACCCCAGCTCGGTCCCGGGTGCCACCTCCTCCGCTTCTGGCCAGGGCCGCCCCATTGGGCGGAGACTCTCAGGTGACCTGGAAGGCCTTCGGCCTCGGGGTCGGAGCCGGAACGGAGCCTGCAGCTCCGCCGTTTTCCACCAGGGCGCGCGCCTGCACCACTTCCCGGAGCAGAGCGGCCTTGCGAGTCCCACCTGGCTCCCTGTCCTACCCAGGCGCCCATTTGAGGCCTGACAAAGGCTGCTAACCCCACGGAGTCACTGCGGGGAGCTGGAGCTGGGGGTGGAAAGGATCCCGCGTGAAAAGGGAGACTTTGTCAGAGAAAGGGGACTGCTGGGACATCTGGAGATTAAGGAAGAACCTCAGATACTTGAGTCCTGGTTTGAATCCCAGAGGCGCAATCCCAGGCTGGAGGCGCCTAGGGGAATAAGATACAGAATACGAGAGTGGTGGAGGCTGGGTGCGGGGGGCTCGCACCTGTAATCCCAGCACTCTGGGAGGCGGTGGTGGGAGGATCACTTGAACCCAGGAGTTCAACACCAGCCTGGGTAACACAGCAAGACCTCGCCTCTACAGAAAATATTTTAAAATTAGCTGGGCGTGGTGGTGCGTGCCTCTAGTCCCAGCTGCTCTGAAGGCTGAGGTGGGAGGATCTCTTGAGCCAGAGAGATTGAGGCTGCAGTGAGCCAAGATCACACCGCGGTACTCCAGCCGCGGTGACAGAGCAAGACCCTGTCTCTTAAAATAAATAAATAAGGGAAAGTGTGCACAAAACCCATCTGATCCCAGAGGACCTATCTGTCTGATAGTGCTCAAACCCATAGGAAGATCGCTTTAAAGGGAAATTTAGAACTTTCTAGTTCAAAGATTTGGTGCCTTTACCTGTAGTGAAACTGAAACCACAAAGAAGTCTTGGCCAAAGGTGACACACAGTCATGTGGAGGTACACTCTGATCCCAAATGTTTTGATTTTCAGTTCATTTTTCTCTACAAACCATCTCTCCATAGCCATCATTAAGACAAATGCATCTTACACCCTTTTGCTCTGTGGAGCCCTCCAGAATGGAGAGAGGGGAGATGCTGCAGGTTATCTGCTTCTAGGGGTTGCACTGAATCTATAGATGGCTTTGAGTAGTATGCACATTTTAGCAATAGTAATTCTTCCAATCCGTGAGCATGAAATATCTTTCCATGTCTTTGTGTCTTCTTCAGTTTCTTTCATCAATATCTTATTTTCAGAGTACAGATCTTTCACCTCTTTGGTTAAATTTATTCCTAAATATTTTATTATTTTGGTAGCTATTGTAAATGGGACTATTTTCTTGATTTCTTTTTTGTATAGTTTGTTATTAGTGTATAGGAACACTATTGACTTTTGTACATTGACCTTGTATCCTCTGACTTTACTGTATTTGCTTAACAATTCTAACAGTGGGCCGGGTGTGGTGGCTCATGCCTGTAATCCTAGCACTTTGGGAGGCTGAGGTGGGCGGATCCCCTGAGGTTGGGAGTTCAAGACCAGCCTGGCTCACGTGGAGAAACCCCATCTGTACTAAAAATACAAAATTAGCCAGGCGTGGTGGCACATGCCTGCAATCCCAGCTACTTGGGAAGACTGAGGCAGGAGAATCGATTGAACCTGGGAGGCGGAGGTTGCGGTGAGCTGAGATCGCGCCATTGCACTCCAGCCTGGGCAACAAGAGCAAAACTCCGTCTCAAAAAAAAAAAAAAGAAAGAAAGAAAGAAAGAAAACAATTCTAACAGTGTTTTAGTGGAGTTTGGCCTTCTTTCAAGCCTACTGTGCTAGGGTGCTGGCGGTCAGTCATGCTAGGATTAATGGGAAGGTGAAGGCTGTTTCTGATACAGTGTCGGGGAGGGATTGTGAGGTTGCCAATTAATGTCATTCCAGAAGCAAACATCGAAGCTGCGTGCTGAGAAATCTGGGCACCTGAAGCAGCTTGCAGGAAGGCGGGTTCATCTCCTGCAGTTTCCCGGCTTCCCACTGTGGGGCGGAAACAGGCAGGAGGAGAGGCAGAGAGAGGCCACAGCGCACCCCCAGGTTGCAGTTTCCAGGCTGTCTTCTTCTCTGTCACTTTCTCATTTCTTATTTCATTCACCCACCCTAGAGGTTAGGAGTAGATTCTACTTCCACTTCCCAGGAGAGGAACCCAGAGAGCCAGCCCAGATGTTCTGATTTCCCTAACCCTTTCCTGGGCCATCCATGATCCTCCTGCCAGGCACCCCATCTGAGGGGGGTCAGAGGTGGCTTTGGGTTCCGTCGTGGGGGGGATGGGGGGCAGGCCAGCCAGGCAGCATTTCCAGCAAGGAAGCAAGTGTCAGAGCCCCACCAAAGGCCCCTGCTAAGAATGCAGGTCAGCGGGAGGAGCTGCATGGGGAGGAGGGGTGGCCCCAGCCCTGCCCAGACAGGCCCAGCCGGCCGCACAGCTGCCCTCCTGTCCCTGGGGGCAGCGATGGGGGTAAAGGAGGAGGGGACTCACCAAGTTCCTGGGGTCTAACTCCCCTAGAACCAGGAAGACAAAAGAGGCACCTGGAGGAGTGGGGCTGGCATAAGGTCTTAGGAAAACACACCTGTCCTTCCTCCTCCCAGCCTTCTAAATCTAGCAGCAGGTGGAAACAAAACAATTGGCCCCAAACCAGTCTGGTTTCCTCTACAACCCCTAAATCATTCATTCTGATGCCCCTATCCTAAGGTAGCCATAAAGGTTGTGACCCCAGGATCCCAAATTAAGTTATGGGATGGGCCAGCCTGAGTACCAGATTTGGCTTCGAGAAATTGGGTTAGGGTTAGAGTGGTGGATCTAGAAATCCCACTAGGGGAAAATAATACTTTTGGCAAAAAGGTAGAATGAGAAGGTGAAAGAACATAGTAACCCCCGCCCCCCAGCCCCCTTGGAGCCCAAAACCTATCTTCTGTCAACCTTCCTGGCTTTGGGGCTCTGGAATCATGAGGCTTTCTACTCATTTGATGTGAATTAGGCACCAACTTTGTATCAAGCACTGGGAGGCCTGGGAAGATGTGTACAGATAGATATTTCTGCATATCTCTGGGGGCGGGTGCACGTGGGTCCAGTGCGGGTATGTTTGTGTGCCTTGTGGTTGTGTAACCATGGTGGGTCTCTAGCTGTGAGCTACAGTAGGAGCCTTTCCCTCATACTTTCCAGCTGGGCAGGAGCCCATCAGATAGCTCGGCTGCCTTTCATCGCCTTGTCCCTGATAAGGATCATCCTGGGTGAAGTAATCACTGCCAATCACCCCCAGCTCAGTCACAGGCAGGGGATGGACTGACATGCACCCTCTATGGGGATGGAGTGAGGGAGCCAGTGCCTGGGAAAGAGGGAACCAGTGTTCTTAGCAGGGGAAGGGAAAGAAGGGGCTTGTATGTGGAAGAGGAAAGAGATATCTAGAAACTTCTCATAACCACAGGTATGAGACCAGGGAGGGACAGCCCGGGTACCAACCCAGAGGAAGAACCTCCCTCCTTCTGTACCAGCCACCTCTGGGGCAGGATCAGACCCCAGCTCCAACCCAACTCAATAGACATGAGGCTTTCCAAGGGGCTGCAGGATCACTGGGAAGCATCCACCCCACTCTGTGGCCCAGACCTGGTCCTCACTGCTGAGGGACACTGAGTCAAAAAGGAAACAGAGCTGGAACACAAAGGAAGCATGATGTAGTTGATGACTTTATTGCATAAAAAACACAGGCTGTTTCTCCCTCCTCCTACCCCCTCAAAGTGAGTTCACAGCAGTTAAAGAAAAAATAAATTCCTACATTTTTCCTCTAGGGGGACTGCCTAGAAAGACAGGCAGCCAAGCAGCCTAGATCTATAAAAGAGGGGAGCAGAAGAAAACCTATCCAAAGCCTCTACCCGCATACCTCAGAGCTTGGGGCTTCCATTGGGGGGAGCATCTGTGTCCACCAGCAACACCCATTTGGGAGTTCCCCTTAGGATGGCCACTGGAAAAGGCTGTCTTGGTGGCACAGGGAAGGGGTGGCTGGTTTCGATGGGTGGAGGAGAAAGGCATCTTACACCCACGGTGCCCTTCCTCTTTCCCCCTCTCCACCTGGCCAGGCAACCTGCAGGCACTGCCAAATCTCCTCCTGCCCCCAACCCTCTCAGCAAGGAAGGGGATCTCTGGTTGGGTTAGCAGGAGGTAGGGAAAAGAGAAAGAAAGAAAGAACATTACTTCTTAAACTACCCCAGGCCAATGAGTTCCTCGGGAAGGTCATCCTGTCCCTTTTAAGGAGGGCCCCTTTGTATACAAACACATATTCCCACCCAGATCCCAGCCCCCACTTCCCATATAGCTCCCAGACCTTGGCTGGGCTCCAGCATCTACAAAGGAGGAAGAGATGCTGGGCCCAGATCCCAGGATCTTGGACATGGTGAATAAGATGGGGTCTCCCTGGCTAGAGACCCCAGGCTCAGTAGAGAAACACACATACATGCACACAGGTACACACAACATGCACACACATAACCTAATATTAAATAAAATACCCTTTGCTTATAACTTAAAAATCAATACACAGCTAATCTCTGCAGAGGGCTCCGGGTGAAGAAAGGGAGCGAGGGGAAGGGGGAGGGGTGTCAGAGGGACTGTAAGGCCCCTCTCTTGAGTGTGGGAAAGCCCTCCGGCTGCAAGGGCTGTGGCCTGTCAGACCCTTCCTCATATCAGCTTCTTTCCCCTCTGCCTGGCTCAGCTTCTGCTGGGCTTCTCCCCTCCCTCCTTTCCTCTCTCCCCCACCCCATGATCAGAATCAAAATGTGTTTCTAGCATCTAAAGGAGAAGGGAATGGGGACAGCTTCCTGGATGTCACCTCAGAAGGCAGAACCCCTTCCAGTGGGAGAACAACTCTTTCCTCTCCCTTCCCCTGTGAGATGAGGGGGAGGAAGGAATCCCCTAATGAACATGCTATGGCAGGGGCAAGGGAAAGACAAGGGCCAAGCTAGAGAGACAGTGGGGTTTATTTTCTTGGTGACAGCTAAAGAGATGGTCAGGTAGGCTGCAGGCCTCCACTCTGAGTGGGAACCAGTGGAGGTCCCTCTGATGAGACACCCCCAATCTGCCCTCAACCAGCCCAAGAAACCCTCTTCCTTCCATCCCTGAGGGGAAGGCAACTGGTGGGAACTACATGGATTCTACCGCTGGCTGCCTTGAAAACACACCTAGGGTAATAGATGGGGAATGTGAGACTACTGAACTTTATTTATCATAGACCAAGAATTAAGGGCTGAATCAGAGGTGGAGAGGGAAGGGGTTAGTTCCTTCCATACCCCACCAAATCCCTATCTCTCATTTTAGAAGAGGACTTCCCTACTCGCCCCCTCCATCTATCTCGGTCCTTTATCGCCAGCCCTGGCTGGGAGGCTGTCAGGAATGGCAGCCCTCTTTCCCTCTTCCTTCATGGCTCCAACAGACTGGGTCTGAAAGGGTTAATAAGGAAGCTCATCAAAGGAGTTATTTTTACAGCAACAACCCTCCAAACCAGAAAGAGACACCCCTGCCAAGGGGGACCCCCAGGCTCCCCCATCCCATCTCGGCTCTCCCTCCGGAAACCCTAGGGGCAGAAGCACTTTAAGTGGGATGAAAGGGACCCCGCCGCAGGGCGGCTCCGGAGGCGCTTTTATGTCCTGGTTCCCAGGCGCTAAGGACGTGTCCAGACAGCCACCACCAGCGCCCCGGGCCGGCCCCACTTCTCTCTGCTCCGGGGACTGGGACTTGCTGTCTCCTCTAGCCTGTCCCCGCCAGCCAGCCGCGGTACGGGTGTCCCACCCCAACCCCCCAGCCCAGGGGCGAGGGAAACTGTGAGGCAGGGGAGAACAGAGGGGCATTGCGCAGCTCCTACCGACCCAGTCAAATTCATCCTGCCTAGTAGCCCCAGAGACTAAGAACCCCTAGCGCCCCATCTCCCTGTCCCTGCACCACTTTTCCTCCTCCCTGAATAAATACGCACCTTCCCCTCTTCCTCAAGCCACCCCCAAGGACGTCAGACCTGGGGGCTCGCATCCAGTGCCCCCCGGGATACCCGCAGGGAGGCGGCACTGAGGAGCTCAGTTGGAGGGAGCCACGCTGCCCTCGGCCTCGCGTTTGCCTTTGCCCCCGGGGGGCTCCACTGCGCCGCCGGCCTTGCCCTCTCCCGAGGCCGCCCCAGCCGCCTCCTCCTTGGCGCCCTCGTGGGTTTTCATGTGCTTGGCCAGGTGGTCGCTGCGCATGAAGACGCGGCTGCAGACTGCACAGGGGAACTTCTTGGTGCCGGTGTGGGTCTGGAGGTGGCGCTGCAGCTCGTCCGAGCGCGTGAAGCGCTTGCCGCAGAAGAGCCAGTTGCACACGAAGGGACGGTCGCCGCTGTGCCAGCGCAGGTGCGCCTTCAGGTGCGACGTCTTGGCGTAGGCTTTCCCGCAGCCCGGGATGTGGCAGTTGTGCAAATGCTTCTTCTTGCCCCCATCGGGCCCACATGGAGCCCCCAGTCGCTCCGCCTCCAGACAGTTGGGGCAGCGACAGACGGTCTGGCCTGAGCTGCGGGGCACCGACCGCCGGGAGCCTTTGGGACGCGCCGCCCCGTCCAGGCTGGAATCCAGCCCTTGAGACTCCGGGGCGGCTACTTCCAAGGCCTTAGCCCCGTCGGGCGGCCCTAGGAGATGCTGCCCTCCGGCAGCTGGAAGGAGGTGGTGCGCATGCGGGTGGGGTGGCGGGGCACAAAGCTGGTGGTCTCCGACGTAGCCCCCCAAGCCCGCCTGAAGCGCCCCCGGGTGGCCAGGTGAGGTCAGCGCGCCCTGAGTGTGGGGGAGGTCCATCCAGCTGGTGCCCGGATGAAGGTCCCACCACGAGCCATCCTCCGCGCCTGGGTGAGTCGGCCTGAACCACGATTCATAATGGTGTGACATGTCCGGCTGCAGGAGCTTGGAAAAGGGGCCCGGGGCCAAGGGACTGTCGCTTTCCAGGTCCTCGCAGGTTACCCGCGAGGAGGCCCCTGGCAGCTCATAGCCCTGCGAGAAGTCCACCTCCGGGCCCAGCGGGAGGCTCTGCAGCTCTCCAGGCTGCAGCGGGGAGGGGTAGTCCCCGGCCTCAGGGCTCGTGTGGCCCTGGTAAGTTTGGAGAGGCTGCAGGTCGAGGCGCGGCGGGGAGGCGTGCGGCGCTTCCGTGTGCTGGCTGCCCAGAGAGCCGCAGACAGCGGTTAGCATTGCCGGGATCCGGGGTGGGGTGAGGGCAGGGACGGTCAGGGGCACCTCAGACGGGACCTAAAGGAGGCGAAGAAGCAGAAAAGTAAGGGAAATAACCAGCTCACTTTCCCTCCTAACCCAGGTCCTCCTCTCTGGCCCCAGGTGTAAAAGAAGGATGCACCTCTGAACGAGGACTAGAGATGAGTTTAGAGAATTCGGGAGTGCGAGGAAGGGTCCAAGATGTGAGGTTCTCATCCAAGCACAGAGGATGATGGAGGTCTACCTTCCTCTGGGTGATCCCTGCCGTATGACCCAGCTCATCCCTAGAGTTGGGCCACTCCCAGGATGGTAGGTCAGATACACCTACAGCACAGTGCTAGAACCATCCCCACCCCAGCTGCCCAGGCCAACACAAGGGGCAGTGGCATTTTCCCCCTGCAGACCTGCTGTCAGCCCAAATGGAGGATCTAGACACATCTCAGCTTCCCCAGTTTAACTCAGGATACAGATGGGAGAGGGGATGGTCTATTTCTGAAACCCAAAGCTTCAGGTGACCTGCCCCTCATAAAGCCTCAAACGGGTCCTGAGTCTTTGAAAGAGTTCTCATGCCATTCCCAAAGCATGTTCAGTAATGAAAAGCATTTCACCGTCTACGCTGCTCCCCGCCTGGCCTGGTCACATCGGGCCCACTAAACCGACTCACATGCCCCCACCCCCTTCCCTCAAGCAGGGACTTCACCTCCCTGGGGAGCAGCTTTCTGGCCACCAGATACCCCTGGAATCTGGGAGATACCCCCACCAGAGAAAACCAAATTTCCATCCCTCTCTTGACTCATACCAGTGCCAGGCAACTCTCTGACTGCTACCCATCTTCCTCTCCATGCTAGGGGAGGCCCAGATAGAAAGTTGGGAGGGAATGGCTTCCCCAGAGAAGAGCTTGACAGCAAGCTCTGGAAGATACAATTGCACCCCTTTAAGTGATACAAGGTCAGAGTGCAGGAAGAGGAGGGCAACAAGAGAAGTCATAACCACAGAACCTAAGAGCAAGAATTGCCCAAAAAGATGACATAAGCAAGTGCATCCTAGGCATGGATCATTTTTCAGAAGCTCCCCACCACCACCAGAAGATTCTTATATGCAGCAAATGTTGAGAACCACTGCTCCAGGCCAATCTTCTTATTTTGAAGAGAAGGAAGCAGACTGAATGACTTGGCACAGTGACTTGGACAAGGATGTTCATTTATTCATTCAATAAACCAGGTCTCCTAACTCCTGGACTCTCAGTCTGTTACTTTCTGTAAACCAATCTTTCTGTAGACCCTTAGAACGCTAAAGACCCCCAACGCTTTCTCAACCACATATCTGTGGCTTGAAGTTCACTCTTTTCTCACCACCTCTCCCTAAGGCCTGGAAGCCCTGGTGCCTCAGCTGGGCAGGTTTGTGTGCCTGGGTCTTCTCTACTGGTGGGGGAGGAGACCAGTGACTTAGGGCAGGATTGTTTCCTTCCTACAGCAGGGCTTAGCTGACCCTACCATCTCCTGCCTCTGGGACCAGGGAGGTGGCACTGATAGCCTGGGAGAGGGAGGGAGAGGAGGACGGGGGCACCTACTCAGGCTCCGGCTGCCTCACCACAAGAGGAAAACAGGGTGAAGTTGCAGGAAAGGAGCCCCAGGCCGGGGTGGGGCAGCACAGAAGGGGCTGAGCGGGAGCTGTGAAGCCAGGGACCCTAACAGCTTTTGGTGCCTGGGAACTGCCCCAGGGGCTGGAGGATGGGAAGGCTAGGATAATCTGGGCTCCAGAGTGGCTTCTCCTGGCAGAGAGCTGGAGAGCCCAGGCCTGGGATGCAATGGCCTGCTACCAAGATTTCAGAAACCCAAAGCGGGGTGATTCTCAGGTTCTAAGACCAGTCCCACTGGGTGGAAAACTGCCCTGGAGCTGGCTCAGTCTAGCAGAAGATGCAAGACTAAGACCCAGGAGAATAGAGGAGGGGGCAGGTCTTGGGGGTGATATGGAGCCACCCTTAGGTGGCAACCCTTAGGTTGCCTCTATGGTCCTTGACCCACCTGCCCCAGAGCTGAGAGGAAAGAAGGGAACAGGATTGAGTGCCAAGTATGTGTCCGGTTCACTTCCAGGCCTAGAAAGAGTTCAGGAAAGGAGAGAGCACAGCGTACATCGCAGGCTTCTCGCTCCCCGAAGTGGGAAGGCAAGTCGGTGCACCCTTATGCCCCATTCGGCTCTGCCTCTCTGGATCACCGGCTAGTACTCCCAGTTCTCAATGTCCCGGTCCTCTGGTTGTCCCAGTCGCTCCAGTTGCCCCGGTTTCCAGCCTCCTCGGTCCCTCCAGTCTCTCCCGTCCGCCCAGTTTTCCCTCCATCGGGGTTCTAACCTCTCAGATCCTTTAGGACCACCCCGCTCCCAAGGCCATAGGAGGCTGGGGCGCGTTCGGAGTGCGTTTTTTCGAGACAATCTCCGTAGCGCTCACCCCTGGCCACCCCGACCCGCGCTCCTACCTCGAGGCTGCGGCGGGCTCCGGGCACGGCTGGCTGGTGCGCTACTGACGGTCGCTCATAGGCCCTGTGCGCCGGCGAGCTCTCCAGCGGTAAGGGGCAGGAGCCCAGGGCGAGCCAGACCCGGCGGCTGGCGGCAGGCGGCAGGCGGCGGAGGTGAGCGCTGGCGAGAGGGCGGAGGACGGAGGGCGGGCAGGAGCCAGCGAGCGAACAAGGCCAGCTCCGCCCGTGACTCACCCGCGCTCTCTGCCTTCATCCTCTCCCCAGCGCTGCTTTTTCCCCCGGACTCGCGGCCCCGCCCACCTCACCTGCGGCCGCCTTTAACCCTTGAGGGCTCGGCTGGACCGGAGCCCAGCCAGGGCCGCGAGGAGGGGGTGGGCGGGAGTGGGGGAGGAAAGATAACTAGGGCGTGCGCCGCCCGCTCCCTCGCTCCTCCCTGGTCCCCTCCACTCCCAGGGAGAGGGGCCCGGGTGGGGTGATTCCCAGGTTCTAAGACCCGCCCCGCCGGGTGGAAAACTGCCCTGGAGCTAGCTCGGTCTAGCAGAGGACGCAGGACTAAGACCCAGGGGGAATGGATAAGGGGGCAGGTCCTGGGGGTGAGACAGAGCCACCCTTAGGCAGCAACCCTTAGGTTGCCTCGATGGCCCTTGACCCTCTCTGAACGGACAGCCCTGCCCCGGAACTGGGAGGAAAGAAGGAAACAAGATTGAGCGCCAAGTATGTTTCCAGTTCGCCTCTAGGCCTAGGCCGTGTGAAATTTGTCTTGGCTGCCCTCCTTCGCCATTCCCCCGACCCCCGACCCCCGTCCCCTGCCCTGCCTCACCCCCCGCACCCCGCGCCGCTTCTCTCCACCACCACCCTTCCCCGTCCTTTTTTCCCTCTCCCTTCCGGGGTATCCCTCTCTGACCTTTCTGGGTGACCACCTCCTCTCCTCCCCTCTCCCAGCCTCTGCCCACCACCGGTCTCTGCTTCCCCCCTACTCTGGTCCCAGGTCCCAGCAGCTGTCACTCTGCCCCTCCCCTTAGGTAGCAACCCCAGTGCCTAAGAAATCCACCTCTCAAATTCGCCTCTCCTCGCCCTCCTGTCCTTCGGGAAATGCTCAGCCTACGCACACCCTCGCCCCCGAGCACCCGGTTCTGAAGAATGGGCAGGCGCCTGAATGGCCCTGGGAAGGGACACTTCTGGAAGGAATTGAGCTATCCCTTGCCACCATTCCTTTCTAATTCTCACCAGAATAACTAAACCCAAGGTTCTTAACTTTGGGGAGGGGTCTTGGATTCCTTTGAGAAAAATTCACATGCCCAGTGCAATATTCTGGTAAAATTTCAGCGCGCTCGCGGAGCTCACAAAAACTTCCCTCAAGATCTGGATGGGTCGACATTTCCGAGACCCGCAAAGCACCGGTGGGTAGGGAAGTTCCGTCCTCCACCCACGCATTCTTCTGCCTGGCCGCTGAGGTGGCCCCATGCTTCACTCCCATGCCGCAGTGTTGATCTCTCCATGTGACCCCTTTTTTCACAGGGGAATGCAGATTAATTTCCCTATTTCTTTCATTTTTCAGATTCGTCTCCTCTGTGCGCTTTGCCGTCGGCTTTTTAAAATTTCGTTTTCCTCTTTACAGTCGATTTCATACTTGAATTTAGGCTGATTTAATCTCGCCTCTACAGCCCCTACTCCCCCCCGCCATTGGTTTACCTGTCCTGCATGCCCGTTTGGGACACACTCAAACTGTAACTCAAAAATAGCTAAACCGAGTGCATAAGCGGGGTGAAAATCAATCCATGTGTGTATGCGTATGTGCATGGTACCCCTCAGACACGCACACGTTCTTATCCAGAATCGACGTCGGATTCATCTGTGCATCTCCCTCTTTTCTAAGGCTCATTTCCCTCATCCGGACAACCTGGGTACACATTGGTAGGGTCTCCTGGGGGCTTAAAGGAATTGATATGCCTAAAAATGCTTAGCCCAAGGGGCCCCTGGTAAGCGCCGGGTAAATGGAAGATATCCTTGTTATAATTATTAAATAAGTCAGTTCCAGGTAAATATTGGTTGGATTAAGGTGTATGCACAAAGACCTGTGGACTAGAAGTTGACGGATTTAAATTCTAGCCCCAGCCCTGCACTTGCTAAACTGACCCTGGCAGGTCAGGTGCCTCTAAGCCTCAGTTTCTTCCTTGGTGAAATGCTGTAAAAGCAGCCACCAAGCTAGAGAAGTGACAGGTATTTGGAAGCCGGAGATGCCGCCTGACATCGGGGGATTGAGATTTCTGATCAGTCGGGGTTTGCTTTTTGCCTTCTTGTTACTTGGGGCTCTGGATGTGGATTCACAGGAACTGCTCTGGATCTTTGTGGCCATGGCTAATTTGACAATCAATCCTCTTCATCAACGCAGCTTTGTCTCCATCCATTCAGCCTACAAATCCTGGCCAGTTGGGTTTGTATCCTAGTTCACAGCTACCTCTGGAATGGAGTAGACACTCATCAGGTCCAAAACAGAGCCCCCAGTGGGGGACTCTGGTTCCTGATTTGACCTCTGGGCATTCCTGCCTCCTCCTCCAAGCTGCCTGCTGGTGCTGCATCTACTGTTCCTAAGGTGCTAAAGCCTGTGCAGGGGTCTGACTCTGGGTAGGGGACCAAGTTCCCCTCCCATTTATAGGCATCAGATTGCCTTCTCTTCCTGGCCCCTTCTGCCTTTTCCCTGGAAAGCAACAGGGATTCAGCCCGAGGATGGTAGACACTCCCTGCTACTTTCACTCTAGGCCCCCTTTAGCCCTGCCCCGATCCAACCAGACCTGTAGCCATCTGGAATTCCACCAGCAAAGACCCTCCATCTGCCTGCAGCTCATCAGCAGGAAATTCAACAACAATGCAGTTGTCTCTGGAAACTCCCAGCCATTCTGATTTCCTGCTCTGCCTAGGTTTCTGCTGCTCACTCAGGGTACTGGCACTATCTTTCCTCCAGTCCCCCTCTACTTGCAGTCCTCTGCTTCCAGCCCTTTTGGTTTCCCACTTGCTAAATGTTTTCCCACCGAATGACGGCGCATGGTCTGATGTTAACTTAATGAGCAAGGTCACCACAGCCCATTGCCCATATACTTATTGCTACTCAAAATTGAACAACACAGCCCATCACATCTCCTGTATAAACTGAGATCTGTCTTGGACTTGGGCCATTTCTGCTGCTCTTCCTCATTCTCTCAAATAAATAGTCAGATTTCCCCTGCAAGTGTCCAACCCCCATTCCTGCCACCCCTCTTCTTCTCAAGCTTCATCTATAGTCAGTGATCCACTTTGTACCTGGAGAAATCTCATTAGTCTGCGTGTTTATCACAAACGGCATTTATTTACTGAGCACCTACTATGTTCCAGATGCTTTACACAAATATCTCTAATTCTCATGGGCATGCAGCAAAGTAATTATTATTATTCCCGTTGTACAGATGAGGAAGCCAAAGATCAAAGAAGTTAAATGATCTACCCAAGATTACAGAGTTGTTAAAAGACAGAAGAAGAAACTGAGTTCAGATCTCTCAGGTTCCAAAGCCTGTATTCTGCCTACTAGTCCATCTGGCCTCAATATGGCAGAATTGATGACCCTGGAAGTCTGGCTCCCCTAGAGCCTGAAGGTGGAGGAAACAGCATTCTTAAATGAATCCCTAGATCAAAGCCATCTCCTATCTTGAGTCTAATGGACAAACTGATCCCATCTTGAATTGCTGAGACAAGTCAGACTCTACACTTGTGATCCCTTCCAAACTTCAACTGTCCTGTAGAGATTGCACTATGAGAATATCAAAGCTGGTCTAGCCCCAAATTGTCTCGTCCAAGCCCTCGTTTTACTGGTAGGGAAACCAAACCCCAAAACAGGGACGTTAGTAGCAAGTTAGAAGCAGAGCTGGGACCAGACCAGAGTCTGGTCCTGTTTTCCTCTTCTCACTCACTCCTCTCCTCCATTTCCCACTCCCACCTTCGGGCTGCACTTCCAAGCCTGCAAGCTGATGACCCTGGATGCCAACATATTCCTTATTTCCCCTCCTCTCCCCACCATACTCTCCTGATTCTTAGAAAACCAGATAGAGCCTAAAGCTGGGGTCAAATAGTTTTCTTTCATTCATCCTTTATTTCATTCAACAAACACTTATCGAGGGTCTACTTAAGGCCAAGCACAATGCTGGACACTAATTTTATTATAAATTTCAAAATCCCTAGCTACCACCATCGCTTTTCAGTCTAGAAGATGAACCCACCTGAGGATAGTGCATCTGTATGTCGGTGTGTGTATATCTACAAATGTGTGTACATATTATGCCTGTGTGTACCTGTGGGCTTGAGTGTAGGGTGTCTTCTCTCCTCCACCGTAAATGCAGTTCCCCATAGGATGTGGATAGTGGTTTCTCCCTTACTATCCTTGCAGGTGTTCTGTCATTCAGGGCAGTGAGTGTGTGTGCCCTGTATTTCTATTAACATTTATTTGCCCTTCCTTTCTCTCGAAATAAAGTTCCCAGCTATGAATCCCTACCCCACTTCTCCACTGGGCTGACTACCCCAGCCCAGTCAAAAGACCTCCAAGGGATCCCTTTAGTTCTCCATGCAAACCCCACCAAGATCTCCCTCTTATCTCCCCCTTCCCAATTCAGAGAGAACCAGACCCTTCTCTATGACCCCCACTTTAGAGTGGAGACCTGATCCTCTTTGTGGAGGTCCCCTGTACTGGACAGGGAACAGCCTCTCTTACCAGTCCATGGAGCCCAGAGCTGGCGGCGGCAGTGAGGGCCAAGTGGCGGTGATAAAAGAGCCAGGCTTTATAAAGGAGGTGACAGGCAGTGCCAAAGGGGGAGGTGAAGGAGGGAGCAGGGATGCTGCCAAGTCCTCACGGCCTCAGAAGCTTTTAGGATAATCCAGGAAACAGTGGCCCCCAGCTCTCCTAGGGGAGTGGTAGGAGGTGAGATCTGAGTCCGTGAGGTCTGCCAGGAAAGGAGGATTTCAGCTGGGAGTGGGGGCTGGGGGCACTTCCTTCCTTCCGCAGAGTTGGCTGGGCAGTGGGAGAGGGACAAAGTGGTTCTTGCAGGATGGAGGAAATGACAGCATTGCTAGGGTGGAGAGCTGGGATAGCTGGAACTCTCCAAATTCCATCCCCTCTTCCTGAGTTTTCCTCCATGGACTTGGTAAGAGAGAAAGAAGTTCCATTTTTGAGACCTGAAGGGCTCATGCCCCCAACAAACACACACACACCACACGTCTTCAAGTCAGTTCCTCCTTGCAGAGCTTCATGTCAGTGTTGTTGGCCTCTCTGAGCCACAATTTCTCTCGCTCCCTTTTCATCCTCTTTTTACATACTCACTTCCCAACTTGGATCCCCCAAGAGGACCCAGTGTAATCTATCTTTTGGACCTGGGATCTCTCATTGTCAAATGGGAAGGGAGGACCTTTTCCCTGACTTTGGATGGAGTGGGGAAGCTTAGGATGGACAAGAGGTCACCTAAGACCAGAAAGACCAGAGGCAGAGTCCAGCCAAGAACTGCTACAGACAGTTCAGGACTCCTGGAACTCCAGGAGGGTGAAGAGGGTAGGAAGGTGGCCTGGAAAAGGGAGAAGGGGCCTGAAGGTGAATTTAGGGGGAGCCCCCAGATCTCTATTTATATGAGCCTAATTTTAGGGTGGTTGTAAGTTTAGGTATACTGGCTAACACAAACATGTCCCAGGGCAGAGATGGACAAAAGACCAGGAAGGAGAACGGAGATGAAACAGAAGAGTAAGACTTGTTTCCCAAAGCTCACTGAAGCTGTGAACTCTGACCCACATAGGAGAGTGGCCTGGGGACTTTTCACGGGATGACATCCTGTTTTTGACCACAGCCCAATGCCCTTGGCAGAGGACAGGAGCAGTTGTACCCCCTCTACACACACCAGAACCCAGTACCCCAAGACTTACATGCTACCTCCCTCCCAGGATGAGCCAGGGAGTCTTTACCCAAAACTCTTCTCCTGCTCCTCCCCTATACCCTCAGCAACCTCTAGACTGGGGATTCCCAGTCTCTTCATTAACTTTTCAGCAATTATCCCATAAAGGCCCTGACAGGTCCTTCCTCTCCCCATTTCAGAGATGAGAACACTGAGGCCCTGAAGAGGTAAAAGCTCAGCAGAAAGCCACCCATCAAGCAGGAGAGAATAGAGTATTAGAGGGCTTAGGAGGCAGAGCTGGACCTCTTTCTTCAATCTTAGGCAAAATTGGGAGGACAGGGCCAGCACAACCCCCTGGGGGAACCCAGGCATCAGGACTGAGGCAGGCTCCAGGGAGGGGCTTCCCTGTCCCTCCCCACCTTCCAGCACAGAAAATCAGAGTGGGGAGGGGAAACAAGCTGAGGAGACCACACAGGTGGAGTAAATAATGTTAATACGGGAGCATTATCACTAGGGCATTTCCTCATGGATAAATGTCTCAAATACCAAAGGATGCCTCCAAATTATAGTTAATTACAGAGTTGATTTGCATAAATTATAAGGTGAGCATACAAATTCTTTCAATCGGTTCCATATGCTTAGGTAGCAGGTCCAGTCCAAAAGATGGGAGAATCTTGGGGTTGGGGGGGAGTTTGGGAGAGGAAAAAGACCCAGCCCTCAACCTGGACCTTCAGGCCCACACACCTTCCCCTGGCCTCTGGATCAGTCAGGGGTGTGTTTAGACCCTGCCTGGACAGCAATGAACACAGCCAGCACCCTACCTGGCAGGAGACCCCCTTTCCTCCTCTATTCGCACCTCCAGACAATGTGTTTTCCTAACACCAGTGATGGGCGGGAGAGAGGAGCTGGGAAAGCTATGGGTGGGTGCCATGCGGCCTGTAGCTTGGAGTGGGGGGCGGGACTGCAGAGTCCTGGCTTCTGGCCTTTGGAGCCAGAAGAGGGGAGGGGGCTGAGGAAGCTGAAGACCCAGTGGGGCTGAGGGTAGATTCAATTCAAGCCCCTCTCTCTTGATCTCAGCTCCCCTACCCGCCCCCTGGCCCCCACACGAGCCACCTCCCCCAACTCCAGCAGCTCACTCCCAGCGCCAGCCCTCGGATCTCAGGTTTGATGTTGCCGCTGCCTGCACCTTCCAGGTGGCTCCTCAGCGGCTCAGACTCCCAGACTTTCGTCTCCAGTGCCTGGGCCTATTTCCTCTGCCCTCGCCTCTCGGTCTCCCACCTCCTCCTCCCGCCCCTAGCTGCTAAGACTCTACTTCCTTCTTCAGCTCTCTAATTTGTTCCTCCCTCCGGCCCCCATCCTCAGCCCCAGAGGCCCATCTCCTACTGTTCTTCCTTCCATCTTTCTCCTCCTTGCCCAGCCTCCCTCCCCTAAAGATCCCAGGGCTCCCCTACACTCAGCTGTCAACTTCCCTTTTCCCACCCACCAACTGCTTTCTGCTTTCCAAGCTACTCTTCCTCCCACCCCTAAGCTTGCTTACCTCACTGTCCCCCAAATCCTTACTGCATGTAGTTCTCTGATTTTTCTCAATATACCTGCTCCAAAGGCAGACACTACTGGATTCGCTTAGGCTGCAAGGGGGAGGCTGGGCTAAGTAAGATCTCCCAAGTGTGTGCAGGTGAGAGTTTACCTTCATCTTTTTATCTTAGGGCAGGGGAAGATGATGAAGAAAGAGCCTAAAATGGTGTCTGGTACTTAGCAAGTATCTTACAAATATTTGTTTAATTGACAAATGAGGTGGAAATGGGCACTGGTCTGTGGAAATTCTGTGGAAGTGTCAACTTGCTGACAAAAATTACTACTTGTCTCGATTAATTTTCAGGTCTCCTATGCCACTTCTGTACCCACCAACCTAAGCTTTCCTGCACCTAATTAATGACAGATGAAGCATCTTTTTTTTTTTTTTTTTTTTTTTTTTTGAGACAGTCTCCCTCTATCACCCAGACTGGAGTGCAGTGGCGCCATCTTGGCTCACTGCAACCTCAGCCTCCTGGGTTCAAGTGATTCTCATGCCTCAACCTCCCAAGTAACCGGGATTACAGGCACCCACCATCATGCCTGGCTAATTTTTGTATTTTTGGTAGAGACGGAGTTTCACCACGTTGACCAGTCTCCTCTAGAACTCCTGGCCTCAGGTGATCCACCTGCCTCAGCCTCCCAAAGGGCTGGGATTACAGGCGTGAGATATGATGCCTGGCCTAATCATCCTAAAGTGCCACTCCATCTTGGCACTTCCCATCTCCAACACATCCAGTGGCTCCACAGTGCTAAATGTGTCATCCAGGACCCTCCCACTTCACCTACGCAGTCTTCTCTCCCGCTGGTCCTCATACAAACCCTACAGCCCAGCTCAGCCCAATGGATTTAATGTTCACCAAACATGTCCAGCCTTCCTACCTTTGTCGAAATCATTTCCACCCCTGCCAGCCATTCTTGCCTCTGGAAAGCACATTATCCTTCAAGCTCCTGGCTGGCACATAGGCGGCTTTCTCTGCAAAGGCTTCTCTTATCCGCACATCACTGGCATGCTCCTCTGAACTTCCTCAGCACTTATTGCCTCATGCTCTGCTTCCATGGGCTTGTTTTCTTATCTTCTCTACTGGTTGAATCCTTGAGGGCAAGAACTCTATCCTTTCATGCCACAGGGTCCTCAGGCCAGAGCCTTTCTTTGAGAAAGGGATGGATAAGCCACAGCTGAGTGAATTAGAGAAAGGGCTCCCCAGAATCCAAGCTTCCAGAAGCTCCTCAGCTTGGGGAGGGCATCAGTGAAGGCAGAAGCCTGGGTCGGGGAACTTAAAACCCAAAGATCCATGAAGTAAGCACACACAGCTTCCTACTGTCCCCCTGGCTGGCCCTGGTTGTGTGATGGAAGTGGAAGGACCCACAGAGTATCTGGGACATGCAGGGTTGGAGTGAGGGCTGAGGGAGAGTGAAGCTCCCCACCCTGTCACCCTGCTTGGAACAAGGAATTGGAGGTTTGGGGCAAAGGAGCAAGGGCGGTAAGTGGAGCCGAGAGAAAAGGCTGGCTGGGTGTCAGTCACGGAGACAGGCAGAGGCAGAAAAAGCAGAATCCCCTCAGTCCCTCGGTAGGAATTTAAACTTCTTACAAGGGTGGAAAGATCCCAGTCATGTCGTGCCTCAGCTCAAAAACATTCAATAGCCCCCCATTACCTACAGGAGAAAATCTACACTCTTAGGCCTAGGATTGAAGCCCCATTCCCCATCTGGCCTCAGCCTCCCTTTCCAGCCACATCCCTTCCCACTCCCCAGGAGGCTTCTACTCCATCCTTACCGTCCACATATTTTCACGCCCCACACTGTTCCATGTGTGAAATGCTCTTCCCCATTTCTCTGCCTGATGAGCTCCTATGGATCTTTTAAATCCCAACTCCTATGTCCCCATGCTCTCTAAAGCCTTCTCCAGTTTTTCAAGTTGTACTTTTCTGTGCTCCCATAGTTCTAAAATATAGAGCGTTTAATATTCTCTGATGGGTAATACAATTAGCTGTGTGCATGTGTAAGATCGTGAGTTCCTTGAGGGACTGGAAATTTCTGTTCATCTTTGAATCTCCCCCAGCATCTTATACAGCAACTAGTACTGAGTGTGCAATAAATATATGTTGCACTGGATTGAATTTACACCCTTTGCAGAGGACAAGGGGCTGCCAGGTCAGAGGTTGGTGAGTTCTCTATAAATCCCCTTGTCGGCTGGGTGCAATGGCCCATGCCTGTAACCCCAGCACTTTGGGAGGCGGAGGCGGGAGGATTACTTGAGGCCAGGAGTTGCAAACCAGCCTGGGCAACATAGTAAGACTCCGACTCTACAAAAAAAAAAAAAAAGTTAAAATAAATAAATAAATAAATAAATAAATAAATCCCTTTTGTCACATCACTGAGAGTTGGCCTCATGGCCTTCAAGACACTGCATCAAAAACATGCCCTGACCCTTCCTCTTTCACCCTGACACTGTGCCCAGTGCCCTGTCAGGAATCCAAGGTCAGGGGTGGCAGACAAGGCTCCATAAGAGGCCCAGTATCCTGTGTCCTGGTCAGCTGGGCACGGCCACCAACCCGCAGCCAGGGTCATCCAGAGAACCTCCAGCAGGATCCCACGAGAGGGGAATTAGAGAGGAGGCTGGGTATCAGGACCTGGCAGGCGGAATCAGGCGGGTAGGGGGAAGGAGGGCAGTGCCCTGGAAAGGGGGCCGGTCTCATTGTTGTGGTCTGTCTGGGAGATTCCTCCCCTTTTTAATTTGCTTCCTGATTGAGGGGTTGGCTCTGACTGCCCAGCTCCCCCGTCATTATCTGCTGCCGGTGGCTCAGGTGCTGGCGAGCCTGGTGTGGCCCGTAGGTTATTACCTGGAGCTCTGGGGGTGGCAGAGGCTGCCCCTCTGGCCGGGGTGGGGGCCTGTCTGGAATCTGCCCTGATCCTACCACCCACAGGGCAGCCATCTTGATGCCCAGCATAGTGGACACATTCACTTGGTTCCAAGAGTCAGCTGATCCCAGGCGGACTTCAATGTCTAGAGGAAGCTTCATCTTTCAAGTGCCTAGAGTATGGATTCAAGAACCTGAAGGCCAGGCGCAGTGGCTTATGCCTGTAATCCCAGCACTTTGGGAAGCCGAGGTGGGTGGATCACTTGAGGTCAGGAGTTCGAGACCAGCCTGGCCAACATGGTGAAAACCCATCTCTACCAAAAATACAAAAATTAGCCAGGCATGGCGGTGCGCGCCTGTAGTCCCAGCTACTTGGGAAGCTGAGGCACAAGAATCGCTTGAACCCAGGAGGCAGAGGTTGCAGTGAGCCAAGATCATGCCACTGCACTCCAGCCTGGGTCTCACTCAGACAGAGTGAGACTCCGTCTGGAAAAAAAAACAAAACCTGAGGCAGCCAGCCACGGTGGCTCACACCTATAATCCTGGCACTTTAGGAGGCCAAAGTGGGCAGACTGCTTAAGCCCAGGGATTCAAGACCAGCTTGGGCAACATAGCCAGACCCCATTTCTACAAAAAGTACAAAAATTAGTTGGGCATGGTGAGGGTGCCTGTAGTCCCAGCTACTTGGGAGGCTGAGGTAGGAGGATCACCTGAGCCCAGGAGGTCAAGGCTGCAGTGAGCTATGATCACACCACTGCATTCCAGCCTGGGAGACAGAATGAGACCCTGTCTCAGAAAAAAAAAAAAAAAGCCTGGCATGGTGGTGGCTCATGCCTGTAATCCCAGCTGTTTGAGAGGCCAAGATGAGTGGATCACCGGAGGTCAGGAGTTCGAGACCAGCCTGGCCAACGTGGTGAAACTCCATCTCTATGAAATACAAAAATTAGCCAGGTCTGGTGGCGGGTGCCTATAATCCCAGCAACTTGGGAGGCTGAGGCAGAAGAATTGCTTGAACCTGGGAGGCAGAGGTTGCAATGAACTGAGATCGTGCCACTGCCCTCCAGGCTGGGTGACAGAGCAAGACTAAGTCTCAAAAAAAAAAAAAAAAAAATTGGGTGTGGTGGCACACGCCTGTAGTCCAAGCTACTTGGGAGGCTGAGGCACGAGAATCGTTTGAACCTGGGAAGTGAAGGTTGCAGTGAACTGAGATCGCAACACTGCACTCCAGCCTGGGCCACAGAGCGAGACTTTGTCTCAAAAAAAAAAAAAAAAAAAAAAGGTAAAGCACCCAGAGTTAGATCCATTTCTCAAAGGCTGTGAAAGGAGTTAAGTCATTCATTAAGAAGTGATTCCAAGCCATGTGCGGATGAGAAAGAGACAGCAGTGAAGCTAGGGGATTCTCCTGCTGAATCCTTCCTATTCTGTGGTGTTCAGAAAACCAAGATTCGTAGAGGGGAAAAAGTGGCATTGATCTATGAACCTGGGACAACTAGAACCCAGCATGTGGGACTTCCTGTTGTGTAGGTGCAGAGGAGACTCAGCCTCCTGTAGTGCCTGGAGCATTGGACTTCAGACCTCTGCTCAGTGCCTGTGGGCGCAGCCTAGAACCCTGGCAGAGAGGGCACCCTTGCCTCTTCCATCTCTGAGTCCCCAAAGTTCTGGCCCTTTGCATTATCCTTGATTGAGCCTGTGAGCTTCAAGGACAGGAGATAATATAAAGATAAACAGGAAGTGCCAAATTAGAGACACGAAGTTTGTTGTTTTAGAGGGCGCCCAGCGCCAAGCAGCGGTGCCAGGTTGGCAGTCCTGGAGCCTGGTGTCTGCCTGCTCTCTGCACAGCCAGCTGCCCCTTGGACCACAGCAGGAGGGCCCTCTGGGCAGGAAAGGAGGATGGGATGGAGCATGGCAGGGAATGGGTTAAGCAAGTCATTCTTTTTTACCCACCAGCTGAACATTTGCAGTGTCACCTCTGATTCATTCTGGGCATTTAGTCACTCATTCCACAGATATTTTTAAGCTCCTTCCCTGTTCCAGGCATGTGCTTGGTACAGCCTCTTCCCCCAAAGCTAACATCCTCACTAGAATGTAAGCTTCATGGAGGCAGGGGGTTTCGTTCATTGCACTACTCCCAGTGCTTGGAATGGTGCCTGGGACTCTATAAGTGCTTTGTAAGTTTGTTGAATAAGTTAATGGAAGGACGAATAGATGAAGGAAGGAAGGGAAGAAAGAAGGAAGGGAGGGAGGAAGGGGGCCCTTAAGTGGGCATAGGAGGGTCCCATGATTTTTCAGTCCACTGGTCCACTGGACTTCTTCTTCTTTTTTTTTTTTTTTTTTGAGACAGAGTTTCTCTCTTGTTGCCCAGGCTGGAGTGCAATGGCGCCATCTCCGCTCACTGCAACCTCTGCCTCCCGGGTCCAAGCAATTCTCTTGCCTCAGCCTCCCAAGTAGCTGGGATTACAGGCATGTGCCACCACGCCTAATTTTGTATTTTTTTTTTTTTTTTTTGAGATGGAGTCTCGCTCTGTCGCCCAGGCTGGAGTGCAGTGGCGCGATCTCGGCTCACTGCAAGCTCCGCCTCCTGGGTTCACGCCATTCTCCTGCCTCAGCCTCCCAAGTAGCTGGGACTACAGGTGCCCACCACCAAGCCCGGCTAATTTTTTGTATTTTTAGTAGAGATGGGGTTTCACCATGTTAGCCTGCCTCGGCCTCCCAAAGTGCTGGGATTACAGGCATGAGCTACCGCGCCTGGCTTTTTTTTTTTTTTTTTTTTTTAGTAGAGATGGGGTTTCACCATGTTGGTCAGGCTGGTCTCGAACTCCTGACCTCAGGTGATCCACTCACCTTGGCCTCCCAAAGTGCTGGGATTACAGGCGTGAGCCACCACGCCTGGCCTACACTGGACTTCTTAATGAGAGCATTGATTATCCACAAGTGCTGTCCTCTCCATTCCATTCTGTCCACCTCTGAATGAGTCTTTGAGTCTTTTTTCCTTTTTTTGTTTTTGTTTTTGTTTTTGTTTTTTGTTGTTTAAGAGACAAGATTTTACTCTATTTCCCAGGCTGGAGTGCAGTGGCGCCATCATAGCTTGCAGAAGCCTCTAACTCCTGGGCTCAAGCAATCCTCCTGACTCAGCCTTCCAAGTAGCTGGGACTACAGGTGCGCCACCACATCCAGCTAATTTTTAATTTTTTTTTTTTGTAGAGATGGGTGTCTCGCTGTGTTATCCAGGCTGATCTCAAACTCCTGGCTTCAAGTGATCCTCCCATATTGGCCTCCCAAAGTGCTGGGATTACAGGTGTGAGCCACGGCACCCTGCCGAATCTTTGAGTCTGGACACCAGTAGGTGGTCATGGTCCAGTTCCTTGCCCAGATGCCCACAGGGACTTCCAGCTTCCAGGCTGCAATCACAGAGAATGAAGAAGGAAGGCTGTTCGAGAAATATGGGCAGCTCTTACAGGAAAGCCCCCCAGCCTCTAACAGGCCCTCTCTGGGCACCGAAGGTGCCAGTGGTCTTCCAAGGCCCGGGATGTGCCCTGGACGTGATTGCTCTCCTGGGTCTTGTCTTGCTGCTCTTTGCCCCCGCCCTCCTCCTCTCTACCTGATGGTGCCAGGTAAGGCTTCAGGCATGGCAGAGGCTGAACTGAGAGCCACCCTACCTTGTTCCTGTGGCTCCATCCCCCTATCCACACCCAAGAGATGAGATCCTGGGGCAGTTGGCATCTGACAGCCTGGCATCGACTCATGCCAACAGCTTGGAAGCTGCAGTAATTAGAAGGGGAGAGGGAGAGAGGGGGAGAGAAGGAGAGCGAAAGCAAGCTCTAGAGAGAAACCTTCTCCTGCCTGCCGCAGGGCAAACTACTTCAAACGAATTCGTTTCGCTCTTGTGAAACTGAAGACAATTTCCTTTTCTGTCATAAAACAAATTATTGCTCATCAGGAGTGCTGGGCTAGTCTCTTTCCTAAGGGTGTGCTCTTGCTCTTGTGCAGGAGGAGGGGAAACATTAGGGGAGGGGACCCAGGGTGCAAAAGGGATTTCCGGGAGCCATCCTGAGGGGGAGTAGGAAGAGAAGCTTTGGATAGATTCATGCTCCTCTCAGGAGTGAAACGGCGCCGTGTCCCCCTTGTCAACCTCCCCGACTGACCAGGGAAAGTGTCCAAGAAGGTACCGCTTGGCTCCAACCACCAGGACCGAAAGAGCCTCTGAGAGGGTCCAACCCTCCTCCATCCTCCTGCCTCCAAGCCACCCTGGGGAAGGCTCCACCTCCCCCCTCAGGCACCTGTTCCTGCTGTTGAGGGGTGAGGACAGGAAAGGGAGGCCCAGAGAAGTTAAGAGACTTGCCAGAGATCACTCAGCAAATTAATTAATGGCAGATCCAGGATAAGAACCAGTGGGTTCTCTTCCAGGCCAGGATCGGAGGGTGCCTGGGGACTTTTGTTAGCACCTTTATGACACTGGGTTGCTCCAGTGAGCAAACAGCATCCAAATGCTGCTGCTATCCCTAGGGGCAAAGTCTAGAAAGAAGAGCTGGTGCAGTGGGTTCCCTCCATCCCCAGTCATCAGGCCCCCATGCTGCCCCAAACATACCATTTCACCTCTCCTGGTCTTCGCTTTGAAAAACTTCCAGGGGACCTCCCTTCAGACCCACAAGAGGAATGATGGGTAATTTTTCTCTCCCCACCCCATCTACCCCACTAAATGTTCATAGCTCTTCCTTTCTCTTCTCTACACTGATCACCAGGCCAGGGCTCAGGGGAGACATGCTTCATCTTTATGCTTCAGCTCTTACCAATTTTTCATCATCTCCCCTGATAATTGCCCTCCTCCTCTCCCTCACTTCTCCAAGCTCTGGTCTCATGGCTTTTCTGGGAATTGGGGGAAATATAAAGGTTCCTGTCCCTGAGGAGCACCTAACTGGGGTGGGAGGGGATACAGACCTGACATTCACAAGCACCCAGAAGAGAAGAGAAACGGGAAGACTCTGGCTGGAAAGAACGTGGGTATCAGGATGAGGAGAGGGAGGGCAGGGAAGAAAGGTGGAGGCAAGGCCAGGGAGGGGTCTCTGAGAGGGTTTCTTGGAGAATGAGGTCAAGGAAGATGTGAGGAGGGGTATGGAGTAGAAAATCCAAGCCACGGACTGCCTGGAGACAAGGAGGAAGATGGGCCCAGGTTGGGGGCCATGGTGATGCCTGGGAAGGGGCTGGGAGCCAGGAGATAGGGTTCAAATCCCTGCCAGAGATGACGCAGGCAAATGGGAGGGCCAAATACAAACAACCATTCCAGTGATGTGGAAACCTAGTTTTAAGCCAGGGTGAATGTAGAAATGTTTGGGGATTGGCTGCCGGACCGGAGTAGCCAGACAGCCACCGTGAACAAAGGCTCTGGGATCGCATCCGCGGCCTGATGGGAGATGGAGAAATCGCCTTGCCCACCCATCTTCCCCCAGGCACGCATGTTTCTTTCCCACCCAACCCGCTGATCGGCACTCTGGAAAGAGGGACCCACCACCTGCCAAGTTCCCGCTTGGCAACATCCCCAAATGTTCTCCCTTGTGTCCAATCACAATTCCTCTGGTGGCCATTGGAGGCTTGGCAAGGAGAGGGCAGTGGGGAGATGGAAAGCGACTGCCCCTCTGAAAGTGGCTGGGAGGGAGACAGGGAGGGGGAGGTGAGCAGAGGGCAGGGCCAGGAGAGGATCGTGTCCAGGCGAAGACTCCTGCTCATCGGACACGCCACGCTGGGAATCTGAGAATCTGTGGTGGGAATGGGCCGGGCTGGCAGGAACAAAGGATGAAAGCGAGGTTGTGCGGCCGGCTGGGACGTACACACCCATCGCTGACGTACTTCGGCGGCTGATGACCTCAGCCAGGCCGTCAGACCCCGTCTTATCGCGCTGCCCCAGTGAGGGTCCCCCTGCACCAGTCCCCAAACAGGGCCTGAGAGCATGAGATAAGTCGGTTAGATGCCAGAAGTACCTGCTGTCAGGAGGAGCTCAGGGAATGACATTTCCCAGAGACAGGCGGGGTCAGAAGAGGGGATGTGGGAGGGTGAAGAGAAGCAATGAGGCTTAGAGAGAGAGTGGAGAAACCATCATGTCAGTGACCCTGACTTGAGGATCCAGGGTCCTGGTTGTCAATTCTTCGTGTCTATCTAAGAATTCTGACAGTGGGAGGGCAGGGCCCTGGCTAGGCCTGAAATACCTCTAGAGGACTTGGGTTAGACACCAAAACTTATTTGCTTTTTGGTGGCAGGAACATTAAGAGACTGAGTGAAGAACCCGTAATGATCTCAGAAAGTGTGGAATCACGCCTCTTGTGCAAGGGTAGACCACCACTTGGCCACACAGTCAGTGGAGGCTCCGATCCTCCCACCCCCACCCCCATGGACCCACTCAGCTTCCTGGGCCTCCGTGGAAACCTGTTGCTGGCATTTCATCTGTTCCTTTGGACCAGGAGCGGAGTAAGGCACTGTGGTTATGGTGTAGCTCCCTCTCGCTTGCCCCATTCTGGGGAAGAAAATGGGCTCTTACTGTTTTTTCTCTCCCAGTTTTGAGGTGAGGAGCCTGGGAAGGAAGAATCTGTCTGAAGACTTCATCTGCCCTTCTAAAGATCTCACCCCCACTGGAAGCCTTTGGCAGATCCTCAAGCACAGCCACACTGCCTGTGTGTCCCCCAACCACCCCTCACAGGGAGATATAGTTCCTCCCGAACAGAGCATGACATGCAGCCACACACATAGAGCCTCCACCAGCATGCACATGCGCACACACATGCACACACGCCCTCACTCAGTCACACATCCTCTTAGGTCATCACTTACCCAGAGGTTCATCCAGACCCCAGTGCAGGCATACACTGTGGCCGCAGCAGCCCACAGTGACCACTGGAGCAGGCACACCCCACTCACTGCAGCACAGAGCCTCGCCATGCCAACAGGCCCCCAAACACTCCCGGGATCCCCTTCACCCAAGTGGTCCCTCACACACTCTCCACTCCCATTCGGGCAAGTGTGTGCAGTGAGCAAATACTATGATAATGAAGTGCAAAGATGGACCAACATGGTGCCTCCTGTACACATGTGTTTACAAGGTGGCGGGAGACTCAGTCACATGAGCAGAGTGTTGCAAAGCAGCACTCGAAGTGCTGGAAGAGGAAAAAGCATCAAGTACCATGGGGACGACCCAAGTCTTGGAAGCCACTTGCCTACACAGCCAGTGGGGGGCACTGAGCCTTCCCACTTTCATACGTGGGCAGCCAACCCAGAGCTGCCTACATCAGAGCCAAAGTGCTCCTGACCTCCACCAAGGGACAGAGCTTTCACACTCACGAGGCCCTCACCTACTCCCTAGTAGCCTCCTAATGCCAGCCAGACCCTCCTAACCCCGACCATCATGCATACGCATAGACCCATCTTCAAGCCCTCTGCTCTCACACACCCTCCTTCCAAGGAGCCAGGGCCACTTGTCACTAGAGAAGCCATAATTGGCAGGTGCTGAGGCTGCCACGGAGCTTTGGAACAGGCAGAGGGGAGGGAGGAGAAGGGTTCCTGAGGTAGGGGGCTTGGGAGCGGGATGGGGGAAGAAGGAGGGGGCTGGCTCCAGTGCCCTCTTCTCCGCTCTGCAGGTGTAATTAGCCCTGGCAGATGAAAGGGCGTCTTTGAAAGCAGGTGAGATCCTTGTCTGTCAGCAGGGCGCTCTGGGTGGCATCGGCAGCTTATCCTGAAACCACACACGGCACCAGAGCCGGGCTGTCTGAGTGCTGCCCAGGAGGCGGGGAGGCAGACCCCAGGGGCGTGAGCCCTTGACTCCCCACTCCCCCATATCTTGGCCCTGGGCTCCCTGCTTCTATGAGCAGGAGCTTCTCAGAACAGAGTCCTCCAGAGCCTGGCAGTGCCACTCCCAATAAACTAATGCCCCATCCTTTGGGCCTGAAGGGACAGGGTACTGCCTCCCCTCCCCTGCCAAGCTGGACAGGAGGCCAAGGACAATGGCCCTAGGCAGTCCTTTCATCCTGAGATCTCAAAGCACCATCTAATTAACCCCGCCCAGGTTGGGGACTTCCTCTGGAATCCCTTTGGAGGGGTGTGGTCTGGGACCAGCGATCTTAGCTTGGATAGGAGGACCAAGAGGGCAGGATCTCCCAGTCCTCATCCTGTTTGGGATCTGGGGAGTCTGGAGGTACAGCAAATTGAGGGTGCTAACACCAAACTCTGAAAAGGGGGCTGACAGGGATCTCAGGAGAGCCTGAGTTTGACACCCAAAGGGGGATAATCCTGATGCATCCTGTCCCTCCTATTGCAGTTGGGTTCAAACTCAAGCAAAGGACGAATCTCACGGACACTCAGAGTGAAAGAGGCTGGCTCTAAAGGCGTAAACACAGTGCATGATCTCACCTACTTGAAGGTCAAAAACAGCCAGAAAAACTAATCTACACTCTTTGGAGTCAGAATAGAGATTCCTTACTTTTGGGGGGTTTAATAACCTGAAGGTGGGATAATGGGTGCTTTGGGGTGTTGGTAACCTTCTGTTCCTTGAGCTGAGTGTTGGTTACCCAGGTATGTTCATTTTGTGAAAATTCACCCAGTTTTGTGCTTATGATTTATGTATGTTCTATATTTATAACACTTTTCTATATGCATTTCATAGTTCAATAAACATTTACATTAAACATTTTTACATATCAAGCCAATACTTTGTCTTATGATTCCTTTAAGGGGCTCTCACATTTGTCTCTTTCCTCAGTTGGAAGATCAAAGAGTTTGCTCCAGAATGAAGCCCTGGTGAGGCTAGATTCTCAGAGAATTTCTGGACTGTGTGTGTGTAGGGGGAAGAAAGACAGGAGGCTGTGCAGAGCCAACACATTGATACACCCTATTCCCTACCCCCATCCCCACTGCAATCCTCAGACACACTAACCTATTTCACTTTGCTAAAAACCAATGAATGCTTTGATGCCAAGGGAACCAATGAGATAACTGGGATCCCTGCTGTCCTCTGCCCTACCCCCACTATCTGCTCCTGAAATCTGTTCCCAGTCAGGGTCCTACCCTCTCCACCTCTCGTGGTCAGCTCTGTCCCTTTCATCTCCCTCCTCTGCTTCAGGGTCTAAAAGAGATAGCTTTGGAGGGGTGGAGAGTGTTTGTGAAGAAGCTGCTGGTCCCCACCTCATCAAATGACATCCCTGCTTCTTTCTCTCCACCCAGGAAAAAGGCAGGAGGCATTGATTTCCCCTCCTGCCACTGAGGGAGAGGGCTTTGAGCTGGACTTCCTGATAACTGGGGTGGTAAGAAGTCCTTGGAGGGGGTGAACAAAAGCCAGGATTATTTAAAGACTGACCTGTCTGGAGACAGGGAGAGATCAGATCAGTTTACGGGGTCCTAAGCTTGCTGGGTTTTCACTGCAAAGAACTTCACCACCCAAGCATGAACACATGGAGGTACTTGTCCTTGACATAGGGTATCCAGCTGGGAAGGGATCCTAAACATCCGGGTTTCCTAATTGGCACCCCAGAACCCCCAGCCACGCCAGAGAATGAAACTCTGCCGGTTTTGTGTGACTTCAGGAACATCCACCTCCTCCTGCGCTGAACTCAGTGATGTCCCACTGGCAACTTTCTCTCCACTGGTTTGATGGGCTCTATAACCTAGAGTCTGGGGTTCACCTTCCCTAGTTTTCTGGAAAATTCATACTCCCTGCCCCCAAACTCATCCTCCCTAATTAGCTCCCCTAAAATGTGCTGAGAAGAGGGATTCTTCTCTTCTGACCCTCCTTCTAGCAGGTGGAGTTCATAACCCTCGATCGAGTATTCCAGGGATTTTTGTTTTGTTCACTAATTGTATCATAAGCACCCAGAACAGTGTCTGGCACACAGTAGGCATTCCATAAATGTTTACTGGATGAATGAATGGTGCCCACACTTGGAAAGTTCCTCCAGAAGCCCATCCTATATCCCTATTACTATCATTTAAGCTTTCAGCTCTGGCCCTAGAAGAGAGGAGTCAGCTATCTGCCTGCATCTGTCATCATTTATTGAGCACCTACTGTGTGCAAACCATTGTGATATGTGACTGTCTGTTCATAACTTAAGAGTCTTGGCTCATACCAATACCTCTTACTATCTGTCCCCACTTCTCCCTCCAAGTCCAGTCTTCATTCAACCTCACTGGCCCATTTTCTTAAGAATTACTCAAGATTTAATAAGAATGAGAAGTTTGCTTTCTGTGATTATAATTGTTTGTTCTAGGTCTTCTTTCGTCTCCACTTAAGATAAGTGAAAACCTCTCCATTTCTCTTTTTGTCTCTGTGCCTCCAACTCTCTGCATAGCATGTGTTCCTGCCTCTGTATCCCCATCTGGTCTCTGTTTCTGTTTCTTTCTTTTTTTTTTTTTTTGAAACAGAGTTTTGCTCTGTCACCCAGGCTGGAGTGCAGTGGCGTGATCTTGGCTCACCACAACCTCTGCCTCCCGGATTCAAGCGATTCTCCTGCCTCGGCCTCCCGAGTAGCTGGGACTACAGGTGCCTGCCACCATGCCTGACTAATTTTTTTGTATTTTTAGTAGAGACGGGGTTTCACCATGTTGCCCAGGCTGGTTTTGAACCCCTGAGCTCAGGCAATCCACCTGCCTTGGCCTCCCAAAGTGCTGGGATTACAGGCGTCAGCCACCGCGCCCGGCCTCTGGTCTGTTTCTTTGCTGGAAGAGTAGCTCTTTCTTGGGATCCCCTCTCTAGGTTTGATTCGTTGGGGTGTGGGTTTGTCTCAGGCCCAATCTATTTCTCTGTCTCCCTCTCTTTCATTTCCTTTACAGCAAATAGGTAAACAAGTGGTTGAAAAATAGGAAAAGGGGAAGAAAAAAAGAGAAGCTATCATGGGGTGTTTTCTCCCAGGTATCAGGGTCGCAGGTAGTTCCAACCTCAACTGGGAACAAGTCCCAACAGGTGCAACCCCTGTCCAGATGTTGCACAATGCAGGCGCGTGCCCAGAGCCCAATCCCAGATCGGTTCTCGGGCAGAGGTCCGGGTTGGGGATGTATCCAAACCAGAAATATCCTTTCAGGTCTCTCTCCCCGAGACAAACCCCGGCAGGGTCTGCTCCTCCCGGAGCCGGCTTGCAGGCGTGTTGGGGGAAGCCAGCGAGGTTGTTTGCCGGGAAAGGACAGTTTGGGACCCGGGAGGGGAGTTCCCTGCGTCTGGGCCGTGGGGGGAGCTACAGGCCGGGCGGGGGTGAGTAAGGCCCAGCGGACGCAGGAGGCTCAGTGGCGGCGGCGGCGGCGGCGATGGGGAGGAGGGTAATTAGCAGGGAGGCTCTCGCCACAGCACGTCCCCACAAATGAGAGGCCCCGGGCCCCAGACACCACACAACAAAGCAAGAGGCAATTATTTGGCTCCAGTGGGAGGGGACAGCCCTTTGCCGGCCCACTGCAGCTGAGCACCCAGCCTCCGTTGAGGACGCGGAGGGTGGGGTGCAGAGACCCCTCTCACCAGCCCCCCGGCGGCAAGGGCAGGGCCCCGAGGGACTCCCGCTGGGTTACCCTTAGAGGAGGTCCCTGTTTGGGAAGGCAGAGCCGTAGGAGGCCCCAGCCTGATTAGAGCCGGCCCTCAGCCAGCCCGGAGCCTCCCACAAGGCATCCAGGAGACCTCCTGGGGACCCCACAGGGAAGCGAGAATGTCCTGGGACCGGGGCTGGAGAGGGCGGAAGGGGCTTTTTGGGTCCTGGAGAAGCCAGTGGCCAACATCTGAACCCCCCTTCTCCAGCTGTGGCCACACAACTGGCAACCGGGAGGCTCTCAGGCAGGTGGGGAAACCACAGAGGAGGGAGCAGGAGCCAGGGAGATTCCAGAGCTCTGGCCTAGACCTGGAATTCACACAATTGCTATGCAAACCAAATGCAAATACATCTTCTTTTATCTCCCCTTCAAAAATCGTCAAATCAAGCATATTTGGAAGAAGGCCAGGCCTGATCAGCTGGAGGACCCCCAGCCTCTGCTTGCCTCCTTCTCCCTTTCCACCCACCCATCCCTACAGGAAAACTAAGTCCTACAATACCTTAGATTCACCTGGGACCCATCTGCAAAGGACTTTCCCCTCTTCAGATGAAAGAGCCCAAAGTACAGATGGGGAAAAAGAGGCCTTAAGAGATTAAGGTACTTTCCCCTGCCCTAACAGCCCACCTGGAGAATGACAGGCCTCCTGGAAGCTTCTGACAACAGCCCTAGGTTAACAGCATGCCAGCTGGGGGAGGGGAAAGAGCACAGAACTGGGAGTCCTAAAATCTGATCTCTGGTCTCAGCTTTGCCTCTAACTTGCTGGGTAATCTTGAGAGAGTTACTTATCTTCTCCAAGCCTCAATTTCTCTGAATATCAAGTGGCTATCTCTGGGAAAAAAGGCTCTTCCCGAGTTGAGCCCCTCCCTGCGTCAGGGCCATCCCGCATTGCTGCCAAGGGTCCTTGAGCCAAATGCTCTGCTTGTCATCCTCCCCAGCTCTCACCACTCTCTGCCTCAGGCCAACATAGGATGAACCCCAGCCATTGGCCTCCCCTTTTCTTTTCTCTTTTCTTCTCTTCTCTCTCTCCCTCCCTCCCCCCTTCCTTCCTTCTTGCTTTCCTCCTCCTCCTCCTCTTCTTCTTCCTCCTCCCCCTCCTCTTCTTCTTCCTCCTCCGCCTCCTACTCTTCCTTCTTCTTCTTCCTTCTCTTCTCCCTTCTCCCCTCTTCCCTCCTCCTTTCCTCTCTTTCTTCTTCTTCCTCTTCCTCTTTTTCTTCTCCTTCCTCCCTCCTTCTTCCCTCCTCCTTCCTCTTCCTCTTCTTCTTCTTCTCCTTCCTCCCTCCTCCTTCCCTCCTCCTTCTTCTTCTTTTTTGTTATTTTGAGACAGTCTCACTCTGTCACCCAGGCTGGAGTGCAGTGGAGCAATCATAACTCACTGCAGCCTCAACCTCCCTGGCTCAAGTAATCCTCCCACCTCACCCTCCTGAGTAGCTAGGAGTACAGGCGTGCACCACCACACCTGGCTAATTTTAAAAATTTTTTTCTGTAGAGGCTGGGTTTCATTATATTGCCCAGGCTGGTCTCGAATTCCTGGGCTCAAGTGATCCTCCTGCCTTGGCCTCTCAAAGTGCTGGGATTACAGATGTAAGCCACCACACCCAGCCTCATTTTCAAAATCTTCCTCAAAATTCACTTTAGGAGCCAGGCAGGGGGTACATGCCTGTAATTCCAGGTATTTGGGAGGCTGAGGTAGAAGGACTGCTTGAGCCCAGGAGTTCGAGTCTAGCCTGGACAACAGAGCAAGACCTCCTTTCTAAAAGAAGAAAAAACAATTCCCTTCAGGAGGCCTCACTGAGTTAGCCCTGCTGACCTCTGGTTGCTGCTGATGTTGGGGTTCTCTCCATCTAGGAAGGGCTCACTGGTCCTGTACGTTTGCCCTTGCTGATATGGGCTGGGAGAGCTCCTAAGTAATTTGGAGAGTGCATGTGGGATCCTCATTGTGCCCCCACCTGCACCCAGGATGGAGACAGAGACTATCTCTTACGTTAGACTGGGGGCTTCGCAAGAACACAGGCTGCATCTTTTCCAGTATATTGTAGCTCTCTGAGGCCAGAGAGCCCCCATTAGGGTGGGACTGTGTGTCTACCATTAATACTTTTCCCTAAAGTTGAGGACTCTGCCCCCTCCACCTGCCCAAACCTGTGGTCAGCAGGAGCCATTCCACAGGGGAGAGGGGCCTAGACAGCTGCCTCTCCCAAGTCTTCACTGACTGCTTTCTCAGCTCCCCCTCAGCCCCCTTTTCCGGGCCCCTGCCACCACCAGGGGGGCAGCTTTGTCATTTCCCCTCTCCCACCCGGCTTCTTCTCTTCTCAGAAACTCTGGCCTGGCATCTGCCTCCTCCTCCTCTTCTCCCAGCTTCTTACCACCCTCATCCCTCTCCAGGGCCTCAGGGCAAGTATTTGCCATCTGCCATCTCCTTGCATTCCTGGGGCTGGCTCCCAGGCTCCCTGCTTCCCCGGGGGGGCCTGAGAACCCTGCTCATCTGCCCTATACCATCAGAGCTGCCCTTGCCACCCTCAGAATGCCTGAGTCCTTTGTTCCGCAGTCCCCCCCAAGGCCTCCTGGGGCTTGCAGTGCCAGGGCTGTTAACATCGTAGGCTGCCCTCACCCCTCTGAGCCAGAGAGGCTATCAAAGCAAGCCTGGGGGGCCCCCTCTAGCGCCAGCAACTCCCGGTGCCTCCCTCCTCCAGGTCTCCATCTTCACCTCAGGGAGACTCCCTGCCCTGAGAACCCACCACTTCATATCCATTTGCATATACTTGTTGGTCCAGCCCAAGCAAATTAATGCAAATGCAATCCAAACCAGAGGCAATGAAGCAGCAACGCTGGATGGCCCTGATGCCAGGAGAGGAATCAACGTCTGGAAGAACCTCTTTTTCCTGAGATGGACATTCAGGGAAACCGAGGGTGGAGAGAAGTGCATTCCTTGCTTGTGCATTCCTGGCTGGGATGCCTGATTCTCTGAAAACTTTCCAGGGCCACTGACCTGAGTTGTGTAACAGTGCTCTCCTTTTGCCCTTAGACCTCCTTTAACTGTGGCTCTTCTTTCACACACTTTCGATCTTTTTCCTTCTCTCTGATCTTCCCCTTCCCTGGGTCCTGACACTCCTTGCCCTCAGCACAGGAGCCCTGCACCCCACCATCATTCCCTGAGGGTGAGTGAAGCAGGTGGTTCCTGTGGACTCTGAGAAGAACTGAGGAGCCTCCCCTGTCACAGTGAGCTCCCCACTAACCTGCCCTGTTGCCAAAAAACCCTACCATTAGAGTGTTTCTGTGAGTACCATGTTCTGTTTAAAGACATGTGTCACTGTGGGTCTGGCTGACATATTCTGGAATTATCACCTTAGCAGAAAACAGGGACTTGGGATCCTCTGGTAGATTCGAGGTGGTTGAAGAAGAGAAGAAGACCTGGAGTGAAAAAAGGAATAGACACTGTCTAGAAATGCATTCAATCAATGGATGTTTATTGAACACTTACTATGTCCTGGGCCCCGAGCTCAGCAGTGGGGATGGGGTGAACAAGAGTGGCTGGCTTCATGTAGGAAAATAGGTGTTTCTCAAACTTGAATTACACCCGCATTACCATGGATGACCATTAAAACCCAAGTCCTCAGCTGGGCGCGGTGGCTCACGCCTGTAATCCCAGCACTTTGGGTGGCCGAGGTGGGCAGATCACCTGAGGTCAGTAGTTTGAGACCAGCCTCGTCAACATGGCGAAACCCCGTCTCTACTAAAAATACAAAAATTAGCCAGGTGTGGTGGCACATGCCTGTAATCCTAACTATTTGGGAAGCTGAGGCAGGAGAATTGCCTGAACCCAGGAAGTGGAGGTTGCAGTGAGCCGAGATCGCACCATTGCACTCCAGCCTAAGCAACAAGAGTGAAATTCTGTCTCAAAAAAAAAAAAAAAAAAAGAAAAGAAAACAAAAACCCAAGTCCTCAAGCCTCTGTTGATCCAGTGAGTCTATGGGGGCCCAGGAATCTGCACTGAAACAAGCATTTCCCCGGCTGGGCGCGGTGGATCATGCCTGTAATCCCAGCACTTTGGGAGGCCGAAGGCAGGCGGATCACGAGGTCAGGAGATTGAGACCATCCCGGCTAACACGGTGAAACCCCATCTCTACTAAAAATACAAAAAATTAGCCAGGCGTGGTGGCGGGCACCTGTAGTCCCAGCTACTTGGGAGGCTGAGGCAGGAGAATGGCATGAACCCAGGAGGCGGAGCTTGCAGTGAGCCAAGATCGTGCCACTGCACTCCAGCCTGGGTTACAGAGCAAGACTCTGTCTCAAAACAAAAAAAAAAAAAAAGAAACAAGCATTTCCCCTTCCCCTTCCCAGTGATGTAGCTGTAGGTGGTCTGGTGACCACACTTTGAAAAGCCCTGGTGGCAGGTCCTGGGTTCTAAGAACAGCCTGGAGTTTCAGGGATCCACGGAGGTAGAAAGAGGGAGGGAGGGAGGGTGTTGTCAAGAAGAGTTAGCCAGGATAGGAGGTGACAGGCAGGGTCTTCTCCTCATGGCCTGCCATGCCCTGAGAGGGGCTGGGGATCCACCAGGCTCTCTCTGCCTGCAGGTCCCCCCTGGCCCTTCACCATCACTTGGGGGCTTCCCTGGACCCTTCCCTGGGATCAGAGGGTCTTCCACAGAGGCCTCCCAGCACCCTGTTGATTCCCACCTTTCATTTCTCTCTGGGCCCCAAGGCACCTTCTCCTCAGTCTACAAAGGGTGGGCACTAATGGGAAAAGGTGGCAGAGACCCCAGACCACACTCCCCACTCTGTAGCCCCGACCCCCTGGTCTCAGAGGGCTTCCTGGAGTCAGTGTCTAGGCTGAAGAGGGAGGGCCTCAGAGGATGAGATTTGAGGAAGCAGGAATAGAGGTTGAGAGGGAAGGCGAAGGGAGGGAGACTGCCCCTCCTCCCCTCCAGCGCTTGGTGTTTGATGCTGGGGGTGCCGAGACATCTCCTCTCCCGGAAACTCAAGGCCAGACAGATAAACACAGATGGAGGGAGAGACTCGGCTGCTTTATTTATGGGCCCGGTGACAGGCCCTCTCCTGTCTCAGAGTCACTAATCTACCAGGCGGAAGAGACATCCCACTCCCTCGCCACCCTCTTCCCTCCCTCCTAAGACTGGGGCTCAGCCAGGCTCCAAGCCTCCCCTAGGTGGTCAGGCAGTGCCAGTTCCCATGGGCTAGAGGAGAGTGTCCAGAGGCTCAATAGACACCCTCTCTCTCTCTCCCCCAACAAAACAGGGTGTCCTTCCCCTTGAGAAGACTTCTTAAGTCAAGGCCTTTGAAGTCCCTGAAGAGACACCCTGGGCTGCCCCGACTTGGGTCTATCCAGAGCAGGGATTGATGGGGGACCCCATGATGTCCCTAAGGGGTCAGACCCAGAGCTGAAGGGTGCTGCCTCCTGATACTTCCTTCAAATTTACTTCCTCTAACAGCAATTAGCACTCAAATAAAGGGGTCTTTGGGGACCCATCTTAATTGCTCCATTTTCTCCACCTCCACCGTCTCCTTACCCATCCACACTTTCACAAACCTCCTCCTGCCACCCTCCAATGAAGGGTTAAATTTCACTGTGCCTGCTGGAGGGGCCACCAGGAATTGCCCCGCCTCCCATCAGCTGGGAAACATGGGCTCTCTGACTTCCCTGATTCCTTCAGTTCCCTCTCCCTGCCCTGTGTCTGTCTGCCAGCACCCCTTCATTCTGCCATCTTTACCTGGGTCTACCCCAAATCTCTGCATGGGGACAGAACTGAACTCAGCCTTACAGACAGAATGGGTTCCTTGGGCCCCAGGGTCAGAGGTCAGAGAGCACCAAAAGGGCAGAAAGCAGAGGGGGTCAGGGAGGGGGCAGATCCATACCTGTCGGTGGCTTTGAGGCCGGACACTCAGAGCCTTTAAAGCCCCAGAGATTCAGGGATTTGGCTCATGGGATCAGACTGCCCGGCTTCCTGACTCACAGTGGCCAGACCCAGACTGGGACCTGCTCAACTCGCCCCTCTCTTTTTCATTTAAGCGACTTTGGGTCATCCATGGGCCAGGGAGCCCATGTTTCCCCCTCCCATGGCCCCGCCCCATTGTTGGCACCTTATCTGAGCACACAACCCGAGCCTGGGGAAAAGGGGGTGATTTGCAATCCTGGCTCAGATTTACAGTGAAGTCCTAGGTGGTTTCTTCCTCCGGTGAATGGGCATAGTTTGGGGGTAAATGGCATTTACTAGCCTCTCCCCCAATCCCCTGCCAAATCAATTTCAGATTCTCCTCTAGAAAGCTTTCCCCCAATAACTCCACTCAGCCCCTTCCCTGTATCTTCTTCCCATTCTCCCAGCACTACCTCAATAATTCCATTCAGTTGCTGTCTGCCCTTGTTTCTGGTCTCTGCTGATGAATCAGGGATGTATTCTGTCTTCCCACTCAGGCTGAGACATCTCTGTGGTCAAGAACTACGCCTCCCCTATCTAACCACTGCTCCCTGACAGGGTCTCCTCTAGATCTGCTCCCTGCACTGAGCACAGGAAGCTGACTGCTGGCAGGGGAGGAGGTGGCAGAGGGGAGGTCCATCCACCTTTCCGCTCAGGAAAGATTTTCACAAGTAGACAGATCACCCAAAGGAAGTCAGGGAAACATGGAAGCATAAGGGAAAGAATTCCCATTCTTTTTGTTTTTTTTTGTTTTTTTTTGTTTTTGAGACAGGGTCTCTCTCTGTCACCCAGGCTGGAGTGCAGTGGTGTGATCCCAGCTCACTGCAGCCTCAACCTCCAGGGCTCAAACAATCCTCCCATCTCAGCCATCCAAGTAGCTGGTACTACAAGCGCACACCACCACATCCAGCTAATTAAAAAAAAAAAAAATGTAAAGATGGGGTCATCCTGTGTTGCCCAGGCTGGTCTTAAACTCCTGAGTTCAAGTGATCCTCCCACCTCAGCCTCCTAAAGTGCCAGGATTAGAGGCGTGAGCCACTGCACCCAGCTTATTTTTTGTTTAGTTGGCCAATTACAATTGTATATATTTAGCAGTGAACATGATTTTATTTTATTTATTTATTTATTGAGTTGGGATCTCACTCTGTTGCTCAGGCTGGAGTGCGGTGGTATGACCATAGCTCACTGCATCCTCAAACTCCTGGGCTCAAGCGATCCTCCAGCCTCAGTCTTCTGAGTAGCTAGGACTAGAAGCACGCGCCACCACACCAGATAATTTTTATATTTATTTTTTTTGTAGAGACAGGGTCTTGCTATGTTGCCCAGGCTGGGACATGACTTATTAAGTCCATGCTGAGAAAAAGAAGAGTGAGTTATTCTCCCCTACACTCAGGATTTTCCAGAGAGCTTCAGAATCCCTCCTCCTGCCCCACCTCCCCATTCGCACTTGCTCCTTCCTTGGAGGCCCAAGGCAGAAGGATGCAGGGGTCCGCCTCATCTCTTATAAAGTCCTGTTGCACTTCCCCTCCTCCCACTTGCCCACCCTGCTCGCCTGAGGGCCTGGCTCCATGCCAGGTGTCACCTGCTCAGCCTCATCCAGGGTGCTTACTCAGGACAGAACCAACTGGGGAGACAATGTCTCCTCTTCCTCACAGCAGCTGCCAACCTCTAGGTCCCCTTCTGTGCCCTGAATCCATCCATGCACGAACACACTCTGAACCCAGGGGTGTATGTCTGCCCATGACAGGGAAGGTGTAGCCGGGTGCGTTGGCTCACATCTGTAATCCCAGCACTTTGGGAGGCCGAGGCGGACGGATCACATGAGGTCAGGAGTTCGAGACCAGCCTGGTCAACATGGTGAAACCCCGTCTCTAGTAAAAACACAAAAAATTAGCCAGCATAGTGGCGTGCGCCTGTAATCCCAGCTGCTTGGGAGGCTGAGGCAAGAAAATTGCTTGAACCCAGGAGGTGGAGATTGCAGTGAGCTGAGATCATGCCACTGCACTCCAGCCTGGGCGACTGAGTGAAACTCAGCCTCAGAAAAAGAAAAAAAAAAAAAAAAGACAGGGAAGGTGGATGTTTGCTCAGCCTGGGTGTGTTTTTCACCTCTCTCTGTCCCTTCCCCTTCTTTCAGGTGATTATGGAATCCGTGATCTTGGAAAAGTCACTGCATCCCTCCCCCAGCCTCTGCCACAACCCCCCAGCATGCTGATGAACATCTCTTTTAGGTTTAAGACCACCAGCACCCTGGAAAAGGAACCACCATACCCCTCCCAGGTGTTATGAAGCAACGAAATGTACTCTCCCTTGTCTGCTCTGCCCTGCCTTGGCAGTTGGGTCCTAACTTGAAATCCATCTTCGTTGCCACCCTGTCTGCTGAAGATCTCCGAGGTTGCCCATGCTGACTACTGATCTCCTTGCTACCTCCTGGAGATAATGGACTTCACTTGTCCACCAGGGTCTCAGCCCGAGACCCGCATAGGGCTGCTAGGCTGGCTGGCTTCTGTGATTCTCATTTTGAAGGCTACCTTTCTAAGCTTAGGCTGCTGGATCTCCCCATCCTGATTTCTGATAAGCAGAAAGCTAGGAGGGGCGCCAGCTGTCCTGAAGGCAATAAAAGCTCTCATTTACTGAGCCCTTACCACGAGCCAGGCACATGCTTTTTAAAAATTTAATCTTCATGGCTGGGCGTGGTGGCTCACACCTGTAATCCCAGCACTTTGGGAGGCTGAGGCAGGCGAATCACGAGGTCAGGAGATCAAGACCATCCTGGCTATCATGGTGAAACCCAGTCTCTACTAAAAATACAAAAAATTAGCCGGGCGTGGTGGCGGGCGCCTGTAGTCCCAGCTACTCGGGAGGCTGAGGCAGGAGAATGGCGTGAACCCGGGAGGTGGAGCTTGCAGTGAGCCGAGATCGCACCACTGCACTTCAGCCTGGGCAACAGGGCGAGACTCCGTCTCAAAAAAAAAAAAAAATTAATCTTCATTACAACTCCATTCTACACAAGAGGAAATGGAGGCACCGACAGACCACGGTAGCACTTCCCAATCAGATTGTAACCCCCTCTGAGTCACCGACACAGTCAAGGTTCTATGCACAGCAGGAGTGGCCCTCTGTGGACAAAGCTCTGCCCTGGGCAACTGAGAGAAGGGGCAGGGGACAAGAGAGGGAAGTGAGGGAAGGCAGTTTCTCCAGGAGCTTTCAGTCTGAGGGAGGAGACAAGACCTCTGTCCTCTGGGAATTGCTAGTCTGAGAGAGGAGTCAGATTGCACTTGAAAAATCAGTAGTTCCCTGATCCCTAATGCCACCATCCAGGTGGTACCAGAGGTCTTCACGACTGCATGAGCCTAGCTCCCCACCCACCGTGTCCTGGGAAAAAACACAAATAAGATTCGTCTTCCCTGAGTCGCTGGAGCAAAGGACAGGAGAAAACCCCTCTATGAGGTTGAATGATTCTTGTTAGATGCAATAGATGCAAAGGCCTATTGACTTCCAGGGCTAAGGGCCTCACTTGGAGGAAAGTTCTTGTGGATGGTATTTGAACTTTCCCATCTAGAAGCAGGGGAATGGCTGGGATGAACTCTAAAGGCATCTTGGAATTCCATCCTATCCTATTTCCTCTCCTTCATCGTAGCCAAGCTCTGAGGATTATGACAGCGTGGGCAATAAAAAGTGCCTAATTGGTTGTTGTCCAGCCGAGGCTGCTCCCCATTTCCCTTGGCAGGGGTGGGAAACCGGCTGAGTCAGTTTCACTTTTGCTATTGCCCAGTTTCCCCATGGTTGCTGGGCACTAGCGGAAGCAGGGCACCCCGTGGGAATCAGGAGCTTGTCCCTGATGCTGCCTTTGAGGTGAGCATACCCCAAAAGGCAGAGGACCCCTAGAAAGCACCAGAACGTTAGGCTACAACTGCCCCCTCCCTGTGGAAAGAGGATAACTGGCAGGCTTCTCTCCAAATGTCCAGGGCCAACCCCACTGGCCTCTGAAGGAGTTGGGAGGAGGCACAGAGGACACCCTTTCCCCGGGCCTTGGTGGTGAAGCCTCTTCTGTAGCAGAGGGCAGAGGTGGAGACATGGGCTCTAGAGCCAGGTGCCTGGCTGGAATCCTGACTGTGAAGCCAGTGGTGTGATCTTGAGCAAGTTACTTAAGCTCACTATGCCTCAGTTTTCTCATCTGCAAAGTGGGGCTGATTATAGGACCTATCTCATAGGGAAAATGGGCTTGAATGAGTCAACGCATGTAAAGAGCTTGGAGCAGTGCCTGGCATGCAGTAGGTACTCAATAAATGGTAGCCATGAGCAGTAGCTCAGCCTGGCAGTGGGCATGGGGAGATGGGATGCAAGTCAGAATCTGGACATGGCGGGGATGCGGGTGGGTGAGTGAGATGACTTTTGAACAGAGATCCTGGGCTTCCCAATGTCTGCTCATCTGGCAGTGAGATCCCAGTAGGCCAGGAGGGTCAGTGAGAGTTTGGCCTGGGTTCTCTCCTGAGCAGCTGCATCCCACTCAAGCCCTTCCACCATAGAGCTCTCCCTCCCACCGCCCACCTTACCTCTCCCCACCTTCAGCATGAAGGCCACTCTCTCCTTCTCATGTCTTTCCAGGAAGGGTGGAGCCAGGCTCCTCACCTTCCTGGCAAACATGCTGGCGTCCCCCCACCCAGGTCACATCCTCTCTCCTAGGAACCTGTGAACAAACTGTTCTTTCTGCTGGGGACACCCTGCTCCCTTTGCAGCTCTCGCCTCTTCCTCCTTCCCAAGCCAGTCTGGTGCTCCTCTTCTCTAATGGGACGTTCCCAGGCACAGTATCATCCCTGCCCTGAGTCCTACCCAGTGCCGGCAATCTGGCCCCTTTCTCAATGCCCAGGTCCTGGACGAGTGCACAGTCTCCCCCATCAGACTAAGAAGTTAAGCACTGTGTTTTACCCCAGAATCCACTGGACCGTGCAGTCCATCCATGAGCCTCCAGGCCTCAGCCACTGTTATGCCTTTCCCTTTCCTTGGGTTTCCCATTTTGATCCAGGAAAGCAGCATAGTCACTGGGCTGCCTGCCACCTCCAATGCACCTGGGGGCTTGGCAGACAGACAGCCACCTGTCTCGGGAGGCTCAGGTGGATACTAATAGGCAGTGGAGGCCAAGGGCCTCCCCACCAGAGACCCCCAGAAGCCCCTCCAGCATTGAAGCTGGAAACAGACCATTCAGTTACAGAGTCCAATCCCACCCAAGCAGAGACTGATGCCGGAGGAGGTCCCAGGAAGACCCCCATTTAGCTGCTGCCCTTCTTGGAAACCTTTTGCTTCGACCTTGCCACTTCACTGTGGTCTCTTGAGGGGAGAGATGCTTATGAGTGGGAGTTGGAGTGGGAAGAACTCTGCTTGGCTCCTGGGGGGCAGCAGAGATTTATGGGACTGGATTTTTACAGGCTAGGGAGAGGCCCCAGGCAGGAGCTATGGAGCCCAACAGAGGAGCAAAGGCATAAAATCTCCGGACATGAAAGTCCCAGCGGCAGGCCCCCCCAGGCCTGTGGGTGGTGAGAGATTTACAGCTCTTGCACAAGGCCTGCAGGGGCCTGGGGAGCTGCAAGGACACTTCAGAGCCAGAATAACTCCCCGCCAAGGCCTTCACCTTTCTCCTCTAGGAAAAAAAAAAATACCAATAGAACAGGTTGGAGCTGCCAAGAAGATGGTTATCGCTGCTGGGACCCCGCCCCACCTGGAGACGAGGTGGCTCCCAACTTCCTCCCCCTCCCCGAGCTCTCCTCTCTGCCCCCAGGTCAGGGAGAGGTGCCTAGGGCAAGGCGAGGGGAGAGTGGAGGTGGGGCAACTTCCAGAAGGGGCCTCCCCCTGGAGAAAGTGGGGCTCGGGCTTTCACTGTTCCTTTGCCCAGACAAGGAATGCACAGCAGTGGCCAGAACCCCTGACAAGCCCAGGGGCCTGGAAGGGGGCAGTGAGTGGGTTCTGCCAGCTCCAATATTTAGGGAATGCTTTCACAATGTGCATGTGGGTAGGAGTCTTACCTGACGGGGTACAAGGATAGGAAAATAAAGACGGAAAAACAGAACGTCCCTTGTGCTTAGCAGCCATCTCTCATCTCAGTCAATGAGCTAAAAAGCTGAGACAGGAATTTCTCAAATGGAAAGTGCCCGGCCCCAGCCCCATGCCCTCTGCCCTTGCTCCACCAAACCCAGCTGCCAGTTTTCTCTAGGGCCAGACCCCAGCTCCTTCCCTACCCACCGAAAGGAAGGGCGGTAGCCCTGTGCCTACTGGGGACAGCTCATCTGGTTGAAGGGTGTTTCTGCCGCTTCTGGACTCTGTGCCCCATCACCTTGGTCCCCCACCTGCACGGAGAAGCCCAGACCCTCAGCAGGGTGGGGGTGGGGTGCATTGCTAACCACTTAAAAGGACCAGGCAAGCACCCTGAGAACAGGTGAGGAGCCAGAGCCTTTGAACTGGGAGGGGCAGGTGCTGCTGCTGAAAGACGGAAATCCTGGGCCAGGGCTTGCAGCACCACGGAGAGGGGTGGGCAGGAAGGCCCATAAAAAGCTGGACCTTCCCCTTCCCACCCCTCAGTCCAGTCCCTCAAGACCAGAGCTGGCGCTGAGACAGCCAACTGAGTAATGTCTCAGGTGCTCAGCCAGGGGGCACAGACTTGTCCCTTACCAGGCCCCACCCTGAGTGCTCGGTCCCCACCCCCCAGGGACAGGCCAGGGGAACAGTGTGGAGAGAGGACTGAGGCACTGCTGCCCAAGAGGCAAGAGGTTGAGTGGGGAGAGCCTCAGGAGGGGTGTGGGGGAAGCAGCTGTATCATCCTTTTCCCTGCTGATTGGCAGGCTGGGAAGGGAAGGAAGAGACAGGTCAGTGCCCCAGAAAGGAAGGGGAGGAAGTTAATGAGGAAAGGTGGCTTTGCTCCCCTGTCCCCTGCCCCCTCTGCCACTAGCTTCTGACTCCAGGCTCCAGGAGTGGGCCGGGCTGGTCAGGACCTGCCTCCAGCCTGCCTTCCTCCCGAGCAGGTCGGGAAAATTACTCTCCTGGTACTGCTTTTTATTTTTTGAAGCCAGATCAAAGGTGGGACCCAGCTGGGAGCCATAGTAAAATCTCAGCAATGTGGAGCCTTGGAGTTTCAGAGGTGAAACCAGGAGCTTGGGGAGGGACCATCTCAGGCCCAGGCTGCATGGGTCAGAGGCCAGAGTGGGAGTGGAGAAGAAGAGTCAGGAGTGGAGCTGGTGGGTGGGGCCCTGCGAGAAGAACCAGCTGCTTGAAAAAGGCAGGCAAGTCTATGGTTACCTTGGTGTGCACGGCGGCTCATTCAATGCAGGGACCCACCCACGCAGAACCCCCTCACACCCCAGCATCCAAGCCTTTCAGAAACTTCTCTCCAGGCCTGTGTTCATATTGTCCCCATTGCCTCACTGCCCCATTGGTCACCTGCTCCAGTGCATCACTTTATTTATTTATTTTTGAGACTGAGTCTCGCTCTGTCGACCAGGCTGGAGTGCAATGGCGCAATCTCCGCTGACTGTAACCTCCGCCTCCTGGGTTCAAGCGATTCTCTTGCTTCAGCCTCCGGAGTAGCTGGGACTACAGGTGCGTACCACGACGCCCAGCTAATTTTTTGTATTTTTAGTAGAGACGGGGTTACACTGTGTTAGTCAGGATGGTCTTGATCTCCTGACCTCGTGATCCGCCTGCCTCGGCCTCCCAAAGTGCTGGGATTATAGGCATAAGACACCCGCTCAACCTTTTTATTTTATTTTATTTTAATTTAATTTTTATTTTTATTTTCAGACGGAGTTTCACTCTTGTCGCCCAGGCTGGAGTTCAGTGGCACAGTCTCGGCTCACTGCAACCTCCACCTCCCAGGTTCAAGCGATTCTCCTGCCTCAGCCTCCCAAGTAGCTGGGATTACAGGCACTCACCACTATGCCCAGTTAATTTTTGTAATTTTAGTACAGATGGGGTTTCACCATGTTAGCCAGGCTGGTCTCGAATTCCTGACCTTAGGTGAGCCGCCATTCTCAGCCTCCCAAAGTGCTGGGATTACAAGCGTGAGCCACCACTCCTGGCCTGTTTTTAAATTTTATTATTATTTTTGAGACAGGGTCTCATTCTGTCACCCAGGCTGGAGTGCAGTGAAGCCATCAGTGCTTGCTGTGACCTCGACCCCCTGAGCTCAAGTGATCCTCCCACCTCAGCCTCCCAAGTAGCTGGAACGACAGACTCATGCCACCACACCCAGCTAAATTTTTTTTTTTCCAGGAGTCTCACTGCTCTGTCACCCAGGCTAGAGTGCAGTGGTGTGATCTCGGCTCACTGCAACCTTCGCCTCCCAGGTTCAAGCAATTATCCTGCCTCAGCCTCCTGAGTAGCTGGGATTACAGGCACATGACACCACACCTGGCAAACTTTTGTATTTTTAGTAAAGACAGGGTTTCATCATGTTGGTCAGGCTGGTCTCGAACTCCTGACTTCGTGATCCACCTGCCTTGGCCTCCCAAAGTGCTGGGATTGCAGTTGTGAGCCATCGCGCCCGACCCACCCAGCTAATTTTTACTTTTTTTTTTTTTTGTAGAAATGGGGCATCTGGCTACGTTGCCTAGGCTGCATAACCTTATATAACAAGGAAGTTCTTAGATTAGGTAACTTTACTCCCTCCTGCTTCAAACAGAGCATATTCCCACTTTACATGCCCGAGTTCAGATTAGCAAAAAGCACCTTTGGCGGAGCGAGGTGGCTCACACCTGTAATCCCAGCACTTTGGGAGGCCGAGGTAGGTGGATCACCTGAAGTCAGGAGTTTGAGACCAGCCTAGCCAACATGGTGAAACCCCATCTCTACTAAAAATACAAAAATTAGCTGGGCGTGGTGGCGGACGCTTGTAATCCCAGCTACTCAGGAGGCTGAGACAGAAGAATCGCTTGAACCCGGGAGGCAGAGGTTGCCGTGAGCCGAGATCGTGCCACTGTACTCCAGCCTGGATGATAAAAGCAAAACTCCATCTCAAAAAAAAAAAAGAAAAAAATGAAAAAAGCACCTTCTTGGGGCTGGGCGCAGGGGCTCACGCCTGTAATCCCAGCACTTTGGAAGGCCGAGGCCGGCAGATCACCTGAGGTCGCGAGTTCGAGACCAGCCTGACCAATACGGAGAAACTCCGTCTCTACTAAAAATACCAAAAATTAGTCTGGCATGGTGGCGCATGACTGTAATCCCAGCTACTCAGGAGGCTGAGGTAGGATAATTGCTTGAACCTGGGAGGCAGAGGTTGCAGTGAGCCAAGATGGTGCCACTGCACTCCAGCCTGGGTGACAGAGCAAGACTCCATCTCAAAAAGAAAAAAAAAAAGAAAAAGAAAACATTTTTCTTTATTTATGGTAGAGATTTAGTAGCATTTTTAGTAGAGGCGGGGTTTTATCATGTTGTCCAGGCTGGTCTCAAACTCCTGACCTCAGGTGATCCGCCCACCTTGGCCTCCCAAAGTGCTGGGATTACAGGTATGAGCCACTGGGCCCAGCCATTTGTTTTCTTTGAGACAGGATCTTGCTCTCTCTCCCAGGCTGGAGTGCAGTGGTTCGATCTCAGCTCACTGCAACTTCTGCCCCCCAGGCTCAAGTGATCTTCCCACCTTAGCCTCCTGAGTAACTGGGAACACAGGCATGCACCACCATGCCCAGCTAATTTTTTTTTGTATTTTTAGTAGAGACAGTGTCTCACCATATTGCCCAGGCTGGTCTCAAACTCCTGAGCTCGAGCCATCCGCCCGCCTCAGCCTCCCAAAGTGCTGGTGGGACTGCAGGCATGAGTCACCACGCCCAGCATAAGTGCATGTGGATGTAGACAAAAGGAACGAGAGAGGGCTGCTCCACAAATTCTGCTGTCACTAATGGACTGGACGACCTCAGCCAACTCCATCACATTCTCAGAGCCTAGGTTTCCCCAGCCATAAAATATGGGGTTAATTGTCCCTTCTAGGGAATCTAGGGGGGTTAATTGGGCAATGGCTCTGAAGTGTCTAGGAGAAGGAGATCTATAAATATAAGGGATCATTAGCGGGCATTTCACAGCCATTTTGTGGGCCCCAGTGTTATTATTAATATGATTATTGTTATTGTTATCGCCCCCATGGCCCACTTCCCGAGTCTCTCCCAGCCAGGTCAGTGCTTTCAGGTGACAAGTGCTGCTCCTGAGCCCAGCCCTGGTCCTTCTGAACCCACACCCTCCACACTCAGGGTCTCTGGGGAACCCTCAGGAGACTAGCAATGGGACTGAGATGTGGTTTTGACATAAGTGAGGGCCTAGGAGGGAGACGGGCAGAGGGAGAGAGGGCAGTGCCTCGCCAGGGACATTCTCAGCCTCCCTTTGTCCCTGGGGACAATTCTAGTCTGCAGTGGGCAGCTGGGACTTACGAGAAGCAGACTGGGCACCACATGGAGCTGTGGTCAATGGGGTCGGGAAAGGTGGGGAGCAGGGGAGTGCAGGGGAGGGGCAGAGGCAGAGAGAAGATGCTGCTACCCGGGGAGGTAAGAGGAGCTGGTTGGTAGGAAACCAATTCCTTGAAGAGGCAAATGTGTGTGTTTGTTTGTTTTTGTTTTCAGACAGGGAGACAGGGTTTTGCTTTGTCACCCAGGGCAGAGTGCAGTGTCGCAAACACAGCTCACTACAGCCTCAAATTCCTAGGCTCAAGGGATCCTCCTGCCTCAGCCTCCCAAGTAGCTGGGACTACAGTTGAGAGCCACCAAGCCTGGCTAATTTTTAAATTTTTTTGTAGAGATGGGGGTCTCCTTAAGTTGTCCAGGCTAGTCTCTAACTCCTGGGCTCAAGAAGCAATCCTCCTGCCCTAGGCCTCCCCAAGTACTGGGATTACAGGCATGAGCCACCATGCCCGGCCCAAATGGCTTTTTTTTTGTTGTTTTGTCTTTTTTTTTTTTTTTTTTGAGATGAAGTCCCACTCTGTCGCCCAGGCTGGAGTGCAGTGGCAAGATCTTGGCTCACTGCAACCTCCGCCTCCCAGATTCAAGCGATTCTCCTACCTCAGCCTCCCAAGTAGCTGGGACTACAGGCATGCACCACCACGACTGGCTAATTTTTGTATTTTTAGCAGAGATGGGGTATCGCCATGTTGGCCAGGCCGGTCTTGAATTCCTGACCTCAGGTGATCCACCCACCTTGGCCTCTCAAATTGCTGGGATTACAGGGGTAAGCCACTGCACCCGGGCCCAAATGGCTCTTTTTAAGGAGTCTCTTTGTAGAGGCTGGAACCCACTCTCAGTCTCCGAATGAAGCAGGCCCCATTCCTGGGGAATAGCAGGCACTCAATAGCTGCTTGTTAAACTGCATCTCCCTGTCCGCCCTGTGTTACTGTAAGGTGAACGCTGGGCAGCTGCTTTGGAAATGCCTTGGGCGCCCCCTGGTGGTGACACACAAAGGCTGAGGAGGCACCCCTGCCTTCCACCTTAAAGGGCTCCTTTTACCTGGGGCCCTGCCCTTTCTTCCTGAGGCTCCACAGATCCCACCCCAGGGAGACTGGGGGTAGAAAGAAGGAGCAAAGAAGGAAGAACCCTGTGGGGAAGGATGAGTGGAATGTCCTTGCTGGAAGATTCCATGGCAGTTGGTGGGGAGCCATCGGCCTGGACAGGGGAACCAGGGGCAGAGGAAGTTGACGAGTTAGGGCAGGGGTCAGGAGTGGCATCCCCGGCAGTGAAGACAGAGATGTGTCTGTATGTGTGCACCAGGGGTGTGGTGTAACAGGGAGATACATCTTATAGCCTCTGTCAATGTTTCATGTTCACAGAAGACTGAGGAAACCTAGATCCCTGAAATCATTGATGGACCCTAGGAGGAAAAAAAAAATTACCCAAATTCATCCAAGCTAGGTGTTTGTCCCATCAGATATTTTTGTGGGTCTGCATATGAGAGAGTCCGGGTTAGAAGTCTGCAACTCTGGGCCGGGAGAAGTCGCTCACGCCTCTAATCCCAGCACTTTGGGAGGTCGAGGCGGGTGGATCACCTGAGGTCAGGAGTTCGAGACAAGCCTGGCGAAAATGGTGAAACCCTGCCTCTACTAAAAATACAAAAATTAGCTGGGCTTGGTGATGCGCACCTGTAAACCCAGCTACTCAGGAGGCTGAGGCAAGAGAATTGGTTGAACCTGGGAGGCGGAGGTTGCAGTGAGCCGAGATCGCATCATTGTACTCCAGCCTGGGCGACAGAGCAAGACACTACCTCAAAAAAAAAAAAAAAAAAGAAGAAGTCTGCAATTTTGATTTCCCCATAAGTAGAAAGGGAAGAGATGAGAAAATAGAAAATCATAGGAGGGGAAAAGGGGAGAAGCAGAGGTTACTGGGAAATCCTTAAGGCAAAACAAGCAGTCTTTAGAAGGCTGGGTCGGCTGTAACTCTTCAAAGGTAAACACCAACAATAAAGCTTGGGTTGTAGCTATGAGTGAGGACCAACAGAGAGTCAAGGGGGCTGGCCTGATATTCTTCTAGTTTCTGGACCAACAGCACCAGTTATGCCACGTGGTTTCATAGGAGGCTCCAGGAGGGATCTGAAGCTTTTTTTTTTTTTAATTATACTTTAAGTTCTAGGGTACACGTGCACAACATGCAGATTTGTTACATAGGTATACATGTGCCATGTTGGTTTGCTGCACCCATCAACTTGTCATTTACATTAGGTATTTCCCCTAATGCTATCCCTCCCCCAGCCCTCCACCCCCCCGACAGACAGCCCTGGTATGTGATGTTCCCTGCCCAGATCTGAGCTTCTTGAGAGCAGAGGCTGTAGTTCCACATCCTTCCCTCCAGGACCCTCCCTCAGCATCCTGGGGGAGAGATGTTCACTGTCTGGTACTGACGGATTAGATGAGGACAACCCTGTGCAAAAAAGGACAAAGAGAATGTCAGGAAGCAGGAAAAGCACAGGAAAGTGAAGAAAGAAGGGGATTCAGAGGTAGACATGGAAGGAGAAGTAAAGTGGAAGTGGAAGAAGCTGGGCCTGAAAGAGAAGGGGTAAGTCCCTGAGAAGTGTTAAAAGGATATAGTCATTCGGTCAGTCAGTAAACATTTACTGTGCACCTACTATAATCAAGCAGTGTGCTGGGAATGGAAGGTGCCATGGTAGACAAGACAAGCATGGGGTTTTTAGTGGTGGAGAATGTGTAGCTTTGCAAGTTAGAAATGGAGAGAAAGTGACAATGTAGAGTAGAAAGAAACTGAAAGCAGTTGGAGACAAAAGGGAAATATCACTGAGAGAACCTGCCTCCAGACACACCAGGGAGGAGATGTCGCCCCTGGTTAAGGTTGACAGACACAGCCAGAACCACCCACTGGCCCTGGCTCTGCGAAGATGGCAGCAGGTAGGGTAGGAAGAGGAGAAATTCAGAAAGGCGAGGGACAGGAGTGGGTGGGGGTGGAGGGCACAGACTTTTCCTTGTTTTTACTTGGGCACCCCCAGTGGGAAGGTATCTTTGGGCTAAGGAGTCCTTCTCCACATTTGGCTGCCCATTGGAATCACCTGAGGAACTCCTTAATGCTGATGCCCCCCAGAGATTCTAATTTCCTAGGATGGGACCCAGACTTCAGAATTTACTAAAAGCTCTTTTAGTGAGTCTCACGTGTGGCCATGGCCGGGTGCAGTGGCTCACGCCTGTAACCCTAGCACTTTGGGAGGCTGAGGTGGGAGGATCGCTAGAGCTCAGGAGTTTGAGACTAGCCTGGGCAACATAGGGAGACCCCAGCTCTACAAAAAATTTAAAAATTAGGTGGGCATGGTGGCGCGCACCTGTAGTCCCAGCTACTTGAGAGGCTGAGGCGGGAGGATCACTTGGGCCCAGGAGGTTGAGGCTGCAGAGACCCTGTCTCAAAAATAATAATAAAAATAAAGGCGGGGCACAGTGGCTCACACCTGTAATCCCAGCACTTCGGGAGGCCGAGGCGGGCAGATCGTGAGGTCAGGAGTTTGAGACCAGCCAGACCAACACAGTGAAACCCCGTCTCTACTAAAAATACAAAAAATAGCCGGGCGTAGTGGCGCGCGTCTGTAATCCCAGCTACTCAGGAAACTGAGGCAGGAGAATCGCTTGAACCCGGGAGGAAGAGGTTGCAGTGAGCTGAGATAGTGCCCCTGTACTCCAGCCTGGGCGACGGAGCAAGTCTCCGTCTCTAAATAAATAAATAAATAAAGTGTGGCCGGGAGAGCACAAGCATTTCCAAGCCGCTGCCTGACCTTCTCCGTCTCTGTTGAAGACAGGGGCCATCTTGAAAGAAAAAATCTCTGAGGAGTTGTGTGGTCACTGGGGGAGCGGGGGTGTTTGTGAAGGAAGCTCTAAGACTCCAATGGGCCTGACAAAAGTATAACGGGGTCTTCTTCTTAGAAAGTGTCCCCTTCCTCCGGGTGCAGTGGCTCACACCTGCAATCCCAGCACTTTAGGAGACTGAGGTGGGTGGATCACTTGAGGTCAGGAGTTTCAGACCAGCCTGGCCAACATGGTGAAACCCTGTCTCTACTAAAAATACAAAAATTAGCCGGGAGTGGTGGTGCGTGTCTGTAATCCCAGCTACTCAGGAGGCTGAGGCATGAGAATCGCTTGAACCTGGGAGGCGGAGGTTGCAGTGAGCCGAGATCACGCCACAGCACTGCAGCCTGGGTGACAGAGCAAGACTCCATCTCGGGGAAAAAAAAAAAAAAGAAAGAAAGAAACAAAAAAAAACAACAAAAAAAAACAAAGGGTTCCCTTCTTTGGCTGTGTCTCTAGTAAGAAGAGTCAGACAGCCTAGAAACAAACAAAACAAGGATAAGGTGACCTTTAAAAGGGCAAAACCAATCAAATAATTCAAAACTACTGCAGAATTCTTCCAAGTATTCACACCCTGTCCTCCGCCCCGTGTGCGCACACTTTTTTTTTTTCACCTCTGCGGTCTTCATGATGGGGCCTCCAGGATAGGAGAAGCATAGCTACCCCGTTTTTCTCCCAGAAGAGGTTTGACAGTGGCCCAGCAGGATATTCAACCCCACCTACCTCCCCCCAAAACCCCTGCACCCTAATACAGGTGAGTCATGGAACCCGGGTGGAGTCCTTGGTTTGACAGTGAAGCAATCTAAACTTGAAAAATGGCCTGGGAACAGAATGTATGGACTATACAAACAAGTCATGCAGGTGTCATTGTATGCAAATATTCATTCTTTAACTCACCTTACATTTCCTGCTGATCCTCCTCTGTGCTGGCCTCAATCCTTCTACCACAGCTCAGTCTAGCAGGAGAGTAAGAAGTGAGAATAAAAGTGTGGAAATAGTGTGTGAGAGAGAAGCTCTTTTGCATGTGCCAGGGCAGCACAGAGGAGGAAGAAGCTATGGCTGGGCAGGAGTGAGGTATGCAGACTTTGAGCAGGGTCTTGAAGGATGCATAGGAGTTTATTTATTTTTCTGAGAGACAGGGTCTCGCTCTGTCACCCAGGCTGGAGTGCAGTGGTGTGATCATAGCTCATTTTAAGTTCAAACTCCCAGGCTCAAGTGATCCACCCACCTCAGCTTCCCAGGTAGCTAGAACTAAAAGTGCGCACCACCACATGCAGCTAATTTTTTTTGTAGAGATGGGGTTTTGCCATGTTGCCCAAGCTGGGTCTCGAAATCCTGGGCTCAAGTGATCCGCCTGCCTCTGGCTTCCCAAAGCACTAGGAATACAGGTGTGAGCCAACACATCCGGCCATGGATGCATAGGGGTTTACCAGAAGGGAAGGGTCACATAGGAAGTCAACTAGTGGAAAAAAGCGTAAGTGTTTAGGAACCTGGAATCTTTCCTGGAGGGAAAAGGGTAGGATTTGTAGGAAGGGAACGGGGGTAGAGGGAGGAGATAAAGCATGAAAGATACACCAGTAAGAGTGTGTCCTCTGGTGGATGCTGAGGTTAAGAAGAAAAAAGAGTGGGAGGACTTTGCCTAGAAAGGAGTTTGGGCTTTATCTAGGAGATACGGATCCCATGAAGGATCTTTACTAGAGGAGTATTATTGTCTAAAGTCTTGTTTTTCAAAGGCTAACACTGAGAGGAGAAGACTGGAAGAGGCTATTAACATTTATTCAGCAATTACTGTGTACCCGGTATTCTGCTCTGCATTTTGTATTATCACACCAACCTTTTCTAGCAGTGTTTTTCAAACTGCCAGTCATGATCAACAAGAAGGAGAATAAGATAGGATAGGATAAGCATAGAAACTATCAGTGCGTCACAAGTAGTAAGCATTGTTTTCGGAAACTTTATGACACTCTCATACAAATAGCAGTGTACTGGTCTGTATGCAAAATGTATTTCTCTTGATGGACTATGTTTTTTTTTGTTTGTTTTTTTTTTTTTTTTTTTTAAGCCATCGCGCTAAGGTGTAGGTGTGATTAACCTCGTTTTACTGATGAGGACATGAAGCTCAGGGAGTTTCGGTACCCTGCCTAAGTTAGTGGGATGTGTAGGTTTCAAACCCAGACTGGTCTGAAGCCAGAATGGATTCCCTCACTAAGCTAGGCAGCCTTCCCAAGTTCTCGGAAGAGACTTGGGAGCAAAGATAAACCTACCCGCCTAGTGCCTACCAAGTGCTTTACCTCATCTCAAGAAGGTAAGGGTAAGTGGGGCAGAGGCCAAGCAGTACTTCTCAAACTCAAGCGTGCAATTCTGTCCACGCGAGGCCCTTGCTAAAATGCAGATTCTAGGCACGCCCCGTGAAGTACCGAGTCGGATTAGGAGAGGCGGCCAGGGGAGCCTGCCTTTAGAAAGAGCTTCGGATGATTCAGATGCACACGTTTGGGACCGTGGGCTATGGGGGTCGCCGCAATAACCATGTGAGGATTAACGGGGGCTTAACCGATTGTGAAAATCCCCTTAGAAGTGTCGCGTAAACAACCCCAACTCCCACTATGGTGCCGGACCCCAGTGCCTCACTGTACAAAGTCGCCCCTCCCCAGGCGACAACGAGAGAGGGACTAAATAAAAGGTTGATGGCTTTCCACTCACCAGGCATGGGGTTGAGTGGCAGCCGGCTACTGCCGAAGAGCAGGTAAAAGCTCCTGCCACACCTGGGCGAGACTGGACTTAGGGCGCAATGTATATGCTATTTCTGGGGCATTTGTGGGCCTCACCCTAAGGACTTCTGATTGGCTTCAGGGCAGATCTATCATTCATCCTCTGGGTTAGAGGTGGGTGGAAGGTCAACCTCGACCAATACAAAAGCACTCTTCGGCTAAGCCCCTCCCCTTCCAGCTTCCTGTTGCTGTACATCAACCACCCAGCGGGCGGGACTTTGCCTCCCTCCAATTGGCTGATGCACATGTCACTCATTATTCAATTGGCTTTCGGTTGGTGCGCTCTACCGTCCATCAGTGACATTGCACAGACCTATTGGTCAAATCAACGTCGCTCTAGACGCCTCTGGTTGATTGGTTAATAGTGCTGTCGGTCCCCAATGTTCCAAGCGCTTATTGGTGAAGGCTGCCGTCGCTCGGGCGGTGGCGGGCTCCGGGATTGGCGGTTGCTTGGCGGGCGGTGTCAGGCTCTCGGTGGCGGCGGAGGCGGCGGAGGCCAGGGAGGAAGATGTCGTAATGAGCGGTGGGTCCCGGCCGCTGCCGGCGGGGTCTTCCCGGCCCCCAAGGGTCAGGAAGACGGGCAGAGGCCGCGGGGAGAGGGAGCCGAGGCCGGGGGTTCCCCCCTGGGGCTGGGTCTGGCGTCGGGGCCCGGCTTCAGGAGGGGCGGGGGAGGGAGGATTCCCGCCCGGAGGAGGAGCGGGGCTGGCCAGCCGGGCGGAGGCACCCGGAAGGGGGCGTTCGACTCCCCGCCCCCTCGGAGCCCGCCGGGCGGGAGGGCGGCGCTTCCGGGGGCCGGCGAGAGGAGCGGGCACCGGGGTGGCCTGGCACCCCTCGGACGGGTGCCGACCCACTTCAACGCCGCTCTCCCGCCTGGGCGAACTATGCCTGGGTCGGCTCTGAGGAGGCAGCCAACAGCCCTTGTGTTCGCCCCGTGTCTGAGAGGCCTTCCTGCACTCTTAACTGTAGATGCCCACCAGCGATTCAGGGCTCCCCGGAGAACAGAGAGGGGCGAGGGAACGCTTGAGACCCGGACGCTGCCAACCAGATGGGCACTGCTCGGCATCGACGACAGCCCGGTTACTGATATATCCCCAGTCGGGCGATGGTGTCAGGACACGAGAGCACTCCCTGGGCAGATGACCTCTCACCGGGGAGTGGGCAAAAACCTTCCTTTAATGTTTTTACTTGGATCCTTGATCTTCCAGCTAGATATCTGCAAGCTCTTAGCAGAATTGTGAGAAGTTTGAGAACTTCTTGCCAGAGCTCCCAGCCTGTTACTTGACGCCCCGTAGGGGAGACTACTGCAGTCCCAAAGCTCAGGCGCAAACAATCTTAAGGAATTACAGAAGAAATAAAACAAAATAGATACTCGCTCTCTTCCTGTACCCACCTCCATCCCCATTGCTGACTTACGGTTTTCAGCCTCTTATCCATGCTTCTTATGTTTCCTTGCCAGCGGCTTTCTAATTTTAGTTCAGAAGGAACTATGTTTTCTCCTCTGGGCAACTGAGAAACCTGTCCTCACTGCATTCCTTGGTTTTGATTGCAATATCCTGTCATGTTTGTTTCTTAATTAACTTCATCCAAGGGGACTCAGTCTGGCCTTTCTCAGTGCATTCTCCCAAAGTTCTTTCTTCTTCTGAGGTTACTTCTTGTTCACTTATTGTTTCCTAGAGAAAGGTATGAGCCAGTAGATCTGCTTTAAACAATGAATTGGCCCAAGTTTCCCGTTTACAGATTTCATTACAGATGGACACTGTTTCAAGGTGCACTGGCATGCACTGTCTAAAACGGTTTCATGCTGTACCCCAGAAGGCATTCAGTTTCACAGTGGAGGGCTGTATTGAGTTGGTATTCTGGATGATACAATTTTTAGGGCTAGAAAGTTTAGAGTGTTGGCTGGCTCACAGGCTGCAAAGGAAATAATGGTGGAGTCCAGACCACAGCAGTAATTTCAATTACTAACACAAAGAAACCCATTGTCTGCAATAATGAATATAACTGCAGTGTCTTGTTTTGTTTTAAATTCTTGTGTGCGATGAAGGGGGCGAATCTATCAGACAACCTATCAATTGGGCTGATGATGTCAGTGTTCCAGTGGCTTCTAACAGGCGTTAATACCTGTTGGAAATGGATTATCATTGGCTGGGACGATTGGTAAGTTTTCTAATTCTAGTTCTTCCTCTTGGTTGTACAGAGGCTTAACCTCTTTGGTTAAAAGCAACTACAAGAAAAAAAGCGAGTCTGACATAATTATGAACCCCCCTGAGCTAGGCTGCTGAAGCCAGAAACTCTTTGCCAAGGAGACCCAAGTAGAGTTTGTTAATAATCGGATCCTCACCTGACTGCCCAACGGGGAGAACTGGCTCCGGGAGAAAGAGTTTGGCATCACTCTGGACAGCAGATAGACTGGCCACTTTTTTCTCTCAGATTCTATTAAAGTTTGGGCCTCTGGAGAGGCCTGTCAGAGAGGAGAAAAGAAATTATAAGATTTGGGCAAATGTCTGGGGTAAAGAAGCTTTATGGCATTTCAGCAAGTAGAGTGGTTGGTTCATTTGGATATTTTGGCCTTGAACTTCTTATTTCTTCTGGTGGTTAATACCAGCTTTTTGGAGAAGTTGAACAGTCCTTTGCTATAGGTCTGTGGCAGATCCCAAGTACTGTCAGCAAGTATAGTATTGCCCAACCAGGGCCCTTATGAAGACATTTTAAACTTGTTGCAGCCAACCAGTAGACCTTAGTATTGGCTTGGTTTCAGCCATCTTCTAAACCTTGCCCACTCATTTCTGTGATAGATATGTATAACATGTTTTTTTTCTAATACTTATTTTTTCACACACACCCCCCTTTTCTGTATACACAAAAATTGGAAACCCTGCTTCCAAACACTGAAAAACTTAGGATATTTTGGATCAGGTGGACAATGGCTATGGAATGAAAGATGCAGAGAAACACTGCTTTAAAGAGTATGTAGAGAGTTACAGAGTTTAGGGATGCAGTAGCGTGAACACTTCTGAGTTTACAAGATTTAACCTCATGGCCCCATCTTAAATCTTGCGGGCTGCAAACCTGGAGTAAAATCTGTTCAGGGAAGCTCATATGCTTTCTTACAAGTTCATTGGGTGATATGTCTGGAGTTTTCCCTTTTTGCAACTGACTTGGATTTGTCGGAATTTCTTCCCAGCACCTACAGGCTGAACTAAACCAGTATCCAGTACATTTCTGGGCTGATAAATGGACATCATTTTGGAATGCATTTGTTGCTTTTTTGCTTGTTTTTGCCTTGCTTTTGTTTTGGATATGCGTGCAACTCCTTGTATGACGTTGTCTAGACCTGTTGTAGGAGGAAAAAAAGTTCTTTCTCTTTATTTCTTCCCTTGTAGAGCCAACACTTAGATCTTTATGTTTCTGAAATGTAGTTGAGTGTCTTTTTAAAGATGCTCTTCCTCAATTATCAGCAGATCTTTTTTTGGCTAGCAGCATTCTCTTAGGAGACCTTGGGGTGGAGGAGGTCTCACTTTTCTGTCAGCAATCTATTGGAGCAAGGTGGAAAGATGAGTGAAGAGGGTAAAAATATGTGACATTTCTTTTTTTAAAATAATAGAGGCATAGTCTCTCTATGTCAGGCTGGTCTCAAAACTCCTGGCCTCAAGCAATCCTCCCACCTCAGCCTCCCAAAGTGCTGGGATTACAGGCATGAGCCACTGTGCCTAGCCAACATGGGACATTTCTAACTCGAGGGTATTGTCAGGCCATGTAGGAAAGGGAGCAGAGATTGCCCTTGAGGAGATGCTCCCAGGTGGCAGATTTGTCCTACTTGATAGATTCCAAAATGGAAAACGGATTTTTCTGCTGCCTCTGGGGACACTGAAAAAAGAACCTCCACATGAGTTCAGAGGCAGCACCGGCAGCTTAGGGGAAGTCATGGCTTCCACTGCGTGTCTAGGAAGCGCTCTTTCAGGATGCTCTGAGGCTGCCACTGGCACAGGGGAATACTGTGCTTCTCATCAGACTGGGCTGCGGGCTGATGTGCTCTTGGGAGATGAGCTCTGCTCAGGAGCAAGAGGTTGTGAAAGGGCTGATGTTTCTTAGGCTCCCCCAATGAGCAGCTCCAAGCAGTGCTGAGATGTCTAGGCCGTTTGTGTCACAGGACAAGCACACTTGCAGACCCAACTGTTGGAATCCTTCATTGGCATATCATTCCCATTGCTGCTGTTTGTCTCCACATCAGAATTGCTTGCTATACTTAGCCAGAAGCCCTGCCACATTGCAGTGCAGAGGCTTAGCTTTCTTGTTTTTGTTGCTGAGTGCTCTGAGATACCAGTTTGTCCCTTTGTGGTGATTTAGGCAGTTAGGTGGCCTTTGATCTCATTCACAGAGTAAAAATGGCTCAGGAGGAGCCAGCAGACACTAGCGTACACATTTCCAAATGTCATCTTTCTAGAGCCTTCTCTTTGGGGTTGTCACCTCTCCTATAGAATTTGGTAGAATCACAAAGTGGTCTCCAAGAGAGTGTGAATAGGAAGTAAGAGTGAGCAGGCAGGCCATGTAATTGGAAGTGGAATATCTCTGCTCTCAATTGATAATTAGGAATCTTCTTAGATCAGCCTAGAAGAAAACAGACCAAGACATTTCCCAGCCTCCAAAAAAGTAAATGGTAAGCCAGCCCTGTCTTCTCAGGGGAAATGAAATCACCACTCATTTCAGAAGCTGATTCTGGCCTGGGGCCGGGCTGGGTGATCACGCCTGTAATCCCAGCACTTTGGGAGGCTGAGGCAGGCAGATCACTTAAGGTCAGGAGTTCGAGACCAGCCTGGCTAACATGGCAAAACCCCATCTCTACTAAAAATACAAAAATTAGCCATGTGTGGTGGCACACGCCTGTAGTCCCAGCTACTGCAGAGGCTGAGGCACGGGAATCACTTGAACCCAGGAGGCGGAGATTGCAGTGAGCCGAGAGCGCACCACTGCACCCCAGCCTGGGTAACAGAGCAAGACTCCATCTCAAACAAAAACAAAACACTGATCATGGCCCAGGATAAATGTGGGGAGTGACTCACAAATAAATGTGCCAAAGCACATAAAGAGATTCTTTAGGGGAAAAAGTATATCTTGCTTCTTTTTTTTCTCCTGTTCTCTAAAATTCTGAGGCCCAGTATTCTTTGACAAAAAAACTTGATGCTGTTTCTTGGGCCTGCTTTGATCAGGTTCTCTTCACCCTATGCTGCCCCCACCCCCACACACTTCCAGAGTCCCTTCCAGTACAATGGGATGTGACGCAGTCAGGATGCAAACTAGCAAATGACAGTCACGTTTTGGAAAGAAGAATTAAGGGTGGAGACAGATAGGCGGTATTCAAATTCAAGTGCCTTCGTTATCTTTTTTTTTTTTTTCTTGAGACGGAGTCTCGCTCTGTCACCAGGCTGAAGTGCAATGGCGCAATCTTGGCTCACTGCAACCTCTGCCTCCCGGGTTCAAGCGATTCTCCTGTCTCAGCCTCCAGAGTAGCTGGGACTACAGGCACGTGCCACCACACCCAGCTAATTTTGTATTTTTAGAAGAGACGGGGTTTCACTGTGTTGGCCAGGATGGTCTCCAACTCTTGACCTCGTGATCCATCCGCCTCAGCCTCCCAAAGTGCTAGGATTACAGGCGTGAGCCACCGTGCCTGGCTTTGTTTTTTTTGTTTTTTGTTTTGGTTTTTTTTGAGACAGAGTCTCGCTCTGTCACCAGGCTGGAGTGCAGTGGTGCTATCCCGGCTCTGCCAATGCATGTCAATGGAGAGAAGCATTAATAATGCATATCAGTTGAGAGAAGCATTGAAATGCAGTAGTACCTGGTGTGTGGTGATGAGAGGCGTGCGCTTTGAAGTTTTTGGCCAGGAGCAGGACTGGACTGCACTGGCCCACATGTGAGGTGACTGGTGGGGTTGAGGGTTCCACCAGGGTCTGGGTCAGCTAAACCCAGCTGTGGAGTGGATCCTGACCTAGTGCCAGGATATGCAAATCTGCAGCTTTTCTCCTTTGGTTCCTAAACTCGCTTTAGGCCCTCCTGCTCTAAAGCCTCCAGGATTTATTCATTCACTTATTCAACAAATATAGATTATTAAGCACCTACCATGTGCCAGGGACTGGGATACATCAGTGAGTAAGGCAGAGAAGTCCCTGCCTTTAGGAAGCTTACATCTTAGTGGGAGACAATTAATAACTAATAGATATTTGTTAGACAGTGAGAAGTGCTAAGGAGGCAAAATGAGGATAAGGTAAAAAAAGGGGGGTGGCAATTTACATAGGGTGATCAGGGAAGGTCTCAATGATAAGGTGACATCCGAGTAAAACCCTGAAGGAGTGGGGAGGAGATTGAGCCTTTTTCTATCTGGGGTGAGGGGAGGAGGGTGAGAACTCAGCAGAGAGAAGAGCAATGCAAAGACCCTCAGCAGGGGCCATACTTGGTATGTTCAGGAACAGCAGGGAGCCAGCATGGCTAAAGCAGTGAGAGAGGGAGAGTGACAGGGCAGGTGAAAGAGGTTAGGTCACACAGGGGCCTTTTGTGTCACAATGGAGATTTTGGCTTTTACTTTGAGTGGGAGATGGGATGGTATTGGGGGCCTCTGAGCAGAGAAATAACATGGTTTCATTTAAGTGTGATGGGTCTTACTCTGGATGTGTTGAGAATAGACTGATGGGGTCAAGGTCAGAAGCACAGCTAGGAGGTTAATCCGTGGGAGACATGATAGAAACCTGGACCTAGGTGATGACAGAGGAGGTGGTAGAAGCAGTCAGATTGGGCATATATTTTGAAGATAGAGTGTTTGCTGTCAAGTGTAGGGTGTGGAAAAAAGATAAGGATAACTCCCAAGGTTTTAAGGCTGAGGAGCTGGAAAGATGAAGTTACTATTCATTCACTGCAGTGGCGAATTTTGAAGGAGTCACAGGATTAGGACAATATCGGGAGCACTGTTTGGGGCTAGTTAGATTTTTGTTTTGTTTTGTTTTGTTTTTTGAGATGTTGTTTTGCTCCTGTCACGCAGGCTGGAGTGCAGTGGCACAATCTTGGCTCACTGCAACCTCCACCTCCCGGGTTCAAGCGATTCTCCTTCCTCAGCCTCCCAAGGAGCTGGGATTACAGGCGGGCACCACCACGCCCGGCTAATTTTTGTATTTTTAGTAGAGACGAGGTTTCGCCATGTTGGCCAGGCTGGTCTCCAACTCCTGACCTCAGGTGATCCACCTGCCTCGGCCGCCCAAAGTGCTGGGATTACAGGCGTGAGCCACAGCGCCCAGCTGGGGCTAGTTAGATTTACGATGCCTATTAATACATCCAAGTGGAGCTATCAGTAGGCAGTTGGATATACCAGTCGAGATAGAAATGTGAGAGTTAAAATTATATAGAATCTGTATCTTACTGGTTTCTAAACCCACGAGACTAGACAAAATCAGCTAGGAAACAGGTGTAGACAGAAGAAAGGTCCTGAGACAGAGTCCTGGGGCAACCCAATCATTTAGAATTTGAGAGGAGAGGAAGAACCAGCAAAGGAGATATGGGAGAAGTTAGCCAGAGACTAGCAAGTGTGTCCTAGAGGCCAAGTAAAGAAAGTGTTTCAAGGAAGAAGAGGCCAGGCGCGGTGGCTCACGCCTGTAATCCCAGCACTTTGGGAGGCCGAGGCGGGCAGATCACTTGAGGTTAGGAGTTCGAGACCAGCCTGGCGAACATGGTGAAACCCCAACTCTATTAAAAATACAAAAAATTAGCCGGGCGTGGTGTCAGGCCCGTGTAATCCCAGCTACCTGGGAGGCTGAGGCAGCAGAATCACTTGAACCGGGGGGCGGAGGTTGCAGCGAGCCAAGACCAAAAGGAAGAGCAATCAACTGTCAGAGCAACACGGATGACGTGGTTTAAGAAGTAGCCATGGCCGGCGCGGTGGCTCACGCCTGTAATCCCAGCACTTTGGGAGGCCGAGGTGGTCGGATCACGAAGTCAGGAGATTGAGACCATCCTGGCCAACATGGTGAAACCCTGTCTGTCTCTACTAAAATACAAAAAATCAGTCGGGCGTGGTGGCACACGCCTGTATTCCCAGCTACTCAGGAGGCTAAGGCAGGGGAATCACTTGAACCCGGGAGACGGAGGTTGCAGTGAGCTGAGATTGTGCCACTGCACTCCAGCCTGGCAACAGAGCGAGACTTTGTCTCAAAAAAAAAAAAGAAGTAGGCCAGGTGCAGTGGCTCATGCCTGTAATCCTAGCACTTTGGGAGGCTGAGACTGGCGGATCACGAGGTCAGGAGATCGAGACCATCCTGGCTAACACAGTGAAACCCTGTCTCTACTAAAAATACAAAAATAAATTAGCCAGGTGTGGTGGCGGGCACCTGTAGTCCCAGCTACTCGGGAGGCTGAGGTAGGAGAATGGCGTGAACCCGGGAGGCGGAGCTTGCAGTGAGCTGAGATTGTGGCACTGCACTCCAGCCTGGGTGACAGTGAGACTCTGTCCCAAAAAAAAAAAAAAAAAAGAAGTAGAAGTAGCCATTAGGTTTTTAGCAACATGGAGGTGTCTGGTGGTGTGAACAGTTTTCGTGGCATGCATGAGGAGGGTGCAGCCTGGTTGGAGCAGGTTTAAGAAAAGCTAGCGGGAGAGAAATTAAGGACAGTAAGTATAGGTAACTCCTGCAAGGAGTTTTGCTTGAAGAGAAGGGGAGACATAATGGATCTTAGCTGATGAGGGAAATTTTAACTTCTTGATGAAATTGTAGACATACCTAAGGGTCATTGCCTGAGGCTGGGGGTCTGAGATGGCGGAGTGGGGGGAGATGGGAGGCTCAGTAAAGGGTTAATGTGGAGACAAGATCTCCATTCCTTACTCACCTTCTTGCTTACTTCGGCCTGTGGCATTAGCAAGCCACGGCCCAGAGTTGTTCTCATTGAAATGAAAGCCATTGAAATTTGTTTTACTGTTAATGGGCTCTTTTACCATGGTTTTAATTTATTTGTTTATTTAAAATTTTTATTATTATTTTTTAAAGACAGGGTCTCACTCTGTCATTCAGGCCAGAGCACAGTGGTGCAATCATGGCTCACTGCAGCCTCGACTTCCTGGACTCAAGCAATCCTCTCGCCTTGGCCTCCTAAGGAGCTGGGACTGCAGGCACACACCACCACACCCAGCTAGTTTGTAAACATTTTTTGTAGAGATGGCATCTTGCTGTATTGCCCAGGCTAGTCTTGAACCCCTGGCCTCAAGTGATCCTCCTGTCTCGGCCTCCCAAAGTGCTGGTATTACAGGCATGAGCCACCGTGCCCACCTTATAATAGTTATTATGATTGCTGAGGTTTGCCTCTCATTGAAATATTCAGCACAATTTGGAGTCTTTCACTACCAAGGTTGCTGCTTTCTTCATCCAAATGGATTCTCATACCCCATTTGTGAGCTTTCTTTGAGGTCCAACTTTGTTCTCTAAAACCAGCCAGGGCATGCTTTTCCCTCACCAGCTCTGAATTCTTCCAGGCTAGGCAACTGGAAAAGCCTGGGCTTAGAAACTGCTTTGTTGGCTTACGGCCCAGCTGAGCTGACCAAAATAGCCAAGAGAAAGACTGTTTGCACAGTGTGAAATTCCTCCAGGGGAAATACCATAGCAAAAAGCCAAGAAAGCCAGACCCACGATGGCAGGAACCCACAGGCAAAAAAAGCCGAGTTACCCCCAAGGCCTGGGTTGTGGAGATGGAGCCTAGTTCTCTCCAGAAGAAAAAGCTTCCTAAAGCCTACTGTTGTGGTATTTCTGTAGGCGCGTTTTCTCATTTGCTGGGTCTCAAGAGTAGCATTCTCAGTGAAAGGAACAGTCGAACAGCCTGCAGCCTGGTGGCCAGGGCTCAGAGGTCTCTCTTCCTGTTACGTGCTCTCCCCAAGTCAGGCCTAGAAAGACCGTGGGACAGGGACACACTCCCAGCTCTGTGTTGATGGGACAGTGCCGAAGGGTGCCTGGAGTATGCACTGGCAGGTAGCAGGGTCACCTGCCCCAGATTTGAGGTGGGAGGAGGTCAGGAAAGGCTTTCGCTGAGTGAGAGTATAAATGAGCTCTAAAGGACAGGAGCTGGCCGGGCAAATGGGAGAGAGTGTGCTTCAGGCTCCAAGTGAGACAGGGTGGCGTGTTTTAATTCCAGAAATGAAAAACTGAAGTGTGTGTTGGGAGAGTTGGAAGGGAAAGAGGTCAGGAGGGAGGACCAGGGAGGGACAGGTTGTTCTGGCCTTTATAAGTTTATCACAAGAGCATCAGGGAACAATTGAGGGGGTTAATTAGGAGAGTAGCTGGATGGGATTTGCACTTTAAAAAGAGCCTTCTAACCAAATTGTGGAGGCTGACTAAGGGGGAGGCCAGAGGCCAGGAAGCAGTTTTAGAGGCCGTAGGCAGTATCTCAGGTGGATCATGGTGATGAGGATGGGGAGCCTGGGTACACTATAGGGAGATTTGTCTATGAGGTGGAATCATGAGGACTTGATGATTGGTTGGCAGTGAGGGGGATACTCAGGTTTTGTCCTGATTGGAGATACCAGAAGAGAGGCTGCTTTAACCCAGGATATTCATACAGCCCATAGGCACTGAAGGTGTCCGTGAGCCATGTGCCAGGCCTTGGTGTCTGCAGTTCAGTGGTGTAAACAGACATGGCCCACCCTGGGGAGCCCTCGCATACATTGGGCTCATGATTAGTTAATGAGTGGTGAGTGTTCCCAAAGGAGTTAGCCTCATCTCAGGGGTCCAGAAAGGCCTCTCTGAGGAAATGGCATGCCTGTTACATAATGGCTCTTAAATTATGCTGGGAAAGTCAAACAGCCAGAGACCTGAAGGGTGAGGTCTTAGCTAGTGAAGAGAACAGAAAGAGCTGTAAGCAAGGAAAGACAGCTGCAGACACTGAAGTTTTTCAAGGATCTGGAAGAAGGCCTGTGGTGGCTGAGGGTGAGAAGGCTGGACAAAGAATGGGCAAAGCTGTCGCTCAGTGCCCCAGGTGTCTGTGGCCAGCCCTAATGGAAGACCCACAGAGGGCTGGATGTACAGGTCTAACACGTGGAGCAGAGATCTGGGCCAGACACAGGCCTATGAGTTGGCAGCCTGTGGAAGGTATGTAAAGCCGTGCGAGTAGGCATGGTCACCCAGGGAAAGGGTGCTGGGTGAGGAGAAAGGACAGATGTTGGGGAACATCAGTATTTAAGGGTGGCAAAGGAAGAGGAGCCCACAAGGGGAAGAGGTGGCAGGAGAGGTGGGAGAAAATCCATGGGAATTTTGAGGAAGAGGCACTGGTCAGAGGGGCTATTGGATTGAGCAGCAAGGAGGTCGCTGGTGACCTGGGCAGGTGCAGCATGAGCGCAGTGCCAGGGTGGATGTCCTAATGCTGCCGGGAAATGAGTGAGTAGGGAAGGAGGGAGGGGACGGCAGGGTGCCAGCAGTTTTTCTACCAAGTTTGGCCAAAGGGGTAGGAAGAGAAGGCTGTGCTGGAGGGGACAGGAGGTAGAGGCGGATGATCAGTAGTACATCAAGAGTCTAGAAACTCAGGGGATGCTTTTCTGCTGGTTTTGGAATTAAATTGGTTTCCAATATGGGAAAGGAATGTTGTGTGTGGTCCCATCGGGCACCTGCAACCCCATCCCTATGCCATGCTGCCTTCAAACTTTGTTTGATGCCCCTGGAGTTTTCCATGGAACCTAAGAGAGGTACTATTGCTTGTATAGTAAATAATTGTAAAACTTCACCAGCTTGGGGACTGTTGGGAAAGTTTTAGCCAACCTAACTTAATGAAAAGTCTGAATGATATAACTTTGAAAGCAATGCAGCTTTTTCTTTCAAGAATATGCACTAATCCCACTTACCTATGTTGTTAAGTGTTGGTTTCAGTGACCGGATGTAAACTACTGTTAAAACCAAGTGGCACTATTAAAATGGCGGAAGTGGTATAAAACAATTATTCTGACTAAGGGTCCCTTTGCAATCTTCGAACACCATTTAGGCTCGCTTTAAATAGTATGAAAGAAAAGTTAAGCATAATTTATGTCCAAATTGTATATTTTAAATATAAAGTTCCAAATTAATGAGGTTCTAAAGTGCCTTTGATCATAGTCTTACAGTTAGGTATCTATGCTACCTCTTCTTAACCACTTTTCATTTCCAAACATCAGTGGGAAATGCCTCTCTTTTCCTTTTCGTGGTTAATTCTGTAGTGGCAGGGAGATCGGTCTCTCTTTTGGTTGCCCAGGTCTGCAGCCTGTGGCCATAAAGCTCTGAGTGACGCTAGGAAAGATACTTGCAAACATTGGTTTGAGATCTATAGGAGTATTTCAGGAACCAGCTGGGGAGGAAAATGAAACCAAGCTGAAATGGTGCAACGTCCAGCACTAGCAGTCTGCAGCTTGCTTCAGTAGATTCTGCTTTAACCTCCTAACTGAAGAGTCACTCAGAACCCAGCCCAGTGTCCAAACAGTTTGAGTCCAGGGTAATAAGGACTGCAGAGAGGGAGATGATGAAGAAACGCTAGGCCAGTTTTTATTTCGTCTCATTTCATTTACACTCTGCGCGGATCCTATGTCTCTTGTTTTATAATAGAGGATGTCTAAGAGAGTCATTCACTAATTTTAGCTAAGCAAACCTGAGCCCTGGGGGAGCCTCCTGGGAGAGCCATTGCCTTCCTTTGCAGTTCTGCCAGCAACAAACTCATCTTGTATTTTTATCAGCAACATGGTCTGAGAAGTATAAAAATCTTTTTTTTAACTTATTTTAAATCACTGCACTTTCTTCCAGTGAATAAAAATCTTTTTTTTTTGAGATGGAGTCTTGCTCTTGTCGCCCAGGCTGGAGTACAGTGGCACGATCTTGGCTCATTGCAAAATCCGCCTCCCGGGTTCAAGCGATTCTCCTGCCTCAGCCTCCTGAGTAGTTGGGATTACAGGTGCGCACCACCACACCCAGCTAATTTTTGTAGTTTTAGTAGAGATGGGGTTTCCCCATGTTGGCCAGGCTGGTCTCGAATTCCTGAGCTCAAGTGATCTGCCCGCCTCGGCCTCCCAAAGTGCTGGGATTATAGGTGTGATCCACCGCGCCCGGCCATGAATAAAAATCTTAAAGATCATTTGGTCCAACTTCCCACCCCATCTCAACATCCTGACTCCAGCAGGGACACATGTCCTGCCTCTGGTTAAGTGATTCCAGAGAAGGGAGAACATAGTACCTCAGAAGGCAACTGATTTTCATCTTTTCAAAGTTCTCTCTTGTGTTAACTAAAATCTGCCTCAAAATGTCCACACAGGAGTCTTGGTTCTACCCTTTGAACCCATGTCCCCACTCTGGCACCCTGACCACAACCATTGCTGCTGTCTTCTGAACAAGCTCCAGCTGAAAATCCCCCTTTTAAAATGTCCCTCAGAACAGAACCTGATGCTCCAGATGTGGCCCAAGTGTGTAAACTACAGGAGGATATTATTTTTTTGTTCTATGACTGAACTTTTAGAAATGCAATCCAAAATTGCAGTAGCCTTTTTGGCAGCCATATCTAGATTGTGCTGGCCCCCATTCAGCTTAAAGTCAAAACCTCTGGGGCTTTTCCACATGGCACTATTAGGCTCTTTCTGCCCTATATGCATGTGATTGGTTTTTTAACCTAAGTGGAGGACTTATTTTTTTTAATATACAGACAAGGTTTCACCATGTTGCCCAGGCTGGGCTCAAACACCTGAGCTCAAGTGATCTGCTCACATTGCCCTTCCAAAGTGCTGGGATTACAGGCTTGAGCCACTGCACCTGGCCAGGACTTATTAAACTTTAAAGCCATATATGCCTTTAAACCCTCGATGCAGTGATATAAATTATTAGAGCCTCACAGAAATCCTAGAAGGATGACATTACCTTTGTTTTACAGAGGGCACTAGGAGGAGGCTAAGAGGGACCATCCCACTAATGAACCACACAGTCAGAATCTCATTTAGGTATGGAGCCTGATGTTCTTAAACATTGTACCTACCAGTTTTTTAAGATGTCCTTGAACTCTAATACTAATACCCATTGTGTTTCCAATCCTTCTCACTTTTGTGACATCTGCAAGGTTTTTTTGTTTGTTTTTTGATACCGAGTCTTGCTCTGTTACCCAGGCTGGAGTGCAGTGGCACCATCTCGGCTCACTGCAAGCTCTGCCTCCAAAGTTCAAACAATTCTCCTGCTTCAGCCTCCCAAGTAGCTGGGAGTACAGGCATGCGCCACCACACCCGGCTAATTTTTTTGTATTTTTAGTAGAGACAGGATTTCACCATGTTGGCCAGGCTGGTATGAACTCCTGATACACCTGCCTCAACCTCCCAAAGTGCTGGGATTACAGGCGTGAGCCACCACGCCTGGCCAACATCTGCAAGTTTTACTTGTCGTCTAGATCTTTGCCAAACTTGGGTGGTGAATACCATTCTAAAGCCTAAGTTTTCCAGCCTGTAGGGCACAAAACCAATTTAGTGGGTCACAGCCAGCATTTAAAAAAACAAAACAGAATAGAAAAATATCACGGTCCGTCACATGTAATAAGGGAGTTTTGTTTCAGGAAACTTTCATTGCATGAGCATGGGACAGAAATGTGTGGTGTATGTATGCATATGGTGGGTCTTGATGCAAATTGTTTCTGTAACTGTGGTTCGTGGTCTGATAGTTTGAACACTACCACTCTAAAGGAAAAATGGTTTGGGTTGGCTTAGATTATTTTCATTATAATATTACAACTTAATTTTATATGAACATGAATCTGTGTGTCAGCTCATTGATCTAGCTCCTATAAAGTTCACACATGTAACTACAAAAAAAGCCAGTAAAATTCAAATTATCAGCATCATTCTGAGAGGGTGATGTTTGACTGAACCCAAATCATTGCTTTTCCTTGTAAGCATGGCACAGACTTGACACTTAGGCTCCTTGAGTTCTGCACACCCATCCTGTAGCGTGTCAGTCAGAGTAATACAGTCTTTCCACTGCTTCTAAAGTTATGTCATCTTTCACTTTGCACAGATGTATCGTGAACTAAATGTGCAGAATGAAGTTGTCCTAATTAGCCCACACAGTGCACTTGTAAACACACACACAGGCCCTGAAATGTGCAGGACTTGGTTATGCAGCAGTTACCTGGTGATCTATGGTATATGTTCATTTTTAAAAAGATGATTGGGCTGGGTGTGGTGGTTCATGCCTGTAATCCCAGCACTTTTGGAGGTGGAAGCAATGGGATTGCTTGAGCCCAGGAGTTCGAGAAAAGGCAGGGTAACATGGCGAAACCCCGTCTCTAGAAAATACATAAAAATTAGCCGGGTGTGGTGGTGTGCACCAGTGGTCCCAGCTACTTGGGGGGCTGAGGTGGGAGGATCACATGAGCCCAGGAGGCAGAGGTTGCGGTGAGCCGAGATCACGCCACTGCTCTCCAGCCAGGGTGATAGAGCAAGACCTTGTTTCTAAATAAATAAACAAACAAATAAATCTTTGTTTTGGCTGGTCATGGTGATTCATGCCTGTAATCCCAGCGCTTTGGGAGGCCAAGGTGGGTGGATCACTTGAGGTCAGGAGTTTGAGACCAGCCTGGTTAACAAGGCAAAACCCCGTCTCTACTAAAAATACAAAAAAAATTAGCCGGATGTAGTGGTGGGTGCCTGTAATCCCAGCTACTTGGGAGGCAGAGGTTGCAGTGAACCAAGATCATGCACCCCAGCCTGGGCAACAGAGTGAGACTACATCTCAAAAAAAAAAAAAAAAGATTGGCCGGGCACAGTGGCTCACGCCTGTAATCCCAGCACTTTGGGAGGCCAAGGCAGGCGGATCACGAGGTCAGGAGCTCGAGACCATTCTGGCTAACATGAAACCCCCTCTCTTACTAAAAATACAAAAAATTAGCCGGGCGTGGTGGCGGGCATCTGTAGTCCCACTACTTGGGAGGCTGAGGCAGGAGAATGGCGTGAACCCGGGAGGCGGAGCTTGCAGTGAGCAGAGATCGTGTCACCGCACTCCAACCTGGGCGACAGAGCGAGACTCCGTCTCAAAAAAAAAAAAAAAAATCACAGTGAAAACACACAAGAAAAGAATAAAAAGGCCTCTGCGGAGATGCCTGTGAACCCTGGTCCTGAGACCCACCCCAGTTCGAGACACTTTGCAGCAGCAGACTTCTCAGCACTTAGGTGGAGGCATGCTCAGCTTAGCCCCAGACAAACTAGACTATCATATTGCCCAAGTTTCCTCCTTGTTTGTTCACAAGAATATTATGAAAATGTCAGCCAGATGCCTGTTGAAATAAAATACCTGGTGTATACCATGCTCTTGATGTATCCATCCAAAACCCTACAAAAAAGAAACAGATTTGTTCAGCATGACCTGTTCTTCTATATTATAATGCTATTCCTTGTGGTCACTCCTTCCTTTCCTCAGTAGTTAACAGTACTATTCAATCATTTGTCCTAGGATTTTGCCAAGAATCAGTGCCTGTAATATTACGGGATCTGCATATATAATTTTGCCCAGAGCTGCCCTCCAGCTCCATACACATTTGCAGGTGTGTCTGCAAAGTCTCCCCTCCTCTGGAGTATAGTTTGTGTGGACTTCAGGCCTGGTAACCATTTAAGGCACTGGTGTGCTTTCTTACCAGCTCATCACCTATCCAGGGCTTCAGTTTCCACTTCACCTTTTTTTTTTTTTTTTTATGGAGATGGGATCTTGCTCCATCACCCAGGCTGGAGTGCAGTGGTGTGATCACGACTCACTGTAGCCTTGACCTCTCAGGTTCAAGCGATCCTCCCACCTCAGCCTTCCAAGTAACTGGGACCATAGGCATGTGCCACCATGTCCAGCTAATTTTTAAATTTTTTGTACAGATGGGGTCTCCCTATGTTGCCCAGGCTGGTCTCAAATTCCTGGCCTCAAGCAATCCTCCCACTTCACCTTCCCGAAGTGTTGGAATTATAGGCACGAGTCACTGCATCCCGTGCCTTCACCTTTTCTTTACTTTTCCCCATTTAAGAATTGTTCTTCCAAACAGAGAAGCCTGAGGCCAGCCAAAATGTGAACGGTTCTGCTTTCCCAATATGTATCCTTTTGTTTGTTTGTTTGTTTGTTTGTTTTTGAGACACAGTCTCACTCTTGCCCAGGCTGGAGTGCAGTGGTACGATCTCAGCTCACTGCAACCTCCACCTCCTGGGTTCAAATGATTCTCCTGCCTCAGCCTCCTGTGTAGCTGGGATTACGGGCACCTGCCACCACGCCCTGCTAATTTTTTGTCTTTTTAGTAGAGATGGGGTTTCACCATGTTGCCCAGGCTGGTCTCTAACTCCTGAGCTCAGGCAATCTGCCTGCCTCAGCCTCCCAAAGTGCTAGGATTACAGGCGTGAACCACCACACCCAGCCCAATATCTATCCTCTTTTTGCCAAATTCCTTACAAGGACTCAACCCCTGCGCCTTTTTGTTTGTTTTTTTTTTAAGAGATGGGGTCTTGCTATGTTGCCCAGGCAGGAGTGTTTTGGCTATTCACAGGTGTGATAATAGGGCACTGCAGCCTCAAATTCCTGGCCTCAAGTGATCCTTCCATCTCAGCCTTCCAAGCAGAATGCATCCTGAGCCTTTTTGTCTCTTTTAGTCTTTAAAGTAATACCCCTCTTATTTCTGTACTTACTGAAATCTGCTTTCCAGAGGTCCAGGATTGAAGTCTGACTCTGCCTGGTGTTCTTTTCCTTAGTGATTTATGCACTTTAAGATGGTATAGATTCTTTCTCCTAAAATTCTCATGACTTTCGTTTTCCTGATACTGTGTTTCTTTCTTTTTAAAAAATTTTTATTAGGGACGGGGTCTAACTGTGTTGCTTAGGCTGGTCTTGAACTCCTGGGTTCAAGCGATCTTCCCACCTCGGCTTCCCAAAGTGTTAGGATTACATGCATGAGCTACTGTACCTAGCCTCTTTTGGATGACTTAAGTGCACAGTAGAGAGTCCCTTCATTACTTCCTCAACCTTATTTTTCTTTATTTAAGAAAAAAAGTACAGTAGAATATATTTATCATGGGAAAATGAAAAAGTACAGAAAACCAAGGTGCAAAATAAGTTTAAGTCAAACAAAACTCAACCGCTAGGAGATAATGGCTTAAGACTTTTTCCTATTTGATTATATTCATATATAGAAATATATACACATTTAAACAAAAATAGAATTTACTCTGTTTTCATTCTCCTTGTTATATCCAGTTAGTCATTAGCTCTACTGAGTCTTGGTTGATGCCTGTGGGGCCGTGCCTATTGTACTATGTAAAAGCGTAAATTCAAGTAAAGAATTGACCCATGAGGCCAGGGATGGTGGCTCACGCCTGTAATCCCAACACTTTGGGAGACTGAGGCAGGTGGATCACCTGAGGTCAGGAGTTTGAGAACAGCCTGACCAACATGGTGAAACCCTGTCTCTACTAAAAATACAAAAATTAGCTGGGCATGGTGGTACATGCCTGTAATCCTAGCTACTCAGGAGGCTGAGACAGGAGAATCACTTGAACCTGGGAGGTGGAGGTTGCAATGAGCCAGGATCGTGCCATTGCACTCCAGCCTGGGCAACAAGAGTGAAACTCCTTCTCAAAAAAAAAAAAAAAGAATTGACCCATGTGCTGTATATGCTGCCTGGGGACAACGGCCTTTGTGGTGAAGGCTGAGCATAAAACACCCAAGACTTGGCAGTGGAGCAGGTGTGTCCTCCTTGTCAGAAATCTTGGCTGAGCGATACTTCCCTCCCAGTTTTGGCATCTGTCTACAGCAGGAGTGAACAGGAGGCTTGAGTTTGAGCTAGAGGATTAGCTGGGGAGCTCCCCCCTGCCCACCATAGAGGAGTTCCAGTTTAGCTATGGAGAGCCAGCAGTGCCCAGCAGAGAGGGCATAGCTGAGTTACAGAAGAGAGTCCTGGTATAATCTTGGTTATTTTTGTGTTATCTCAGACTCTGTGGTGGCTGGAGGGGGCAGTCCAACGACAGCAGGACCAGCTGTCCTCACAGCCTCAGATGGCTGAGTCTGAGGAGAGGAGAGGAGAAAGTAATCTACTGAAATAGATGTAAGGCTATCAACCCAGGGTGGGTAAGTCTGGGGAAAAGTCATTAACTTCCCTTGGAGAAGCAGCAACAAATAGAGGCAAAAAGAAAATCTGGCTGGGTGCAATGGCTTATGTCTGTAATCCCAGCACTTTGGGAAGCCAAGGCGGGTGGATCACCTGAAGACAGGAATTCGAGATCAGTCTGGACAACATTGTGAAACCTCTGTCTCTACTAAAAATACAAAAATTAGCTGGGCATGGTGGCAGCGCCTGTAATCCCAGCTACTCAGAAGGCTGAGGCAGGAGAATTGCTTGAACTTGGAAGGGGGAGGTTGCCGTGAGCCTAGATCATGCCACTACACTCCAGCCTGGGCAACAAGAGCAAAAATTCCGTCTCAAAAAAAAAAAAATAGAAAAAAAGAAAATCTGAGGCAAGTGGGCTTGCGTTCTTTTTGGGCATTTTATACATTACTCCATCTCTTTTCTTCCAACAGATCCACAGACCAGCATGGCTGCCACTGCTGCTGTGAGTCCCAGTGACTACCTGCAGCCTGCCGCCTCCACCACCCAGGCGAGTAGGCAGTGGGCTCCGAGGGCTTGGGGCTGCAGCATCCTGGACAGACTCACCGAAAACACTCTCTCTTCACTGTCTCACTATAAATACCCTAGGTTATGAGACTGGGGAAGGTTCAGTTAGCCACATTTTCTTTACTGAGAAACTATGGCCATTTACCTAAGGTGCCGCAGTTGGGCCAGGGGGAAAAACAAGGATTAAACTCTGTGTTCCTTCCACCAGACCTCACTAAAAAAGGAAAAGGAAAACAGAGGCTTTCTCATTGTCTCGAAAGTGTAGCCCTCCCCAGTCTATAAAGTTACATGTTCCGAGTACTAAAAAGCACTTTACTGAAGTATTTATTCCTCCTGTTGCCCCTCCATTTTTTCCTCCCTCCTTTCCTCAGTTGAGCAATCAGGGACCCCTCAGTCCCTGGGGTGGGCTAACAAACTCCATCTGAGAGCCAAACATGCTTCACTGTCCTTAGAAACAAGGCCAGCGGAGAGTAGGAAGTCAGCTCGTGCTGTTAGTTTACCCTGTCTGTGGGGTGCTGCCAGGGGTTCCTTCCTGAGAAAGACATTGCCCACCTTTTCTCCCTCACTTAATGGAGAAACCAGTAGAGAAGGGGAGACAGCAGCCAAGCAGGGGAGGGTACTGGCAACATGCCTGCCCCGGAGGTGGGGAAGACTGGCGTGGAATGCCGCCAGGAGGAGAGGATCATGGACAGAGGCGGCCGGGCAGCGGGCCTTCCTGTCTCACTCCTTTTCTCTGCTGTTTTTTTGCAGGACTCCCAGCCATCTCCCTTAGCCCTGCTTGCTGCAACATGTAGCAAAATTGGCCCTCCAGCAGTTGAAGCTGCTGTGACACCTCCTGCTCCCCCACAGCCCACACCGCGGAAACTTGTCCCTATCAAACCTGCCCCTCTCCCTCTCAGCCCCGGCAAGAATAGCTTTGGAATCTTGTCCTCCAAAGGAAATATACTTCAGATTCAGGGGTCACAACTGAGCGCCTCCTATCCTGGAGGGCAGCTGGTGTTCGCTATCCAGAATCCCACCATGATCAACAAAGGGACCCGATCAAATGCCAATATCCAGTACCAGGCGGTCCCTCAGATTCAGGCAAGCAATTCCCAAACCATCCAAGTACAGCCCAATCTCACCAACCAGATCCAGATCATCCCTGGCACCAACCAAGCCATCATCACCCCCTCACCGTCCAGTCACAAGCCTGTCCCCATCAAGCCAGCCCCCATCCAGAAGTCGAGTACGACCACCACCCCCGTGCAGAGCGGGGCCAATGTGGTGAAGCTGACAGGTGGGGGCGGCAATGTGACGCTCACTCTGCCCGTCAACAACCTTGTGAACGCCAGTGACACCGGGGCCCCTACTCAGCTCCTCACTGAAAGCCCCCCAACCCCGCTGTCTAAGACTAACAAGAAAGCAAGGAAGAAGAGCCTTCCTGCCTCCCAGCCCCCTGTGGCTGTGGCTGAGCAGGTGGAGACGGTGCTGATCGAGACCACCGCGGACAACATCATCCAGGCAGGAAATAACCTGCTCATTGTTCAGAGCCCTGGTGGGGGCCAGCCAGCTGTGGTCCAGCAGGTCCAGGTGGTGCCCCCCAAGGCCGAGCAGCAGCAGGTGGTACAGATCCCCCAGCAGGCTCTGCGGGTGGTGCAGGCGGCATCTGCCACCCTCCCCACTGTACCCCAGAAGCCCTCCCAGAACTTTCAGATCCAGGCAGCTGAGCCGACACCTACTCAGGTACCACACTCCCTGTACTGTCCTCCTTCTCCTCCTCTGGTTATCTCTTTTTGGCTTGCTTTGAAGATGATGCTGGTCATCTCCCAGCTTGATCTGACCTTGAGAGTCAGTATCTTTTGGGGTGGGCAGTAAGTGGCCGTTTCTACCTGACAAATGGGCTCTCTTTAGTTCATAGGGCCAAGTACTTCTTATCTTTAGAAATTGATGAAACATAGGGATATTTTGGCACCTTTTCCTTATAGGTTGTTTTTTTTCAGGGGATGGTGAGGGGATAGATACATACTTGTTAATAACTTATTTTTGATTATAGAATTACTCAAAACATTAGCAAGAATGAAAACATTCCAGTTCATAGAATTTTATGTAAAGTAAGAAAATTAATGAGAAAAATGCTGATCATTATTAATGACAAGAAAAAAACAGGAAGAGCAGCCTAGCTTTATAGCAGGAATATTTAGGCTAGATTCATCTGGAATGTTTGTTTGTTTTAGGGTGTTTTTTTTTTTTTTGAGATAGGGTCATACTCTGTTGTCCGGGCTGGAGTGCAGTGATGCGGTCACTACAGTCTTAATCTCCTGGGCTCAAGCAATCCTCCCACCTCAGCCTGAGTAGCCAGGACTACAGGTGTATGTCACCATGCCAGGCTGAGCCACTGCTTCCTGCCAAACTGGGATGCTGAATTCAACAAGAATGTTCTTATTTTTGGCATTTATTAATGTGCTCTAATACTCTGGAATCTCTTTGGCTCTGTGAGGCAAGTTTTATTCTTTGTTCATGCCTGCTAAGTGCCAGTAATTGTGCCCATGTTGCAGATGGATAACCCAGAACTCAGATAATTTATGAAGTATCCAAGATCAAATAGGGCATAAATGACAGGAACCAGGAGTCAATTGAGATTTGTAACTTCAGACCCCACACTCTTCCATCTTCCACCTTGACTCTTGTGTCTTATGTGTAGCAGGTGCTACCATTAAAATTGAGGAGTTTTTTTTTTTTTAATATAAAAAACAGTTCCTGCCATCGAGGAATGTATGACCTAGTTGTCTATAGAGGAAGAACCGAATGACTGAGAGTGGGAAGTTGTGTAATTTCCTGGGTGGAGAAGAGAGCCTTTGAATTTGAACTGTGGACATAGAAATCACACAGGAATTCACCCTTCTGGCATATTTAATGTTGCCAGGTATTTTTTATAAGTCATTTATCACAATATCTGTGAATTCCCATGATCAGACCTACCCTACAGGTGATATTTTATGTTGCCAGGTGATTTTTTATAAGTCATCTATCACAAATATCTGTGAATTCCCATGATCAGACCTACCTTACAGGTGAAGAATTGTGGCACCTGCTCAGGAGCACATCCTCGGCATTGCCTCCCCTCCCTTCCATGAGGTCCCATTTCTTGAGGTTGATGGAGACAGGACTAAAACCCAGGTCTTCCCTAAGGAAATAATGATACATATGCAGAAAGATTTAGCTACAGTATTATTTTTTCATGACTACACAGCTTTATAACATCCCAACATGCTGATTATTATACAACTGATACCTTGTTAACTGTATATATCTAGGCTGTTTCCAATCTTACAGCTAAATAAATCCCTGAAAGTGGGTCAAGGACACGTACATTTTTAAAAAATTTGTATTCTATATTAGAGGTTTGCAGTCTGTGACCAACTTTGAAGCCAAATCTAGCCCACCTGCCTGTTTTTGTAAATAAAGTTTAATTGGAGTGCAGACACGTCCATTTGTGTTGCCCTTGCACTACAGTAGTAGCACAGTTAAGTAGCAGAGACAATATGCCCCGCAAAGCTAAAATATTTACTCTCCGGCCCTTTATAAAAAAAGCTTGCTGAACCTTCAGATGCAAATACACACACACACATGCATGCACGCATACACACACACACACAAAATCAGACATAAAATATCAGTGATTTGAAAAAGGGGCACATATCAGAAAACTGGGAATGAGATTTGCATATTTACTAAGAAATGGGCCAGGTGAGGTAGTTTATGCCTGTAATCCCAGCACTTTGGGAGGCTGAGGCTAGAGATTGCTTGAGCCCAGGAATTCAAGACCAGCCTGGGCAAGATAGCAAGACCCCATCTCTACAAAAAAATTAAAAATTAGTGAGGCATGGTGCTACACACCTGTAGTCCCAGCTATTCAGGAGGCTGAGGTGGGAGGATCACTTGAACCCATGAGTTCGAGATTGCAGTGAACTATGATCATTCTACTGCATTTTAGCCTGGGTGACAGAGACCCTGTCTCTATTTAAAAAAAAAAAATTTTTTTTAAAGAGATGAGATGTTTGTTAGCTTTTAAGTGAGAAGAAGCACAGTCATAAATAATCCAGGAATTAAAAATTACCCAAATCAAAATCACAACAGGATTTTTTTTTTACAAAGAACTTTTTTCCTTTTGACTCATTTGAGTGTAAATTGCCACCATGATCCCCCTTGTCATTTCTGAACGCTTTAATTCCTACACACAAGAACATTCTACATTACCACAATACAATCGTCAAACCCAGGAAATTAGCAGTGAAACACACTGCTAATTCCAAGACCCCACTGTGTTTTCACCACTTGCCCCACTAATTCCTTTGTGGCAAAAGGATCTGATCCAATATTACACATTACGTTTAGTTGTCTCCTTAGTCTCTTTTGATCTGAAACACTTTGTCATTCCTTTTTTTTTTTTTTTTTTTTTTCTGTTTTTTTGAGACAGGGTCTCGTTCTGTCACCAGGCTGGAGTGCAGTGGCAATCTTGGCTCACTGCAACCTCCAACTCCTGGGTTCAAGCGATTCTCCTGTTTCAGCCTCCCAAGTTGCTGGGATTACAGGCGCGTGCCACCACGCCCGGCTAATTTTTTTTGTATTTTTAGTAGAGACAGGGTTTCACCGTGTTGGCCAGGATGACTTCCTCATTCTTTACTTGACCATCATGACCTTGACACTTTTGAAGGCTAAAGGTCAACTTTGGCCATTGGCAGCTCTTTCAGGTCGGCTCTTTTTTTCTCTTTGGCCATTGGCAGCTCTTTTCAGGTCGGCTCTCTGCAACCTCCGCCTCCCGGGTTCAAGCGATTCTCCTGCCTCAGCCTCCCGAATAGCTGGGATTACAGATACCCGCCTCTGCGCCCTGCTAATTTTTGAATTTTTTTTTTTTTTTTGGAGACGAAGTCTCACTCTGTCACCCAGGCTGGAGTGCAGTGGCGCCATCTCGGCTCACTGCAACCTCTGCCTCCCGGGTTCAAGCAATTCTGCCTCAGCCTCCCAACTAGCTGAGACTACAGGCGAGCGCCACCATGCCCAGCTGATTTTTTGTATTTTTAGTAGAGATGGGGTTTCACCATGTTAGCCAGGGTAGTCTCGATCTCCTGACTCTGTGATCCGCCCGCCTCAGCCTCCCAAAGTGCTGGGATTACAGGCATGAGCCACCGCACCCGGCCAATTTTTGTATTTTTTTAGTAGAGACGGGGTTTTACCATCTTGGCCAGGCTGGTCTCGAACTTCTGACCTTATGATCCACCCGCCTCGGCCTCCCAAAGTGCTGGGATTACAGGCTCGAGCCACCACACCCAGCCTTCAGGTTGGCTCTTATATCCCTCTGACAGGCTCTCATTCTTTTTTTTTATAAAATCAGCTTTACTGAAACATTCACATACTATGAAACTTACCCTTTTAAAGTATACAATTCAGTGATTTTTAGTATATTCACAGAGTTGTGCAGCCATTACCTCTATATAATTTTAGAACATTTTCATCACCCCAAAAAGAAACTCTCTACCCTTTAGCCATCACTCCCCATTTATTTCCTCCTCTCTGCAGCCCCTGACAACTACTGGTCTATTTGTAATGTTTTCAAGGTTCATCCATGTTGTAGCATGTGTCTGGTGACTGGCTTCCTTCACTTAGCATGTTTCAAGGTTCATCCTGTTGTAGCATGTGTCTGAACTTCATTCCTTATATTTTCCCAACCTCAGCCTTAGGGTCAACCATTTCTTCTCAGATTCCTGGTTCCTCTCATTGAAGGATGTGATTGCCTCTTTTTAATTCTGTCATTGTCTTCCTCCCCCATTTATTTATTTATGTCATTATGGACTCACGGATTGCTGCTTTTTTGTTTTTTTGAGATGGAGTCTCGCTCTGTCACCCAGGCTGGAGTGCAGTGGCACAATCTCGACTCACTGCAACCTCCACCTCCCAGGTTCAAGCAGTTCTCCTGCCTCAGCCTCCCCAGTAGCTGGGATTACAGGCGTGCGCCATCCCTCCCGGCTAATTTTTTTTGTATTTTCAGTAGAGACGGGGTTTCACCAAGTTGACCAAGCTGGTATTGAACCACTGATCTCAAGTGATCCGCCTGCCTTGGCCTCCCAAAGTGCTGGGATTACAGGCGTGAACTACTGCACCCAGCCAGATTCCTGTTTTATTCACTGGGTTATAATCTGTTAAGATTATTTTGATGTTTTCATTGACCTAGATTTGGCCAGTGGGTGCCCCTTTAAGCTGGCTTGTATCTTTTCAAGTCCCCACCATTCTGTAAGCATTTCTTTACTTTCTGGTGCAAGTGTTCCAAGCTTTCCTTGTACCTTCCCTGCCCCAACCCTGGAATCAGCTATTTCTCCAAGGAGCCTGGGTTCCTTTTAGTGGAGCATGTGAGTTACAAGCTAAGGCCTGGGTGCTAGGTAAGCTCATTGCTACTGGGCATGGCTGGTCCCAGCCCTTCTCAATGGACACAGCTAGGAAGTATATATAAATAGACATACCTATGCAATGTCTACGTAGATAGATGTAGATAAACTTATATAAGGACACACACACATGTATACACATACACATATACACACATTTGAATCTATATTTCTCTGTCTATATATATTGAAACCCATGAGTTTCCACCAATGTCTCTAATTCCCATCTAGCACCACAGTGTTCCGTCTAGCCTTCTCCCTTTCCATAACTCCCTTCTGTGACAGTGAGAGCCCTCACTCCTATTATCCTTAACATGCTTCCTTTCTGGATAAGTCCTCGGTATGCAGCCAGTCTCCCACAGCCATTAGCTCTCCCATAGAGACACCCTCCTCAGCCTGCCACCGCCATTCCCTACCCACCACGGACACCCTCCTCCCCGCTACAAATGCCCTCCTTGTCCTGCTCAGCCTCTAATTTGCGTATTTTTAAGGTTTTTGATACATATCCCCAAATTTCCTTCCAGCAAGTTTAGCCCACATCATACTTCCACTCCTAATATACAAGTGTCTGTTTCCTGCTGTCTCACCAACAATGAGCATATTTTATTTTCCATGTTTGTCAATCTGAATTGGAGAAAAGTTGTTTTTCATTAATATGTGGCTCTTTTTTTTTTTTCTGATAACAAAGACCAGAAACTTTTTTTTTTTTGAGACAGCGTATTGCTCTGTCACCCAGGCTAAGTGCAGTAGAGGAATCATAGCTTATGAAAACCTGGAATTCCTGGGCTCTAAAATGTGGCTCTTAAAAACTAAAGTGAACCTGTGTCATTTGTTTGATGGTCATTCACAGTGCACTGCCTTCTAAATCTCCAATTCTGATTCTTGGCAATTACTTTTTCCATGCTAAGTAAATTCAACGTTTGGTTTCAAATCAATAGTCAACATTCGCCAGCTTAGTATAGGATGCCAGCAGCCATTTGTCGAGCATTAGCTGTGTATAAATGTAGGTTTGGGTGAATTGAAGAGACTTTTAGTGGACAGGCGCCCCCAGTTCTCACTTGGGCAGGGACATTTGAAGGCCCCAGGAACCTAGTCTCTTCCAGGCACTGATTTTTTTTCTCTGGCCCCTCCCAGGTCTACATCCGCACGCCTTCCGGTGAGGTGCAGACAGTCCTTGTCCAGGACAGCCCCCCAGCAACAGCTGCAGCCACCTCTAACACCACCTGTAGCAGCCCTGCATCCCGTGCTCCCCATCTGAGTGGGACCAGCAAAAAGCACTCAGCTGCAATTCTCCGAAAAGAGCGTCCCCTGCCAAAGATTGCCCCAGCCGGGAGCATCATCAGCCTGAATGCAGCCCAGTTGGCGGCAGCTGCCCAGGCAATGCAGACCATCAACATCAATGGTGTCCAGGTCCAGGGCGTGCCTGTCACCATCACCAACACAGGCGGTGAGGATGGCCCCTGTGGCCAGGGTGTTGGCAGTGGTACCTGCTCCTAGCAGGTGGAAACTATGGGCTGGCCCCGGGATTTCCAGTAACAATAGTGAGGATGCTGTCCATCATAGCTTAAGGGTACGTCCACCTGCAGCTTCTCACCTAGTCCTTACAATAGCACTCAGAGATAGTTTAAGGCACATGTCCCCATCTGACAGCTGAAGACAGAGAAGATAGATGTACTCGGAAAACTTTCCAACTGACATCCAAACGCAAAGACGGCTTCTTGAAGGAGAAAGCCTTGCGTTAAGGTTGGAAGAAAAGAAGGGAGCCCTGGCAGTCAGAATAGTTTGTGCTGCACTTCAGTTCAGTGGTGAGATTTATGCTGTGAAACCAGCCTTGCAAATAACCAAAGGAAAAATTGGAGCAACCTAGCAAAAATGGCTCCTTATGTAGGGGGAGCTCTCTGAATTTCTCTTCATCCTTAATGAATTTTTTTTTTGAGACAGAGCCTCACTCTGTCGCCCAGGCTGGAGTGCAGTGGTGCGATCTCTGCTTCAGCCTCCCGAGTAGCTGGGATTATAGACGCCCACCACCACGCCCGACTAATTTTTGTATTTTTCGTAGAGATGGGGTTTCACCGTCTTGGCCAGGCTGGTCTTGAACTCCTGACCTGGTGATCCATCCGCCTCAGCCTCCCAAAATGCTGGGATTACAGGTGTGAGCCACCGTGCCCAGCCCATCCTTAATGAATGTTTAGCACTTTAACACATTTGCTTTTCCCTCTTGAGGTGACCCCCAAGAGGATAAGGCATCCTAGAGGATCTGATTTTTCCCAAAGCCCATAGAACTGTGTCCTCTTTTGTGTTTTTTGGTTTTTTTTTTTTTAAGACATGGCCTCAGGGCCTCGCTCTGTCATCCAGGCTGAAGTGCAGTGGCACGATCATGACAATGCAGCCTCAGCCTCCTGGGCTCAAGCAGTCCTCCTACTTCTTCTTCCTGAGTAGCTGGGACTACAGGCATGTAGCACCATGCCCGGCCAATTTTTTAGTTTTTTGTAGAGATGGGGGTCTCCCTATATGCCCAGGCTGGTCTTGAACTCCTGGGCCCAAGCAATTGTCCTGCCTGCCAGAGTGCTGGGATTACAGCTATGAGCCACTGTACCTAGCCTGTGACCTCTTGTCTTTTTAACAGAAATCCCTGGAGACTTTCCTAAAAGCAGAGTTGGTATCTCACAGGGGCCTAAGGTTGGAGGAGATTCAGGAAGAAATGTCTTAAGACCCTTCCCAGCTGAAATCATGTTGGCAATATTCTAAAGCAAATTCTGCCTACATAGTACAGTGGTTCAGGGCACTGACTTTGAAATGGGCTTCCTGGGTTCAGATCTGGGTTCTACCACTTACTAGCTGTGTGATCTTGATATGTTATTGAGCCTCAGTTTCTTCATCTGTAAAGTGCTGATGATAGTACCTATTTTATAGGGTCATGGAGATTAAATGAGTCCCTGTACAAAGGTCCTTAAAATGATATCCAACATACAGCAGGCTCTCAAAAATAGCTGCTGTGATTATCATCTTTGTCATGTGCAGAAGGGCAGAAGGGTTGACTCGAGGTTTCAGGCTTCCTCACCCTGAACTCTGCCCCTCTTTGTCCCCACAGGGCAGCAGCAGCTGACAGTGCAGAATGTTTCTGGGAACAACCTGACCATCAGTGGGCTGAGCCCCACCCAGATCCAGCTGCAAATGGAACAAGCCCTGGCCGGAGAGACCCAGCCCGGGGAGAAGCGGCGCCGCATGGCCTGCACGTGTCCCAACTGCAAGGATGGGGAGAAGAGGTAATTCAAGGAGAAGGCCCAAGCCACAAGGCTGGCCTGTGTTCCCCAAGCCCCTCCTGGACAGTTGTCCAGAGCTGCAAGCTGGCACAGACCAGGCAAGGAAGAGCTGGCAGCTCTGTGCCACCTTGCCCCCTGCCTCCTTGTGCTCTCTGACCTGACCCCACATCCTCACTGCATCCTGTTCCTGCCCCATCCTCTACCGCTTTTCTCTCCTCTTCCTATTCCCTCCACTCCACCCTCACCCCAATTCTCAGGTCTGGAGAGCAGGGCAAGAAGAAGCACGTGTGCCACATCCCCGACTGTGGCAAGACGTTCCGTAAGACGTCCTTGCTGCGTGCCCATGTGCGCCTGCACACTGGCGAGCGGCCCTTTGTCTGCAACTGGTTCTTCTGTGGGAAGAGGTTCACACGGAGTGACGAGCTCCAACGGCATGCTCGCACCCACACAGGTCAGCCCCCTGCCTTCGGGACCCTCCACCCACAGAGGTCAAATTCCTGCCTCTCCTCCCACCCCCACTCTACCGGCTTTAGCAACATTGACACTCCTGGAACTGCCACACTGAGCAAAAGCTACAGACTATCTAGGGACGACATAGGAAATTATTTTCAAGCCATTCTGTTATCACTGTTGTTTCCCCAAGTAATGGGAAAGGAATAGTTGTCATTGCATGACACAACCTGATAACTTTTGCCATGTCAGCATAGTTATTTAACAAACACTGACATGGTATGCCAAGCACAGTACTAAGCACTTTACTGATTACCTCAGTTGATCCTGGTAAGAACTTTATGGGAAGATACTTTGTTTATGCCTTTTTTTTTTTTTTTTTTTTTTTTTTTTGGAGATGGAGTTTCGTTCTTTTGCCCAGGCTGGAGTGAAGTGGTGCGATCTCAGCTCACTGCAGCCTCCACCCCTTGGGTTCAAGCAATTCTCCTGCCTCAGCTTCTCAAGTAGCTGGGACTACAGGCACCCACCACCACACCCAGCTAATTTTTGTATTTTTAGTAGAGACGGGGTTTCACCATGTTGGCCAGGCTGGTCTCGAACCCCTGACCTCAGGTAATCCACCCACCTTGGCCTCCCAAAGTGCTAGGAATAGAGGCGTGAGCCACTGCGCCGGCCTGTTGATGCCCATTTTACTGAGGCATGGAGAGCTGGCCCAGTCACACAGCTAGTGACTGGTGCGGCCAGGTTCACACCCAGGCCCTGCCATGGCTTTTTGTTTTTTTTTTTTTTTAAGACAGGGTCTCACTCTTTCACCCAGGCTAGAGTGCAGTGGCACAATCTTGGCTCACTGTAGTGTTGAACTCCTGGGCTCAAGTGATTCTCCCACCTCAACCTCCTGAGTAGCTGGGACTACAGGCATGCACCACCACACCTGGCTAATTTTAAAATTTTTTTAGAGACAGGGTCTTACTGTGTTGCCCAGCCTGGTCTCAAACTCCTGGACTCAGATGATCCTCCCTCTTCTGCCTCCCAAAGTGAGATATCACAGTTATAGTTTTAGGTACTAGCAAATCAATGCAAAACTATTAAAAATATTGATCCAAGCTGGGCACAGTGGCTCACACCTGTAATCCCAGCTCTTTGGGAGGCTGAGGCAGGTGATCACTTGAGCCTAGGAGTTCGAGACCAGCCAGGGCAATATAGCGGGAGCCCATCTCTTAAAAAAAAAAAAGGATTATACATCTACCACCTGAAATTGTCCTGGGTATCCACAGTGGTCCACACATACACTTTGGCAAACAGTGCTATAGTGAATGCCCACAGTGAGCAGACACCTGTCCTGGGGCTAGAGGGCTGAGGGAAGCGTGACCCAGAGCTCCGGCTCCTGGCCAGTGTGGTGGGACAGGTCCTACTCCCCAAAAGGCAGAGGAGTCAACACTCCACAGAAAAGCAGTTGGGGTCAACATGGTTCCAACTGAGTGCTCAGGGCTGGCAAGGTCAGGGTGGAGGGGGATTTTCCTGTGATGGGGAGGATGCTGATCCAGGTTCAAAGTCAGAGGGACAAAAGAAGAAAGCAGGCAGACAGCCTTGCACAGGAAGACTCTTAGGTGCAGAGGCTCCAGGGACAAGGAATGGGAACGAAATAGACTGGAGAGGTCAAATGGGGGGTCAGAGAGAAATGAGAATTGATAAAGAGATTTAGATGAGTAGGGGCCAAGCATGATGGCTCGTGCCTGTAATCCCAGCACTTTGGAAGGCCAAGGTGGGCGGATCACTTGAGGTCAGGAGTTCGAGACCAGCCTGGACAACATGGCGAAACCCTGTCTCTACAAAAATACAGGAATTAGCTGGGTGCAGTGGCGGGCATCTGTAGTCCCAGCTATTTGAGAGGCTGAGGCAGGAGAATTGCTTGACCTGGGAGGTGGAGGTTGCAGTGAGTGGAGATTGTGCCACTGCACTCCAGCCTGGCCAGCAGAGTGAGACTCCATCTCAAAAAAAAAAAAAAAAAAAAAGATATAGATGAGTAAGCACCAGTGAGCAAATGTGAGAGCAGGAGGTGGGCAGAATGTGGTGACAAGGCCATGTCAGCTTGATTGGGTGCACCTCACACGCACCCCACCTTTTTGGGCAGAGACAGGGTCTGTGCACAGGGTCTGTGGGTGATGGGCATCTCCTCTTCCCAGGGGACAAACGCTTCGAGTGCGCCCAGTGTCAGAAGCGCTTCATGAGGAGTGACCACCTCACCAAGCATTACAAGACCCACCTGGTCACGAAGAACTTGTAAGGCCAACTGCGGCGGGAGGCCCTGAAGATGCAGTCCCCCACCTGTGTCCTCCCTGGGCCCCTGGTGGAAAGGAGCCCTGTGGCTGCCTTGGGCCTGCCCTCAGCCCCACTCCTGTTCTGCAACTGTCCCCACAGGAAGGGGCTCTGTTCCCTGTATTGTCCTCCTTCTGAAGCCCCTTGGCTCTGCCTTGGCCCTTCCCCTCACCACGAGCTCCCGGCCTGCCCAGACTGTGGACACTGGCCGTGCCCAATGAGACGTTCTAAACCAGGACGCGTGGGAACCCTTATTTCCAAAGGAAAAACATGCATTTCACTCCGTCGAGGAGCAAAGTGAGCCCCTACCCCCCACCCCGATCCCCGCTCCCAACACTGCCGGAGTCGCGTCATGCCATGCCCCCTCTCCTGCACCTCCCTGGCCCTGCCGGCCACTGTGGACGCCCTGGGGCTTGGCACCCACCTCTGGAGAAACTCGGGGCCACCTCCACTCCATGTGCCCAGCCCCGCCACAACCTCTCCTCCAGCACATTCCAGCTCTATTTAAAAAGTAAAGACACCCACCGACTCCTGATCCCCCTCTTTTTCTATGGAGAACGTTGCCTTATACTCTACTTCAGATGATGAACACTGTGTACTGTGTGTGCTTTAAAGAAGTTTTATTTAATTGCTCCCTTCTTCCTTTCCTTGTTATTCACCTCCCTGATGCCTGCTTTCAGTTGAGGGTTGGGGGCAATGATGAGCATATGAATTTTTTCTCACTCTAGCAATTCCCTTTTCTAAATGACACAGCATTTAAACTCAAATCTGGATTCAGATAACAGCACCTGCACATCCTGCACCTCCTCCCTCTCCCTTCACCTCACCCCTGCCCGGCCCAAGCTCTACTTGTGTACAGTGTATATTGTATAATAGACAATTGTGTCTACTACATGTTTAAAAACACATTGCTTGTTATTTTTGAGGCTTTTAAATTAAACAAAAATCCAACTTTATTTTTAGTTGTAACTGCTTGAGGTATGTTTTATGAATTAAGTGACAGATTTGTTATCCTTTATTAACGTACTTTGTTGGTCAGCACTGGGCTGACAAAAATTTTTTCTTGCTAATAAATTTAGTTGCCTGAGGCAAAATCTTCAACTTGGCAGTTCGGCTTCCTTTGTCTTTTCCCTTGGAGAGCTCGGAGAGGGGACTCCAGAGGAGGGAGCTGTGGTCTCTCAGAGCGATCCACACTGGGACCAAGGTAGGACCTTGCCCTCCTGACCCTCGGCAAACCCAAGCCACATGCCCAAAAGGGGCCGCGGCCACATATACCTCATGACACTGGCACGAGCCCCCAGAGCACCTCCAAGGGCCAGGGCCCAATGCAGGTGTTCCTGCCTTTTTCTTCTGTAAGCCAGTTTTGCCTGTACACAAAGCAGATACGAAGAGCCAAGTTACAGCAGTGACCTCAGCCAGCAACTTAGCTCTTCCACCCACCTCCCCAACCCCTGGAGGAAGGCATTGGCCTCAGAGCCCATTAATAAGAAGCTTAGAGAGGAGAGCCAATGGGGCCTTGGCTCAGTCCCCTCCAGAAGGCTACAGTCTGGCAACAATGCATTTCCCCAAGGGCCAAGGTCCCTTCCCAAAGTGAAGGGCGAGGCAGGTTCCTGGGAGGGCTTGGCAGCTAGAGAGGCCTGGAGCCCAGCTGCACCCGATAGAGGACTCTGGCCACAGATACTGGTTCCTTCTATATCGCCTGCCCAGTAACCCAGAGAGGACAAGAAGTTGATTGTGCCTTTTGGTTTTAGCAGATGCTACAAATCTGAAATTTTGGTGGGGATTTGTTTTGCTTTGTTTTGCAGAACTAATAGGAACTCAGGGGTTGCGATGTTGTGCAGATTAAGATTGGAGCTAGCTCAGTACATGTGTTTAAGCCCCACAGGGCCCTGAAGAGCATCCGGCCTGAAGAGACAGGCAAGTCCGCCTCAAGCATGTAAAGGACAGCATGTGCTTTCACTCACCCTCGAAAGGACACAGCTGGGATTGCTGTTCTGTTCAGGAGTGGCGAGGCTCGTTTTGAGCTATCCATTCCCCTGCTCTGTTCCCTTTGTCACCAGCCACCTGTGTCTGCCAGCAAACAGCTTTTCCTTAGAGCCAGTCAACCCTCAAATGGCTGAAAAAGTAAAAAGCCCACAGATCTCAGATGGATCCAGGTTCTCTGCCCTTTCCCTCTTCTTTGTTAACAAGCAGGGGCCTTTCCTATCCCTACGGAAGTCGTTTGGGCAATACTAGACCACCAGCTGAATCTACCTTGACACAGAAGCCTCTTCCTCAGCCCCTCAGCTCTGCATCTCATCACCGCACTGGCAGCAGGTGGAAGACATGAGGTGTATTTATTCCTCATGCGTGGACTGCATGACTAGAAAACTGCCTTGCTGCATTCTGAATAAGGGGATTGGTGGAGAGAAGGGGAATATTAACAAAGTGACCTCTTTTTGCCACGTTTCCCTTGGCTTTGCTCTCAGGCACAAAGAATGATCCTTTCCTGGGAGCTGATTTCAAGCCATGTGCTTTATGCTTCCAGTACAGAAACTGACCTGACTCCCCAGCATCATTTGGAAATGAAGGTGCCAGCCCCAAGTTGGGCAGGATGAGCATTTCCCATGTAGGATTTCCCTTCTCCAGTGAGATGGGGGTTCAAAAGTTATGTCTGATCATCTCTGCCTCCCTTGGGATGGCTAAGAGCGAGAGAATGTATTCTGCCTAGCTGAGTGATGGCACAAGGAAAGCACAGAAAGACTTGTGGGCAAATTAACCCTCCTCTGGCTTTAACCTATCCATTATTTGAGAGTTGCAGGGGAACTGTTGAAGGTGTGATGCAGTCTAAGCTCACCCTAGGCAAGAGGCTCCCACAGACACCTGATCCTGATGGGCCCTTGATGAAAATCTGGGTGCAGCTCAAGGGTAGGGGCCCCACATGTGTAGTTCCTCCTCTGTCCTCTACTGTCCCCAGCGTCATGTGCACCAAAGCCCATCCCTCATGCCCTTCCTCTCTGTCCAGCTGACACTTGGCATTGTGCTCATTATCCCACAGCCTAGGATTCCATGCCTGGAAGAAAGAGGGACTGGGCAGGATTTCCCTCCCAAAGGCAAATCCAGGCATTATATGTACTTTTTTTTTTTTCTTTAACAAAACCAGCAAATGGGTCTTCCTTGCCCTTCCTTCAGACCACCCAGTCCATTTTTACAATCATCTTTCTGGCCGGGCACAGTGGCTCATGCCTGTAATCCCAGCACTTTGGGAGGCCGAGGCGGGTGAATCACTTGAGGTCAGGAGTTCAAAACCAGCCTGGCCAACATAGTGAAACCCTGTCTCTACTAAAAAATATAATAATTAGCCGGGCGTGGTGGCGCATGCCTGTAGTCCCAGCTACTTGGGAGGTTGAGGCAGGCAGGAGAATTGGTTGAACCCAGTAGGCAGAGGTTGCAGTGAGCCGAGATCGTGCCACTGCACTCCAGCCTGGGTGACAGAGCAAGACTCTGTCTCAAAAAAAAGAAAAAAAATCATCTTTCCAGTGCCCTTGTGAGGCCCCAGGCTTGTTTGATGACAGTGCTGATGTTACAGCCTGCCACACGACATATTTTGAGGAAGACAGGATGGAGCAAGATAAGGGTTCAGATCTATCCCCAAGCCCAGGGTAGGTGTGTAGGAGCCCTGAGCGGATGGATGAAAGCTGTCCTGGTCTGAGTGCAGAGAATGGGGTGTTCGGGTTCTCCATTTGAGTCTTCCACTGCCCAAACCTGAGGCCCCTTTAAGGTTGCCCCTTAAAGTTGCCACACCCAGAAATTGGGCCAAAGAAGTTAAGCTGTTGATTATTTCAATTCTGAATAAAAATGAAGGCATCTTCTCTGCCTTCTAAGGCCTGGTCTGATCTTGGCTCCTTCATCACTAGAACCTTCCTGAGCAGTGGTCTGGGACCCCTCGCCTTCCTCCCTCCACCTGTGTTTCAGAGCCCTCCTAGTCAGCATGGGCTTCACCTCAAACCCCACTACTATTCTCTCTTCTTCCTGGGGTTCACCTCAAGCCCCACTGCTATTCAACCCCCCTCTTTCTCTTCAGCTTCAAAATAGACTCCCGCATGTACCTTGATTAAACACAGGCCCACTGCAACCCCAGTGCCCCAGGGACGAGGAGGGAAACTGTTTTTAACCATAAGGAAAACAAAGCAAGTACTGTGGTCAATGTCAGTGACCCTCTGCTTAGGGCAAATATTGGAGTGTGTGACTGCAAAACTGGGACATCCACCCCCGACTACAGGGGGTGCCCCTATTCTGCTTCGGCCAGTTGATGGTATGTGAGAATGCAAACTCTTGTGATTTTTGTAAGAGAACCCAGAAATGTGGAGTTTGGGGTGGAATCTGATCTTTCCATGTTTGCTCAATTGTTTAAAAATACAGCAGGACCAGTTTCAGTGCTTGAGCTACCAGTTTTTGACTTCTGCATCATCCATCCCCTCTTCCCTGGCCAGTGACATCCTCTCTACCCCCTGACAGTCTCCAACCTCTCAGTCTTCCCTTCCCCAAGTTACAGGATCACAATGGCCAAAACATTTTTTGTTTGTTTTAAGACAGGGTCTTGCTCTGTCACCCAGGCTGGAGTGCAATGGTGCGATCTCAGCTCACTGCAACCTCTGCCTCCCGGGTATGCAATTCTTTTGTTCCTAGCCTCCCAAGTAGCCGGGATTACAGGCATCCACCACCACGCCCAGCTAATTTTTTTTTTTTTTTTTTTTAATAGAGACGAGGTTTCACCATGTTGGCCAAGCTGGTTTCAAACTCCTAACCTCAAGTGATCCGCCAGCCTCGGCCTCCCAAAGTGCTAGGATTATAGGTGTGAGCCACCATGCCCAGCCTCATTTTTTGTATTTTTAGTAGAGACAAGGTTTCACTATGTTGGCCAGGCTGCTTTCGAACTCCTGACCTCAGGTGACGCGCCTGCCTCGGCCTCCCAAAGTGCTGGGATTACAGGCGTGAGCCACTGCACCCAGCTCCCCAAACAGTTTAACCTGCTGCCCAAGAGATTATCAAAGTGGAAGGACTCAACTGTCCAAAGCAAGTGGGACAGCCCCTAGGGGTTAGACCACTGGCCTCAGTGTCCAAAGGCTCAAGCACCTGTTGCTTCTGCTTCTTCCCCTGCCTGTAAGGGGTGAACAGGGTTCTCAGTTCCTCTCGTGCACCAGGCCCCTGACACACTGACCTTTCCTAGAGGACCTTAGACCAGCACTGACCCCTCCAGTGAGCAGGCAAACGGCTTTTCATGGTGGCAGTGTCAGCAAGAATGTGTTGCCCAATAGTGAAAGAACAGGCTGCAGACCCCCAGGAGAAGTAGTGGAGCATCCATTGTGTCATCAGCCTGGGCTTTTCAGGTGACATCTGTGGCAGCTCTGCAGACTGCAGTTGCGTGATGTACACACCTGAGTTTGGGGTCAGCTCTACCTTAGGTCCACTGCTGTCCTGCAGGACAGTAAGAGGGCCTGGTCCCCAGTCATTAATCTTGACATTGTCTCAGTCTCTTCCTAATTTCCAGTCCTAGAAAAGCTTGGCCATGATGTTGACTGGACACAGACCCCTCTGCAGTCAGAGGGGGCTAGATCCACCCCCTACAGCAATGCCCACACCAGGGTCCCATGAGGCGTGTGTCTTCTACACTGTCCTCCCATAGGCAGGCGGTCTTATTCAGCACAGCAGGGCCACCTACCCCATGCCAGGGAGCTTTTAGGGAGACAAGCCCAAAGTTTAATAGAACTGTCATGACTGGGAGTCCTCAGGGGGAACACCCTGGGCTCCCCAGCTCACGGTGAGAAAGTGGGCTGTGGTCACGCACACAGATACAACTTCTTATCAGCAGCATCATCCTTTACCCCAGGCAAAAGGGAATATGGCAGAAGTTTCCTAGTTCACACTGCCCTAAGGAAAACTCACCCTGCCCAAGGCCAACCCTATCTCTTGTCCTGTCTCCAAAACCAAGCTGAGTGGACCCATTTCCCCACACACCACACCCATTCTTCTTTTTTTTTTTTTTTTTTTTTTTTTTTTGAGACGGAGTCTCGCTCTGTCGCCCAGGCTGGAGTGCAGTGGCGCCATCTCGGCTCACTGCAAGCTCCGCCTCCCGGGTTCACGCCATTCTCCTGCCTCAGCCTCCCGAGTAGCTGCGACTACAGGCGCCCGCTACCACGCCCGGCTAATTTTTTGTATTTTTAGTAGAGACGGGGTTTCACCGTGTTAGCCAGGATGGTCTCGATCTCCTGACCTCGTGATCCGCCCGCCTCGGCCTCCCAAAGTGCTGGGATTACAGGCGTGAGCCACCGCGCCCGGCCACCACACCCATTCTTAAGTTGAGGGGACCTGGACGAAGCAGCTGAAAGACTGAGAACTGTTACGGATGAGAGACTAAGGGGACAGGACTGCTAAATGCAATGTGGGGTCCTGGAACAGAAAAAGGACATGAGTGGGAGAAAAAGGGGTAAAACTCAAAAAAGCCCATAGTTTACTTTTCTAGTTTTTATTTTTTTGGTAGAGATGGAGTCTCCCTATGTTGCCTAGGCTGGTCTCAAACTCTTGGACTCAAGGATCCGCTCACCTAGGCCTCCCAAAGTGTTGGGATGACAGGCGTGAGCCACCATGCCTGGCCTCTGTAGTTTAATTAATAGTGGTGTGCCAGTGTTAATTTCTTGATGTAGACAATTGTGCTATGGTAGTAAGATCTTAATATTTGGGGAAGGTAGGTGAAGAGTGTATGGGAAATCTTTGTACTATATTTGTAACTTTTTTGTAAGTCTAAAATTACTGTAAAAAATAAAATGGAATGGAAGACCTGGAATAGAGAAGTAAAAAATGAAGCAAATGGAACAAGATCACCCAAGCAGCATCAGAATCAGAGTGGACAGCACATACTATGGTGACTAGGACCCTGAGATTCTGGAGATTATGAGAGGTGTGGGCACCTGCTAGGCAGAGCTTGCCAGCTATGGCCCCACCTCCATTCTGCCCCTTGCCACTTGCACCACCTCAGGTCCCCAGACCCATCAGGGGCTCATGGCTGATAGAACACAGATGCCAAGGAACCTAACTCAGGATGAGATGCTGCCTTGGGACAGAGAACACTTGTGATTCAACCAAGGTCTTTGGGGCTGGGGTGAGTCACTAAAGAAACTGCGGTAATAGGACAGGTGGCAGTTGGGTTTCCTAGGAGAAGGGGTCCTCAGGGAGTAGAAGAGGCAGGAAGTGAGCCTGCAAGGATGGAATAATGAACAGGGCTGTGGGTAAAAAAGGAAGCAAACCATGGTGGACTATGGTAGTGACTCAGAGCCTGGAAAAGAGGGTCAAATACCTGCTCATAGGGACCTTGGGCAAAAGGAAATGAGAACTGACTCCAGGGCAGGCCAAATGCAAGGACCAAGATTTCTCAAAGGAAACTAGGAAGCCGCTAGGCCATGTCCTTTGGGCCTGCCTGAAAACCCACCACCAGGCCTCCTCCCACTCACTGCCTGTGGCCGACACCATAATTACCAAGGCAGGTAGTCTGGGGACTGAAACTGATTTAATTCACTTGGACTTTGAAGCTCAACATCCCTCCAGTCAACAAACACACTCGTGGACGGGCACAGTGGCTCATGCCTATAATCCCAGCATTTTGGGAGGCTGAGGTAGGAGGACTGCTTGAGCCCAGGGGTTTGAGACCAAGAGCAACATAGTGAGACCCCATCTCTACAAAAATAAAAAAATTAGCCAGCCATGGTGGTATGTGCCTACACTCCCAGCTACTTAGGAGGCTGAGGTGGGAGGATCTCTTAAGCCCAGGAGGTCAAGGCTGCAGTGAGCTATGAGTGTGCCACCGTATTCCAGCCTGGGCAACAGAGTAAGACCCTGTCTCAAAAAACAAACAAACAAACAAACAAACAAAAAAAACGAAAGAAAAGAAAAAAAACCAAAACAACAAAACACACACTCAGCCCTGCTCCCACCATGTGCAAAAATGTCCTGCACCCTACTCACCATACGTAACACCCATCATACTGAAAAGCTTAAAAAAGTGGTTTATGCATAAACATTACAGATTAGCATTTTTTGAGCACACCTTGTGGGCTAGGATTGTGAGAAGAAGCCAGAGAAAGTTAAGAGATGTGGTCCCTCTCGTGAAGGAGGTCCCATTCTAACAGGGAATACCAGCCACCCACAATGTATTTGGGAAGCCATCTATAAGCACATGCAAGGATCGTTTAGAGGGTTAGCCACAAGCACCAACAGGCAGGACACCGATAAGTTTCAGCCTCCTCTGATCTCGTCCCAAGCCTCTGAGGACCCACCTCCCTTGGGCCTCTGATAAACCCACTCAGGGCTTAGGCATCTGCTGGCAGAGCACCAAGCACACGCCCTTCTGTAAGTCCTGGTGTTGCTACTCTTGGGGCTCCAAGCTGAGTTCACTTCAAGGCTGGGCCCAAGAATTCCTGAGCTTCAGGCCCTCCAGCACACCCCTTGCTCTGCTATCAGCCTTCTTCCTCTCACCTCTTAGAAAGCTGGACACAGGCCGGGCATGGTGGCACACACCTGTAATCCCAGCACTTTGGGAGGCTGAGGCAGGCGGATCACCTGAGGTCAGGAGTTTGAGACCAGCCTGGCCAACATGGTGAAACCCCGTCTCTACTAAAAATACAAAAATTATCCGAGTGTGGTCATGCATGCCTGTAATCCCAGCTACTCAGGAGGCTGAGATAGAAGAGCTGCTTGAACCCAGGAGGTGGAGTTTGCAGTGAACCGAGATCATGCCACTGCACTCCAGCCTGGGTGACAAGAGCGAAACTCCATCTCAAAAAATAAAAAAAAATTAAAAAAAAGAAAGCTGGATGCTATATTTCACCAGCATCATTACCACTCCTCCTTGACTCTCCATTTCCCTACCACCCTCCCTAACTCTCCCAGGCCCTCTTCCCTTCTCAGACATTCTCATCCTCCCTCGTGGCTCTAAGTGCCACCTCGAGGCTCATGCTACCTAAACCAGTATCATCAGCCCTGACCTCCCCACGAAGCTCCAGACTCCATTATCCAACCTGGCCAAACATGGGTGTCCCATCAACCCTCACACTCAAAATGTTGCTAAGGAATTCACCTTTCCCCCAAACCTCCTCCTCCAACAAGCCCCACTTCAATGAACAGCACCACCTGTGTCACCTAAAGCCAGCCCTGGTGGGTGGATCCCTCCTCTCCACATGCCCTACGCCATACTCATGCATCAGGATCCTGCCCCCACCTTCCACTTAGACAACACCACAGCTTCTCCCAACCTATCCCTGCCACCAGCCTGACCCTCCCTTGCTCATCACCCATTTGGTCACCAGAGCCAGGTTCCAAAACACAAATCCAATCACTAAAGTAAAACTGAAATACATAATTTAGTCAGATAATTAGAAAAAAGGTGGTTTAAGAAAGTAAACGTAGCTGGGTGTGGTGGCTCACGCCTATAATCCCAGCACTTTGGGAGGCCAAGGAGGGTGGATCACTTGAGGCCAGGAGTTCGAAACCAGCCTGGCCAACACAGTGAAACCCCCTCTCTACTAAAAATACAAAAAATTAGCCAGGTATGGTGGCAGACACCTGTAATCCCAGCTACTCGGGAAGCTGAGAAAGGAGAATTGCTTGAACCTGGGAGGCGGAGGTTGCAGTGAGCCCAGATTGCACCACTGCACTCCAGCCTGGGCAACAGAGTGAGACTCTGTCTCAAAAAAAAAAAAAAAAAAAAAAGGAAAAGCATTAGAAGAAAACAGGCAAGGCACAGTCCCCAAACCCACATGCAGACCGTTTTTTTTTTTTTTCTTTTGAGACTGAGTCTTGCTCTGTTGCCAATGCTGGAGTGCAGTGGCACGATCTCAGCTCACTGCAACCTCCGCCTCCCGGGTTCAAGCCATTCTCGTGCCTCAGCCTCCCAAGTAGCTGAGATTACAGGTGCCCGCCACCATGCCTGGCTAATTTTTGTATTTTTAGTACAGACAGGGTTTCACCATGTTGGCCAGGCTGGTCTCAAACTCCTGACCTCAAGTGATCCACCCACCTCGGCCTCCCAAAGTGCTGGGATTATAGGCATAAGCCACCACACCCGGCCATGCAGACTTTTTTGTTTCATCTTGAGAAACCAGTGTGCCTCTCTGTACAATAAAAATGTTACTATGTATTTTCTATTCATTTAAGACTTTCTCAAGAGAAGACTGAAACAGTAAAATAATTCCTTTCTCCCACTCAGAAAGTCCCTGCTCGTGGTTGCGTCAGTAGCAAAAGTAGCTAGCAGGCTTGTTTCCCTTCTGGTTGTGCACTGAGGGGCTGCTTTGTGACCCAGAAACCAAATCCAACTAAGCAGAAAAACATAACCCAAGTCTACTTATTATCCTCAAGACAAAGGGAAAAATACAAAAGGGCAATCAACTGCACACTTCTTTGCTAATCGCCAAGGGAAGGAGACGCTGTCAGAATCTAGCACTTTTTCTCCCCATCTGGTCTTTAAAAAGCAGGAACTAGACACTGGTTCACAGGCTAAAAAATATCACAGGATAAAATATCAGAATCATTGTGTCTAAAAGCCTGACCCTGGGCACCTGCATGATGACTCTGCAGCAAGGAGCACCTATCCCTGCCTGCTTGTTCAGCTTGTTTTCTCATCACCTTTGCTCCAGCAGTATTACATGTCTCCAGGTTCCCCCAAGTGCACCATGCCTTTACTCACAATGTTCCCTCTTGCTGGGACGCCTGTTCCATTGTCCATCTAGCGAAAACTTACTCATTAAGACATCAAATGTCCACTCCCTTTACAAAGCCTTTCCTGACTGTTTGATCCTCTTCTTTTTGCTCCTCTTTACTGTACAGAAACACCCGTTAAAATATCTCAGGAGGCTGAGGCAAGAGAATCTCTTGAACCCAGGAGGCGGAGGTTGCAGTGAGCCAACATTGTGCCACTGCACTCCAGACTGGGTGAAAGGGTGAGACTCTGTCTCAAAAAAAAAAAAAAAAAAAAATCTGCAACAACTCTTAAGCTCACAAATCTGCCTCCCCCTATAGACTACAAGCCCGGGTTGTCATCTTCATCTCAATATTCTCAGACCTGGTTCAGTGCCCGGTCCAAAGGAAGTATTTAACAAATGTCTACTGAATTAATACATAAATATGTATCTACTTCCACTATACTGAGCTGTTGGCTTTTAAGTACATAGATGATCTTAGTCTTGGTGTCCTAGAATCCAGGTCCAGGGTAGCAGCAGCCCAGGAGTGCTGAGTGTGAAGAAAAACCCCATGGCCAGGCACGGTGGCTCACGTCTGTAATCCCAGCACTTTGGGAGGCCGAAGTGGGTGGATCACTTGAGGTCAGGAGTTCCATACCAGCCTGGCCAACATGGCGAAACCCCATCTCTACTAAAATTACAAAAAATTAGCCAGGTGTGGTGGCACACGCCTGTAATCCCAGCTACTTGGGAGACTGAGGCAGGAGAATGGCTTGAACCCAGGAGGCAGAGGTTGCAGTGAGCCAAGATTGCGCCACTGCACTCCAGCCTGAGTGACAGAGGGAGACTCTGTCTCAAAAAAAAAAAAAAAAAAAACCCATGAACCAAACCCATCTGAGTTGAAGTGCACTCACTACTGCTTACACAGGTTCAACTGCAGGGGCTTAGGAGGGCAGGAGTACAGCAATGTTCTTATACAGAAAGACAACTTCGGCCAGGTGCGGTGGCTCACGCTTGTAATGCCAGCATTTGGGAGGCTGAGGCAGGCGGATCACAAGGTCAGGAGATCGAGACCATCCTGGTTAACGTGGTGAAACCCCATCTCTACTAAAAATACAAAAAATTAGCTGGGCGTGGTGGCGGGCGCCTGTAGTCCTAGCCACTTGGGAGGCTGAGGCAGGAGAATGGCGTGAACCCGGGAGGCAGAGCTTTCAGTGAGACGAGATTGCGCCACTGCACTCCAGCCTGGGCGACAGAGCAAGACTCCATCTCAAAAAAAAAAAAAAAAAAAAAAAAAAAGAAAGACAACTTCAACAGGAAAGTAAATCTACTCAACTTTCTCTCAATTATGCTGATGGAGGAAAATGATGGCAGCACAAAAAAATCCAACCAGTGGAGAATCCATAGACCAATATCATTAAGCCTTGAGACATGTATTATTTCTTTGCAGCAAAATTGTCTTCCAGATTCTATCTGGCTCAAGCTATGTACACATAAAGGATGACAGGTATCTAATGTAGGGCTTCATGAAGCTCAGCTGTAATGCAGACACCTGGCCAGGCCAGGAAGTTCCCCTTACCTGGCACAGTCCTGGGTGCCTGCCTAGATGGCTCTTGCAGTTCCCCTTCCTGATGCTGGTGGAAAGCAGGGCTACAGAGAGGTCTCGACCCAAGGCCGCCCCAGCCAGCTCAGAATTGGACTGGGCATGAGTGGGTTTCCCATTTTTCAGCCTTGCATCCACAGCCTGGAAAGGCTATGCACAGCCACCTGCTCAGTGTACTCTCAGTTGGCAATTGCTTGCATTGACCTAGGGGCTAGACTCCTACTACCTAGCATGGGCAAAATGTGGAAAAAGGGAAGCTTGACAAAGATTGGGGAGACCCTGGAGAAATGGGACATTGGCAGCCTTGCTATCTACCAGGACACTGGCTCCTATGAACTCCAGTGCACCATGGCAGGGGAAACCATGAGCAAAGGGAGTAAAATGCTCTGACCCTTGCTTAAATAAATGAGGCTGGAGGGAAGGGGTTTAAAACTAGAAGAGGTGGCGGGCGCGGTGGCTCACGCCTATAATCCCGGCACTTTGGGAGGCCAAGGCGGGTAGATCACTTGAGATCAGGAGTTTGAGACTAGCCTGGCCAACATGGTGAAACACCGTCTCTACTAAAAATACAAAACTTAGCCGGGCGTGGTGGCGGGCGCCTGTAATCCCAGCTACCCGGGAGGCTGAGGCAGAGAATTGCTTGAACCCGGGAGGTGGAGGTTGCAGTGAGCCGAGATCGCGCCACTGCACTCCAACCTGAGCGACAGAGCTAGTCTCCGTCTCAAACAAAACAAAACAAAACCAAAACTAGAAGAGGAAAACCACTCTGGTCTGGGATACCTTGGTCCCAAATTTCCTTCTTCCCCCTTCCCATTCAGCCATCTTCCTTCTCACCTCACCGTCTCTTCCTCACCCCACTGCACCTCCCCACTCGGGGCATGGTCCACAAGTCATTTCAACCTCTCCCACTCTCATGCCCTAATTTCTCCCCACAACCAGATTACCCTTTTCTCTATGTGTCCCCATCACCTTGCCTCAGAGTCTGGCCCCTAATTCCATTTTCCATTTTTCTTTTCCCATTCCACTAGTCTCCCTTCCCAGGGGGTACTTCCTGCCCTAAGCTCACCTACAGGCACCTACTATGGGCCAGCCACTTAATACTGACTACTCCCCTCAAGCCCCCGGGACACATCCTCCGCCCCGCCTGAGCTGCAAGAGATCCTCCTATACCTTTAACCAACCTCCACGTGCGTGTTAACCGCGGTGACAGCATTTCCTTGTCTCTCTGCTCCCGCCCCCAAAGGCGCTACCCATTGGCCGCTGGGTTCCTCTGTTCTCGCTCTAATTGGCCTCGTTACCGAAAAGCTCCAACCAATGACCTCTCCGTGTCTGTCTCCCTCCTCCGATCCTGGAAACTCATTGGCTCCGAGGACTTAGGACCTGTTAGCTTGGTTGGGCGACTGGCAAATCCTTCCTTCCCCGGGGTAGAAGTCCAGGGTGAGAAATTGGTTCCGAACTCAAAGGAACCCAGTGCCGGGCCACAGCCGGGTCACGTGGCCGGCGGCCCCCCATGACGTGCTGGCTGCGGGGCGTCACGGCGACGTTCGGGCGACCTGCCGAGTGGCCAGGCTACCTCAGTCACCTGTGTGGTCGCAGTGCTGCCATGGACCTGGGACCCATGCGCAAGAGTTACCGCGGGGACCGAGAGGTGCCGCCGCTAGGGCCAGGCCTCCTGCAGGGGCGGGGGAAAAGGGGTCCCCGGAGTCATCTACAGCGGGGAGGGGAGTAGTAGGAGCCCCTCGGGGCTTCTGGGGCCACCCGGTGGGGCAAGGAGGTTTGAGGATCACCCCCCGTGGGAAAAGGGGGCTTCAAAGACATCCCACCAGGGGAGGAGTTCCGGGGAAACGCAAATGAAGATGGGTTCAAAAGGCAGCCTTTCGTAATGGGTAAGAGCTCGAACTTTGGAGCCTGCCTGGGTTGGAATGTTTAATGTATCTGGGCCTCAGTTTCCTCATCTGGGAAGTGATAGTATCTGCCTCACGGGGATGTTATGGTCTAAGATGTTTGTAAAGTGCTTAGAACCCTGCTACTCGACAGGTAGCAAGGTCAAATAACTTGCTCAGTCCCACAGCTAGTGATGAATGAATCGGGGTTTCATGTGATGGATGTCAGGACTGTGCTGGGCCTCCCTCAAGGGCGGGGGAAGAGGGGTCCTCGGAGTCATCTACTGGGGGGAGGGGAGTAGGAGGAAACAGCCCCTCAGGGCTTCTGGGGCCACCCCCTGGGGCAAGGAGATTTGGGGGTCACCCAAACCTCCTTGTGCCAGGTGGGCATGGTCATGGGCCCCTCTTTAGGTGGGTACAGTGACAAACAGCTTACAAACTGTTTGACAAAAAAGTAAGTGGAATATGGGGGAAGGGGACTAGCTCGGGGAGGAGGGGAGGAGAAAGCTCTTAGCTTACTGCCTTCAGTACTTTCTGCTGACCACTGGGAAGTTCTTTTCCTTTTCGCTCCTCAGGAGGGGAACCAAGAGAACCTTTTAGGAATTGGGGTCCAGGGCCCTGGTTGCCAAATCTGGTTGCATGTGGGCATTTCTAGAAACGCTTGTTTAAAATGCAGTTTTTCCAGCCTGGGCAACATAGTGAGACCCTGTCTCTACAAAAAATTAAAATTAGTCGAGCATGTTGGAGCGTGCCTGTAATTCCAGCTACTTGGGAGGATGAGGTTGGAGGATTGCTTGAGCTCAGGAAGTTGAGACTGCAGTAAGCCGAGATCACACCACCGCACTCCAGCCTAGGTGACAGAGTGAGACCCTGTCTAAAATAAATAAATAAATAAATAAAAATGCAGTTTTTGATGAAGCCTCAGACCTGCTGAATGAGAAATTTTGGGGGTGGAGCCCAGAAAGTTTTTTTTATGCTCCCCAGGTGATTCTGATGCACAGACAGTTTTGACACCCATGACATGTAACCCTGATTTATCCATCACTAGCTGTGGGACAGCAAGTTGTCTGAGTTTTTATGCCTGTTTCCTCACCTGTAAAATGGGGCACAGAATCTTCTTACTGCATACTATTTCTTATTTTAAGGTCATTGTCATGAGGACTAAATGAGTTGATTTTTGAAAAGTGACTAGAACAGTGCCAGGTCCATAGTAAGCACTATATATGTTTATTAAATGAAATAAATCTCCTTTCCTAGGCATTTGAGGAGACTCATCTGACCTCCCTTGACCCAGTGAAACAGTTTGCTGCCTGGTTTGAGGAGGCTGTTCAGTGTCCTGACATAGGGGAAGCCAATGCCATGTGTCTGGCTACCTGCACCAGGTGGGCATGGCTGTGGGCCCCTCTTTGGGTGGATACATATGAACTAGGAAGCTTATGAAGCTCTCTACTCTGGATGCCAATTTTATGGTTCCAGCTCTGTTATTAACATGCTCTGTGGCTTTAGGCAAGATACTTGTCCTCTCTGGGCCTGTGTCCTTACCTATAAACCAAAGACCAGGCCACAAAATTACATTTCAGTGATAAAAATGCAGTGCCTTGTTCATTTCTGCCCTTGATACATCCACACACAACCCCTTGCCTCCCTCATCTCCCCATCTACCCAAGCCCCGTCTGCCATTCAGGAGCTACTTCTCCTGGTGAAGCTCTGTCTCTCTCTCGAAATCTAGCACAGTGCTTGACTATATCATTCCTTTGACAATCATATGCCCTTTGAGACATCACTTGTATTAGCCTGTTATTCAATTCTCCTCGATAAAGTGTAAGGCCTTGTAGCCAGTGCTCTTGTACTGTGCGAGTGGATATCTCCCAGAGCTCTGAGCAGAGGGGCTGATCTCATAGCACCACTGTGATCCCGAAGCATTGGATGATTGCATTATTGTTAGTCCCTGCCCTTAGGGTCTTATGAATTTGCTAGGGCTGTCTTAACAAAATACTGTAGACTGGATAGCTTAAACAACAGGAGTTTATTTCCTTATAGTTCTGGTGGCTGGAAGTCCAAGATCAAGGTGCCATCAGGGGTGGTTTCTGATGAGGCCTCTGCTTGGGGTTTGCAGACAGCTACTTTTTACCATGTCCTCACACTGCCTTTCGTGTGTGTGTGTGTGTGTGTGTGTGTGTGTGTGTGTTGTGGAGGGCAAGGGAGGTGGTTCTGAAGTGTCTCTTCTCTTACAGTGACACCAGTCCTACTGGATTAGGGCCCCACCCCTATGACCTTACTTAACCTTAATTACCTCCATAAGGTCCCCTTCTCCAAATACAGTCACATTGGGGTTTAAGGCTTTAACATAGGGGTTTGGGGTGACACAATTCAGCCCATAACAGGGCCCCAGGCTGTGGTGTCATACCTCTAGGACAAATCCCCAGGAGCACATGGGACGGGGTAGCCTGACAGCCCAATAAAGGGGGTGCAGCTGGAGGGGGTGCTGAGACATCCTTTGGGGAGAGGGACTATAGCCAGAACATTGAAGCAGACTCTGACCACAGTGCTCTGCTCTTTGCTCCTAGAGATGGAAAACCCTCTGCTCGCATGTTGCTGCTGAAGGGCTTCGGGAAAGATGGCTTCCGCTTCTTCACTAACTTCGAGAGTCGAAAAGGAAAAGAGCTGGTGGGTGAAAAGAGCTAGTAATCTTTCCCAGGGCCTGCAGGGTTTGGCTCTTGCTTCCTCAGTCACCTTCTTATGCCACCCCACCCCCCCAGTCTACTTGCTCTCTGTGTGCAGGTGCCCTCCTGCCATGAGGCCTTGGCACTTGCTGTGCTCTTTGCCATAAATGAATGAATGCACTTTCTAACCAGCCTCACCCCATCAGCCATGACCTGTTCCTTCAGATCTCAGCCCACATGTTACCTCCTCAGGAAGGCCTTCCTTGACTCTCACTCAGACTCAGCCCCTCATGCTGTTTGCTGCCATTATAACTTGCAACTTTCTTTTTTGTCTTCTTCTTCAGTTTGTAACTGAGCATTTGTTTGGGTGATTATGTAACTGATATTTGTCTCCTCTGCTCAACAGTAAGCTCTGTAGGAGTGGAGGCTGCTCTGTTTTATCTCTGCTGTATCCCCCGCACGTCTCCTGTTGTCAGACCCAGAGTGGGCACTTCGCGTGCATTCAATGAATGAATCCAAAATGAGTAAACCTCCCTGAGTCCATGCCAGCCAAGCATGCATTTCTCAAGACTCACAAATCTGTGGGTGAGAGAAATCACCCAGTCTCACTTTGGAGTCCGACTGGCTTAAACTTAGCTCCACCACTTCCTGCAGGAACTTGGGCACGTGACTTAGCCTGTCTCTGTGTCTGTGACAATAGGCCTACTTTTGAGGGTTTAAATGAGCTCTTACGGTGGGTGCATCTGCTGTGGGCCTGCGCACTACAGCTCTCCTGCCTTTTCCCTGCATGCCGGAGGCCTCCTCTCCCTGTCCTGATGGCTGGCTGTGGATTCTCTTTTACTTCTAGGACTCTAATCCCTTTGCTTCCCTTGTCTTCTACTGGGAGCCACTTAACCGTCAGGTGAGTGAATTTTCCCAGGACAGCCTGGGATGGGCTGGGTTGGCAGGGCCTGAGTTTATGGCTACGTCTAGCGAAGGTCCCCAGACTGGGCAAACATCCCAGCTGGGCACTCTGCCTCTAAAATAGCCCTCAGTTAGTTGGAGCCAAGAGTGGTGGGGCAGCCGATCGAACAGAGAGGAACGGGGCCTGTGCTGGTAGGGAGGGCAGGTGGCATTTAATGCCATTCACCCAGAGCCATCCCTGAGCAGGTGCGTGTGGAAGGCCCTGTGAAGAAACTGCCTGAGGAGGAGGCTGAGTGCTACTTCCACTCCCGCCCCAAGAGCAGCCAGATTGGGGCTGTGGTCAGCCACCAGAGTTCTGTGATCCCTGATCGGGAGGTGAGTGGAGCTCCGCTGTAGTCCTCCAGGTGGTGGAGGCTTTGGCTTATCCCCAGAAGCTGTCCCCAGGAGATGCCAGGAGATGTCCCCAGGAGATGTCCTCTCTCTCCAGCCCAGTGAAAACAGTGAAAAGGACAGTGAGAAGGGAAAGTGGGGGTAGGGAGAGGGGAAATAGGCCTCCTCTGTCCATCTGGCCATCCTGTTGACTGCTCCTGGAGGACAGAGGCCAGTCTGCTCTGCTCACCCATGTCCCCAGCACATATCCCCAGGAAGTCCTTGTTAATGAATCATTGACTGGGCCTGGCCCTTCTTCTAACTCTTCCCCCTGGACAGTATCTGAGAAAGAAAAATGAGGAACTGGAACAGCTCTACCAGGATCAAGAGGTGCCCAAGCCAAAATCCTGGTGAGTGACATCTGGTAGTCCTCTAGAAAGGGACACCAGGCCCCTGTGTTTACTTGAAGCCACCTGCCTGGGGAATCACAGATCTCCTCCTCCCTGGCCACCCTTGTCAGATGCATCCCAGCAACTTCCTTCAAGAGGCCCTGGGATGAGGGGTGAGGGTGGGAGAGTGACCTGGCTAGAAAACTCCACAGAGCACTGAAACCTCTGCTTCTCCTTATAGGGGTGGCTATGTCCTGTACCCTCAGGTGATGGAGTTCTGGCAAGGTCAAACCAACCGCCTGCATGACCGGATAGTCTTTCGGCGGGGCCTACCCACAGGAGATTCCCCTTTGGGGCCCATGACCCACCGCGGGGAGGAAGACTGGCTCTATGAGAGACTTGCACCTTAACTCTGGGACCTGCTGGCCCAGAGTGGAGCTAGGGCTAGGTGTCAAGAGAGGGTGTGGGATTGGGACCCAGGCCCTTCTTTCTAAACTCAACCCATTTCCCTCCCTACCCCTTATCTTCAGGACTCTTCAGAGCTAATCCTCTAAGTTCTCTGTACTCAGTTGGTTCTCAGTTAGCTGGTCAAGTGGAGTGTAATGGTGGCGTAGAGAATCACAAATGGAAAATAATTCCATAATTATTTTTTTGACCTTGCCTATGATTGATTAGGATAGCTCCCTCTAGGGGTAGCAGCCGGTGTGACTCCCTTTCTGGTGACAGACAGGGCCCCAGCAGCCCTGTCTGTTACCATGTGAGTCATACTGGCCAAAGCTTAGTCCTAGCATATGCACCTGAGCCAACCTGGCCAATCAGATTGTTTTGTCAATAATTTGAAATTTGAACTGGAGAGATCCAGAACCTTGGGAGTCATTAAAGCCAAGTCATTCATAGCAGCCAGGAAACAATAGGAACCAAAAGCCTCTGCCTGCTGCTATTGCAATTCCCAGGATCTCTCCTTCCCTGGATCCCTCCCTCCCAGGTCTGGGCTGTGCAGTTCCTCCCCCTGCCTTAAAACACCCCACTATCTCTGTAAAGTCTCTCTCTCTCTTTTTTTTTTTTTTACTTAATCTAGCTAGAATCTATTTCTGTTGATTACAACTTAACTAACTCATTTACGGATAGGACTTTTTTTTTTCTTTTTTTCTTTTTTCTTTTCTTTTTTTTTTTTGAGATGGAGTCTCACTCTGTCACCCAGGCTGGAGTGCAGTGGTGTGATCTTGGCTCACTGCAACCTCTGCCTCCCAGGTTCAAGCAATTCTCCTGCCTCAGCCTCCCAAGTAGCTGGGACTACAGGCACACGCCACCACACCCAACTAATTTTTGTATTTTTAGTAGAGATGGGGTTTCACCATGTTGGCCAGGATTGTCTCCATCTCTTGACCTTGTGATCCACCCACCTCAGCCTCCCAAAGTGCTGGGATTACAGGCATGAGCCACCACACCCAGCGAGACGGGGTTTCATTATGTTGGCCAGGCTGGTCTCCAACTCCTGACCTAAAGTGATCTGCCCGCCTTGGCCTCCCAAAGTGCTGGGATTACAGACATGAGCCACCACGCTTGGCCGGGATAGTATATTTTTATAGCACTTCCCCTACTGATTGCTGCCTTCTCTGTGGCTACAAGGGACCCACAGAATTACAGGGAAGTTACAGGGAAGCAGGTTTCATCTCAATATTGGGAGAGATTTCAAACAATCACACCTGCCTGAGAAGGAGTGGGCTGTCACTAGGAATTTTTATTCCCAGTCCGTCAGGAATTTTGTAGAAGGGCTTCATGTGCTGGTACCAATAGGACAGGAAGATTTTAATCAGCTTTACTATCTATGTTTTTTTATGGAAACTGTGTGTATGTATACATACATTTTCCAAAAAGAAAAATTAAATGATTATAGAGATTATGTTTTTCAGACTACTCACGTATCTGCTTTTCTTACTCCCCACCTCTGCTGATAATTCCTAGTTCATTGGTTTTTCCCCCACACTGGAATTACCTGGGGAGCTTAAAAAACCCTGATGCCTGGGTCCCACCCTCAGAGATGATTGAACCAGCCTGGCCAGCATGGCAAAACCCTGTCTCTACTATGATATGAATGCAGCCTGGGCACTGGGAAATTTAAAAACTCCCCAGATAATTCTGTGCAGCCAAGGTTGAGACCTCCTAGTCTAGAGCTTTGCTATACACAGGGTGGTCCACAAGCCAGGAGCATCAGCATCACTTGGCAGCGCCTTAGAGATTCAGACCCCAGACCCACTGAATCTGACCCTGCATTTTCACTAGACCCCAGGTGATCAGCTGCACTAGACTCAACCTCTAAACCAAGACCTCCCACCCTCACAGTCTATGATCCTTTAGTGACCCTCAGCTGAGTCCTGTGCTGAACTGTGTTTGTTCTCCTTGAGCACATGCCCGCTAACCAGGGACAGACTGGATGAGCAAGCAACCTGCTGGCTATGGAGAAGAGCCAGGCTGGGTAAATGTTTGCTGTGACTAAGCCAGGATCAAAGAACTGCCTGTTGCTTGCACTGGCTGGCACTGAGCTTGCCACTCTGTGAACTGTGCTTCCTTCCCCTGCATGGACCTGTGCCTCAGTCACTATTATCCGCAGGCCTTCTCCAAGGGCAGCCCTCTCCTTGTTTATCCCTCTTAAGCCTGCGTGCAGGAAGGCACATTAACCCTGTGGCCCCCTGCAGGCAGGAGGGTGTTGGGTGCCCTTACCTACCTTGCCCTTTTTCTTGTACCGTAGGCTGTGCCGTTTATGAGTAAGTGATGTGTGTCTGTGTGTGTGTCTAGAAGTGCTGCACTCACCTTGTGTTATTGGAGGTTGTGTAACCCCCTAGCTTTGAGCCTGGTCTCAGATGTTCCTTTTCCGTTCTCTGTCCAGCCGTTACCGCCCCCAGTCTGTAATAAAAGCCTATCAGCCGTGCACTTTATTGATGTTCAACCCGGCCTGGTCTCCCTCAACCCCCAAGGAGGGGACTTGGGGAATTTAAGCAACTTTCCTGTCCCCTCACTTCTCTGCACCTTGTAGGCAGTACGTCCAGTAGGGGGAGCCCGCCGCCCAAGGTCGGCCCCTTCCGGGCAGTGAAAGCAACTTCTAGCCGGCCTCCCCCTTCATCGGCTTGGGCCGCGTCCCAGTGAAACTGTGGTCGATAACCCGTAGCCTCTCCCGGTTGCCGCACATATTTGCGCTCTCGGTTCCTCCTCTTCCCCTGTTCTCATGAAAACTTGCAGCTGCCTCGCTCTGCTTCCCTGGGCATCCAGATCTCCCTTTGGCTTCTAGTACCTACCCCACATCCATCTGGCCACCCAGCTTAGAAACATATGTGGACTTTACCTAGAAGATGGAGCCGGGGTCAGTATGCAAGGGGCAGAGGGGCTGTGGATACTCTCACCCAGAGGGGTAATGGTGATACTGGAGGAGTTGGCAGTACAGTGCCAGTATTATCTAGAACCTTAGGTTGGTGGCCCAGGGGCCATCCTTATCCCCCACCTCAGGGAAACCGAGAATGGGCGGATGTGGGAGATACCTGTAGTCTAGGGTCTTAGGGGACACTCAGCTTCAAAGCTGGTTGGCTTTATCCATCTGCTTCCAGAGTTTGTCCAGCCCCCTCGAGTGATGCTCACCTCCCAGGATCCTAAGACCCAGACGTTGCTCCCTCCCCTCCCAACTTCCCCTTCTGCAGAAGGTGTCTGTGCTTTTCTTTGTTCTGAGCTTCAGTTTCCTGTCCCTGTAGCAGATGAGAATCAAGAGTGGAAGGTGGCTGTGTGGGACAGTGGTCACATGTACAAGCTGGCTCTGGCTTCAGTCCCAGCTGTACCAATGCCAGCGCCTGGCCCCCAGGGTGAGTGATTTAACCTCTAAGCCTCAGCCAACTTGTCTGAAAAATGGGGATAATGACAGCACCTGTCTCAGGTGATGATAGGATTAAATGAACAACCTTAGGGAGGACTTGTTCTAGGGGCTGCCTGCCTTAAGCACCCTATAAATGTTAGCTATTAACACTGGGCAGGGCTGCGGTGTAGGGAAAGTCTGAGATCCTCTGTGGAGGCCTCATGGATTGAGTAATTGGTGAGACCCTAGAAAGTTCTGTGTAGTGGGACGGGGTAGGGGAAAGAGGCTTTGGGTAAGGCAGCACCCCTGAGCCTGACTTCCATCCCTCCAGCTCCTGGTCTCCCTTACTCATCATTTGAGGTCCCCCTGGCTGGGACGAGGCACCTAACAAAGCCTCCCTTGTATAGGTCTGTTTGTTTCACTAATAAATTCCCTGAGCAACAGCTCCTGGGGTGGGGTGGCCCAGCAGCCTGCCAGGAGCTGACCTGGAAGCCGCAGGACCACATTGTTTAGTGGCCACCTTGGTCTCTCCCTGTATTTCTACCACGAGCTCCAGAGATTTGGCCAACATTTTTTTAGTTCCCAGCTCTTATGGCTTGAGAAAGAGCTGGACCTAACCTCATAAAGTGACAGCTTTCTCTCCTCTTTCTTATTTATTTATTTATTTATTTTTGAGACGGAGTTTTGCTCTTGTTGCCCAGGCTGGAGTGCAATAGAGCTATCTCGGCTCACCGCAACCTCGGCCTCCTGGGTTCAAGCAATTCTCCTGCCTCAGCCTTCCAAGTAGCTGGGATTACAGGTATGTGCCACCACACTTGGCTAATTTTGTATTTTTAGTAGAGACGGGGTTTCTCCATGTTGGCCAGGCTGGTCTTGAACTCCCAACCTCAGGTGATCTGCCTGCCTCAGCCTCCCAAAGTGCTGGGATTACAGGCATGAGCCACCGTGCCAAGCATCTCTTATTTATTAATTTTTTTTTTCCCCTAGAGATAAGACCTAGTTCTGTCACCCAGGTGGTAGTGCAGTGCCACAATCATGGCTCACTGTCGTCTTGAACTCCTGGACTCAAGCAACCCTCCCACCTCAGCCTCCCAAGTAGATAGGACTACAGGCATGTGCCACCACAGTCAGCTACTTTTTGTTTGTTGGTTGGTTTTTTTTTAGACATGGGGTCTCTCTATGTTGCCTAGGCTGGTCTCAAACTCCTGGGCTCAAGCAGTCCTCCCACCTCAGCCCCCAAAGTGCTAGGATTACAGGCCTGAGCCACTATACCCACCTTCTCCTTTTTCTTAAACCAAAGCTGTGGGGTATGGTGGAGTTCCTTATAAAGGAAGGGGGAAGGAAACCAGTATTAAACTGAGCACTTACTATGGGACCTCTCATAGGCCACTTAATACTGACCACTCCCTATGAGATAGGTATTATTTCAGCCCCCTTTTACAGAAGAGGAAACTGAGGCTCAGAGTACAAGCAAATGTTCCCAAGGTCACCCAGCTACTAAGGGGTAGAGCCCGAGTTTGAATCTTAATCCCAAACCAAACCACTGAAACTTTGGGGTCAATCACCAAAGGTCTGCCCTACTCTCTTAGAGCACCTGACGGGCTCTCTGTTGACTGGAGAGAACTGACCACTGAGGTGTAACTAGCTCCTTCTGCTGCCCCATCCCCATACTAAGGCTAGTTTGATGGTAAAAATTAGTGACCCAGTTCCTACATTGTCACACCTGGGAACCCTTCCTGAAGCTTGAAAGGAACAGTTTGAGCACAAAGGTCCACTTTACTTACATGAAGGAACATAAAGGCATGAGAAACAGTCATCTCAATAAATGCAAGACATGAGCATAAAAGAGGTTCTCTGCCTTTCCAGCGTTGTTATTACAGAGAGAAACCTACAATTATTTTGTTAAACAAAATTCAAGGCTCCAGGACTCATCTCTGGAGCTGATATGTCTTAAATACTATTATAGTAGGAAAGGGAGAGGAGAAAATTCCCCACCCACTCCCCCGATTTGGCCCGTGTAGCTTCCCTTTGAGGGTGTGTGACTTGCCATCTGCAAAAGTCATGGCCAAAACAGGAACTAACAGGCCAAACTACCATCAATCTAGTCTTCTACAGCACCCTAACAGAGTGCCAGGGTCCTCTGTCCCCTCCGCACCTGAGGGCAAAGTTCCAGGAAGTTTACTGCCGGTGTTAGGAGGTGAGCTCAAGTTCAGTGTCTCTGCCTCTGGCTCCACAGAAACCAGCCCCTATCACGTGGCTTCTGGAAAATGTGCCCTCCTCAGGATTGGTCCAGGGAGTAGTCACAGGTAGAGAAAGTAAAGGGAGCAGCAATTGAAACTCGCCCTTGACCCTGTGTCCAGTAAGGAGGTGAAGTCTGTCTGGCTCACTCTCTCCATTCCCTGCCATGCCCACCTCCCTGCTGGCCCTGCCATTGCTTCAAGGAGGGCTGTTCCTCCTGGGTGAGACTTTTCACTCTTGAACTAGAGTGCCTTTGTATGTGGTCAGGGGGAGGGTGGAGGACCCTGGGATCTCCCAGGCCTTACAAAAGTGGCGGCACATAAATACAAACCTAAAAAACAGCCATTTCCTGCCAGCAGGTATCAACTGGCCCCACAGCTTCAGCTATGGCCAAAGAGGCCAGCGTGGCAAGGTCCTGTCTCAGATCTGGCTGATGGCAGGGAGCCAAGAGGTGCTAGCACCCTCCTCAGCCCTTCACTTTGATGACCGTCCTTCCTCGTGATCATCAAAGAGGTTAGGGTTCTCTGCCAGCGTGGCTCTCACTTTCTTCTTCTCCTTGAAGCGTCCTGAGTTGGAGACCTTGACGTGCTTGCCCTTTGTGCTCTTGTCCACAATCTTCTCCAGGCGGGTGTTAAAGTCGCTGTTGGGGCCTCCAGCGTCAGGCCTCGGGGGTTCTGCATCTCCCTCTGTTTGGGCATAGGTGTCAGGGATCTCATACAGCACTTTGGGAGTGGATTTCTTTTTCCGGAGGAAAGTCAGCTTCCACCAACCAATTTCAGTCGTCATGGCGCTCCCTAAGCCAAGGATGGGGCTTTCTGCTGGAGCAGGGTGGGGGAGACAAAGGGGTCAGTGGGAAAAGGGGGTGGGTGCCTTTGGACCAGCTTGCTGCAGACTCCTAATCATGGGCTGTTTTAAGAATTAAATAAAGGGCTGGGCGTGGTTCTTCATGCCTATAATCCCGGCACTTTGGGAGGCCAAGGCAGGTGGATCACCTAAGGCCAGGAGTTCAAGACAGGCCTGGCCAACATGGTGAAATCCCGGCTCTACTAAAAATACAAAAATTAGCTGGGCGTAGTGGCACGCACCTGTAATCCCAGCTACTCGGGTGGCTGAGGCAGGAAAACCACTTGAACCCGGGAGGCAGAGGTTGCAGTGAGCTGAGATCATGCCACTGCACTCCGGCCTGGGTGACAGAGTGAGACTATCTCAAAAAAAAAAAAAAAGAAAGAAGAAGAAGAAGAAGAATTAAAGAAAGAATTTAAGGTAGGGCTGAATAAACCCAAGATTCAGGTCAGTGGGGTGACACAATGCTTTTGGAGAGTGTGAGACAAGAAAAGGGTCAAAGTCAAGGTCAAGACAGGGAAGCCACTCGCCAGACAGAGAGGCAGTGGGACAGGCACACACCATTGCCCTGCAGGGTTGTCAGGAGCTTTGAGATAATTCCTGCCAGGCCCCTCAGGGCCACAGGCAGGTGGACAGCTTGCCTGAGTCACACAGCATCCAGGCCTTTGATGCTCTTCCCAAACTTCCCACTATACCACCAGACCCTGCTGCCAGGCATGGGCAGACCATTGACTGGTAGCATAGGGAGGGAAACACCCTGTGCATTTTGCTTGGAATTCATTACAAAATTAAATATAATTAGTGGCATTCCAAGCAATTTGAACTTCCCAGTGGTGACCAGCAGGGCTAAAGTAACTGCTGGGCTGTTCCTAAGGCAGGAGTCAGATCCTCAGGCTGGGAGTGGGAAGTCCTGGGGGCTGTCCTAGCCTCATGACCACTGGCAAGCCACCACCTCTCTGGGCCTCAGTTTCCTCACCCATCCCATCCAGCACTAGCATTTAGCTCTACTGTTAATCCCTGCCCACAGAGGTAACCATGCATTGCAAAGTAAAACTTACGATAATGGGAATAATTACTAAGGGATGGTTCCCTTTCCCCACCAAGCTTCCACAAGGACAGGAGTTGGAAGGGGAGCTAAAAAGGCAGAAAGCAGTTAGAAGGATCCCAGAAGTACAGGGGAGACATGGTCATCACAGGTTGTACCTTGCAGGGTGGGGCTTGGGGCTGAAATCCAGGCTTCTCCACTCACAGGCCATGTGTCCTGCCATGGAGCTGCCTTCCCTGGGGGCTCACCTTTGACTAATTTCCACAAAGGTACTATATGAGCTAGCGGAACTTCTCGGAGAGGAGGTTGCCTGGACATCATTGATTGCTGGGGTATGTAAGATAGAAGCAGATGACAGTCTGCTAGATGAAGGAAGATCAATGACAGAACAGGTAGAGGAACACTGATGACTGGTGAGGTCGGTGGTCTTGTTCTCAGGATGCCTAGCTGCCGGCTGTGAAAGCTCCCAGGAAGGAAGGCGCAGCCAGTGTACACCAGAAAGCTAGAGGGTATCACCTCCTTTTAAAAACTGGAAGTGTTCACTCCATTTTTGAAAAAGACCAGAAAGACACTCCAAATGATGTGCCTTTTTTTTTTCTTTTTTTTTTTTTTGAGACAGAGTCTTGCTTATTGCCCAGGCTGGAGTAAAATGGCATGATCTCGGCTCACCACAACCTCCACCTCCCAGGTTCAAGCGATTCTCCTGCTTCAGCCTCCCGAGGAGCTGGGATTACAGGCATGCGCCACCACGCCCGGCTAATTTTGTATTTTTAGTAGAGACGGGGTTTCTCCATGTTGGTCAGGCTGGTCTCGAACTCCTGACCTCAGGTGATCCACCCACCTCGGCCTCCCAAAGTGCTGGGATTACAGGCATGAGCCACTGTGCCCAGCCCAATAGTGCCTTTCTTTATGTAGGAGTAGAGGATGCTTTCTCTTCTCTAGTTTTCTGATTTCTGGAATTTCCATGATGAGTATAGATTATTTTAGGGGTGGGGGAGCATATCAAATTTAGGAAAGAGGAGAGCACGACGCAGGCCTAGACTTTACGATGAGCTGAATGCCTGCATCCATACCCCTCGTGCTCTGGTCTCCTGCTCCCCACCCCCTCCCTCAGAGCACACAGCCGGTGGATTCCTTCCCACCTCTCTGTCTGGGAAGCAGCTCCCACATTGCCAGCTCTGTCCCTTTAGCTGGGCTCAAGTAGCAAGAGAAGCTGAGGGGAGATCTTGTGCAGCTCCCGCTCAGAAAGTGAAGGAGCAGTGAGAGGGGCTCCATAAATACTTCCAGGGCACCCTGGAGAGGTGAGCACACCTAGGGACAGCCTGAGAGGTTTGTTTTGGCAGCTTGCCCCACCTGGGCTTAGCACAGCCTTGTACAGAACTTAGTGTTCCAGAATGGGTTTCTGGAAGGAGGTGGGGGAGAGCAGAGAAGGAGGAACAGGGCACTTGCTTGGTCTGTGGGTGCCCGAGTCACTGCCTTGTCTGGAATGAGGCCCACAGCCCCACCACTGCCCATTTGGGGCTGCCAAGGAACTTGGGGAATGGAAAAACAGAAGATCCAGCTCCTGAGACTATCATAACCACCAGATTTTCTAGCTCCAGAGAGAAAAGGGCTTCTGCCTGTGCCATTAAAATTCACCTGTTTTAACAGGTATTTCAAGTTGGCAAACCTGGGGCTTAACTCTCCTTGGCATAAAGGGAGCCACAGATCACGAGGAACTTCTCAGCAAACTGTAGAGATGGGAACAGCCCTTGTGCCCTGCCCTGGGGCCTCCACCAAGGCATCAACTCTGGTGCCCTTGCATCCTAGCCTTGTACTCTGGTCTCTCTAGAATACTCTGCCAGAGGCCAGGTGCAGTGGCTCAAACTATAATCCCAGCACTTTGGGAGGCTGAGGCAGGAGGATTGCTTGAGGCCAGGAGTTCAAGACCAGCCTGACCAACATGGGGGAACCCCATCTCTACTAAAAACACAAAAACACAAAAAATTAGGCGGATGTTGTGTCATATGCCTGTAGTCCCAGCTACTCGGGAGGCTGAGGCACGAGAATCCCTTGAACCCAGGAGGCAGAGGTTGCAGTGAGCTGAGATCATGCCACTGCATTCCAGCCTGGGCGACACAGTGAGACTCTTTTCTCAAAAAACAACAACAACAAAAAAAGAGAATACCCTTTTTGCCAGGCCTTCCTGTCTCTTCTGCCCAGGAGGACATGTGGGGACCAGTAAGCAGGTGTTTGCCCCATTAGCAAGCCTGACTTATGGAAATCTGAGTTTGCAAAATGGAAAAATTAGCCGACTATTCTTTGTTTTACAAAATAACCCAGCTGTAGGATCTGTAAATAGTCATCATAAAAGATAGTGTAAAATCTGATTTGCTTTAAAAACAAGCAAACAAAAAAGGTGATGTGATATCCAAACTTCCCAGTTTCTCAAAGTTGCAAAGAACAAGATATCTACAACCGCCTGCCTGTGCCTCACCACAGAGGGCTGAAAGGGGTTGGGGGAGTGGGGGCAGGTGCTTGGGACTTCAAACAGACCCAGCATTTAGTGACACATGGTGGGCCCTGCAGTTAGCTCGTGCAGGTTCCTGAGCTGGCCGAGCTAAGGGCTGGGCCCTTGCCCTGGGGCCTTGCAATCCAGGGATGATGGAAATCAGCCCCTGAGGATGCCAGCTTCACCTCTGCTGTTTGCACAGCTTTGGGGCCATGAAAGGCCTCATGGGACAGCCTGCCACCCCCTGTCTTTGGTGGCCAGCGCTATAGCATGCACATGGGTGTCCCAGGAGAGGCCCCTCCATACCAGCTGGGTTCTGTGAGCTGCTCTGAAGGGCTTTGCCCAGACTGAGCCAGGCCCCTCCTGAGCTGGGTCAAGTTAACCATTGACTGGGGCAGAGGTGGAGGGGCAGGGGGACAGATAGGGGAAGCAAGTCAGCTAATATGTTGTAAGACAAAACCCCAGAACTCCCTCCCCCATCCCTCTGCAGGGCCCCAATGGCACTTAGGGGGCCTGCAGGATGAGACAGGGGTACCCTGGATAGGAATGGGGAGATGTTCCTACCAGACAGCTGGAAAAATGCTCCAGACTGGGGGGTCAGAAGGGTGGGCTCCAGTTCAGCAAGGGTTAACAGAAAACTACTCAGCAGGAGCTCTGTTGGAGGCCTGGATTGACTCCAAGAGGCCAGTGGGATGAGTCTTGAGTGGAGACCAGGTTAGAGGCCTGGGTTCCTCTTTCCTGCTGGGCTTGTCAGCCCTGGAGGCAGAACCAGGTGCTCTGACTGGGGTCTATGCCTTGGTTTCCCCACCCACCAGCCCTCTGCCTGTACCTGTAATCCCGACTGCTCCAGGCTGGAGGTGAGACCTTTCCTAGAGAAGCAGTTGAGTGTAGGAGCTGCCTGGGAGGGTGAGACTCGGGAAGCAAGTGGTGCCTCCGGGCTGCTGTATCAGGCAAGGCTCAGCCAGGAGAGGTGGGTAGGAGCAGCTGCACGTCAGGTGCAAGAGAAACAGGTGCAAGAGCTGTTACCTGCTCTGCTGCAGCTCCTGGAGTCAAGGTGAACCTGAAACCCAGCCCCTCCCGGCTAAGTAAACAGAAGCAGAGGCCGGCTCAAGCTGATGAATATTCATCATGCCAGAAATCCAATCCCAGCGCCCCTGCATCCACCCAGAAGCCAGGGTTCTCCAGGGACCGCCACGCAGGAGGAGGGAATCCCAAGGGAGATCTGGGGTCAGGGAGCACAGGAGGCTCTCGCTCAGTTTCCCCACTCTTGGGTGTCTGGTTGCACTTCCCAGCTATAGCCAGGGTCACCCCACCCATTTCATCTTCTGAGGAGGCGCAGACCCCTCTCCAGCATGGACCACCACCTGGATGTTGCCCAGGGCACAACCAGGAAAGAGTTAAGGGCTGCTGCTTCCATTGGCAGGCTGGGTAGGACGGGGTGCACCCCAGCTTCCTTTGAACTCCCTGAGTCGAAACCAGTCCCGGTTAAACTGGTTGGCAGACCGGTTCCCAGGCTGTCCCTCCCCTGCCTCAAGCCTCAAAGTGGGGACTGGGTTGGGGGCTGTGGCTTCCTCCTGACCTGAAGAGCCCCTCTTCAAAAATCTCCCTAGGGAGAAAAAAAAAAAGGGCACAGCCTCTCCTCGGGCCAGGCTCTCCAGACCCACCACAACCTCAAACATTGTCATCCCTCTCCCACTTTGCTTGGAGGTGGGCTTCAAGGCCCTTGAGATCTTATGCAGAATTCCGTGTTTGTGGGCAGAGGGGCATTGCTTTTTCTGCATAGATTATACTTTTATCAGACTCTCAAAGAGACCTGTGCCAGTGTCCCCACTAGCAAAGTGCCACTGGCTTCAACTCCTCCCAGATGTCCAGCAGTCTATTGAAAGGGCCTTCCTGGGTATTATAAAGTTGGCAAAACCTGGAGCAAGTTCTCAAGGAAAGGAGAGATGGGTCCCTAGTGAGTCTGGAAGAGAAGGAAGGGCAAGAAGGCAGGGGATGGGCACACGGTTGGGGACAGGGGTAGAGTGTGTGTGCACAGGGGCCTTCGTCCTCACCGATCTGCAGTCTCATTGCCCCTGCAAACCCACCATTGGCCAAGCTGTGTGCAGCGCTCAGCCAGGGCTGCTCTTGCAGATGGCTCCGTGTCTGGGGAGCGTTGTTTTGCAGCCACCCGGAGGTGGCCTGTCCTATTTGCGCTTGCATTCTCTCTCCCCTCGGATGGGCATCGCTGGAGAGTGGAAAACATCTGCTACATACTCAGTGTCTCTGCCACTTCCTGGGCCCAGTGCTACCAGCTTAGGTGCCCAATCCACCCACCAGCTACCTTCCTCCATGGACCAGGTGTGCGTGTCAGGCAAAGGGTGAGGCACGGGGTAGAGAAAAGGCATAAAATCCCCCCTTTCCCTGGCTCTCCCTCTAAGTTACATTTGAAATCCCAGCTCACCAACTCTTAAAGCTGTCCCCCATTTCCAATCCTGCTTCTACTCGCTCCAGCTTCTGATGGCCTCTTGGGTTTGTATTCTCCTCCATCTGAAATAGCCCCCCTTCCCTTAAAATGTCCTTGGGTGGACAGTCCTCCAAAGCCTCCCCACAGCCCACAGCAGAACCCGCTTGGCCTGGCTCTCCTAGGATGGGGCCTCTGCAGCCTCCTCTCATGCACACCCACCCCTGCCAACTCTCCCTGAACACTAGGCTCTTCTCTGCCTGCCTTTGTAGGCATGAGGCTGCCTTAGAAGGGTGAGATTAGGAGTGCTGGCTGTGCTCTTGGGTAACAATGTCCCCCCCATCACCTGTGCGACCCAAGAGAAACTTCTTTTCATCCCTCAGAACCTGAATTAATGATCACACCTCCCACCCCGCCAGGAGTTTTCTTGTTTCCCCTTCTGTGTTCCCATAGAACCTGCTCATATACTTCTATTTAACATGATATATATACCATGATTGGTTTCCACTTACAGACTTTTAGCTCTTAGAGCCCAGAATTATGTATCACTGATCCAGACCAGACATACAGTAGGTACTTATGCAAGCTCGAAAACACAAATGAGAAACAGAAACATTGTTTTTACCCAAAGAAACTGTTAATGTAGCCAATTGCTTTGTCCCACTCTCCCTGGGGCAGGTAAATGTGCAAGAAAACCCATTTATTTGCCTTCTTGTGGTTCCAGCCACAGCTGGCTTGCTGTCATGCTATCATCTCCCTGGGGGGTGATTTGAATTGAAGGATATAATTTTGTAAGGTCCCCTACCTCTAGTGCAAAGTACACACAGCTGTCCCAGAAAGGTGCCCACAGCCTCCTAGATCTGTCACTTTCTATAAAAGCCTCGTCTACTCAGAGTGGATATCTGGTTCAGAAGACAAAAACTCCTTCCAGCTCAGGTGTTGGGAAGAGACCAGAAGGCTAGTGGGATGGGCTTTGGTCTGGGGGATGGTAACTCAGAGTCAGTTCCCCGTTCCCCATCCATAGAAGGAAGGGCTTGCCCTGGAGGTACTAATTCCCCATGCCTCGGAGATCCAGCCTCTCTGATGTCTGAGCCCAGGGGAGCAGATTCCTGTTCTCTTGGCTCCACACTGGAGAAGGAGCCCCCATAAGTGCCGTGGCAGGCCTACCTGTGGCTCTCCCTTCCCAAGTGCCACCAGTCCCAGGTGCAGGTGTGAGGACCTAGCGCATTACCAGGGAGGGGCCAGCCTGGGAAGTCAGGCACAACCCCTGGCCTTCAGGGCATTTATTTCTGGGAGGAGCAGGGCTGGGAGGAAAGTTTGAGATAAGGCTGTGAGCTACGAATATAACTCCTCACGTACAGGCCACTTTATTGCTTTATAAAAATTTTCACCTTTGGCCAGGCACAGTGGCTCACACCTGTAATCCCAGCACTTTGGGAGACTGAGGCAGGCAGATCACCTGAGGTCGGAAGTTTGAGACCAGTCTGTCCAACATGGAGAAACCCCATCTCTACTAAAAATACAAAATTAGCTAGGCATTTTGATGCATGCCTGTAATCCCAGCTACTTGGGAGGCTGAGGCAGGAGAATCACTTGAACCTGGGAGGCGGAGGTTGCAGTGAGGCGAGACTGCACCATTGCACTCCAGCCTGGGCAACAAGAGTGAAACTCTGTCTAAAAAAAAAAAAAAATCACCTTTAAGCACACCTTTCTAAAACTAGGTTTAAGTGTAACATGCTATATACATGCAGTGTGCACGTCTCAAGAAATGTGTTCTTGTTGAGTAAAGCAAGTTAAATTCACCTAAGGGAGCCCCAAGGACCTTGGTGCCCTTTTGGGGTACACAGCCATGGGGCCCCATTGCATTACAAATCTAATCAGCCTGGCATATCCATCCCATTTTACAGATCTCTGCCCAGCAAGTAGATCTAGGCTTCAGGGACATTTCTTCCCTAAAACACGGAGAAGAGAGGTGCTGCCATTCTCCTCAGCTCTCCCCATTCTCTGGAAGGCCAGGAGATTGGAGATCCTGGGGGTGTCCAGCCTGGTCGAGGTGACAGGTGGGGCAAGACCAAAGATCAGTCTCTGGTGGGCTACACCAGGTGCAGTGGGGAGGCAGGGGCAGGCAGAAGCTGCATTCTGATCTGAGGTGGGTGGTGGGGCTGCCATTGGAGGGGGCTTTCTCCTTGTTTTCATGCGAGGCGTTCCCTTCAAGGAGATCTCAGCAGGGAGTGGGGGTATGAGCAGCCAATATTAGGGGGACTGTGTTCCAGGCACTCTTCCAAATGTTCCATAGGTGTGAACTCTTGATCCCCACAGCTGCCCCTTAAGGTGGATTCTCTAACCGAGTACACCCATTTGCACCCCGTCAGCAATTTTCCTGTTGCTGTTTGCATTCGTTTCCTGTAGCTGCCATGAGTTACCATGAACTCCATGGCTTGAAACAACAGAAATGGATTCTTCTGACCTATCCAGTAAGTCAGAAGTCAGAAATGAGTTTAACTGGTCAAGACCAACGAGTTGCCAGTGCTGTGATCCCTCTGGAGGCTCCAGGGAGAACCTGTCCTTGATTCTTCCAAGCTCCTGGTGACTGCAGGCACTCCTGGGCTTGTGGCCACATCACTCCAATCTCTGCCTCCTTTGTTTTCACTTCTGTGGGTTTGGCTAAACTCCCTCCACCTCTCTCTTATAAGGACACTTGGGATGGCATTTAGGGTCCACCCAGATAATCCAGGATTCTCTCATCTCAAGACGTTTAACATAATCACATGTGCAAAGAGTCTTTTTCCAAATAAGGTCACACTCATAGCTTCTGGAGATTTGACATGGTTATCTTTGGAGGGATCATTTTTCAGCCTTCCACGTTCTTCATTCAGACAACCTCTCTGTATTGTCAGACATAAGTGGGCTTCCTACATCCTTTTTCAGGGAAGGACTTGCTGCCAGGTCACAGGAGTGTGGTCAGCAGTTGGCCATCAGCTCCTTCAAGGTCTGTCTCAGCGACAGAAAGCCACCTTGCCCTAGGGCTACCATTCTGGAGCAGCGCACTTCTAGGGATAAAAAAGCCCAGCCATTTCAGCCCCATGAAGGACATTCTCGGAGCAATATTCACTCAGAGGCCTCCACCACATTGACTAAAGCTTTGCTGGGCCTGCAGTGCAGTTGGATTTCTGCCTCTGCCCAGCATTGCTTCCATCTGATTCCTCTCACAGGAAATGATTCCTAATAAACATCTTGCCCCCCAAAACACCACCTACTTCTGTAGAATGCAACCCATGACACAGACATTTCCATTTTTGCCAGTATGATGGAAGTGAAGTGGTCTTCTTCATGTCATTTATTTATTTAGAGATGGAGTCTCGCTCTGTTTCCCAGGCTGGAGTGCAGTGGTACCATCTTGGCTCACTGCAACCTCCACCTCCCAGGTTCAAGCAATTCTCCCACCTCAGCCTCCCGAGTACCTGGACTTACAGGTGGGCACCACCACACCCAGCTAATTTTTGCATTTTTAGTAGAGACGGGGTTTCACCATGTTGGACAGGCTGATCTGGAACTCCTGACCTCAGATGATCCACCCACCTCGGCTTCCCAAAGTGCTGGGATTACAGGTGTGCACCATTGCACCATTTCACCAGGCCCATGTCCTTTATATTTGCATTTCCCTAGTGTACTGGATTGAATAGTGTCCCCGAAAATTCACGTCCACTCAGAACCCCAGAATGTGACCTGCATTGGAACTAGGGTTTCCAGATGTGGTTTTCAGATGTAGTCAACCTGGGTTAGTGTAGGCCCTAAGGTTGAGGAGTAGTGTCCTTACAGGAAGAATGTCATGTGACAATGGAAGCCATGTGACAATGGAGGTACCTGCAAGCCAAGGATACCAAGGCCTGCCAGCAGCCACAGAAGCCAGGAGAGAGGCACAGACAGCATCTCCTCTGCAAGGAACCAACCATGCTGACACCTGGATTTCAGACTTCAAGCCTCCAGAACTGCGAGAGTAAATTTCTTTTCTTTTTTTTTTTGGGACAGAGTCTCTCTGTCGCCCAGGCTGGAGTGCAGTGGTGCGATCTCGGCTCACTGCACCCTCCACCTCCCGGGCTCACGCCATTCTCCTGCCTCAGCCTCCCGAGTAGCTGGGACTATAGACGCCCGCCACCACGCCCAGCTAATTTTTTGTATTTTTAGTAGAGACAGGGTTTCACCGTGTTAGCCAGAGTGGTCTCGATCTCCTGACCTCAGGTGATCCACCCGCCTCGGCCTCCCAAAGTACTGGGATTACAGGCTTGAGCCACTGAGCCCGGCCCTGTGAGAGAGTAAATTTCTATTGTTTTAAGCCACCCAGTTTGTGGTGATTTGTTACAGCAGCACCAGGAAACTAGACACTTTGTTTCTAGTAAGGTTGGACATCTTTTCATACATTTATTGGTCATATTCTCTGAAATGATCTTTCCTTCCTTCTTCCCTTCGTTCCTTCCTCTCTCTCTTTCTCTTTTTTTTTTTTTTTCTGAGTCAGGGTCTCACTATGTTGCCCAGGCTGGTTTCGAACTCCTGGACTCAAGTGATCCTCCTTCCTCAACCTCCCAAAATGCTGGGATTACAGGTGTGAGCTACCATGCCCAGCCAAAATGACCATTTTCTTCAATGTAGAAAAATTTCTGCATCTCATCATATGGGAGTTGTCTTTCTAGTAACCACTGACTTAAAAAAAAATCATTGCATTTATGGATCCCTGGCACATTTGCATAATTCTATTTTATTTATTTATTTATTTTTTTACAGACAGGGTCTGTCTCCGTCACCCAGGCTGGAATACAGTTGGCACAGTCATAGCTCACTACAGCCTCAAACTCCTTGGCTCAAGCGATCTTCCCACCTTTGCATATTTCTACAGCTTTCCAGGGACCTGCTTGCCCATTGATTGGGAATCCTAACCTATGGAATTAAATTTCAACCCTTTATAATGGACCTGAAAGTTCTTCAAGATCTCCCTTTGCCGGTCTCTTCAACCTAATTTCTCTCCACTCTCCCCATAAACATCCATGCTCCCATAATAAACTTCTTCCTTCTGGAACAGCCATTCTCTCACCTCTAGGCTTTGTCCTTGCTTTTCCTTTTTCCCAGAATGACACCTGTCACCTCCCTTCCTCTTTTCTCTCCTCTCCTTTCTATTACAATTCATGCCATCTTGCAAGACTCAGCTCAAGTGTTACTTCTCCTAAGAGCCTGCTCTGGTGGTGTTCTGTCCTTCTCCTTTGCCTTTTCCCATGCTGAGTTGGATACTCCGTCTCCTTCTTTCTGTTCCCTTAGCACTCTGAGCATCTCTGAGTGGACCTCTTATTAGCTTTTTTATTTTTTTTGAGACAGTCTTGCTCTGTTGCCCAGGCTGGAGTGCAGTGGCATGACCTCAGCTCACTGCAACCTCTGCCTCCTGGGTTCAAGTGATTCTTGTGCCTCAGCCTCCTAAGTAGCTGGGACTACAGGCAGGCACCACCACACCCAGTTAATTTTCTGTGTTTTTGTATTTTTAGTAGAGACGGGATTTTGCCATGTTGGCCAGGCTGGTCTTGAACTCTTGACCTCAGGTGATCTGCCTGCCTCGGCCTCCCAAAGCGCTGGGATTACAGGTACCTCTTATTTGCTTTGCATAGATTTTTTGAGCACCTTCTATGCATGAGCACAGTACTCTCACACTCTGTGACGACACACTCTGGAGATGTCGTCATGGGATATGGAAGGTGGTGGGCCCCTCACTCAACATACTTTTACTTCCTTTGAGGCCTAGGACTGTGTCTTTGTGATAAGGTGCTCAGGGTGCATAAAGTTGAACTCCAATGGAAAAGAGGTGAATGGATGGGTGGTTTGGTAGTATCCTTGGTTTTCCTTTTCTTAGCAGATTAGATTCCCACCGCCTTCCATGATAAGCATGGTGAAATAATGAAATACAGTGGCATCCTTAGAAGATGACAAACAGGACCCATTTCATGAAGCCACCCAGGGAGTTCTTTTTCCCCAGAAGACTAACAAAGGTGGAGGGATGAGGTGGCCAGGAGGGCATGAGTTGCCAGAGTTAAGGGTAAAATGAGTGGCCCCAGAGCATGACCCAGGTGACTGGCCCCACATAGACTTTCACTGGTCTGTACCAAACTCGTGAAGCTGACCACCCCTAATTTCTTCTCCCTGATTTCCTCCCTTCACTCCCAAGAGGCTCAGAGGATGTTGACTCCAAGTCCTGAGCTGTAGAGGAAAGGATGAGAAAAGGATCTGGGGACCTTGAACCTCTTGTCCCAAGACAAAGCAATCATGGTCCCCACTTATCACAACTACCACCAACATCAAATGCCTTCCTGCATATGGCTTTCCTTCATTACAAGCATCCATTAAGCTCCTGACACTCAATGTCAAGAGTCACACCGGATGCTGGGGTTATAGAGATGAACAAGTCTGCTTTGGCTTCCCAGCCCACAGGTACTCGCAGACTAGGTGGGGAGACAGACTGAAAAACGCAACATGCCGGGCACGGTGGCTCACGCCTGTAATCCCAGCACTTTGGGAGGCCAAGGTGGGCAGATCACGAGGTCAGGAGTTCAAGACCACCCTGGCCAACATGGTGAAACCCCATCTCTACTGAAAATACAAAAATTAGCCAGGCATGGTGGCACGTGCCTGTAATCCCAGTTATTTGGGAGGCTGAGGTAGGAGAATCGCTTGAACCCAAGAGGAGGAGGTTGCAGTGGGCTGAGATCACACCACTGCACTCCAGCCTGGGTGACAGAGCGAGATTCTGTCTCAAAAAAAAAAAAGGAAAGAAAGAAAGAAAGAAAAAAGCAACACAGTGGTTACACTCCGGGCAGCAAGAGGCCCAAGGCTGCTATGTTTCCAGAGCTTCCAGCCTAGCAGGCAGATACACCACACACACACAGGCACACACACCACACCCCATAGTCAGTGTGGCTGTGAGCAAACACACAGACCATAAAGTAATAAAAATATAGCAGATAAAATAAATGAGTTATTTGAATGTTGAAAGTAAGCCTTCTTTTATGGATATTGCAGGAGGATAAGTAATGGGCTCCCTTTCCCAGAATGGGGTGTGGTAAGAATGAACTTTGGAAAGGGGCAGGGCCTGCAGGGGTGGGAGTTCTGAGTGTCTGGCACAACAACTGGGGAGAAAATAGGAATCAGGCCCAAGGGAGGAAGAGACCTGAAGCTGTTGTGGCTGAGCCAAAGGGGTAGGCAGGGGTGCAGGAGAAGCAAAGGCACATCACACAGAGAAGAAGAATGCAGGCTGGGTAGCCCAACAGGCCTGGGTTTGAATCCCAGCCTCATCAACTACCCACTGTATGATTTTCCTTTTTTTTTTTTTTTTGAGTCTTTCTCTGTTTCCCAGGCTGGAGCGCAGTAGCACAATCTTGGCTCATTGCAACCTCTGCCTCCCAGGTTCAAGGGATTCTTCTGCCTCAGCCTCCCGAGTAGCTGGGATTACAGGCATGTGCCACCACGCCCAGCTAATTTTGTATTTTTAGTAGTTGGGGTTTCACCTTGTTGGCCAGGCTGGTCTCAAACTTCTGACCTCAGGTGATCCACCCGCCTCGGCCTCCCAAAGTGTTGAGTTCCATGTGTGAGCCACCGCGCCTGGCCCACTGTATGATCTGTATGATTTTCTTTTCTTTTCTTTTTTTTTGAGACGGAGTCTTTCTCTGTCACCCAGGCTGGAGTGCAGTGGCGCGATCTCGGCTCACTGCAACCTCCGCCTCCTGGGTTCAAGTGATTGTCCTGCCTCAGCCTCCTGAGTAGCTGGGACTACAGGCACGTGCCACCACACCCAGCTAATTTTTTGTGTTTTTAGTAGAGACGGGGTTTCACCGTGTTAGCCAGGATGGTCTCGATCTCTTGACCTTGTGATCCACCCACCTTGGCCTTCTAAAGTGTTGGGATTACAGACGTGAGCCACCGCACCTGGCCCACTGGATGATTTTCAACATGTTACGTAATTAATCTTTGGCTTCCTTGCCTTTAAAATCTGGTTAATGATGGTACCCACATTATAAGGTTGTTAGAAGAATCACATTAGATAAGGCTTGTAAAACATTTAGATCTACACTGGCACGTGGGCATGTTTATCACGTAATAAGCAAGCTAACAACAACAATAATGGATGGCAAGGTAGGCTGCCTACACGGTGCCTCGGGGCTCTGTGCTTCCTTGTCCAAAGCTGGTGCAGCCCTGGTATATCCTCCTCACCTCTCTACATGTGCTGCCCCTCTCCCAGGGTCCCATCTGCTAAATCAGCAGAGAACTGAGAGATTCCTGGTCAGAAACCTACCATACCTCTCTCTGCCTCCTTCTAGCTGCTGGGAGCCCCGATGACTAAAGTCTCCTGAAGGAGATAGAGTCGATGCCCTGGATGCCAGACCAATTATGTGCTTATCTACCCACAGACCCTGAAGTTCCCTGTGGCCTTGGAAAAGTGCAGAAACCCGCCAAAGGCCCATGCTCCTACACTCTTTGGGAACACAGAAGCATGTGCCTTTGGCAGGCTCTCCCCCAGAGCCTCTGCAGTCAGCAGAGGCAGGTTCTCTCCCAGAGCCTCTGGCTTTGGGACAGCCTCCCTGGAGTCAGTAGCTGGGCAGAACTGTTCTCAAACATCCTTCTGCTCCACGTGAGTCACCTTGGGGAGCTGTGGGTGGGGCTGAAGTGCTGGTGGTCCCTGCTTCCATCAACTCACCTGGGCTGGGTCTTCCAGACCCACCCTGTCCTGTTCTGCCCAGCCTGTTGGTTCAAGGAAGAGAGATAGATACACCTTGAGGGCAGGGCAGTGCCTTGCTCTTGAGATGTCCCAGACAGCCCCGAGCACATAGTTGGGGCCCAGTTAAGTGTGTGTTTAATCATGGAGGAGCCTGAGCAATTCCTACAGTCTGAGTCAGGCTGACTCAGATGGGAGCCAAATTCCCATGAAAGATCCCTGAAAAGGCCCTTAATTCAGCTCTATGAGCCATTTTCAGAGCAGTTTTTCAATCCGTTCTATAATAATAATGATCATATATGACATATATATATATTTTGAGATGGAGTCTCACTCTGTTGCCCAGGCTGGAGTGCAGTGGCGCAATCTGGGCTCATTGCAACCTCCGCCTCCCAAGTTCAGGTGATTCTTCCGCCGCAGCCTCCCGAGTAGCTGAGTAGCTGGGACTGCAGGCATGCACCACCACGCCGGGATGGTTTTTGTTTTTGTTTGTTTGTTTGTTTTTTGTTTTGTTTTGTTTTTGAGATGGAGTCTCACTCTGTCGCCCAGGCTGGAGTGCGGTGGCGCAATATCGGCTCACTGCAACCTCCGCCTCCCGGGTTCAAGCAGTTCTCCTGCCTCAGCTTCCTGAGTAGCTGGGATTACAGGCGTACGCCACCACGCCCAGCTAATTTTTGTATTTTTAGTAGAGACAGGGTTTCACCATGTTGATCAGGCTGGTCTCAAACTCCTGACCTCGTGATCCACCCGCCTCAGCATCCCAAAGTGCCGAGATTACAGGCGTGAGCCACCGTGCCCAGCGTGTTTTTTGTTTTTTTCAGAGATGGGATTTCACCATGTTGATCAGGCTGGTCTCGAATTCCTGACCTTAGGTGATCCGCCTGTCTCAGCCTCCCAAAAGTGCTGGGATTACAGGCGTGAGCCACCGCGCCTGGCCCATATATGATATTTCATATAGGGAGAGTTTACAAAGCATGAGAAATACAGCCACAGTATGTTGTAAACTGTCATGAGTTACTAGTGTGTTTATTTAAGCCTCTAAACAGAAATACCCTGAGATAGGATAGCTGTTATCTCCATGTGGGGAAACTGTGGCTATCAGATAGGTTATAGAAATGGTCCAAGACCTCACTGGGCAGAATCTAGGTCTTCCTGCTGCTGTATCACACTATGCATTTCAATCAAAAATTTACTAAGCCTCAAGTGTTGTGCTGTGGTGAACAGGAGCTGGGGAAGGAATATTTAGAAATGGCATACCCAGGGCCGGGCGCGGTGGCTCACGCCTGTAATCCCAGCACTTTAGGAGGCTGAAGCGGGAGAATCACGAGGTCAGGAAATCGAGACCATCCTGGCTAACACGGTGAGACCTCGTCTCTACTAAAAATACAAAAAAATTAGCCGGGCGTGGTGGCGGGCGCCTGTAGTCCCAGCTACTGGGGAGGCTGAGGCAGGAGAATGGCGTGAACCCAGGAGGCAGAGCTTGCAGTGAGCCGAGATCGTGTCACTGCACTCCAGCCCGGGCGACAGAGCGTGACTCCGTCTCAAAAAAAAAAAAAAAAAAAAAAAAAAAAGAAAAGGCATACCCAGCGCTGTGAGATCCTGGGGGATCTGGCCTCAGCCTACCCTCCCTCCTTACTCTACCCACTTCTTGGCCAATCTCAGACTCTCCCTTAGCTTCAGCCACCACTCGGACCACAGATTAGCCAGCTTGTGACTCTCCAAGCTGTATCTCCAGCCCCGACAACTCCCTCGAACTCCAAAATTATAGACCCAAGTGCCTTCTGCACACTTTCCATCTGGGGGTCTCCCAGCATTGCCAGACTAGGTTCAAAGCTAGACCCCCTCCTCCCCAACACCTGCTCAGCATCCTGCATCCCTGTCTCAGGTGGTGGTTCCCACCTAATCACCTAGGTGTCATCCTTAGTGTCTCTCTCCTCCACCCAAACAGCCAATCAATTGCCAAGTCCTATACATTTTCCTCCTAAATATTCCTCAGATCCAGCCCTTCCCCTTCCTCCTCATATCTTGTGTCCCAGCTCAGGCTATAATCCCTCGATAACAACCTCCTTCCAGCCTCCTTGTCCCCAGTCTTATCTCCCATGCATCCATCATCCCAGCAGCCTATCTGTACAGGTTCCTCCCTGCCTCAAACCCCTTCTGTGATTCCTCTGTCTGAAGGGATGAAGTCCAAGTTCCTTAATAAGTCTCCCTTTGATATGGCCTTTCCACCCTTACAGCCTCTCCTCTAGCCACTCGCTGCCTCAAACCATCTACGGTATAGAGGTTGGCCTGCCCGCGGAGCCGACTTCATCTTGAAATTCTTCATCATTTTGTAACAAGCAGCTGTGCATTTCCATTTTGCACTGGACCTCACAAATTACGTTGCCCGTCCTGCCTGCCTGTTGTTGCTTGCACCCCTCTTGCAGTTTGTGGCCACCTAAGCTTTGTCTGTGTAGTCTCCTCCACCTAAAACTCCTCTTCCCACATCACCCAGCTATCTTCAGCTCTTCGTTTAGACTCAATGTAGGTGTTCTCTTTGGGACGTCTCACCGACTCTCTTCCTTCCCCTTCCCTGCCCTAATCGCCCAACACGTTGCAGGTGCTCAACCATGTCTATTAGAGAAACTGAATGAGGAGGCAAAGCATGACAAGTGCCACAAGAGACCTGCACACTGCTCTGGATGGTAAAGCGACGCAAGGAGGGAAGAAGGTATTTGCAACGGCCTCCCAGATCGGCGCTAGGACCCCGCCAGCAGACGTCTCAATCTGCGTGGAGAAGACCCAGTGCCCGCCAGGGGAAGCGGCTGCCAGGCTGGGCTCTCGAGCGCCGCCTGTCGCAATCCCACGGCCGCTGCAGCGCACCCCCTCCCGTCCCCTGCCCTGAGCCCGCCTCGCGTCTCCAATTGGCTGTCTCCATTCTCCCGCCCCTCCCGAGCTCAGCCATTCGGAGCCTGGGGTGGGCGGGGCTTGAGGCCTGAGTGGAGCGTAAACCCTGATTGGCTGTACGGAAGGCGGCGACGTGGCCGAAGGATGCCCGTTTGTGTCTAAACGGAGGCTCGGCCACAACGCCACTGGATTGGTGGTAGGGCGGGGCGGGCCACAGTCTCCAGCCTGAAGCGGAAGTGGAGGAAAGATGGAGGTGTGGGGACAGGAGCTGGGTGTGCTGGGGACTGGCCGCGGACCCCTAACCTGTGTCTCCGGTCTCCCTCCGGAAGCGGCTCAACCCAGCCCATCGCTCTGGCCCCGTTCTGGCCCTGCAGGGTGGTGGTTGGGACGTTGAAATGAGCGCGCGAGTGGTACGTCCTCTCTCCGCGCTCACGCCCCCCTCCTCACCGTGTTTCCCGCCAGGACCATCAGCACGTGCCCATCGACATCCAGACCAGCAAGCTGCTCGGTAGGAGGGGGCGCCACCGCGCAGCTGGCTGTCGGGGGGAGGCCTGTGCGTTGCCCCCTGTGTCCAATAGCCGGGAGCTCTGACCCCTGAAAGCCTGAGTCGAGATGCTGACCACTGGCCTCGTTCTATGCCCCATCTGTGGCCAGACCTGCTTCCCTGATAGCAGCGGGAACGAACCATATGTACAGTCTGTTTGACCTGCGTTTTCTCCTTTAATAACATATGTTATCGTATCATTCAGGGACAGGATAAATGACTCGCTTTAAAAACAGTCAACCACTGCCGGGCGCGGTGGCTCATGCCTGTAATCCCAGCACTTTGGGAGGCCGAGGTGGGCGAATCACCTGAGGTCAGGAGTTCGAGACCAGCCTGACCAACATGGAGAAACCTTGTCTCCATGTCTCCATGACTAAAAATACAAAAAAATAAAAATAAAAAGTAGCCGGGCATGGGAGCACATGCCTGTAATCCCAGCTACTCGGGAGGCTGAGGTGGGAGAATTGCTTGAACCCCGGAGGCAGAGGTTGCGGTGAGCAGAGATCTCACTATTGCACTCCAGCCTGGGCAACGAGAGCGAAACTCCATCTCAAAAAGAAGACAAAAAACAGTCAACCACTAAGTGGCACATCTGAATTGGAACTTAAGTCTGTCTGACCCACTGTCCATGCCTTTTGCATTATGCCAGGAAAAAAAAAAAAAACCTCATTTAAAAAGCTTCCACCTCCCCCTTGATTTTAGGAGGAAGAGGGACCTAAGACCCAGTTGCAAATGAAAACCTTTTAGTGTCCAGGCCATCTCCAGGTTGTCTGTATGGGGCTTACATACTTCCTCCCCAGTTCATAGTCAGGGAAGGCCTCTTCATCTGATCACACAGCTCCTGGCATTTTAAAATGCTTATTGGATTCATGGATTTGATGCCAATCTTGTCCTTAAGATGGTGTCTGTTTGACTACCCCAGTCCGTTGCTTCTAGTTCTGTGACATCAACAGAATTTTTCTTTCTGAAAACTTTACAGGAATATAGCAGAGAGAGTATAACTGATACTAGTGTGGGACCCCAGCGTTTGACCGGTTGGCAGAGTTCAAGTTCTGAATTCACCACTCTGTAGTGCCATTTAGTCAGTCCTGCTTGGTGGTCACGGGGGAAGCTTCTTTAGCCTCCCTTCAGATTTGTACTGGCCCTTCAGCCCATGTGCAGTCTTGGTGTGTGAGCTTGTTCTTGGTCATGAAAAGGACCAATAAAATGACCACCATTCATTGAGGGTTTTTTTTTGTACCAGGTGCTGTTTTAGGCACTTGACATGATAAAAATGATCACTGTCATTTTTTGAGTCCTTGCCGTGTCTCAGGCACACTGTTCAGTGTTTTACCTGCATTCCCTTTTCTAGTCAGTGTCTTATTATTCCCCATTTTACATGTGGGAAAACTGAGGCACAGAATAGTAGACTTGCTCAAGAAACTTGATAACGAGAACCCAGGACCATCTGACCACAAAGCTCAGCTCTTAGCTCTCACTGAGGAAATATGCATGGCTCTGAAGCCACAAATCTGGGCCCAGACTTTGAGAGGTCAGTCCCATTGGTATTCACATGTACAGGGTGGTACTTCACTGTTCACAACAGAGTCATGTTATCTAGTCCTTAGGGCGCTGTAGGTATTAGGGGCTTTGCAGCTGTTCATTCATCCAGTACTTGGCATAACCATCTTGTATTTTCCATTGTCATGGTTAACCCCAGCCCTGAGGAAATGGAAGTTGAGCAGCATCCTCTTGTCAGGAAGAAAGATATAATTACCCATAGAAGCAAAAATATTATGGGGAATTGAGAATGGTCAAAAGTGGCACTTTCAGGACCAATTTAAACTTTTTGTTATCCCTGTGTTGAGGCAATTGCTCTATAAAAATCACACTGCTAATGAAGTCAGATTGTCAGAGCCTGGTTTAGCCCCAGGCATCTCTTTGGGCTTGTCTTTATTCCCATCTTCCCATGACCCCCATACTTTAACCAATGTAAAGAAAACTTTTAGACTAATTTCAGTGTATTTCACTCGAATTAGTGATGGAATTTTGGTGATGTGAATGGGAATGCTCTAATTTGGGTGCTTCTCATGTAGATTGGCTGGTGGACAGAAGGCACTGCAGCCTGAAATGGCAGAGTCTGGTGCTGACGATCCGCGAGAAGATCAATGCTGCCATCCAGGACATGCCAGAGAGCGAAGAGATCGCCCAGCTGCTGTCTGGGTCCTGTGAGTGCTTAGGGGCTGTCACTGGAGTCCCCTCTTTGCTGAGGTAGTATGTATCAGCTGAGCTACTCTCTTGTTATTTAGCCACCAGGGCTGGCCTTTAGAGAGGGAGCGATTTTTATTTGAGGTATAGATGCTGGCTTCTTCCACTATGAAATGATTTAGGGAAAAGCTACACACTAAAGTTACTGGCAGTATATTATACATGAATCAGCCACCTGCAGTGCCCAGAGTAGGTGAAGAAGATACTTTAGTTCTCGAAATCCCGTCTCTTGCTTTCTAGACATTCACTACTTTCACTGCCTAAGAATCCTGGACCTTCTCAAAGGCACAGAGGCCTCCACGAAGAATATTTTTGGCCGATACTCTTCACAGCGGATGAAGGCAAGTGTGGGCCAAGGGCCGGTAGTATGTGGTTGGGGACATCCAATCCGAGGAGTCATAGCCTCTGTGGTCTCTCTGAGGCTCCAGTGGGGATGCCTACATAGAATATTTCCTGAACTTTCACTCTGTCTCTATAGTTTACTCCAAAAGTGGATCCTATCCCTGAGTTTAATTTTCAAACCCACTGCTTTAGGGATTGCCTGCACTCTTAAAGTGGGTGGTCCAGCCAGCAGAGTTGAAAGAAGGACAAGGAGTTTGTGTTTGATGTGATGTAAAGGCTGGGAGAACTTACCCTGTTTAGGGATTGAGCTGGGATGTGGCTGTCGAGTGCTTTTCTGGCTTAACATTGTTTTTCTGTTCTTACTCAGGATTGGCAGGAGATTATAGCTCTGTATGAGAAGGACAACACCTACTTAGGTAAAGTGGCCCGGCCTGGGAGCCCTGGTATCCATGGGGAAGCCCACTCTCAGAGTTCTGAGATACCAGGCTTATAGGAGGCACAGTCTGTGAGTGGGAAGAGACTGGAGTGTAGATGTTGCCCATTTGTAGGTGGTAAAATCAATTGTTTTTGATGGAATTGATTTTCCCTGAGTGGAGTGCTGGGGGAAGGAGGAGGTCCAGGCCGGTAGTGGCCATTCGCCGTGCCTCAGCGAGCAGGTGTGTGTGGGTCCTCCACCACTCACCTCTTGGTTAGCGGGAGTGTGCTGCCCCCACCCCCACCCCCGCACCCCCATTCTACACAAGGCAGAAGAGGCACGGGTTTTTCTGGGAGCGAATATCAAGTGCCTGAGAGCAACTACAGGACTAACTGTGTTTGGGTTGGGTGTAGTATAAATAATAATAATGGCTAATATTTCCTGAGCATCTACTAAATGCAAGGAATTGTGCTTGGTGTGTCATGTGGATTCTCTCTTGCATCTTCATGATAAATGTTATTGTCGCTGTTTTACCGATGAGGGTTGGATTAGAGGGGTTAAACAACTTGTCTTAGGCTCCACAGCTGGGAACAAGTGGGGCTGGGAAGCTGACTTCGTGCTCTTCACCACCACAAAGGATGTGTGTGCATCCTGGGGCATGCCTGCCTCATGTGGGGGTGTCCTGGGCTGAATTTCCTGGGCACTTCTCAGTGGAACTCTCTAGCCTCCTGGTTCGGAATGTCAACTATGAGATCCCCTCACTGAAGAAGCAGATTGCCAAGTGCCAGCAGCTGCAGCAAGAATACAGCCGCAAGGAGGAGGAGTGCCAGGCAGGGGCTGCCGAGATGCGGGAGCAGTTCTACCACTCCTGCAAGCAGTATGGCATCACGGTGAGCGGCGGCAGCCTCTTCGCAGCCAGAGGACACCTGGGCCCCTGCTTGTCTTCCTCTGACCCCGTCTGACCCCTCAGCCTGGTTGCACCCCCTTTGGGCCAGTGTCTTACTTTTCTTCGGTCTTTGGATGTTTTCTTCAATCTGTTGGACTCCACCTCTTCTCCCCTCTCTAGGGCGAAAATGTCCGAGGAGAACTGCTGGCCCTGGTGAAGGACCTGCCGAGTCAGCTGGCTGAGATTGGGGCAGCGGCTCAGCAGTCCCTGGGGGAAGCCATTGACGTGTACCAGGCGTCTGTGGGGTTTGTGTGTGAGAGGTAGAGAGGCCTCAGCTTCTCCTGGTGGGGGTGCTTTGCCTGTGTTCCCCAGCTCATGACCCTTCTCCAGTTGTCTTGTTCCCATATAACATTTGAACTCTTTACACACCTGAACCTGTGGGGGCCTTGCCCATTTGACCATGTGGCCCAGGCCAAAGCCCAGTGTTGGCCTTACGCATGGTCGGCAGGAGAGTCAGTTGTGTGCTCTGTTGAAGCCCCACAGAGCAGGTGTTGCCAATGCTGCGGTTCGTGCAGAAGCGGGGAAACTCAACGGTGTACGAGTGGAGGACAGGGACAGAGCCCTCTGTGGTGGAACGACCCCACCTCGAGGAGCTTCCTGAGCAGGTGGCAGAAGATGCGGTAAGATGGGCCTTGTGATGAGCTGTAGGAGTGGAGTGGGAGCTGCTTGTCCCCTCCCCACCCCCAACAGCCCAACCCAAGACCCAGAGAGAAGAAGGGAGGATTTCTGTGAGAGTGACTGTAGGTAGAAGGGCCCAGGAGGCCCTACTCCTTTATTTTTCTGAGTATAGGTGAGTGAGTGCCACAGAGGCTTTGCAAGGTGGTTCGCTTTGAACTCGGAACCTCCATCATGTGAGCTCTCTGAAGATGGGCTTTCTTTGGGGTAGCTTAGAGGCCACTGCATTTGAACAGTGTGCTCTCTACAGAAGCAGCTGAGGCCTGTGGGAAGGCAGCCCCACCCTCCTTTTTAAATTAATTTATTTTTGAGACTGGGCCTTGCTCTGTTGCCCAGGCTGGAGTGCAGTGGCATGATCCTTGCTGACTGCAACCTCTGCCTCTCAGCCTCAAGCGATCCTCCCAAGTCAGCCTCCAAGATAGCTGGGATTACAGGTTTGCACCACCACTCCTAGCTAATTTTTTATTAACATCTTTGTAGGGACAGGATTTTGCCATATTGCCCAGGCTGGTCTCAAACTCCTGGGCTCAAGCAATCCACTATCCTCGGCCTCCCAAAGTACTGGGGTTACAGACATGAGCCACCATGCCCGGCCCTTTTTAAATCCATCTTCCATGAGCTAACACTCTCTTTCCCTTTCCAGATTGACTGGGGCGACTTTGGGGTAGAGGCAGTGTCTGAGGGGACTGACTCTGGCATCTCTGCCGAGGCTGCTGGAATCGACTGGGGCATCTTCCCGGAATCAGATTCAAAGGTGAGGAGGCCTTCTCAGTCTGTCTCTCTCTGATCACTACTCTAACCATAAGAAAAGTGTCATTTGTGTCTGTAACGGCATCACTTGAAGTTCATAGCTCTAAGACCAGGTATAGTCCAAGGGAGGCAGAGTTTCACACGTCACATGTCAGAGTTTTGTTTTGTTTTTTGAGACAGAGTCTCATTCTGTCGCCCAGGCTGGAGTGCAGTGGTGCAATCTCGGCTCACTGCAACTTCCGCCTCCCAGGTTCAAGTGATTCTCCTGCCTCAGCCTCCCAAGTAGCTGTGATTATAGGCGCCCACCACCACACCCCTCTAATTTTTTATTTTGTTTGTTTGTTTGTTGAGACAGAGTCTCACTCTGTCGCCCAGGCTGGAGTGCAGTGGCATCATCTTGGCTCACTGCAACCTCTGCCTCCCGGGTTCACGCCATTCTCCTGCCTCAGCCTCCTGAGTAGCTGGGACTACAGGCGCCCGCCACCACGCCCGGCTAATTGTTTTGTATTTTTAGTAGAGATGGGGTTTCACCATGTTAGCCAGATGGTCTCGATCTCCTGACCTCGTGATCCGCCCGCCTCAGCCTCCCAAAGTGCTGGGATTACAGGCGTGAGCCACCGCGCCCGGCTAATTTTTGTATTTTTAATAGAGACAGGGTTTCGCCGTGTTGGCCATGCTGGTAACTCCTGACCTCAGGTGATCCACCTGCCTCGGCCTCCTGAGGTGCTGGGATTACAAGCGTGAGCCACTGCGCCCAGCCCATGTGAGAGTTAAATTTTGATGTCCTTTTTCTTGGTGTTTGGTACAGGGTGTAGGGGTAAAGGCAGGTGGGAACACTACAGAGCAGGGATGATGGGCCATACTGCCATTTTTGGCACCTAAGTCAGGGCTGCAAATCCTTAATAGAGTTGGAATGTGCAGCCATTGACCTCATCAAGGGCTTTGGTTTATTCTGGCTCCTTGGCTCAGGAAAATTCTCCCCCCATTGCTGTGGTTCTTTGCTCTCCTTCCAGGATCCTGGAGGTGATGGGATAGACTGGGGAGACGATGCTGTTGCTTTGCAGATCACAGTGCTGGAAGCAGGAACCCAGGGTAAGTGCACCATCCCCTGCAGCCCTGGCAAAAGTGGGGTGCTCAAGGGCCCCCACGTGTCTAGAAACAAAAAATGCAGCGCTAAGATGAGGCTTCTTGCACATTTAACTGTTTCTCAAAACCTTGATGAGGATGTGAGCTGAGGGGGACCAAGAGAGGTTTTTTTTTTTTTTTTGGAGACGGAGTTTCGCTCTTGTTGCCCAGGCTGGAGTGCAATGGCATGATCTCAGCTCGCTGCAACCTCCACCTCCTGGGTTCAAGCTATTCTCCTGCCTCAGCCTCCCGAGTAGCTGGGATTACAGGCATGCACCACCACGCACAGCTAATTTTATATTTTTTTAGTAGAGTTGGGGTTTCTCCATGTTGGTCAGGCTGGTCTCGAACTCTTGACCTCAGGTGATCCACCTGCCTCGGCCTCCCAAATGCTGGGATTATAGGTGTGAGCCACCGTGCCTGGCCCAAGAGAGGTTCTTAAAAGTTGAGAGTTTAGAAACTCTCAACTTTTTAGAGACCACATGTGGGCCAGCTGTTATGGTAGGAGGGCTCTAGGGGGATCGGGGCCCTGGAGTGTGACATGACCCCCGCCCCAACAGCAGAGAAGACGTAGTGGTGTCTGAGCCACTAGAGGGCGGTGCAGGATGAAACTTTACCTCCTGCGGTCCACCAGAGCAGAGAGCCGGCCTTTCTACCCCTCTGAACCCAGCTCTGGTCCTCCTCTCAGTCTGGGAGTTGGAAAGTGGTACCTGATTAGAGCTGAGACACCTGGGACAAGGTAGCCTTCCCCCTTGGATTAGAACAAGAAGTGGCTTTAGCACAGTGAGTCTGTCCGTATTAATCCTCCAGGGCTTCTCACACTTGAGGGTCTTTTCCTTCTCCAGTCCTCTGATCCTTTATCACTTCTCTGTCTCTTCCTGGCAGCTCCAGAAGGTGTTGCCAGGGGCCCAGATGCCCTGACACTGCTTGAATACACTGAGACCCGGAATCAGTTCCTTGATGAGCTCATGGAGGTACTGTCATCTCTGGAAGATGCAGGGGGGAGGCATGGCACCAGCACAGGTGGCTTCACTCCAGATGCCTGACCTGACCCCTCCTGTTTGTGTGAAGGGTGTGAGTGCTATTTGTGTCCTACAGCAGGAGCCTCACGTATTAGATGCCTCCTATTCATCCAGTTACTTATCAGGTACCTCCTAGGCACCTGGCACTACCTTAGGCACCAGAACTTGGGTGGTGAATAAGACAGTCAAAGTCCTTGACCTCATGGAGCTTATATTCTAATGGGGAATGCAGACTGGAAAGAAGATAAATAAATAAAATATGCAGGATGCTAGATGGCACCAAATGCCACGGAGAAAGAGAAAGTAGGGGAGGATGACGAGGATGTTGGAAAGGGCTATGGTTTTGTATCTGGTGGTCAGGGAAGGCCTCATTGAGAAGGTGACCTGTAATCAAGACTGCAGGCGGTGCAGAGAGAACCATGCAGATGTCTGGCAGAAGGGCTTCCCAGGCAGAGAGAGCAAGTGCAGAGGTCCCGAGGTGGGAGCAGACCTTGCACAGTTGACCAGCAACATGGAGGCTGGTGTGGCTGAGGAGAGAGAGCTGGTGGGGAGTAGAAGAGCTCAGAGATGTAGCGTCTGAACCTTGGTTTGCCTCTGAGTGAACTGGGAAGCTGTTGGAGGTTTCGAGCAGGTTAGGAACATGATCTCATTTGTGTTTAAGGACGATCCCTGTGGCTAAGGTGTTGAGCAGCCCAGCGTAAGGAGCCAGCGTTCTTGGACCTTTGTTGTAAGGCTGGGAGGACGGGGTCCTGTCTTTGTTAATCTCTGTATCTGCTCCCTTCCCAGTAGCCTGCTGGTTCGGAGAGCCTCCTGAAAGTTCTGTCCTCACCCAGTTCTCTCCTCTTTCTGCCCAGAGGCTCCTCCCAGCCTCAAGGGGAGAGGACAAAAGATATCTGTGAAGTTTTAACGGCAGAATAGGATTGATAAGTTAATATGGCTGGCTCTTGTATTCTTTTCAGCCTTGCCTTAATCCAGTGCTTCTCAAACATGTATTTCTGTTCCCTGAATCTCATTCCTCCCATGGAGACAAAATAAATACCTTCCCTGGGCAGAGAGAACCCTTTGAGTCTCTGTATTCTCAGTTATCTGATCCCAGGCTGGGGAGAAAGGACAGAGGTCTGGGGTTAGGATGAGATAGGAGGTGGGGACTGAAGGGTGACAGTAGTCTCTCCTAGCGCTTACAGTGTTCAGAGGAAACTCCTTACCCAGAGTCTAGCCCTCATGTCTCATTTTTGCATTTCGAGTAGTCCGAGGGCTTAGATTCTGAGTTCTTCTCTCAGTTTGAACCAATTTATCTTCTTTTTTTCTTTCTTCCTTTTTTTTTAAAAAGAGTTTCTCTGTCGCCCAGTCTGGAGTGCAGTGCAGCAATCATAGCTCACTATAACCTCAAACTCCTGGGCTCAAGTGATCCTCCCGCCTCAGCCTCCTGAGTAGCTGGGACTACAGGCATACACCACCATGTTTGGCTAATTTTAAACATTTCTGTAGAGACAGGGTCTCATCGTTTCCCAGGCTGGTCTTGAACTCCTGGCCTCAAGCGATCCTCCTGCCTTGGCCTCCCACAGTGCTGGAATTGCAAGTGTGAGCCATCATGTACAGCCTGAACCAATCTTTCTTCTGTCCTCAGCTTGAGATCTTCTTAGCCCAGAGAGCAGTGGAGTTGAGTGAGGAGGCAGATGTCCTGTCTGTGAGCCAGTTCCAGCTGGCTCCAGCCATCCTGCAGGGCCAGACCAAAGAGAAGATGGTTACCATGGTGTCAGTGCTGGAGGATCTGATTGGCAAGCTTACCAGTCTTCAGCTGCAACACCTGTTTATGATCCTGGCCTCACCAAGGTCTGGCTTCCCCTTGATGCAAGGCTCTGCCATCTTGAGCAGCTCTGCCTCCTTGTATTCCTCCTCTTGTTCCATGACCCCTTAAACCCCATCCCTGCCTCCTGGCCATTGCCATCCACTGGGGATAGGGGTTCTCTTTGGGACAAGAGGGGGAGGTTTCACATATACAGGAAGAATCTGCTTGCTTCCTGAGTAGGACAGGGGAACTGGGAGTGGGTTTTCCTTAAAAGGAAAGGGTTTAAGGATGTGAGGGTAAGCGGCCAGTTGGGGGTTTGGTTTCCCGAGCCTCTCACCTCCCCAGCAGCTGAATGGGAATGCTCAGGATGCACAGCTAACCCAGCACTCACCTGAGTGCCCCGCACAGGTATGTGGACCGAGTGACTGAATTCCTCCAGCAAAAGCTGAAGCAGTCCCAGCTGCTGGCTTTGAAGAAAGAGCTGATGGTGCAGAAGCAGCAGGAGGCACTTGAGGAGCAGGCGGCTCTGGAGCCTAAGCTGGACCTGCTACTGGAGAAGACCAAGGAGCTGCAGAAGCTGGTGAGATGGGAAAGGGAGGCCTGCCAGTGGGAGGACTCCCAGTCTGTGCAAAATGAGGCCCTGAGCACCCCTGCTTCTGCCCACTTGGTATCACTCTTTCAGATTGAAGCTGACATCTCCAAGAGGTACAGCGGGCGCCCTGTGAACCTGATGGGAACCTCTCTGTGACACCCTCCGTGTTCTTGCCTGCCCATCTTCTCCGCTTTTGGGATGAAGATGATAGCCAGGGCTGTTGTTTTGGGGCCCTTCAAGGCAAAAGACCAGGCTGACTGGAAGATGGAAAGCCACAGGAAGGAAGCGGCACCTGATGGTGATCTTGGCACTCTCCATGTTCTCTACAAGAAGCTGTGGTGATTGGCCCTGTGGTCTATCAGGCGAAAACCACAGATTCTCCTTCTAGTTAGTATAGCGGACTTAATAAAAGAGGAAAAAACTCTTGCTTCAGTACTGACAGTTCCTTATGCTGCTTCTCTGAGCCTGCAGTTGAGGCTTCGCACCTGTTTTCGTGGGGTTCTTGATCCAGGTGGGCTCCCTGATCCAGGTGGGCTCCCCAGGCCATCAGCTGTCACTGTGGAGCCCCAAGTTGAGGACTTTTCCCCTTTGCTTCTGGTGATAAAGAGGACCCCACATCTACAAATGGTTCAGTAAGGGGCTCTGGGATGGCTACGTGTGGGCCCCTTTCCATAACCAGGCCCAGGCCGCCCGACTCAGGCCAGAAGCCCTGGGGGAGCGGTCAAGCAGCAGCCTTGTTGGAGCCAGCAAAGCTGCATTTTCCTTTTAATCACAGCTTACCTCCAGGCAGAGGGAAAATGCGGTTTGGGGAGGAAGGGTCTGATAAACAAGGTGGAGACAGGAGCTGTCACCTTCCCTGGCTGCCTGTCCACTTCCTGCCCATAACTGCCCGCTCTGTGATCGGATAGAGCCCACCCCAGGATAGCAGCCCTCTCCCAAGCCACCTACCCATCCCCATTTCCCAGGAAGGGTAGGGGTTGGGGGTGGCTGGCAATTCGATTTTAATTTCATAGCAGAGCAGTTGATTCATGGCTCTTTGTCGCTGGCGTTGACTCCCGTAATGACTTTCCATCAAAATGAAAAGTGGAGTGACACCACTCATTATTCCTGCTGCTTGTTATCTCAGTTCTGGGGAGGGCCACCCCCTCCCCACTGCCTTTCAGCCGTCCTGGACAGTGAGTGATGGCGCCTATTAATCACCGACCCCGCGGACTCCAGCCAAAGGAGAGAGAGATAAGGCAGCATGAACTGCTCGAAGCCGTTCCTATCAATTAATGTCAACCCACCACTTCCCCCCAATCTTTGCCTGGTCACCTCTTTCTGGGGGATCAGGGGCTGAAATGAGAAGTCCGGGAATTGGAAAAATATTGGTGTTGAACATGGAGGTAAGACTCCGCAGACTAGCAGGGTATAGAGGAGGTAAGTGGACTGCACTCTGGCCTCAACACTCAGGAGGGATGCTCTTGGCTTAGGGAACTGCCTGCTGCTCTTGGTCCCTCTCCCTCTGGGAGATTGCCTTCTAGCTCCTGCCCCACCTGTTCAGCTGCTGGCTCCGTTGGCCATCTGGCCAGCCTCTTGCAGTAGCAGTCAGTTCACTGAGGCATACTACCCTTGCCCACTCTAATGTCCTTTGCCCAGTCACCAGCTGTTACGCAGACTCCATTGCTTACAGCAATGGAGCTTCAGGGAGAAACCCCGTGGACCAGGTGACCATGGCAGACCGGGTTCAGGCCTCCAAAGCTTCTGCCCCTGCGCTTGCAGATGAGCACCTGACCTGCTTTCCCAGCCCTGCCTAAGGTCAGCGAGGGGAAGCAGTGCTCACTGAGGTTTGGCTATTTTCCCAGGAAGGGAAGTGGGTTTAGATAGAGTTTTCTCAGCTGATTTTGGCCCCCTTGGTAAGCAGTGTGGTTAGGCCACTGCTCTGGATCAGAGATACTAGGTGACTGCTTAACAGGTGACATCAAGGCCCACCCTGATCCCCAGGCTGAGGCAAGTGGTTTCATGAAAGCCTTTAACTCGATAACATTGGGTTTGTTCTCCAGAACCTTTAGCCTCCCTTTCCTTTACCGCCGCCTGCTTCCTGAGTCCAGCCCTCCTGGCCATGCTGAAGGCACTGAAGGGATCCACCCGGCTGGTTCTCCCTGGCAAGAGCAGCTCTGTGTCTTTCAGGTCTGCCTCCAGCTTCCCTGAGCTTCACTGGTTGTATTTGGGTTCCTGCTTGTGTATCTCAGAATGCCCTCAGAAGTCGTTGTAGGGACAGAATGAGTTAAGATATGCAGAGCTCTTAGAACGCTGCCTGGTGCGGAGGAGGCTCTTGGTGGACATGTGTGAGCTCTTATTTTTGGTTTGGGGAACCATGATGAGGACTCTCCATCCTGGCCTAACTTGTCTTCTTGGAAAGGAGAGGTGAGGGGCTTTAGGGGAGCTTGAGACCAAGTTTCAAGCAGTCAGGTTGAAACTTCCCTCTTTCAGGGAAAGAGGGAAGCGGTGCACCAAGATTACACCCTCAGAATCCTTAGTTTGATGTGAATTATGCTGCCAAGAGCACACTATACTTTTGTGTTGACTTTTATCCCACCTCTTTCCAGAGAGGATTTAAGGCAACGCCTCTCACTACTTGGCTAAGACTCCTCACCCGGCTTCAGATAAGGAAGCAGCGAGTCACCTTTCCAAAATTCTCTGCTTGCTAAATCCAGCCATGGCTCAGCCCCACTCACTGCCTCTCTGCCCAAACATTGCCTCTCTCCCTGCGTCAGTTCTACCGTGTCCTCTCCGGTGTGGTTCTCTTTATAGACCACAAAAGTAGGATCCCTTTGCACTGCAGCCTGCAGTGGCTGACTGTGAACATGGGATAAGTGGAGTGCTAAGGCTCGTTCATCTGGGCCCCAGCGGTCCACCCCCTGTGCCCCTCTGAGGGCCTGCCAGTATCATGGGGAGTCTGGCACATCTAGAATTCCTTTCCTATTGCCAGTTCAGAGCAGGGAACAAGCTGCATCATTCAGAGTGAACATCTCCTCACCCATCTAAAGAATTAACCTGCTCTGGAGACCTGGCCGGGAGTTGAGGACAAAAGAAAGGCACATCCCCAGCCTTTGGGAGCAGAAGCCAACCTTGCTGGAGCTCCTCACATGCACCTCCCAACCACCATTAATTCCCCAGAATTAATGGTTGCGTACAGTTTCTCCCCAGAAACCCAGGTCCTGTGGCTCTTCTCTGCCTTTTCATACACTCCTACCTGTTCTGTTAATGATTTTTATTTCATCTGTTTTTAAAACTTATTATTTTTGAGACAGTTTTGCTCGTCACCCAGGCTGGAGTACACTGGCGCGATCTCGGCTCACTGCAACCTTTGCCTCCCGGGTTCAAGCGATTCTTCTGCCTCAGCCTCCCAAGTAGCTGGGATTACAGGTGCAGTAGAGCCTGGGTTTCACAGCATTGGCCAGGCTGGTCTTGAACTCCTGACCTCAGGTGATCCACCCACCTCGGCCTCCCAAAGTGCTGGTATTACAGGCATGAACCACCATGCCTGGCCTAAACTTATTTTATTTATTTATTTTTTTTTTGAGACAGAACCTCACTCTGTCACCCAGGCTGGAGTGTAGTGGCGTGATCTTAGCTCACTGCAAGCTCTGCCGCCCAGGTTCAAGCGATTCTCCTGCCTCAGCCTCCCGAGTAGCTGAGATTACAGGCACCTGCCACCACGCTCAACTAATTTTTGTATTTTTAGTAGAGACATGGTTTCGCCATTGGTCAGGCTGGTGTTGAACTCCTGACCTCATGATCCACCCGCCTCAGCCTCCCAAAGTGCTGGGATTACAGGCGTGAGCCACCGTGCCTGGCAACCTAAACTTATTTTTTAATAGAGACAGGGTCTCACTATGTTGTCCAGGCTGATCTCAAACTCCTAGCCTCAAGGGATCCTCCTGCCTCAGCCTCCCAACGTGCTGGGATTACAGGTGTGAGCCACCTCATTGGGCCTATTTAATCTAATTGCCACTTGTTTGATCTCTTTCCCAACTCCTGTACATGCACATACAAAATTTAATAAAAGTGATAGGAAGACAAACATGTAATACAGTGTGTTGGTGATTAGCACGTTCTTGAGATCTGGACTGCCTGGGTCAAACTCTGTCTCTGTTCTTACTCCCTTGGGCAAGTTGCTGGACCTCTCTGCCTCATTTCCTTCACCTGTAAAATGAAGACGAAGACCTTGGGTAGGAAGCTGTGGTGAGCATGCACACCACTTAGAACAGTGCCTGGAGGCCGGGCGCAGTGGCTCATGCCTGTAATCCCAGCACTTTGGCAGGCCAGGGCAGGCGGATCATCTGAGGTCAGGAGTTCCAGACCAGCCTGGCCAACATGGTGAAACCCCGTCTCCACTAAAAACACCAAAAATTAGCCAGCATAGTGGCAGGCACCTGTAATCCCAGCTATTCAGGAGGCTGAGACAGGAGAATCGCTTGAACCCAGGAGACGGAGGTTGCAGTGAGCCGAGATCGCGCCATTGCACTCCAGCCTAGGCAACAAAAGTGAAACTCCGTCTCAAACAAAAACAAAAACAAAAAAACAGTGCCTGGCACAGTAAGGCTCAGACTAGCTGTTGTGAGAGGGCGGTGGGGTGGAAATACCCTCAGCTGAGGTTAGAAAGTTGTGTTCTAGGCCGGGCGTGGTGGGTCACGCCTGTAATCCCAGCACTTTGGGAGGCTGAGGCAGGTGGATCATGAGGTCAGTAGTTCGAGACCAGCCTGGCCAGTACAGTGACACTCCGTCTCTACTAAAAATACAAAAATTACCTGAGCGTGGCGACATGCACCTGTAGTCCCAGCTACTCGGCAGGAGAATCGCTTGAACCCAGAGGCGGAGGTTGCAGTGAGCCAAGATCTCGTCACTGCACTCCAGCCTGGGTGACAGAGCAAGACTTTGTCTCAAAAGAAAAAAGAAAGTCGTGTTCTGGTGCCCCATATTCCAACATGTCCCAAATCAAAGCCATTGTCCACACCCACACTGCATCTCTCTTTATTTCCTGACAGTTTCATCAGTGGTGTCCTGGGCTCTGCTGGCTGCTCTTTCTAATCCACCCTGGGCCTTTTCACCCTAGTCATTTCCCTGCTTAGAAACTCTGAGGCTCTGTAGTGCCCCAAATTCCTAGAGTAGCAGCCGCCAAGCCCTGCATAATTGGAACCCCACCAGCCTTTTCAGCCTGGGCTACCCACCCAAGACATCAAATCCACATGTGTCCTCGAGGCCCCATCCTTTACTCGGCTCCCTCCAAACCATCTTGACCCCCGATTCAGATGAGGCCCAAATGCATCTCTGTGGACATCTCCAGTTGTCCCTGCAGAATTAGTCACTCCATCCCTCAGCAGCATCCTGCAGCCCCATGCAGATATCCTTAGGAGGGGGGAGCTCTTATTTATTGTGTTATATGCCTTCCTGAAGTGCCTGCCCACTGAGCTGCTTGCGGGCAGGAATGGTGTCTTGACCACATTTATGTCTCTCTTGGAGTATCAAACGTTAGCTTCTCTGAACTTTAATTGTCTTAATGCTCTCTAAAATGACTTTGACCTCTGACATATTATGATCATGTGGCTTACAAGTTAACACAAAGGAAGAGTCTCACGAAGCACAAGAAGTTTGGGAAGAAAATTGGGGTTAAGTCAGCTTTTTAAATGGACTGATGGCCAGGTGGGGTGGCTTACGCCTGTAATCCCAGCACTTTGGAGGCCGAGGCGGGAGGATCACTTGAGCCCAGGAGTTCGAGACCAGCCTGGGCAGAGTGCCTGCCTACCCCGAGGATCATTTCTGGGCCTCATCTCTCCTCTTTCACTGTTTGGTTGAGGACATTTCTGGAGAGGAAAGTAGAGGGCTATTGTCCCATCCTTTTGGAGATATCATTGCTTCATAGAGTTAGGTTTGCTATCAAAGCTGGGGCCTCCTCCCTGTCTGAATACCACCATCTGCTGGGCTTTGAGCAAGCCGTTCTGCCCTCTGAGCAATCGGGCCCGAGGAGCTGCGTCCAGGGTAGCTGTCCCGCCTGGCAGAGCCTGAGCCCAGCAGGAGGGCATCAAGGCTGCTGCAGGCGTGTAGAGCCCGGGGGCACCAGCTGACCCGGATCTGCCTGTGTCCTCCAGATGCCCTTCCTCCCTGGTGACTGCCAGGGCCTCTCTGAGTAAATTGGCCCTGAGTAAACTCTTACTTAGCCAGCCCGCCACCCTCCTCTCATTCCCCAGGCTTCAAAGAAAACCAGTTTGAATATTTAAACTTCTCCTGTGTATCTAATAAAAAGTTCTGCACTACTTAACGCCCCAGCTATCCATTACTGTCGGGAGCTGCTCTCTCCCTCCCAGCATTCCCCTCCCTCCCTCTCGCCCAAACCACGAGCATGGCAAAGCCATTTGTCAAACCGCTCCCGCCACTGGCTGCGCTTGGCTGTGTCTGAAAGGACAAGCCGCCCCACAGGGGAAGGTGGGAATGAATAAAGGGGCTATGCAAATTGCTGCTTAATCTGCAGAGAAACACCCAGGCTTTGGGGAGACGCTCATTACTTCTTTTAACTGTGATTAACGGGCAAATTAAACCCAAGCCCTTAACTCTCTCCTGGCAGAGGACTTGAACGCAGAGCCCTGGGCCAGTGAGGTTGGAGGGAGGTAGTTGCATCTGTACCTGGGGACCAGGACCGAGGAGCATCCGCACTGCCCCTTAACCCTGGTAGAAGGGAGGGGAACCCCAAATGCCTGAGGGCAGACCCAGCACAACTAATCTTAAAGCACAGGGAAGGAAGAACTTAGTTCTTTCAGAAGACAGTTCTGTCTGTCATTCAAGAAAAAGCAAAGTCAGGTTGGGCATGGTGGCTCATTCCTGTAATCCCAGCACTTTGGGAAGCTGAGGCAGGTGGACTGCTTGAGCCCAGGAGTTCGAGACCAACCTGGACAACATAGCAAAACCCCGTCTCTACAAGAGATACAAAAAATTAGCCGGATTTGGTGGCCTGCACCTGTAGTCCCAGCTACTGTGGAGGCTGAGGTGGGAGGGTCACCTGAGTCCAGGAGGCAGAGGCTGCAGCGAGCCAAGATCACACCACTGCACTCCAGCCTGGGCGACAGAGACCCTGAATCAAAAAAAAAAAAAAAAAAAAAGTAACATGGAGGACAGGCACAGTGGCTCACACCTGTAATCCCAGCACATTGGGAGGCCAAGGCGGGTGGATCACTTGAGGTCAGGAGTTTGAGGCCAGCCTGGCCAACATGCTGAAACCCCATCTCCACTAAAAATACAAAAAAAAAAAAAAGCAAAGTCACTGGTCCCTTGAATTTGCTTCCATCCTTCCCCTCCCCCCACACACACATACACACACACACAAAAACCCTGGGAGAATTTCTTAGACCTCAAGTGCCAAAACATGTCAAGGGTGTGGCTAAAGTGGCTTTAGCCACAAACTGAGTTGCTGGTCAGACCAGCCCCAAGTCTGGTGCTGGAAAAGTGTGTTTAAGGAGCCTCCAGATGTTCAACTCCAAAAATGACCTTGAGATGTATTAACCAGGGAGGTGAGGAAGCAGGAGGTGGGGGAGCTGAGTGTGCTTCTGGAAGGGGAGACACTGGGAATGGCCCTGCGCTGGCCATACGGGTTACAAGCACACACCCTACAAGGGGTCAAAGAGCCAAGGCAGCTCTCTTCATTCCTTATCCATCTGTGGGTTTTGGTTTTGGTTTTGAGGTAAGACATACATAGAATAAAATGTATCATTTTAACCTTTTTTGAGCGTACAGTTCAGTGACATTCACATTGCTGTACCACCATCATCACTATCCATTCTGTTTTTGCAGAATATTGAGCCATCCTAGGAGACCTGTAATCACCTCTAACAAACAGCAACAATGGAGGCAGGGCCCTGTAGCTAGAAGAGTTCTGTGTGAAATCCAGAAAATTGGAGAACGCCCACAGGAGCCCCGGGAGATTGAAATAGAGGCCTGCCGTTCAGGAGGCAGGTTTGGGAGGAAATCCTGCAGAGATTCCCCATTAAACACAGATTTCCCCTAAGCTTGAGCGATTAGGAGGTGAAAGATGACATACAATGGTGACAGACTGTCTGTCAACCTGATAGGGCCGAGGAGAGACACGGCCCCGTATTTTATTTTGTCGTGGAGTCGATCAGTAGGTCTGTCATAGAAACTAGCCCTGACAGCTCGCTCAACAACTCTGCTCTCTTTTCTTAACTCTTGAAGCCCAGCTCCACCATCTATTAAAACATCCTGGGCTGTCAGGGATATTAAAAGGCTCTGTCACTCTTTCTTAAAACAGTCATAAATACAATCTGGACACCAGCATTTGGGCAGGAGCCCCAGCATTGAGTGGGAAGAGGCAACAGCAGGTATGCCTGCCTTTCTTGACAGCCTGGGCTTTGGCATTGTTCAAATAGGGACCATGGACTTACCTCCTTTTTCTCTCTGTAGATGGAGGAATCATGGCCTTCTCTGATATCATGGATGCCTGGTATTTTGAAACAACTGTTCTTGACCACAGGATGTAGTCTTTGGTAAATGCAACCACAACTCTCAGCTTATCTCTGGCTCCTCATGCACCTAAACCACACCTGTTCCGAATGCCTACCTAAGGGAGTCTGGTTCCCAGGCCACCCCAGCTGGTAGGAGGGGGAGGAGGAACAAAAAGGTAATCAGAGTCTGAATTTTCCTCCACAATGGAGTTTGCCTCTTTCCCACTTCCATTCTTCTTGCTCCATGCAGCCTTGTAACTGACCCACCTTGCTAAAAAAGGTCTTTTGGGTGCCAGAAACTGACATGACACTTTGCAGGTGGGCTCCCAAGAGTGCAGGCTGGAACTTATGACCTTGCCAATTGGAGGAGCCCAGTCATCATCTCTAAATCTTTTATTTATTTATTTATTTAGACAGTCTTGCTCTGTCGCCCAGGCTGGAGTTCAGTGGCGCGATCTCGGCTCACTGCAACCTCCACCTCCCAGGTTCAAGCAATTCTCCTGCCTCAGCCTCCCAAGTAGCTAGGATTACATGCGTGTGCCACCATGCCTGGCCAATTTTTGTGTTTTTAGTAGAGACGGGGTTTTGCCATGTTGGCCAAGCTGGTCTTGAACTCCTGACCTCAGGTGATCCACCCGCCTCGGCCTCCCAAAGTGCTGGGATTACAGGCGTGAGCCACCGAGCCTGGCCCCATCAACTTCTGTGTTGACATCAGGGCAGTGCAGCACCAGGGAGCCTGGCATCTTAAGATGTCCTGTCTTTTGCCCACCAGTGTCCAGTGTCCAGAATCACTTTTCACCCCAGGACTTTCACTTAGCTTTGGATATTTTAAAACTACAGACTATGTGTTTTTCCCAACTGAGTTATCTTCTCAGCAGCTTTCTTCAAGTATTTTATGCCAAGAAGGGTCAGGCTTTTATGTTTTCTTTCCATGACATTAAATCCCTACTTTATTCCACTGTGTGGCCTCAGAGGGCAGAACTAGAGCCCACCTGTGGAGGTAACAGGGAGATGGATTTCCACCTGATATAAGGAAGCCCTTTCTGACAACCAAAAATGCCCTGCAAGGGCACAGGTGGGAAAGTCACATCACTGAAGACCTTAGGCTGACATTGGATCAATATCTGGTGGGGACACTGCTGAGAGTGGGAGGTTGGGTCAGATGACTCTGAGTCAATGATTTGGGTACTTGGTATGTCCAGAGGCTGGACGAGGCCTAGCAGCTGTTCACCAGCTGCCTTCCATGTGGCCATCTTGCAATTTAATCCCAGATGGTGGGACCCCTCACCGTCAAAGGTCACAGGGCCAGCTGCAGGGTAGTGGGCAAACCCTTCTTTGCCCCGGTAGCCCCCAGGCAGTGTCTGTGACCCAGCAGGCAGGATGTGGAAAGGAAAGAATGAGAGATGAAGCTGAGAGATCCCACCAGCGCCTCTGGTTGAGAAAGGCAGGCGGGAGCTCTGCCGGCTTCCCCTCCCCCTTTCACTTCACCCCCTCCCTGCTCCTTCCCTGTTTCCACCTGCCTTTCACTCTCTCTCCCTCTTTTGCTCTCTTCATCCCTCCCAGAGACCTCCCCCAATCTCCATGGCAATAAAAGGGGAGGTGGGGTGGGCTGTGCCCTGTATTTTTAGTTGCACCATAATAGCCCCTTTCTCTGGAGACACAGGGGCTGCCTGTGGAACGAATCTCCCCCTGCCCTTTGGCTCACAAAGGGCCAGGGAAGCCCCTTCAGCCTGGGCCGCCCTCTGTGACCCCGGCCTGTTTCCGGGTGGGGTGCACTTCCAGCCCTCGGGGGCCTGCAGCTGGGCCTCTCTCACGGGATCCTGCACACAGGCAGGGTCACCCCGGCTGACCTCCCCCGAGGACAGAGGTCAAGCCCCCTCTGGGGTCTCTGAAGTGATTGGAAGGGAGCCCAGGCAGGGGACAGGGGGAGGGGCGAGGAGGAGGGGACCTTCTCTTTTAATGTAAAATTAAATGACTCCCTGTGCCTCCCTGTCTGTGCCTATCTCAGGCTGGGTCCCCTGGCCTAGGACCTCACCCTTGGGGATCCAGGCATCTTAGAAATGAGTTAAACACCCTGCACTGGGGCTTGGTCAAACCTGAGTCCAGAGTATTAGAATAATAAAATCCCGGCAGGGCGTGGTGGCTCACGACTGTAATCCCAGCACTTTGGAAGGCTGACACGGGCAGATCATGAGGTCAGGAGTTCAAGCCCAGCCTGGCCAGCATGGTGAAACCTTGTCCCTACTAAAAATACAAAAATTAGCCAGATGTGGCGGCATACACCTGTAATCCCAGCTACTTGGAAGGCTAGGGCAAGTGAATTGCTTGAACCTGGGAGGTGGAGGTTGCAGTGAGCGGAGATCACACCACTGCACTCCAGCCTGGGCAACAGATCAAAATTCCATCTCGAAAAGAGATAAATAAATAAAAATAAAACCCTGGCATGGGAAATGGGAGGAACTCTGTAGGGCATCTGGGCCCGCAGAGTCAGCCCTGGATTTGAATCTGGTATTTGCTTGCTACCATGTGGCTTGAGACACTTCTGAGCCTTGATATGCTCATCTGCAGAGTCAACATCACAAGGTTAAGGCTCGAGTGAGATAATGCACATAACATGTTTCTTTGCACAGTGCTTGACTCCTAGTAGTTACTCAGGGTCCCACAGCTGTGACACTATTAGGCAGGAAGGAGTTCTTAGGCTTCAAAAATTCACCCGCTTAATTGAGGCTAGGGCATCCCCATTTCAGACCTTTAAAGATAGAGAAGCCACCATCCCCAGAGAAGAATAGTCAAGGCAGTATAGTGGATGAGAATCCAGGCTGGGAAGTCAGAGTGGCTGGAACTGAATTGACTATGTAGGGTTATTATGAAAATCAAACATGTTAACACATGAAACGTGCTCAAAAGGGAACTTGGCCCTTCACCCCCACTATATAAATGTTATTATTATTATTATTGATTTATTATTATTGGGTCTCTGTGGATTTTCCAGAAGACTGCTTATTTCAAATATGTAAAGCCCCTGTCCCTACAGGTTCCCCCTCTTTTCCATGTCACACAGCATGTTCTGATTCCCAGCAAGAAATAATATACGATCACTCTGACTTCGTTGGCTGATGAAAAAAAAATTCATTTTGTCCATGTAAATAGCACCTCTAAACAAGGGACACAGCTAACCCAGAAGGGAGTAATTGGCCCCATATAAAACAAGGCCAAGTGAAAGATACGAGTTCTGAAAAGCCGAAGGAGGTCTGGCGGGAGCTGCCGACAGCTCTTCTAACCTGCCCAACTTATTACTGGAATCATTTCAAGAGATAATTTAATGGTCTCCCTCTGTGTGGCCCTGTTCACTCCTGAAGGGAAATATATAAATAAATAAACAAACCTAACTACCCCAACCAACCCATGCTTTATGAGAACATCGCTTGCTTGTTTTTAATGGCACAGTTATTAATATAACTGTCCCGGCACCTCCCCTACATCTGATCACTGCTGAATTATAAGCCTTGAATCCTGATTGTGGTTCCCATGACTGCAGACGTTTCCACACTGTCCTGATGAGAGGAGAGAAGCAGCCCTCCACATGCAGGGAGGACTCAGAGGCTGGAGCGGGGACCTGCTGCCCTATCTGAGAGCATGCAGAATTTGGGGGACAAGGCTGAAACATGGAGCAGGAGGGGAAGAAAGGCGTCTGTAAGGTGTGATGAGGAAAGCTTTGGACTGAGGTCAGGAGACCTCAATTCAAAACAATCACTAGCTCTGGGATCTAGCTCAACCTCTCATCTGCCTCAAATAAATAGGAATCTTATTTTATATTTTATTTTTTTTTGAGACAGGGTCTTGTTCTGTTGCCCAGGCTGGAGTGCAGTGGTGTTAGCTCAGCTCACTGCAACCTCTGCCTCCTGGTCTAAAGGGATCCTCCCACCTCAGCCTCCTGAGTAGCTGGGACTACAGGTGCGGGCCATCACACCCAGCTAATTTTTTGTATTTTTAGTAGAGACAGGGTTTTGCCATGTTGCCCAGGTTGGTCTCAAACTCCTGGACTCAAGCAATATGCCTGCCTCGGCCTCCCAAAGTGCTGGGATTACAGGTGTGAGCCACCTTGCCCGTCTAAAACAGAAATTTTAAGAAATTCCTTTTCCCTTTGCTGTTTTTAAACACTTACAATGTGCCAGGCATCGTTAGCAAGATCTTATTTAATGCAGTCCCATAACCACCGTGTGTGGAGACTGATTTAATCCCCATGTAGTAGATAAGGAAACTCAGACTCTGAGAAATTAAGAAACTTGCCCAGCTGGTAAGCAGGGACGCTTGTTGACAGCCTGGATGTGCCTGACTGCAGGGCCCAAGCCCCTAACTACTAGGCTACACTGCCTTCCTGGGAAGTAACAGCTGTCCATCCCACCTGGCAGGATGGAGAGAGTCAGATGAGCCTATCCAAGTGAAGGGGCTCCATCACCTGTAAGCAGTATCATATGAGGTGGCTACAAGGCTTTCCCAACGGAAGGCGAGGGAGGCTGGAGTCTGATACACTAAGATTAGAGGCATGGACAACAAGAGCAAGCTGCAAAAGGCAGCAGCAACATCCCAAAGGGGACTGAATGAGTGACAAGCAGGCCACACCATTCCAACATTCACTCCAGAAGAAAGCTTTATTTCCTTTGACAACTGTGGATAGACAAGGAAAGGGGAGAATGTTCTCGTGTTCTGTGACTTCCTACCTCCATCAGAGGTGTAGTTAATTCTCATCTTACCGGGTCATCCTCAGGTACTTTGAGATGAGCAGGGCTCTGGTCTAGTTGAGTGGGGTGGACATGGCTGTTTCAGGCTACCCAGGACCCTGACACCACACGGAGAAGCCTCACTGAGTTCAGCCACAGTAGGGAGTTGGTAGAGCTAGGCATAAAGGCATAGAGGTGGCCAGGGGACAGACCCCCACCTTGCCCAGATTTGCTGGCACCAGAGGCAGCCTGAGGCCCAGGGCAACCAGGTGGCTGCTTGGTATTCTGCTCAGGCACCGCTGCATCCTGCCTCCTGGCTTCTCTGCTAGAGGGGCCTCCTCCCCCAGCCCAGCCTGGGCCATGCATTATCCTTGCAAGATTGAGGACCTAATGGAGGCGATCAGCACCCCCAGAGCGGGGGATCTCCATCCAGGCTTGGGAAGGAGGGCAGAGTAGTGCTAGTTGGCTTCTTTGCCCACCCTGAGATCGGGGTGTACTTGAGGGGGTCCCTGGAACTGGGGGCATTCTCTGCACCCCATCTTTGGGGCCTCTGGACAACCTCTGTCCAGGAAGCCACATTGCAAAAATTTCTCTCCTTGTCTCCATAGGATACCTTTGACATTCAGGGTCCCTTTGGGGAGACCCAGCCTCTTGAAGCTTTCTGCTTGCTCTGAGGAGGGGACACTCCCACCCTTACCCCACCCCCTCTCCTGACTGCCAGCTGGCCGGCGTGGGAGCCGGGCTTCCACTGCCCATTGTTTCTCAGCTCTCCTCCCATGGTGGCGGGGTGAGCCTCATCCCCCAGGTCAGGAGCACAGGGCAGCCCCTCCCCCTTCCCTCCCTGGGCTTCAAAGGCCCAGAGGGACTAACCCTTGTCACCATGGGGCCTCCCCTCTGGGAGCCATGATGGGGGCGGCTGCCCCCAAAGCAGCATTCAGTGGCTCCCTGGGAGTGAGCCGAGCAGGCCGGGAGGTGATCACAGGCATGTATGAGGTCAAACGAGGGAGGTCCCAGGCAGACGGCTTGGGAAAAGCTTGGGGATGGGAGAGAGGCAGCAAAGGTGATTGCAGTAATTAAAGCAATGAGCCCGCTACTTCCAAGAGGAGCTAATCCTAGCACAGCCCAGGACCAGGTGCTGTGTTTCCCATGTGCCGCGTCATTTCTCCTCACAGAAGCTGCGTAATACCAAAGCTACATTGCACACATGGAGAACATCAAGCTCAGAGAGGTTAAGTAATTTACCTGTGTCCCACAGAAAGGACCTGAAAAGGACTTGGACTCATATTATTTGACTCTGGAACCTTACTCCTAACTACTGTGCCAGGTGCTGAACTAGGCAACTGGGAGGGAAAACAGAATGGGTCCTGGGCACCCATCTTCAAAACACTCACCTGACTTCATACATGTCTGCAAAATGTGTGTTTCTTGCCAAAGAGCATCCAGGCATCCAAGAAGCAATGTTTTCACTGAGCCTACAAATATAGAAATTTCTCCCTCTTCTTTTCAGCTCTCCTTCCCCTTCTAAGTGTCTTTATTCCTCTTCTTCCCAGGCTAACATTCTCTCCTCCCACCATCTGCTCCCAAGGTGGCTGATACTGCCCACCTTGCTTCCCTGGGGATGGAGGGGTCTGGGGCTCATCCCTCCCCCAGGTGCTGTAATTTGTGAGGCTGCCCAACTGGAGTGGACCCAGGGCCTCCCAGACTGCCCTCCCGCCACTGTGAGTTGGCTGGCCTCTGCCCTCTGCCCTCTTCTGCCATTAACCCTGTCACCTGCCGGACATCAGCCTCCAGGCCCAGTCTGTCATCCATGGCCAAAGATGGATGGGGGGCGGCTGGGAAGCATAAGCAGCGACCCCTTAATGAGATCTGGCGGGGGAGGGCTGGGCTCTATCAGGCAGCAGCAGGGCCAGGTTGGCGATAACAGGCTCTTGTGGAGCGTGACCCATTTTCCTTCTGGAGGAGAAGACAGTCGGGTGAGAAGCTGCAGGACAGGTTTGGGGGACGGGTCACAGGGTTCTTTTACCACCCACCCCTATCCTCCTTCCCCTCTTCTGGCAAACCAGACTCGGTAGATGGGCAGAGGCTATGGAAAACAGATGACCCCCACTTCTCATTCCTCCTCTTTGGCACGGTGACCCCAGCTCCTAAGGAAGAAACACGGACACAAGGAATGACTAGGACACAGGAGACCAGATACCAGGCTGGGGCAGCCCCAGTCAGCCCTGGGAGATGTCAGAGAAACTGGAGGGAGGGGGCCTTTGTGGGGTGTCTATGGAGTGAGGAGCATCTTCAGAGGTGCAAGGAAAGGGCCTTTGTTGAAGCTGGTGAAAGAGTGGGATGCAAGGGTTGGGGGAGAACCATTATTGCGTTACTGGGTGGTCTCCCTACCATTTCCCCCCACGGTGATTCATGGCATTTTATTTAATTTATTTATTTATTTATTTATTTATTTATTTTTGAGATGGAGTCTCACACTGTCACCCAGGCTGGAGTGCAGTGGCGCGATCTCGGCTCACTGCAAGCTCTGCCTCCCGGGTTCATGCCATTCTCCTGCCTCAGCCTCCAGAGTAGCTGGGACTACAGGCACCTGCCACCATGCCCGGCTCATTTTTTGTATTTTTTTTTAGTAGAGACAGGGTTTCACCATGTTAGCCAGGATGGTCTCGATCTCCTGACCTCATGATCCGCCCACCTCGGCCTCCCAAAGTACTGGGATTACAGGCATGAGCCACTGCGCCCGGCAATTCATGGCATTTTAAAAGAAAGAGATGCTGGGCCGGGCACGGTGGCTCAAGCCTGTAATCCCAACACTTTGGGAGGCCGAGGCGGGTGGATTGCCTGAGGTCAGGAGTTCAAGACCAGCCTGGCGAACATAGTGAAACCCTATCTCTACTAAAAATACAAAAAATTAGCCGGGCTTGGTAGCGGGCTCCTGTAATTCCAGCTACTCGGAAGGCTGAGGCAGGAGAATGGCTTGAACCCAGGAAGGGGAGGTTGCAGTGAGCCAAGATTGTGCCATTGCACTCCAGCCTGAGCAACAAGAGCGAAACTCTGTCTCAATAAATAAATAAATAAGATGCTGGAAAGTTCTAGACTTTCATTGTACAGATAGGGAAGTTGATGTCCAGAGAGCGGAAGAGATCCACCCAAATAAGTAGAAGAGCCAGAGCGAGAATCCAGGGCTCTTGAAGACCCAGGCCTCCGCTCAGCACTGCACCACGCTTCCTTCTTGCTCCTTACCCGGGAAGAAAATACAACAGCTGCTGAAATAATTATTCCTGGACTTGTCTAAAAGGGGTTATTCTTTCCCACTTCCTCCCCCACCCCCTCAACCCACATACAGTGCATTGCCCAAGGACTTTTCGTAGGTTTGGGAGAGAGACTTGGGGGAAGAGGGGTGAGGATGCTTCTTGTTTCATCCAAGTCAGAATGGGAAATAATTTACTCCCTGAGGACATGAACAGGGTTGGGTCAAAATAGGACTCTTCAAGTTTGAGGGGTTTGTTTGGGTTTGGTTTGGTTTTGCCCAGCAAAGGTTGGCTGCGAGACCCTTTGGCCACTTATTTTGACATTGGCCACTGTCGATTGCCCCCTGCGCTCCTGCCTGGGTGCTGCTGTGGTGATGCCTGTCTCCTCTCCTCCCTGCCTATGACAGTCCAGCTGAGTTGGATTGTGGAGTGTGGCATCTGGTGGTTCGGGGATCAGGGACTTTTGAATCTGGTCCTAGTAAGCTGTGTGGCTCTCAGCAACAATTAATCTTTCTAGGTCTCAGCTGCCTCATCTTTAAAAGGTAGTAATAGAAAAGTCTTCACACTTTTTTTTTTTTTTTGAGACAGTCTTGCTCCATCGCCCAGGCTGGAGTGCAGTAGCGCAATCTCGGCTTACTGCAACCTCCGCCTCCCAGGTTCAAGCCATTTTCCTGCCTCAGCCTCCCAAGTAGCTGGGATTACAGGCACCCACCACCACACCTGGCTAATTTTTTAAATGTATTTTTAGTAGAGACGGGGTTTCACCATGTTGGCCAGCCTGGTCTCAAACTCCTGACCTCAGGTGATCCACCTGCCTCAGCCTCCCAAAATGCTGAGATTACAGGTGTGAGCCACCATGCCTGGCCCACACTTCTTTTTAAAAAGAAGGACCAGGCTGGGCAACGGTGGCTCATGCCAGTAACCCCAGCACTTTGGGAGGCTGAGGTTGGAGGATCACTTGAGCTCAGGAGTTCAACACTAGCCTGGGCAACATGGTGAAACGTTGTCTGTACTAAAAATACAAAAATTAGCTGGGCATGGTGTTGTATGCCTGTAGTCCCAGTTACTCGGGAGGCTGAGGCAGAAGGATGGCTTGAGTTCGGGAGGCAGAGGTTGCAGTGAACTGAGATCACGCCACTGCCCTCCAGCCTGGGTGACAGAGCAAGACTTTGTCTTAAAAAAAAAAAAAAAAAAAGACCAGAACCAGTGCCATGCTGAAGCTGGCTTGCACTGGATCCTAAAAGCCAATTATGTGCATTTCCCAACTTTGCACTGGGATTTCCAGTTGGTGGCTTGAAATGGGCTTTTGTGGAAATATTTACACCACAGAAATAAGCAAAGGCTACAAATCAGGGCTTCAGCACTCCAAGTGAGAGCCAGCCAGTAAACTTTTAGCAGCACGACACTGGCCAGAACTCTAACATGTTATATAAAAACACATAAACAGGCTGGTCACAGTGGCTCATGCCTTTGGGAAACCGAGGTGGGCGAATCCCCTGAGGTCAGCAGCTCGAGACTAGCCTGGCCAACATGGTGAAACCCCATCTCTACTAAAAATACAAAAATTAGCCGGGCATGGTGGCGCATGCCTGTAATCCCAGCTACTCAGGAGGCTGAGACAGGAGAATCGCTTGAACCCAGGAGGCAGAGGTGGCAGTGAGCGGAGATCATGCCATTGCACTCTAGTCCGGGCGACAGTGTGAGACTCTGTCTGAAAAACAAAACAAAACAAAACAAAACAACAAAACAAAAAAACACACATAAACAGAACTGCTTTGGTTGGTTGAAACAAGGGTTCCCCACTCCCCTCACACACATCAAGCTTTGCCAAAACCCAGGACTTGAAGTCTGAGATTTGTGCCAGCTCTCAATCCTGTGAGTCTAAGTAACAGGCCACAAGAGGTGATGCAGGAGGAAGAATGACGAACAATGATGAGGCTTAGGTTTTATGACTGTATTTAGCTAATCGAGCCTTGTCTGTGTGGGCAAGTCAACTTTGATGATCCAGGAAGCACCTCTGGAGTTGCTTAACCCTGCAGGTCCCAAGGCCTTCTGGTGGCCTCGGCAGGTAGTGGCACCCTCCAGAGCAGTCTCTCACTAGCGGATCTCTCAGTGGGTGGCAGGAGGATGGCTTTAGGGGAGGGAATGTCACCCACCTCCCCACAACTGTGCCTCTGCCCTGCAGGGTGAAGGTAAATGAAGTGACATTTGAATCCATTCAGATACTGCAGGAGAATGAATGCTGAATGAATGAATGAATCCAGGGAGAGCTGGAGCCAAATAAGCTTCATCAATTTATGTGGTGGGGAGGATGCTAGCCAGGAAGTGGAGGCCAGTGTTCAAATGCAGGGCTCAAGCCATAGCTCCAGCAGTTCCTGACCATGACATTTTTTGTATTTCAGTACCGTTTTGTAGAATGGGGCTACTGAACCAGGCTTAAAATCGTATTTCAGTCTGGTCTTTATGATGGGGACGGTAGGGGTGAACATGGAGCTCTCATTCTGCATGTAGTGGAAGGGCCCACCCCGCAAGCATGTTTCGCTGCTATTTTTGCCAAGGTTCTGTGAAGATTTCAATATTCCCAAGCTTGCTATCTTTCAAGCCTAGTAGAATCAGCTGGGCTGATATCTTCTAGCTGGTGGGAAAAAATGCCAGCAAGCAAAAGAAAAGGAGAGGAGAAACAAATGTTTGTAACTGAAAGAAACCTGGCATTTAATCTAGTGATTTCTATCTGCCAATCATCAGAATTGTCATTACCTGGGACAATTTAAAAAGTACAATTTCTAGGCCAGGCGCGGTGGCTCACGCCTGTAATCCCAGCACTTTGGGAGGCCGAGGCAGGTGGATCATGAGGTCAGGAGATTGAGACCATCCTGGCTAACACGGTGAAACCCCGTCTCTACTAAAAATACAAAAAAATTAGGCGGGCAAGGTGGTGGGCGCCTGCAGTCCCAGCTACTCAGGAGGCTGAGGCAGAAGAATGGCGTGAACCCAGTGAGCCAAGATTGCACCACTGCACTCCAACCTGGGTGACAGAGCGAGACTCCGTCTCAAAAAATAAATAAATAAATAAAAATAGGCTGGGCGTGGTGGCTTACGCCTGTAATCCCAGCACTTTGGGAGGCCAAGGCGGGCAGATCATGAAGTCAGGAGATCGAGACCATCCTGGCTGACACGGTGAAACCCCATCTCTACTAAAAATACAAAAAATTAGCTGGGCGTGGTGGCGGACGCCTGTGGTCCCAGCTACCTGGGAGGCTGAGGCAGGATAATGGCGTGAAACCAGGAGGTGGAGGCTGCAGTGAGCTGAGATCGCGCCACTGCACCCCAGCCTGGGCGACAGAGCGAGACTCCGTCTCAAAAAATAAATACATAAATAAATAAATAATTTTAAAAAATAAAATAAAAAGTACAATTTCTTACCCTGCCTCTAGACATACTGATTATTAAAAATCTCCCGTTGGGGAGGGGTCTGGTGTTTGGGAACCAGCACACTCCCTCTCCTGACCTCCCACAGCAGAGGGTGAAGGCTACCACCAGCTGACCAGTCATAAGACTTTGTCTTCTTTCTGTTTCTAAAAGAGATTTCCTCATTTTCCCTTAGCAAATAGGGAAAGACCAAAAAAAAAAAAAAAAAAAAAGAGTTCTTTCCCACAGCTAACCTAAATCTTGGCTGCATTTCTAGGCCTCTCATCTGCATAATAACTTCACTGATGATTTCAGAGTTTGCTTTCTTCACCCTGAATGTTCTGGGTTTATTTCTTCATTCAATAAAAATTAATTCAGCACCTCCTACTCACCAGGTCCTTTAGTAGCTGTTGGGGAGATGAGCAAAATGGACACTATCCTTGGCTTTTGCATCTTATAGCCTTTTAAGGGAGTCAGACAGTTAAATTTGCAATGGTGGCTCATGCCTATAATCTCAACACTTTGGGAAGCCAAGGCAGGAGGATCGCTTGAAGTCAGGAGTTTGAGACCAGCCTGGGCAACATAGTGAGACCCTGTCTCTACAAAAAATTAAAAAATTAGCCGGGTATGGTAACACATGCCTGTGGTCCCAGCTACTTGAGAGGCTGAGGTGGGAGGATTGCTTGAGCCTGGGAGGAGGTCACGGTGCTTCAGTGAGCCTTGATTGCACCACTGCACTCCAGCCTGGGCGACACAGCGAGACCCTCATCTCTAAAAAATAATAATAAAAAAAATAGCATGTCAGGATGTCAGGCTAGGGCAGATGTTGGGATGGTAAGATGGGGTGGGGCAAAGCCTCCTGAAGAAATGAAGGGTCGGGTATGGTGGCTCATGCCTGTAATCCCAGCATTTTGGGAGGCCGAGGCAGGCGGATCCCTTGAGCCCAGGGATTTGAGACCAACCTAGGCAACATAGCAAAACCCCATCTCTACAATAAAATAAAATAAAATAAAATAAATAGCTGGGTGTGGTGGCGTGTGCCTGTAATCCCAGCTACTCAGGAGGCTGAGGCAAGAGAATTGCTTTAGCCTGGGAGGTGGAGGGTGCAGTGAGTGGTGTTTGTACCACTGCTTTCCAGCATGTAGCAAGAGAGTGAGACTCAACTGGAAGGAAGGAAGGAAGGAAGGGAGGGAGGGGAAAGAAGGAAAGGAGTGCTAATTTGCGGACTTAGGATAAGTAGCAGTTAGTCCAAGGATGTGGAAGGGAGGGTGGAGAGCAAAGATCCTGGCAGAAAGACCAGCATATGTGGGGCTGAAGGCAAAAAAACAGAGAATGCTTGACAAACTGAGTGAAAATTCATACAGTCGGGCACTCTGCCTCACAAATCCTTCTGTCATTTCTACAGTTCTCCCAGAAACCCCTTGAAACTCGCCTGTGACTCTCTAGGCTCCCTGGAGTCCAGAGCAAGACAAAGAACTTTTGTCTGATCAGCTGAGATATAATGAGAATGACCCCCAGGTTCCTTATTTATGCATCCGGCATGCAGCTTGCTTTTGTAAGAATAGCACTGTATTGCTGACTCATAGTCAGCCATGCATTTTACAATAATCCCACAATGTCTGCCCTGGATTTTCTTTCTGCCTAACTTCCTGTTCAGCCTTCTTTTAAAAAGCCTTGCCTCTGTGCTCTCTTTTTACTTATCTCTTTCTTTGAAATGGATCACGTCTAGAATTTGTGGGTTTCAGGGAAATCTGCCATCCCAAGGGTCCTTCTCCAATGAAATTAAGGTCAAATTGAGATTTGGAATTGAAAGCTGATTAGTCTGAATGCCCACATCTTAGAGCATCTAACCAATCTATCTGCCCATCAGGGTGACTGATCCCATCCCTGTCTTATTTGCTGCTGTGGGGGTGAGGGCAGGGGGTGGAGAAGGATGGAAGCAGAGTCAGCGCCAGACAGTGATGTGCCACGCAGAATAGAATCTCTGCACAGCGTCTCCTGGAAGGGGGAGGGGGGCAGATGCTGACAGACTCGTGGGAGCCATGCCAAGAGATGGGTCTGCCTGGGTCCCTGACTAAACCAACTAACTCTTCCCAAGCTGATCAGGCTGCAGGGCCAGAGCCCCACTATTCTTCCCTGGGATCCCAAGTGAAGCAATGGGGGCCACGTAGGAATTCATCGGTCAATGCTAGTTTGGTGGGTGAGGGTGGGGAGGTTGGGGAGGAGCAGGCGCGGGGGTGGGTGTGCTTGGATTCGCTCATGGGAGCTGAGCCAGCCCCAGCAGGGAAGAAGGGTCGCTTTGGCATTCATTCTCCTGCAGTTACCAGGCCTCGCCGCCTGCCGGGCTGCTGGTGCGCAGGGCCCAGCCCCCTCCCCAAAGAGCCCCTGAGAGGGGCCAGGAGTGGGGGGAAGGCCACCCGTGGCCTTGTGAGACTGAAGCACAAGCTCCTTCCTCAGCTGCCAGGGAAGAATTTAATTACCAATTAAAGCCCCCTCCATCTGTTTCGGGCCTGCCAGAGAGCTCTCTCTACCCTTTAATTACATCTCTGACAACAATTTAACTCAATTAGCTGGTAAACACAGCAGAATGCAGGCAACCCAGGGCACCCTCTTGTCCCTGCCATCTGTCTGTCCGTCTTGTGCTTTCCCAACTCGCTCTCAGTCTGTCTGTCCTGCCCCTGCTTCCCTGTCTCATTTTGACACCGCCCCCCACCCCTTGGTTTTCTCTTTTTCTTCTGTCTTCTCCAGCACCTCTTGTCTGTTTCACACCAGCTGGGTTTCCCCCGCCCTCCGCGTCTTTGTCATTCTGTCTTCCTCTCCCATCTGCTCTTTGTCCATCCCTTTCCCGTGCTCTGTCTTGTTCTGTGCATCCCAACTTTCTCTCTTACTCTGCCAGGCTAGTCTCCAATGAGCCTTTTCCTTCCCCTTTCCTTCTCCCCGTCTTCTTCCTCCTTCTCCGCCATCTGTCCTACATTAACCAAATCCATCCCTTTCAGCATCTCCTCTGTGAGCCTCCTTTCTGGTGTGTTTCCCTTAACCCCTGCCATCTCCTTTTGCTTCATCCACTTAGCACAAACAAAGGTGAGCCCTAGGAGCAGTAGTTGCCATCTTTTGAGCACTTACTTTGCCAGTCATTGGCTAAGAGCTTTACATGCATTATTTTGTTGAATTTTTACAAAAATTGTGTGAATGGGTATAATTATTCCCATTTCACAAGTGGAATAATGGATCCTCTGAGAGATTTTGCCACTTATCCAAGGTCACAGAGCTTGCAACTGATAGAACTAGGATTCAAAGCCAGGTCTGTTTCCTTCAATACTGCATGAGATACCCGAGGCTGGGCACAGTAGCTCATGCCTGTAATCCCAGCACTTTGGGAGGCCAAGGTGGGCAGATAGCTTGAGCCCAGGAGTTCGAGACCAGACTGGGCAACATGATGAGACCCCCGTCTCTGCAAAAAATATAAAAATTAGCCAGAAGTGGTGCATGCCTGTAGTCTCAGCTACTCAGGAGCCTGAGGTGAGTGAGTCACTTGAGCCCAGCAGGTCGAGGGGAGCAGTTTTAAGGATGACAGAGAGGCCTGAATATTTGGGGAAAGGCTCTGTGTTGTTGAAATGAAGGGCAAAGCAATAGGTTCCCAGTTAACATTGGGAGGGAGGTGGGTAGAGAAGGGTAAAAAATAGAAATCATTTCTGAGAATTTAACCTCCTCATTTCTGCTGGAAGGAACTTTCCAGATTCTAGTTTACTACAGTGTTGAAGAAGTTCCCCAGTCCTCTGAGAAAGTAAAAAATGTCCAGGACCTACAGGAATAAGAGAGAGGGAGAGAGAGAAACAAGTAGGCTATAATTATCCTAGCAACCCTCTCCTGGAATGGGGGCGGGGGTGGGTGCTGCAGAGAAGGGCAGCCTGATCCGTCTTGTGGACAGGCAGGGACATGATGGAGACCCCAGGTCAGCCAGGTAGTCACATGGCTGCAGCTTGGGCAGACCCCAGCCAGATAAAACTCATCTGCTTTCTTCCCCCATCCTTCCTCGGCTGACTAATCACTCTTCCTGTGATTAAAACAGAAAAGAACTGGGGGGAAAGGCTACAGGAGAGAAAGAGAGGCTGTCTCTGATCTCTGTTTTCTACCTTCCTTTGCTCTTGAGATGTGCTGTCCATCCTTGGGGGTTTGCTCCGCTTGGTGTTTAGAACCCACATATTCCACTAACTCACACCTTCACCTTGCCTTCTGCCACACTAAGAAGAGTGCTGGGATTCCAGCGAAATTCCTCAAATGCAGAAACTGTGCTCTGAGAGCAAATGCCAGTCAGCTATGGGTTAGAGTCAGCCTCAGTAGGGAGACTGGCACAATACCCAGCTTTTTTTTTTTTTTTTTTTGTTTTTTGTCCTGTTTTTGTTTTTGTTTTTGAGATGGAGTCTTGCTCTGTCACCCAGGCTGGAGTGCAGTGGCGCCATCTCGGCTCACTGCAACCTCTGTCTCCCGGGTTCAAGCGATTCTCCTGCCTCAGTCACCCAAGGAGCTGGGATTACAGGCACGTGCCACCATGCCTGGCTAACTTCTGTATTTTTTATAGAGACGGGGTTTCACCATGTTGGCCAGGCTGGTCTCGAACTCCTGACCTCAAGTGATCCGCCCACCTTGGCTTCCCAAAGTGCTGAGATTACAGGCATGAACCACTGCATGTGGCCTCTTTTTTTTTTTTTTTTTTTTTGAGACAGTCTCACCCTGTTGCCCAGGCTGGAGTGCAGTGGCACAATCTCAGCTCACTTTGACCTCCACCTCCTGGGTTCAGGCAATTCTCGTGCCTCAGCATCCCAAGTAGCTGGATTATAAGCACGTGCTACCACGCCTAGCTAATTTTTGTATTTTTAGTAGAGACGGTGTTTCATCATGTTGGCCAGGCTGGTCTCGAATTTCTTGTGTCAAGTGATCCGCCCGCCTTAGCCTCCTAAAGTACTGGGATTACAAGCATGAGCGACTGTGCCTGGCAGAATTTTCAATATTACAGATCTCTCAAGAAGTCCCATCCTGCAGGCAGACATGGAAAGTTCTGGACAGAGGCAACTAAGGGGCAGGATGGAAGGCTGGAAAAGAGATGGGGTAGGGAAGCAAGGAATTCAAAATGAAGAAGCTCCCAGTCCAGTCCCAAGCTTTATACAATCAGTGGGTGTGTGGGCAGTTTCTGTAAACATTATATAATAAAGACCACAGAGAAGAGAGGCTGGTAGGTGTTTTTTTGTTTTTGTTTTTGTTTTTGTTTCTAAATAGACATGTAATTACCTAGAACTTTAGAGTTCAACAGACCAGCAGTCTACCTAACCTAGGGTCCTTCCTGTTGCAAGAATTATTATTATAGTAGCCCTCATAATAGCCTTCTTTGGATACTTCCAGCCACAGATAACTTATTACCTCACTAGGTAATACCTTTCTATTTTCAGGCTGTTTTAATGTTTTTTTTTTGTTTGTTTGTTTTTGTTTTTTTTGAGATGGAGTCTGGCTCTGTCACCCAGGCTGGAGTGCAGTGGTGCCATCTCGGCTCACTGCAAGCTCTGCCTCCCGGGTTCACGCCATTCTCCTGCCTCAGCCTCAGGAGTAGCTGGGACTACAGGCGCCCACCACTACGCCGGGTTAATTTTTTGTATTTTTATTAGAGACGGGGTTTCACCGTGTTAGCCAGGATGGTCTTGATCTCCTGACCTCGTGATCCGCCCTCCTCGGCCTCCCAAAATGCTGGGATTACGGGCGTGAGCCACCGCGCCTGGCCCTGTTTTAATGTTTAGAAAAATCTTTCTCATACTAAACCAGAGACTATTTCCCTGTAATTCACCTCCTTCTGTCCTTTTTTCATTGTGTGAATTGATGGAGAATATGTAAATCTTCCTCCACAGTTCAGATGCCAATCAAATGTCTAGAAGGCAGCCAAAAGGAATCCCTGAGAGTTAAACATTCCTAATTCCTTCACCTATTCCTCAAGTGCTCTCCTTTCAAAATCTCACTATTGTTTATATATCCCATAGGCTTTTTCATTAGCAATGCCTTTCTTTATAAATAGTGCCCCAGACCTAAAGATTAATTCCAAAGGGCACAGGATAAAGAAAGACCATCACCTCCCTTGTTCTAAAGACTGTATTTTATTAATGCAGCTCAGAATCTATAATTTTTTACAGCAGACGCAGATCACAGCAGTTTTATTTGTTTGTTTGTTTAGAGTTTCACTCTGTCTCCCAGGCTAGAGTGCAGTGTCACAATCTCGGCTCACTGCAACCTCCGCCTCCCGGATTCAAGCAATGCCTGTGCCTCAGCCTCCCAGTAGCTGGGATTACACCACCACGCCAAGCTAATTTTAGTATTTTTAGTAGAGACAAGGTTTCATCATGTTGGCCAGGCTGGCTCGAACTCCTGGCCTCATGTGATCTGCCCTCCTCAGCCTCCCAAATTGCTGGGATTACAGGTGTGAGCCACCATGCCCGGCCCATAGTAGCTTCTCTATCATATCAGCATATTGAGGTTGCAGGCAACTAAACTTACTGTTTTTAGTATATGTCACTCTTAGACCATGTCTTCCTCATTCCTACTGAATTAACTCTTTTGGTGACAAGTATAAAACTTATTTAATTCTTTTAAATTTCACCTCACTCAACTCAATTTAACACTGATGGAGCATACATCATGTTAAACTGTGTTCGATTTCGGCCAATGTTTCCATCCTGCTAAGATCTTATTAAATCCTTAGCCTGTCACCCGAAACATTAATTCTCTCTTTTAGCTGTGTGTCATCCACAGAGCTGATGAGCTTGTCTTTCATGTTTTCACCCAATCCTGATAAAGTGTTGAAAAGTACAGTGCCTCCTAAGAGGACCATTTTGAAAGAATCAACATCTGGCCGGGCACGGTGGCTTATGCCTGTAATCCCAGCACTTTGGGAGGCTGAGGTGAGCCGATCACGGGGTCAGGAGATCAAGACCACCCTGGCTAACATGGTGAAACCCTGTCTCTACTAAAAAAAAAATACAAAAAAAAAATTTGCCATGTGTGGTGGTGGGCACCTGTAGTCCCAGCTACTTGGGAGGCTAAGGCAGGAGAATGGCGTGAACCTGGGAGGCGGAGCTTGCAGTGAGCCGAGATGGCACCACTGCACTCCAGCCTGGGCAACAGAGCGAAACTCTGTCTCAAAAAAAAAAAAAAAGAAAGAAAGAAAGAATCAACATCTAAATGAATCTCTCTCCTTCAGATGGAGGCTATATAGTTGGTTTTTTGGTAACTTTTTATTTTGATAAATTTCAAACTTATAAAAAAATGTCAAAAATAGTACAAAGAACTCCCATGTGCCCTTTACCCAGATTCATCAATTGTTTACATTTTGCTCCATTCATTTCATCCTTATCTATCTACATGTTTACATATGCATTTTTTTGCAACTTTTGGAGAGTACATTGGAGACATCCTGTCCCTTTACTCCTAAATATTCTAGTATGTGTTTCCTAAGAACAAAGGCATTCTCTTACACAAACAACCTCAGTATCATGATCAAAATCAATAAATTTAACATTGTTATGAAACTACCGTCTAATGTACAACCCATATTCAATGTCCATCCATTTTTCCAGTAATGTCCTTTATGACTATTTCCATTGTCAAACCCTCTCTACGGCCAGTCCAGGATACAATCCAGGATCATAGATGGCACTCAGTTGTCATGACTTCTTAGTAGGAGGCTATAATTCTATTTCAACACTTTGCCATTGCTAAAAGCAGTTTCAAAACTTTTTTTGGAAAATGGGAAGGCTCCATGGGAATTATCTTCAGAGTCTTCAGCACATTTGTGTTGCTTTCCTCAAAGGAACCAGATCCTCATCCTTGGAAGGTGGTGGGATGGTTTGAATGTTTTTCTATGGCTGCCATTTTCCAAAAAAGTCCCCAAAACAAACAAAAAAAAGATTCTTTTTTTTTTTTTGGTGATGGAGTCTCGCTCTGTCGCCTAGGCTGGAGTGCAGTGGCGCAATTTCGGCTCACTGCAACCTCCGCCTCCTGGGTTCAAGCAATTCTCCTGTGTCAGTCTCCTGAGTAGCTGGGACTACAGGCATGCGCCACCATGCCTGGCTAATTTTTGTGTTTTTAGTAGAGACAGGGTTTCACCATGTTGGCCAGGCTGGTCTCGAACTCCTGACCTCAGGTGATTCACCCTCCTCAGCCTTCCAAAGTGGTGGGATTACAGGCATGCGCCACCGTGCCTGGCCCTGTATTCAAGATTCTTATCAAGTCTACACTTTATTTTTATTTTATTTATTTATTTATTTTTGAAACAGGGTCTCACTCTGCCTCCCAGGCTGGAGTGCAGTGGCACCTTCCCAGCTCCCAGCCTTGACTGCCTGAGCTCAAGCCATCTTCCTACCTCAGCCTCCCAAGTAGCTGGGACCACAGGCAGCCATAACCATGCCCGGCCAATTTTTTATTTGTAGAGACAGGTCTCGCTATGTTGCCCAGGCTGATAAACTTTATTTTTATCTTTTTTAGAGATGAGATCTTGCTGTGTTGCCCAGCCTGGTCACACACTCCTGGACTCAAGTGATCCTCATGCCTCAGCCTCCAGAGTAGCTGGAACTACCAGCACAGGCCACCTACTCAGCCCCAAGTTTCCTCTATAGATGCAGCCAGACTCATTCATTCAAAAGCAAGCCATCCTCATAGTCTTTGCTCATGCCATTCCCTTTTTCACTTCACTTCATTCCACCCCTCACTTCCTTAAAGACCCAGGCTCTGTGGCCCCTTTTGCGGGGGACCCCTAGCTCCAAGTCCTGCAATCCCTCCCTTGGAGCTGAGCGTTGAAGCATCTGGCATTTGACTATTCATTTGGCACTTGGCATACGATTCCTTAGGTGATTTGTAATTTTTAATGCATCTACTGTTTCTCATCAGAAAGACTGTAAACCTTTGAGAGCAGAAGTCATGTTTATATCTCTTGCTACCTTATATTTAATGTAATGCCACATACATAGTTGGAGTGCAATGCATATTCAGTGCTGGTGATCATGGGATGTGTTTGAAAAGGATCTATAACCAAGTAACAGCCAATGTGTATTGGGCACATAATAATCATTATACACAATGCTATACACTTTATATGGATTATGTCATTTGTCCTTTCTACAACCCAGTGATCTACGGACAACTATAGTCCCATTTTACTGATGAGGAAACTGAGGCTTAGAGAGAGCTAAGTAATTTGCCCATGGTCATCCAGCTCGTAGGTGGAGAAACCAGAATTCAATCCAGATGGTTTGATTCCAGAGCCACCACTCTCAACCACCGTGCTATGACCACATTTGAAGAGAATAATCCCTCCATCCCAACACTGTAAATGATAATTAAATATAATAATTGTGATGCTGCTGATAATAAATAAAAATCTTCCGTGGAGAGTGGGGCTCTGATCTGCTCCACGTTTTTGTTTGTTTGTTTGTTTTTTGAGATGAGGTCTCACCCTGTCACCCAGGCTGGAGTGCAGTGGCACCATCTCTGCTCACTGCAACCTCTGCCTCCCGGTTTCCACCGATTCTCCCACCTCAGCCTCCCGAGTAGCTGGAATTACAGGCGCATGCCACCACACCCGGATAATTTTTTGTATTTTTAGTAGAGATGGAGTTTCACCATGTTGGCCAGGCTGGTCTTGAACTCCTGACCTCGAGTGATCCATCTGCCTCGGCCTCCCAAAGTGCTGGGATTATAGGCATGAGCCACTGTGCCCCACCATCAAATAGGTTTTTTTGGTGTCCAATAACTTCCCTCTTGCAAAGCTCTTCAGATGTAGAAATGCACTTCTTTCTTGTACAAGAAGGTAAAATGAGCTGCATAGTCAAATGTTAGAATTTGGCTTAGGCTTTAAAGGGGTATTTCTTTTCTTTTCTTTCTTTCTTTTTTTTTTTTTTTGTCAAGGGATAGTAAAGAGGAAGCCTCTAACCTCAAAGCAGCCTAAGTTTTACAGACCTTCTCCTGTGTTTCTGAATCCCAGGCCTGACCAGAAATCGGTAATTTTCAGTTTGCACTCCACATTCCTAGTGGGCTGGAGCTGAGGATTTAGTGGGGAGGGTAGAAAAGGGGTGGGGTTGTGTTTTCTCACAAACTGGGTCGTCAAATTTGAGTTTCCAAGGGGGCTCTCAGTTCCCCCATGACTCTAGAGAAGGAAAAATAGAAAGCATTATAGGTGTTCAGACTGGTCACAGAAGACATCTTCGCAAGGCAGTTCCTATCACAGCCAGCTGATGTCACCAACGGGGCATGGGGGAGATGGAGGAAAGAAACAACAGAAGAGACGAAGAGGAAGGAGGGACGACGGAGCAAAAGTGAAGACATGATATACGGCCGAGGACATAGGGTGAGAGGAAAGAAAAGAAAAGGGTGGAGGAAAGAGAGAGGAAGGAGAATTCGAAGCATAGGCTTTTGCCTACTTCCCTTCTCCCGTCCCTAACACACGGATGAGAGCTTCTCGCCTCTTTCTATATCCAGAAAGTATGGAGACCCCTCACTCTCCGACCTCGGTGCTATCTCCAGGGCCCAGAGGGGCAAACTGGGGAGGGGAGGGGAGACTTGTAAACATGAGTGCAATTTTCCTCTGGTTTCCCCAGAAGTTGCCCGTTTCCTGGGCCATTCCTCTCCAGGCAGCCCTCGGGAGTTCCCGCCGCACCGACCCCAGCCAGGCTCCAGCGGTCCCCTCTCTTCCATCCCGCCATCTCTCTGAGGGGCTTGCGTCTCCCTGATGCGCTCTGGTGTCTGTCTGAGCCATCCATCAAGGATGGCAGGCTGGGGGAAACATGAAAAAGAGCCTATTTGGCTATTAACATCCCCTCCCGCTTTGTTGTCTCTCTCCTCCCCAGTCCCCTACCAGCCCCTCACCCAACCCCTCCCTTTTCCCCTTTTGCAGGAGACAAAACCAGACTGACAAGCTGAAGACTCAAACATTAATCAAACTGCGCTCCGGAACAACCTTTCCCTCGCATTAATAAATACATTTGCGGCCCCTCATTGGACAGTTGGCCTAATTTGTTTCTTTTTCGCGGGGTGGGGGGAGCAGCCGCGCCCGCGCCCCCTGGCTCCCAGCAGCCCTGTGCAAAGCAGATGTTCCGCCGCAGACGCGGAGCTGCGCCTAGCCGCGCGCCCCGGAGGCCGCGGTTGCCATGGCGACGGCGGGGCCGCCTGCTGTCGCCGAGCACGCTGTCTCGCCCGCTCAGTGATTACCTCCATCTCCGCAGTGTTCGCCATACGGCCCGGATTCTAATCAGATCCCCTCCCCCCTCCCCCCTCCCTCCTCCGCCCGGCCCACTACCCCTTCAGCTCCCACAGCCTTGGGACTCATTGAGAACTGCCCGCGCATCCCTGACGGTGCCCAGGAAGGCAGAGTGGGGGAGAGACGACCCGCACTCAGCCTGTGTTTAGGGAGGACTGGACCCAGTGCGGTTCGCAAGAGGTTCTGTGTCCCCAGGCCATCTTTGGTGACATTGAACCCCGGGAGTCCAGCTCCCAGCACTGTCCCCTGAAGACTCCTCCTCCTCCCCCTTGGTATGTTGAGGCAGGTCACCTGAGGTCCCCAAGAGAGGTAAGGCAGGCAACCATAGTTCCCCTTCCATCTGGACAAGACTCTTCCATTCCCGTTCTGTAAGTGCTGGGAATGATTTCATCTGCACAGCCTGGAGGTGGGCAGGGTTTCTGGAACCATCAGAGCATCAGCCCAAGCCATGCTTCTTGTGCTAAACGCAGTGGTTTCTCAGACTAAAGGGAGGAGTGGAGAAGCACAGGTCTGGTACTCTAGCCACTCAGGCCTGGCCTGAGTTAGGCCCATGGTTATTTGACCCCCTCCACATCACACACACACTATGCTTTCCATGCTTCCAGGCTGAGGGTGGTTTTTTATAGGTGGTCTCAGATGTACCCCCGGCTGGCAGCCTTGCAAGGGATGCACTGCGAACCCTCTCCGGACTTAGTAATGAACAAGGGGCAGTGCGATGCCTCGGGGCCTTGGGGTACCTGGCTGTCTTTCTGTTAGGGGAGGAGGGTCCTTTCCCTGAGACTCTGAGGCTTCACTATAAGATCCCAAGCATAAACATCCCTGGCTTTAGGAGAAACGAGGTAATAACAGAAGCCAGAGGCAAGAGAGCACAGAGAGGTTGGGAGTGAGGCCGGCAGGGAAGAAGGCAGATTTGGGACAGGAAGATGAGATTCTGGGTTCAGATTCCACCTTCCAGCCTAAATCACAAGGCAGGAAGCCTGAGGTGGTTGGCGTAAAAAATAATTTTGCTCAAGGGGAGGAACCCTTTGGAGTGACGAAAAGTAGAAACACTCATGTTCCAGAAGTGTTACCAATGCCAGGGAAAGCTTGCTTAAACACTCTCACAACATCCCAAATGCCAGCCTCCTTCCAATGTTCGCCGGAAAGTTCTGAGCCGTATTAGCAAATAAGAAGAAATGCCAGGCTGAGCTCTCTCTCCGAGGCTACTAAGAATCCTCATGCTAGAGCTGCAAGGGCCTTTAGAGATCTGGACCGATCCTTCATTTTACAGATGAAAAAACTGAAATCCAGAGAGGAATGACAACTGGCCAAGATCCCACAGCTAGAAATAGTGGAACCAGGTTTTTATTTCTGCAATAGTGGCCACTGTTCTGCCCTCTTTCCTCTCTCAGAGGCAACCAGCTGGGAAACTCTGGTTTCCAAGTCCTCTCTCAGAGGCAACCGGCTGGGAAACTCTGGTTTCCAAGAGGCACAGACAGAATCCCAAAAATCTCAGGCCTTTCCCAGCCCCTAGTCACCCTGCCTCCTGAAGGCCTGTCACCTACCTGAAGGCAGCTCCACTAGAGTGACAGCTCCTGTTGGCCCTGGCTGGCTCAGGGCCTCTGGGGAGGGTATGGGGGGATGGTGGGTTGGGAGAGAACTTTTGTGGGGCCTCCTTCAGTCAATGGTCTACAGCTCTGTCTTTGTCTGTCTGTCACTCAGAAGGGAACTGCTGAAGGGAGAGGTCAGGCTGGTCGGTAGAAAGGGAGAAAGAGGCCTATCCCTGTCAGAGAGGGGTTGGGAAGAAGGCAGGCAAGGGGACCGAAGCTCCTTCAACCTCCTCATCCTCTCCCACTCCAACTCCTGGGCTGTTTCCCCTAGGGAATTCCAGGCTTTGCTCATTTTAGGACCAGGGCAGCAACTGCACACAAAGGCCCTTCTCTTCTTGCCGTGTGAAATCCTGGCTCCCCATTGGAGAGCTACTCCCTTACCCTGCCCTGTCTGCAAGAAGAGGCTGCCAAGGGGTCTAACTCAAACCTACAAGGCAGGGAGTTCCATTGCGTTCCCCTTCCATGCAACCAGCACCCTGACTCCACCCCTGTGCTTGCCCGTGTCCCTGCTCGCGCCTGCCACATCAGATTCCCCAGGCTCCCTCACCCCCCCGTGCAATTTAAAGCAGATTCATCCCCTGAGAGCCCCAGTTTCCAGGCCACCCTAGCTTCTACTGTACACTATCCTATCTCCCCAGATTGTGCTGTTTCCAGTCTCCCCTTGTTCCCTCTGCACACGAATCTTCCTCCCCAGATTCAACTGTTTTCAGGCTACTCCCTCTGTCTGCCCCCTGTACACGACTGTCTCCCCAGATCCTGCTGTTTCTAGGTTCCCCCATATTTCCCCGGTATACAAATTGGCCTCCCTGGATTCAGCAGTTTCCAGAAGCCCCTTGCTCTCTCACTAGGCAGTTCCATCTCCCCAGATTCAGCTGTTTTCAGGCTCCCTTCATTTGCCCTGTACACAGGTACCCCTCCCAGGTTCTGCTGTTTCTAGGCTTCCCGATTTCCCTTGTATACGCATCAGTTTCTAGCTTATGTTGATCCCAGCTGCCTAAGGGATTCAGCAGGTTTAGGGAGAGTGGAAGGAAGAAGAGAGTCAGAAAGAGGAGGAGAAGAAAGATGGTCATCAGGGAAGCTCCGGATTTCTCTTGTGACCCTAAGCAGCTTGCATATGACAGCCTCTGGGCCTCTGCCTCTACAAATAGGTCCCTTAAGGCCATCTGCCCTGGGATACCCCAATCCCCTCCCCATTGCTGCTGCCCAGGATCTGAGCTTTAAGTTGGACATCCTCCGGAGGGCCCCCGTCTTGGCAGGAGTGCTTATGCTTGCATGAGGTGGGACAGGCAAGAGCCTTCCCAAGCCAGGAGTTCCCTTGTCTCTCCTCTGCTATTTCCTTCTTGCCTTCCCAGCACCCACGCCCGCCCCCTTTTTTTTTTCTTTTTGAGTTGGAGTTTCACTGTGTCGCCCAGGCTGGAGTGTAGTGGCGTGATCTCGGCTCGCTACAACCTCTGCCTCATGGGCTCAAGCAACAATCCTGCCTCCGCCTCCGGAGTAGCTGGGACTACAGGCGTGTGCCACCATGCCTAGCTAATTTTTGTATTTTTAGTAGAGACAAGGTTTCACCATGTTGGCCAGGCTGGTGAACTCCTGACCGCAGGTGATCCACCTGCCTTGGCCTCCCAAAGTGGTGGGATTACAGGCGTGAGCCACTGTGCCCACCCCCACCCCTTGTCTCTTTCTCATGTGTTGCACCTTAGCTCTCCTCAATTTATCCACATACAATTTATTTTATTTTATTTATTTATTATTTTTTTTTTGAGATGGAGTCACAAAGTGCTGGGATTATAGGCGTGAGCCACCACGCCTGGCCTTTTGTTTTATTTTTGAAACAGTCTTACTCTGTCGCCCAGGCTGGAGAGCAGTGGCATCATCTCATCTCACTGCAACCTCTGACTCTGGGGTTCAAGTGATTCTCCTCCTTCAGCATCCTGTATCCACATAGAATTTAAAGGAAACTCCAAATGCACTCCCAGAACTAAAGGGAGTACAGAACTAAAGAGTCACACTTTTTTTTTTTTTTTTTTTTTTTTTTTTTTCAGTTTTCAAGATGGAGTAGTATCAATCTCAGGCCCTGGAAACTGCCCCTGGACTAGTTTCCTGGCATGCTTCTCCAGCCTTTGTAAACAACTGTTTCATCTGCAGACTCCCTGCATCCTAATCCTCCTTGGGGCTGGAGGTGGGAGGGTATGGGAAGTGTTCTGCAAGGTACTCCAGTCTTCTTATCTTCTCTGACTCATTTAGCTACTGCCTGCAAAGTTTCCACTGGAATCTGGGGAAATGGTCTGATCCCTCATCGCCTTCCTCCATATACAGCTGCCTACCCATTAGACTAATCCCAGCCATTTGTCAGTCACGATGCTCCATCATACTGGCCCCAGCAAACTTTCTGGTTTCACTAAGAAATAAATAGGAAGGGCAGGCCCACTGGGTCCAGGATAGTGCCCTACAAGGAGACCTTTCTTCAAAATGAAATCCATACCTGGGTTCAGGCCGCATTGCTTCTGCTCCCAGCACCCGAGAGCATCCTCAATCACCTCACAAGTGGGAATGACAACGCCTGCCTCCTTCACTGAGATAGAGGTACAAAAAAATTACATGTGTGAAAGAAATAGAATACTTTTACGGATCCTGACAAATGTGAGTTTACATAAATCCTATTAAAAGAACATTGTGCAAGAAGCTTTTCTGTGTCTTGTATATAAATTATCCTCAGAAAAGAAGTGCAGCTGATGGGACTCACTTATTAATTTCATTATTTAAAAAACAGACGTGCTGGGCGTGGTGGCTTATGTCGGTAATCCCAGCACTTTGGGAGGCCAAGGCGGGAGGATCACTTGAGGTCAGGAGTTTGAGACTAGCCTGGCCAATATGGTGAAACCCTGTCTCTACTAAAAATACAAAAATTAGCTGGGCATGGTGTTGTGTGCCTCTAGTCCCAGCTACTTGGGAGGTTGAAGCACGAGAATCACTTGAACCCAGGAGGCACATGCAGCAGTGAGTCAGGATGGCGCCACTTACTCCAGCCTGGGCGACAGAGCAAGATTCTGTCTCAATAAATAAATAAATAAATAAATAAATAAATAAATAAATAAATAAAATAAAAATTAGAAAACGCTATTGGAGCCAGCCATGGTGGCTCCCAGCACTTTGGGAGGCCGAGGTGGGCAGATTGCTTGAGCTCAGGAGTTCGAGACCAGCCTGGGCAACATGGTGAAACCCCGTCTCTACTAAAAATACAAAAATTAACCAGGCATGGTGGCAGGTGCCTGTAATCCCAGCTACTCAAGAGGCTGAGGCAGGAGAATTACTTGAACCTGGGAGGTGGAGGTTGCAGTGAGCAGAGACTGTGCCACTGTACACTAGCCTGGGTGATAGAGTGAGACTGTTAAAAAAAAAAAAAGCATGCAAAGAAAAATGTGCATTGGGGTTTTGAGTCAAGAGCCCTGCTATTTTTTCTTACTGCCCAGGAAGGCACTCCTTGTCAAGGGAATTCTATTTATAAACGTTATATTCTCATGATCTGCAGAAAACACAGGGCAGAAAGAGGAAGAGGTAAGAGGGTTCCAGGAAACCCTCTTTCTTGTCTCAGTTCTGTCCCTTGTTAGCTGTGTGACATTGGGTAAGTCAACCTTTGAGTTTCACTTTCCTAATCTGAAGGCCTCTAGCTTGCTCTCCCAGAAAGATCCACTTTTTTTTTTCTACCTTAGAGTATAAACTTCAGTCAGTGCCCAAGCCCCTCAGACCCCTTCCTCAACCTCCCAGCTACCTTGGGGAATGGGTCCAAATCTCCAGAGTTGGAGGAAAAGGTCTGTATTTGTTTTCTGTTTGTTTGTTTGAGACAGAGTCTCACTCCATCACCCAGGCTGTAGTGCAGTGGCGCAGTCTCGGCTCACTGCAACCTCCATCTCTTGGGTTCAAGCAATTCTCCTGCCTCACCCTCCCGAGTAGCTGGGATTACAGGCATGTGTCACCATGCCCAGCTAATTTTTGTATTTTTAGTAGAAACAGGGTTTCACCATGTTGGCCATGTTGGTCTCGAACTCCTGACCTAAAGTGATCTGCCCACCTCGGCCTCCCAAAGTGCTGGGATTACAGGAGCGAGACACCATGCCCAGCCAGGTCTGTATTTCTTGACAGTGTTTCTTGATCAGAGGCCCTGTTTTCTCAGGACAATTGCTGTCCCAGGTGCCCAGGGTCTCTCACCTTCGTGTTCCCATGGAGGTGCTCACAGCTCTGATGTGGGAACCCCCAAGGTTCTCCTCTGTGGTCTAGGGAGTATCTAGGAATGGACTGCAATGCTCAGCACTGTGAGATAACTCCTGCCCAATAGAGAGTAGAGATGCCCTCTAGGTCTGGTTCCTGCAAGCCTTTTCATAGTCCCGTCACTGATCCCGGCCAGGCTAAGGATGAAAGAGGGGCTTGTCTTACAGCACCATCTTCTGGGCAAACCTGTGAGAGCTACTTCTTCTTGCTGCCATCTGGAGAACACTGAGATTTTGGGGGACTTTGGGTCCCAGAAGTTTTGTTTGTTTGTTTGTTTGAGATGGAGTCTCGCTCTGTCACCCAGGGCTGGAGTGCAGTGGTGCGATCTTGGCTCACTGCAACTTCCATCTCCCGGGTTCAAGCGATTCTCCTGCCTCAGCCTCTGAGTAGCTGGGACCAGAGGCGCACGTCACTATGCCCAGCTAATTTTTGTATTTTTAGTAGAGACGGGGTTTCACCATGTTGGTCAGGCTTGTCTCAAACTTCTGACCTCGTGATCTGCCCACCTCGGCCTCCCAAAGTGCTGGGATTACAGGTGTGAGCCACCACGCCCGGCCGATTCCAGAAGTTTTTATCTTACCTGTTTCCCCAAGATAAATTAATTCTGGACTTTTCCAGCCATCTCTTAGGAGAGGATGTTCCAAGAGCCCTCCAACCTTCCAAACACAAGGCTGCTAGGAATGGTAAGCAGCTGAAACCAGTCTTCCAATCATTCCACCCAGAACCTGAGTCCTCACCTACTCACCCCATATATCCCCACCCCAGAACACCCTGTCACTCACTAAGAAGCTGTTGTCTGGAAGCAAGGTTATAGCCTCATCACTTCCAGAGTTTTCTTCTATCCTCAAGTTTATTTGTTTGTTTGTTTCAGATGAGGGCTCACTGGCAGCCATGAGAGTAAAACACATATTTTCAATCTCTTAAAAATCAGGTGTCTGGATTGGCTGTGATGGCTCATGCCTGTAATCCCAGCACTTTGGGAGGCTGACTTGGGTGGATCGCTTGAGTCCAGGAGTTCAAGACCAGCCTGGGCAACATGGCAAAATCCTGTCTCTACAATAAACAAAAAATTAGCCGGGTGTGGTGGCATGTGCCTGTAGTCCCAGCTACCTGGAGGTTGAGGCTGCAGTGAGCCATGATCACGCCACTGTACTCCAACCTAGGCGACAGAGCAAAACTCTGTCCCTTAGGAAAAAAAAAAAAGGCTAGGCATGGCGGCTCAATCCTGTAATCCCAGCACTTTGGGAGGCTGAGGCAGGAGGATCACTTGAGCCCAGGAGTTTGAGAACAGCCTGGACAACAAAGTGAGACCCCCATCTCCCTACCAAAAAAAAAAAAGCAAAAAAAAAAAAAGCAAGGTGTCGTGGTGTGCACCTATAGTCCAAGCTACATGGGAAGCTGAAGTAGGAGGATCACTTCTCCCCAGGAAATCAAGGCTGCAGTGAACCGTATTCATGCCACTGCACTCCAGGCTGGGTGACAGAGCAAGACCCAGTCTCAAAAAAAAAAAAAAAAAATCAGATGTCTAGACAAAGAGAAATTGTGGATCTGGTCAAATGGAATCAGATCCCTCTTGCTACTTCTTTTTCTTTCATTTGAAGTGTATGTGTCTATTTTCAGAGTGGGGTACGTGAGAGTGATAAGAGGGCACTAAATATATAAGATATAAAGTAGACTTGTGTTTTTTTTTGTTTGTTTGTTTTTTGTTTTTTTGAGACGGAGTTTCGCTCTTGTTGCCCAGGCTGGAGTGCAATGGTGCAATCTCAGCTCACTGAAACCTCCACCTCCCGGGTTCAAGCAATTCTCCTGCCTCAGCCTCCCGAGTAGCTGGAATTACAGGCACCTGCCACCATGCCTGGCTAATTTTTTTTTTTTTTTTTTTTGTATTTTTAGTAGAGACGGGGGTTTCACCATCTTGGCCAGGCTGGTCTTGAACTCCTGACCTTGTGATCCACCTGCCTTGGCCTCCCAAAGTGCTGGGATCACAGGCATGAGCCACCGTGCCCGGCCGACTTGTTATTTTTAAACATACTTTTCAGAACCTAAATATTCAGATCATTGTCCCTGACAAAATGGTCCTTTTGGAGGGCCTTTTTTGGAATGATTGCCTGCAATTATCTGAATTAATTCAAGCACCAACTCTTCAAATTCTGAGAGTGGACTTGATTTTTGCAAGCTGCTTGGTGAGTAAGATCAGCAATCAAGCTGGGTGGTACTGTTTTAGATCAAGAATGAGAAGTGACTGTAATGAAAATATTTCGTTTTGGGGGTCATAAATTGACCCTGAATTCCTGTTCTCTTCTTTAACCCAGGTTCCATGTTGCTAGCAGAGTTCCTCCCTCAAAACATAGAGCTGATATCACTTAACAGCTTGAAAATCTTCAGTGGTTCCCTATTACCTTCAGAACACAGGCCAAGTTCTTTACTGACTTTTTGTTTTGTTTTGTTTTGTTTTTTTGAGATGGAGTTTCGTTCTTGTTGCCCAGGCTGAAGTGTAATGGCACGATCTTGGCTCACCGAAACCTCTGCCTCCTGGGTTCAAGCGATTCTCCTGCCTCAGCCTCCCGAGTAGCTGGGATTACAGGCATGCACCACCACACCCTGCTAATTTTGTATTTTTAGTAGAGACAGGGTTTCTCCATGTTGGTCGGGCTGGTCTCGATCTCAGGTGATCCACCCACCTTGTCCTCCCAAAGTACTGGGATTACAGGTGTGAGCCATGGCGACTGGCCACAAGCCAAGTTCTTTAGCTCTGTGGTTGGGGTAAAGAAGAGCCAGCAATGGAGTCAGACCAGAATGGGTTTAAATCCCACCTATGAGCTCTGAGGCAAGTTATTCAGTCTCTCAGACTCTCAGCTCTCTCATTTGTAAAAAGAAGGCTAACGGGCCAGGCGCGGTATACCCAACACTTTGGGAGGCCAAAGTGGACAGATCGCTTGAGCTCAGGAGTTTGAGACCAGCCTGGGCAACATGGTGAGACCTCGTGTCTATTAAAAAATTTTTAAAAATTAGCTGGGTGTGGTGGTACATGCCTGTGGTCCCAGCTACTCGGGGGACTGAGGTAAGAGGATAGCTTGAGCCCCGGAGGTTGAGGCTGCAGCGAGCCTATCAATACCTACTTTGTTAGGTTGTTTTGAGGACAATGGTAATTTTAAGGTGTATATAGTAGCAAACTCAATAAATAGCAGTCATTCTTCAGCATGGCATTCATTGCTCACTGCGACCCAGTTGCAACCTATCTAGAAGAAACCTCAGATCTCAACACACTCCCTGCAGACACACACCATTCCAGTTACATTTGCCTACTGAAATTCCTTAAACAATACAGAGATTTTTTTTCTTTTTCTTTTTTTTTTTTTTTTTTTTTTTTTTAGACAGGGTCTTGCTCTGTCCTCCAGGCTGGAGTGCAGTGGCATGATCTCAGCTCACAGCAGCCTCAGCCTCCTGGACTCAAGTGATCCTTCCACCTCAGCCCACGGTGCCCCCTCTCCCCCCAGTAGCTGGGACTACAGGCACACACCACTACACCCAGCTAATTTTTTTTTTTTTTGTAGAGGCAGGGTTTTGCCATGTTGCCCAGGCTGGTCTCGAACTCCCAGACTCAAGCAACCTGCCTGTCTCACCCTTCCTAAGTGCTGAGATTACAGGCATGAGCCACTGCGCCCAGCCTAAACGGAGATTCCTTACCTCTGGCCTTGCTTATGTTGTTGCTCCCTTTGGGGTGTCTCTTTCCCCATCTTCCTTCTTTACATGTTATGTAATACACCGTTTCCTCTGTGAATATTTATCATTTCCTTATCTGCATACATGACTTTGTCCCCAGCCAAATTGTAATCTCCTTGAGTCAGGAACTGTGTTTCCCAATTCATTTTAGAAGCTCCCAACAATCCCCAGCAAGGTACCTGGCCTGGAAACAGCCTGTTAGTAAATGTCTGTTGAACGAATTCATTCCAAAAGAGTTTATTTTATTATTATTATTAACGTTGCTTTTCTTACCAAAGGGTGCATTTTGAGGAATGGCGTTAATCTATATGTGCAGTATAAAATTTACATGTGTCTCACACTCTTATTTATTTAGAAACTCATCTAACATGTTTACCAGTTTCTGTTCATAGAGATGAGGAAGAGATTAGGAAACAGATGAGGACCATACACACATTGATGCTAGAATATAATTTGGCAGCCATTCGATTAATTTCTTTTTTTTTTTATTGAAGTATGACTTACCTACAGGAAAGAGCACATATCTTAAGTGTAAACTCTGTGACTTTTTTTTTTTTTTTTTTGAGACAGAGTTTCACTCTTGTTGCCCAGGCTGGATTGCAATGGCAAGATCTCGGCTCACTGCAACCTCCGCCTTCCGGGTTCAAGCAATTCTCCTGCCTCAGCCTCCCCCAGTAGCTGGGATTACAGGCACCTGCCATCATGCCTGGCTAATTTTTGTATTTTTAGTAGAGACGGGGTTTCACCATGTTGGTCAGGCTGGTCTCGAACTCCTGACCTTGTGATCCGCCCGCCTCAGCTCCCCAAAGTGCTGGGATTACAGGTGTGAGCCACTGCGCCCGGCCTGTGACTTTTTACTACTACTCAGATCAAGATAAAGAACATCATTTGATTTTTAAAGGCGTTTCTACTTTCAAATATCTCTTAAATCCCTTCCTGCCTTTTAACCTCCACCCTCACCCCACTACGGAGTCTAATCAGTCTCTCTCTTTCTTTCCCCAGTGCCTGGCTCATGGCAAACACTCAAATATTTGAAATAATGAATCAACAAACAAATATTGTTGAATGAATGAGACCTAAATTGGAAGGAAATGGAGGTCTGTAAGGTTGTGCCCAGACTGTTTTGGGTAAATTATTCAACATTACCTGCATCGGCCTCCAAAGTTAAAGGGTATCTAGTAGGAATTTAGAGGTAAGATTTTTTTTTTTTCCCCCGCTATATAGCAAAGTTTCAAAGGGTGGTTAAGGGCACAGAAAATTTGAGCCTCGGGCGGTGTCCTGCTCATCCCCCTGCACCCCACACCCAGGCCTGGCTGGCCCCACCCCCGCCAATCTTTGCAGCCCTGCAAAGCGCCCAGCCCGGCTGCGGTCCCGCCAGCGGGGAGCCATCCATCACCGCCTGAATGCCAGCCAACCCGAGCAGCCCCGCCTTCCTGCCAGCCAATAGCCGGAAGGCAGGGGGCGTGCGGGGCTCTAAGTGGTATAAAAGGGGTCCGAGGGCCAGGCCGCGCTACCTCTGCGCCCCCAGTTGGCTCTGCTTGTTGCTGGCGTCCTGTTCCGTGCCAGAGCCCCCGGGCCGGTGTTTCTGTGCGTGCCGTCTGGCTGGGCCCTGGCTCCTGGGGTCTGGGTTTCAGACGTGCCCCGGTGCCCATTCTGCTGGAGGAAAGAAGAGGCCCTGAGGCCCCCTTCCCTTATACACTTGGGGCCCGCAGGGTCGCCCACGAGGGCAAGGGGGTGGAGGAATGCAGAAAGATGCAGAGGGGCCCTGGGGATGGCAGGACACTGGAAGGCAGGCCCTGGCTGCTCTCCCGCACGGAACCGCCGGCCGCCCTTCCCGAAAACCAGTCCTCCGCGCTCCCCTCCGCGCCCGCCGGCTCCGGCCTGTGGCAGCGCTAATGAGGCAGTCTGGAGGAAGCCGGTGCCAGCGGGCAGGACTCTGGGCGGCAGGCCAGGCTTGTCATCCTGGCGGCTCTGCCGAGCTGCGGGCGCCACGTGGGAGCTGGGGGCACAGCAGCCGGCGGCCCTCCACCCCCAGCGGGGTCTCCGCCTCAGCCCCCGGAAAGCTGGGCCTGCAAACTCAGGGTCCTCTGGAAGGGGCAGCGCCCTTCCTTGCCGGCCCTCCCGGGTCCTCTGGCAGTGCTGCGCAGCCCGCTCTGCGCTGTCCTCTCCGCCGCGGCGTGGGTCCGTCGGCTGCTTCGCAGCCGCGCCGCTCCCCACAATCCCTCAGCCATCGCGGGCGAGGACACCTTTCCGGTCGCCTCTCGGCATTGCCATGCCCCCTCAGCCCCTTCCTTTTAACCTAGTACGGTTACTGTGTGGGCCAGGGGTTCGGATGGGCCTAGGGCAGGGATGCGCGAGAAAGCCACTTGTCCCCAGCAGTTCCCCATCCGGAGCCCCGCCCTGCGAAAACTACACCAAACACGTCAACCTGAGGCTCAGTGTTCCCTTCCGTAAAATGGGGAGAGCATCGCGTAATTCACAGGATTCGGTGAGCCAGTTTGTGTGAAGGGCCCAGCCTCCTGCCTGTCCCTTTACATTCCCGTCCCTGCTACATTGGAATAGCAGGGCCGAGGCGGGCGCGACCGCGTTGCTAAGAAGCGCATTTGCCCGTCCCTCCTTGCGGTCGCTTAAGGGTGGTGGAGGAAGCCAAGCCCTGGGTGTGGCCGCATATTTGCCAAAATATTTCTGGAAAATGTCTCCTTTCTTGTCGCCATACTAGCCCCTGAACTCCACGGAATTTAACCGAATACTCTTTTTTTTTCTCCCCTTCCAAGAGTTGCCATTTTGCATTATTTACTGGGACGGGTTACGTACTCAGCGCTTACAATGTAAATGTTTACATAACTATATCATTTTCTCTAATTGCAGAAGTAGTCAAGCCCGTTATAAATGTCCAATCTTAAACAGTTTTATAATGTAGGACTTGAAAGCCGCAGGGACAACTTCTATTAAGGTCCACGGCTCGCCACTTTCCCTCCTTCGCTGAAATTCCTGTGCCCACGCTGGCGCAGCACTAGCAGGGTGGGTCACGCGTGCAGGTTGCTAGGGCAACGTCCTGTCGCCGGCGTCGGAAACCAACCAGTAACTCTCAGGAGCCGGAGTCGGGTCCGCCCTGGGGGCGGAGTTAGTCAGCAGGTCGGTCCGGCGGGAGCGCGTTTCCTGCCGGTCCCTGCAGGTGGCACCATAGGATCGCGGATGCTTTCCTGGGGCGGGGCTTTCCTGGGGCGGGGCTTCCCGCAGTGCTCAGCGCACTCCAGGGGCGGGGCCGGGGTGGAGCCGGGGTGGAACGTGAGCCACCAGCTGCAGTCCGCAAAGGATCGAGGGAAACGAGCTGTCCCGGGACGCAACGCTAGACAAGCTCAGGGACGCATTTACAGGGACGCAGAAAGTGTACGCGTCAGAGAGTGGAAAGGAGAAAACAGGTTCTGGGACGGCGACAGAGAAGGGAAGTCGTGTCGCCCAGAAAGGCTATACAATCTCCACCCTTCCCGTTTGTCCCTGCGACACCCTTTCACCCTCCTGTCCCTCCGGACCTGCAATTCTTCACACCCTCTGCAGCGCACAGGGTGCTCAGGACACATGTGCACGGTGGGGGCTGGCGATGCTTCCTCGCCCCCACCACCCGCAAGCTTGCAGAGAGCTGTAGTGCCCAGGATGTATGCCAGGATAGGAATTCCACGGTTCCAGGCATGCCAAGAAAAATAGCCATGCTGTTTCTCGGTTTGTTCAGAGGAAGCCTTACCTCTCTTCCCTTCTGGAGTTTGGGAATGGAAAAAATGACTCAAGGAATCCCCAGCGGAGCTACCATGTATGTACTGCATTGCAAAATAGGGGTACCATATTTTGCTCTCCCCTACCTGGCAGTATGCGCCACACATGGGGCTCCGTGGTATCAGCGTCGCACCCCCTCATGGTGTTAAATAGTCCCCTTTCCCTTGTCCCACATCTCTGCCCAATCACACAACCACAGGGACACGCCCCACCCTGGTACTGGATATCCCCACGATGAGCCACAGAAAGTGCAGGAGCCCTTATATGAACACACACACACACACACACTTCCTAGGCCAAGAGAGAAGGAGACCCTTGGCAGAAGACAAAAGCAGGTTTATTAGGGCCCTGGGGCCAGGAATGCCTAAGATATGAGTTAAGGCCAGGGCCGTGAGAAAAGGTGACTCTCCTGAGGCCAAACCTTTGCATCTCAGAAGCCCTGGCTGGAGACCTTAGGAGTCAGTTCTGGGAGGGACCTGGGGATACAGAGGGGTCTCTCCTGACCCTGGGATCTTTGGGCTTTTGCCAGGATTGGGGAAATGATCTGGGGGGCAGGGAGCCTTGAATCCACAGCCTTCATTTCAATAACGACCATTTAATTTGTTCCTTGGCAGACTGAAGAACCTGGGGTGGGGTGGGGGAGGTTGAGAGAGAATTGAGAATGTCAAATGCCTCCATACACAGTCATGGGGAGGTCCACAGCCCACCTTGCCGAAGCGCCCCTGCAACCACCGGTCACTAGGTGGCAGCAGCTTGTCTCCACTTGGCTTAAACGCGGCCAACCCTCCAAGTCAGAAAGCGCAGACCAAACCGGCTGCAGCCAGCTCCCACCTCAGGCCCAAGCCTGCCCAGACCTCTGGCTCCTGCATCTGCAGCGTGGGTGTGGCAGCAGCCTGTCTCCCCGCTGTCATGCCATGAGAGTTCCCGCCCACAGTGCCACGTCCAGGCGGAGACGGGGCCCAGGCCTGACACTCCCTGTGCTCAGACGCCTCAGCAAACCCCTAGCTCTGGCCATGGCTGGCAATGTGTCCTCAACACCCCACCGCAACCCACTGCTGATGTGGCATAGCTGGCAAAGGGTGGCCAGCCAGACCCTGCGGTGGGATGCCTGGTGGAAAGTCTCAGCCCAGTGCTTACACAAATCCATATAAGTGCACACGTGCATGCACAATACCAAAGCAGGAGAGGGGGACAGGACTCAGGTGTGTCCCTCAGATTGTCCCTCCAGCCACTCAGCCTTATTCCCCTCTAGAGAAGGAGGGAACGCTGTGTCTCCTCCTCCTGCACAGTCTCCCTCCTCTCTTGGGGACAGTGGCTTAGGGTTCCCCTGATTCTCCTAGCCAGAATCTAACTTTGTCCTCATTTTATCCCCCATTGGCTACCTGTAGCTTCCTTTGTTTTTACTCAAGAATTCCATCAAAAATGCTATGTTTTCATTCTTTCTCCCTTTGGAGAAATACTGATGGTTATTCAGCATGTGTTAACTGGCTTGGAGCCCTACTAAGAGCTTGTCACGCATTGGCTCATTGAATTCTCATAACTCCATGAAGAGGGTCCTGTTATTATGTGAGGCCCAGAGAGGTTGAGTAACTTGCCCTAGGTCACCCAGCTTTAGGTGGTAAGGTAGAACACGTACCCTGGGATGACTCCCATGAGCACCTGTGTTCTTATCTGCTCTGCTTATTACTCCCTACCCTCTTTCCACTCTAAAAATTGCCTTGCAGCTGCATTCATTCCAGCATGGTATGAGGAAACATGGGGAATCAGAGGGGAGGGCGAAGCAGAGTGAGCGCTAAGGGCAGTGCAGGAAAATGGGCGCCACACCTGGGACTCCACACGAGACAGCACAGGCTCATCTCGGTAGGGCCACCACAGCACGAGGAGTTAGCGCCAGGGCGGGAAGTTCCATACAAGCAGGATTAGTCTGAGCAGAGAGACCTGCAGGTGGACAGAAGAGAGGTCAAGACAGTCGTCCTGAACTAGCAGGAAGTTTGTGCAGCTGGGGAACTGATCAGGCTTCAGAGCCAGGAACCTCCCCCTGGCCTTACGCTCTGCAAGCACCTCCAGATAAGACCATGCAGGGTTGTGGCAGGTTCTTCCATAGCCAGGTCACTCAGGGGTAAGGTGACAAGTGATGAGTGGGGAAAGTCAGATCCTATCATGGGTTTGAGAGTCCCTTAACAATCCCAGTGTGCACCCTAAGTGGCAAGGACAGGGGTTAAGAGCCAAACTCCTATTTGGTACCCTTTCCAGGTTTCGGTAGAGGGCGCATCAGAGGCCTGAGTTCCCAGATTTTTGGGGTGCACAAGTGACCCAGCCATCTCCAAGGTAGGCAGCTCATCCTAGTTTCAATCCAACTAAACCAAGCCAGGAGATGAGGTGGGCTGATGGTAACATGCCCATCCATCCATTAGTACCCAGCTCCCCTGAGTTGGAGAGCCCGGAGGCCTCCAGTGAGTCTTTCCAAGATATGACCTGTCACTGCCTCATCCCTTCCCTTCTCACCCCTGATTTTTCAGACTTGATAACTTCACTGGGTCCCCCTAGGATGCTCTAGGATGCTCTGCTCCCCGTATCTCTCTAGACCATTTCTAGCCAAGGCAGATGCAGGGGGGCCTACCTGGGCCACACTCTGTTCAGTCAAGCCGCCATCATCTGCCTGTAAGGAAGCAGAGTCAAGGGGTGGGGTAGGGCCAGCATGAGGGTCCTGGGTCAGGGAGGTGAAGGAAAGGGGCTTGGGGGTATGGGTGAGGTGGTGCAGTGGTTAGGGTGATTCAGAGCTGCACCTGTGTCACTGGTTAATAGAAGTCCTGCAGCCTGTCATTTGGAAGCCAGGACCTCTGGGATTGTGCTATGGTGCGTGGAGGGTGAGGGAAGATGGGAAGAAAGATGGGAAGAAAGGTTTCATCCAGACATGAGAAAGCCAAACAAGGCAGGGAGGTTCTATCCATACCCCTGACCCCCAACCTCAAGGCCAAGGCAGCCACCTAGTGCCTCTTTGAAGATGTATTTATTTCCCCAGTCTATACTTCCTACCAGGAAAGAGGTGAGGTACTTGTGCTCCTAGCCGGGGAGAGGACAGGAAGATTTCTTCCATTAACTGGCATCCCACCCAGAAACTGCTGCTCATCTCACCCCTAACAAGTGTGTCAGCCCAGTGGTTGGCTTCTGCTAGAGGAGCTTGGGCTTCTACCATCTAGGCCCTAGCAGCCCTATTCCCAGGGAGGACAGGAAGGGCAGCCTAAAAGAGGAGGTGTCCAGGAAGACTCTTACCCTAAAATTCACCTTCTGGATCACTTGCTGGGGGTCACTCTCCAGAATCACACTACAAGATGAGAGGAAAAACCAGGAGGCAAATCAGTGGCACAATCCTCCCCTCCGCCCCTTCTCCTTGCCAAGCCTCTTCCCTCTCCGAAGGCATCCTGCAACATCTCCACCTTCCAGGTCCCTTCCCACTGATAGCCCTCAAGTCAGAACTCTCCCTCAGCATGGAGAGCCCTCAGCTCTGATTCTTTGATGCTTCAACCCAGTGGTCCACATGCTTTGTCATCCCTGGGCAAAATCTTTGAAACTGGATAAGAACAGTCTGGTCTAGGATGATCAGGTTGTCAAAAGCAGGGACTCTCAAAACTCAGAGCTCTTGAAAGTTCACTTCACTTTCTGGGTATAGGATTGGATTCCCTGTGAAAAGAGTTAGGAAGAGAGGCCCTGGGGGTTCTTATCTTGTTGCACTGTTATTTTATGGCATGGGGTCATGCCCTGCATAAAAGAAATGAAACTCCAAAAATCAGCATCTACCTTCTCCCCTACTTCCTCCCTTTTTTTTTTTTTTTAAGGCTGGGCACGGTGGCTCATGCCTGTAATCCCAGCACTTTGGGAGGCCGAGGCGGGTGGATCACCTGAGGTCAGGAGTTCCAGACCAGCCTGGCCAACATGGCGAAACCCTGTCTCTAGTAAAAGTACAAAAATCAGCCAGGCATGGTGGCACACATTGTAATTCCAGCTAATTGGGAGGGTGAGGCAGGAGAATCGCTTCAACCCGGGAGGCAGAGGTTGCAGTGAGCCAAGATTGCGCCACTGCACTCCAGCCTGGGCATCACAGTGAGACTCTGTCTAAAAAAAAAAAATTTTTTTTTTAAATCTTCCCTTTTAGGCCAGGCACAGTGGCTCACGCCTGCAATCCTAGCACTTTGGGAGGCTAAGGTGGGAGGATCACAAGGTGAAGAGTTCGAGACCAGCCTGGCCAATATGGTGAAACCCCGTCTTTACTGAAAATACAAAAAAAATTAGCCGGTAATGGTGGCGCACGCCTATAATCCCAGCTACTCGGGAGGCTGAGGCAGGAGAATTGCTTGAACCCAGGAGGCAGAGGTTGCAGTGAGCCAAGATCACGCCACTGCACTCCAGCCTGGGCGACAGAGTGAGACTCCATCTCAAAACACACACACACACACACACACACACACACACACACACACAAAGAAACAAACAAAAAAATTCCCTTTTGATAGACCCAAATATTGTAGCTTTTCTCAGAGAGCAGGCGCTCCTTCGTGAGGCCTTGGGGTTATGTACAGGGTACATGGGCGTGAGGGCCTGTCACTGCGGCAGGACAAAGATGACAGGATCTGAGTGTACCTCCTTACCCACTGAGACTCCTCCAAGGCAGAAGCTTTGTTTCTCTTTGTTACTAAATCACTGGAAATGACAAACATTTCTTGGGAGCCTCTTCCAGTCCCCATCCTTGGGCTGAGCACCCCCTGTCCCAAGCTCCCTAACCAGGGGTCCTGTAATCCATAAAGAAAGAGCATCCCAGGCCAAGGCTCCAGTTTAGGCGTTGCCTCCCGACTGGCGCTTCCCCAGTTTTTCTTGGCAGGAAACTGAGTTCCTCAGAGGCAGAGACGGGAAGCTTGTGAAGCTTACACCTCAGGCATCCTCCTTTGCACAGCCATCCAGAGCCCTGCATCTTGTTTTGCATTTATAGTTTTGTGTGTGTTTGTGTAAAGTTTTCCTTCAAGAGGGTTCACCAAATTGTATATGCTTCTGGCTCCCCAAAACCTGGCGTTACCCCACTCCCTTTTGGGTCCCAGAAATCTGCAGGAGGCATTCCTTAGTGCCCCAGGCAGTCCAGTACAGTGCCATAGAAACAGCATGGCCTCTGGAACTATTCACATGGTTTTAGATCTTGGCCCTGCCACTCCCTAGCTGTGTGAGAGACCTCCGGCGTGTCACTTGAAACTTTGAGCCTGTTTCCTAATGTATAAAATGATGTAATGATAGAGGGATGTATGTTTTTAAGGAGCTCAAGAAATTTCTATTGGCCGGGGATGGTGGCTCACACCTGTAATCCCAGCACTTTGGGAGGCTGAGGTGGGCGGATCACGAGGTCAGGAGATCGAGACCATCCTGGCTAACATGGTGAAACCCCGTCTCTACTAAAAATACAAAAAATTAGCTTGGTGTGGTGGTGGGTGCCTGTAGTCCCAGCTACTCAGGAGGCTGAAGCAGGAGAATGGTGTGAACCCGGGAGGTGGAGCTTGCAGTGAGCCGAGATCACGCCACTTACTGCACACCAGCCTGGGTGACAGAGCGAGACTCTGTCTCAAAAAAAAAAAAAAAAGAAATTTTTATTATCCTTTGCCCCAGAGCCAGAACTTCTTTTTCTCTCTGAATATTGATCCCCTGATGGAAATTCACAAGCCAACTTTTCTCAAAAGAGCTCCTAGCTTCCTAAGAATATACTAGCATACCAATAGGAGGCAACATCTATTGAATGAGAACCACAAGCTTCACATGTATCTTCTCACACATGTATTTAATCCCCACAATCCCTTATTACCTCCATCCTAAAGATGGAGAAAGTAAGCCTCGGGGAGGGTCAGTAATTGACCCAGGTCACGCATCTAGCTTGTGTTGGAATTGAGCCCTAAGAGCAGGACATGTGGGGCTGGTGGGACTGTCTGAAGTCCTTCCAGAGAGGGCCAGCATCTGTGCCAGTGCTTCCCCTGGGCATTGGAGACCAAACTGGATTTTCCCCAAACCCTGCCTATTCAACAGTCTCCCATAGTTTGACATCAGGTTAGTCTCTTGTTTGGCTTGACTTTGGCTAACATTGAAATCAACTTCTATCTTCATGAGTGGGGCGCTAGTAAGGGGAAGGGCTAGGGGAATGGGATCCCTGGGAATATGCTGGGGGAAGGGAGTGAGAAGTTGGTCAGAGTTCTAGCCATGCTGGGTGCCATCTGGGGCTGATGATTATCAAAGGCACTCCTGCTGTGAGTGTCCCTGACTGTCCCCTCCTCACCCGCCATCCACAATCTCGTCCAGCACCAAGAAGGCTCCGTCCATGTTCTCCAGCAACCAGCGCTTCTCCACGTTCTTCCTGAAGGTGGACACAAGCTCCTGAGCCTCCCTGTGGCTGGGAGGAACTGAGTCCCTGCCTAGGTGAGGCTGACCCCACTCTCCAAAGACTGCCTCATTCACCCCTCACCAAACAAGGACTGGGAAGGAGAATGTGAAGGGCAGTGAGCACAGAGCCCATGCAAGGCATTTCTGAGCAAAGGGCAGTTCTGCTTCCTTACACCCTACCTTGTCCAACCTCCCATACTTTGGGCCTTGACACCCTGGCACCCACCACAGGACCCCAGATGCGTTTCACAACTAGGTTAGATGCTATAGCACAGCCCTACTTTCGTTCATTGTGTCGACTGTGAACTTTTCTTTTTGGATTATCTTAGTCTTGTGGGGACTTCAGGAGAAAAACAGGGAGGAAGGGTCCTGTGACATATCAGGGCCAGGGGGATGGGGCCTCGGAGGGCAGAGAACCTCACTCACCTTAACATGTGGTTCAGAGACTCAAACAGGCAGGTGAGAACAGACATGAGCATCAGCTGGGATGGGCAGATACGGGAGGAGGAAAAGGAGAGTTTGAGATTGAGAAGGTCAAAAGAAGCACTTGGAGCCCACCTGTGCGGGCAGCAATGGAGAGTTTCAGAGGCCTGGGCTGGAGACTGACTGCGGTGTGACATTAGAGGGAACTTCCATGTGTCTGGGCTGGGAAACTGGAGTTCTCCACTGGGAGACATTGAGTGTATCCTTCTCTAGTTATGTTTAAGAAGGACAAAGCCTCCCTTGAAGATGAAGTGATTACTTCATTCCTGGTTCCCAAGGAAACTAAGGGGCATCGAAGATACACATTGTCCCAGAAAGAACCCTTCTGGCTGCCCTCCTCTACCCCATGGAGCCTAAAAGAAGGGGTCCAATGGTGAGCCTCCAGGTCCCAGCCTCAAGCCCAGATTCCAAATAACAACATTTCCCCATAGACAGACCCTTCTTACTGCCCCAACCTCCTGAATTCACCTCATTCTCGTAGGATGAGCCCACCACGTATAGGAAGAGGTCAATGCTGTTCTTGTAGACGATGGTCATACCCCCAAAAAATGCAATCTCACCTAGAAGTGGAGGGAGCTTTCAGTCCTGGCCACCTTGCCTGGTCCTAGCCTAGCCCCTCCTCCTCATGTATGACTCTGTGACTCTCCTATTTCCTTCTCCCCTTTCTGGAGAACCCTTGGAAAGACCAGCACTAGGGACACTACCATCAGGCAGCCCCGTGTCCTTCCCCTTATCTGCTACTCTATTTCTAGGGACTGCCTCAGGCCAAGGAGTCAACAAGCCCAGTTGTTGACCCGTTTACCTCCTGCCCACGCTCCCACCCTGTGCAGCACCTTGGGACCAGATCCAGGTTGGGACCACAACACAGTTGGCCTCCTCAGCTAGAGAGAGGCCTGGGGATGCTGGGGGGTTGGGTAGTTGGGGGAACTGGAGAGTGACAGGGAGTGGAGGTTCCCTGGAGGAAGGGAGTGGAGAACAGCAGGGAAGGAGAGGACAAAAAGCCTCTGAAGAAAGGGAAATGGCCTGTGGGTGTGCAAGGCTGATGGGGACAGATGTGTCCAGATGGAGAAGATGACAGTGTGCATCTGATAGTCTGCTGGAGGAAGAGGGGGACACTTACTCTCAGTCCGGCTGGTCTTGTTGAAGACATTTTTCTCGAAAACCATCTGCTCCTTCATGGAGGGGAATGTGTCATCATAATACTATGAGAAAGGGAAGGAGAAAGGACCATAGCTTTCCACACAGCCTGGATCCTCCCTAGATTGGGGGGCAGGAAAGAGTAGGCGCTGGGCAAGCGGGATCCTGCTTCCCTGCCCCATCTCTCCATTACTGCACCCTAGGCCTGCAGGCTCATTACTTCCTCCAAAACAAATTATTCTTTTTTAGATGGAGTTTTGCTCTTACTGCACAGGCTGGAGTGCAGTGGCACGATCTCGGCTCACCACAACCTCCACCTCCCGGGTTCAAGCAATTCTCCTGCCTCAGCCTCCTGAGTAGCTGGGATTACAGGCATGCGCCACCACGCCCAGCTAATTTTGTATTTTTAGTAGACAGGGTTTCTCCATGTTGGTCAGGCTGGTCTCGAACTCCCGACCTCAGGTGATCTGCCCACCTTGGCCTCCCAAAGTGCTGGGATTACAGGCATGAGCCACTGTGCTTGGCCCCCTCCAAAACAAATTCTGAGCAAAGAAAGTCCCAAAAAGTAGAGGGATATTGAGGCCTGCTTTTGGAGTCCCCTCCTGGTTTCTTGGAGGATCTTGTACATTCAGCAGATGTGCAGGGTGCTAAGGATTGGCATGGTCACGAGGGCACACTAATTCTACAGCACCCTGAGTCTCTACAGGAAAGACGGCAAAACCAGGAGTCCTTCTTAAACAATAATAATGATAATAACAACAGCTACTTTATTATCCCCATTACACGGATGGGGAAACCGAGGCATCAAGAAGTCAGGTAATGGCCTGGCATGGTGGCTCATGCCTGTAATCTCAGCACTTTGGGAGGCCGAGGCGGGTGGATCACCTGAGGTCAGGCGTTCCAGACCAGCTTTGCCAACATGGTGAAACCCCATCTCTACTAATTATACAAAATAAATTAGCTGGGCATGGTGGCGGGTGCCTGTAATCCCAGCTACTTGGGAGGGTGAGGCAGGAGAATCGCTTGAACCCGGGAGGCGGAGGTTGCAGTGAGCTGAGATCGCGCCACTGAACTTCAGCGTGGGCAGCAGAGGGAGACTCCGTCTCAAAAAAAAAAGAAGTCAGGTAACTTCCCCAACATCTCACAGTTGTGAGGCCAAAGCTGGGTTTGACCACTAAGGACGGTCTGACTGCAGACAGGGTTATAGTGAAGATTAAATATCTAAGAAACAATTCCTCACACATATCCCATAACTAAATTAATGTTTTTTGTTTGGGAATGGTGAGCCTCTCTCTCTGACTCAGTTTCTTAATCTGTAGGGAGGAAAAGCCTTTGGCCTTGCTGATCCACCTCTGACCATCTGCTGGGGCAAGGTGTGGTCAGCTCAGTTTTCAATTTTCTGGATGTGGATTTTGCCACTTAATACTCAATCCGCAGGCAGATTAGCCATCTCCCTAGTGGCCGCTGCTTATTTGAATTTCATAAAAACAAAAAACTTTCAGTTCCAAATAAACAAACAGAAAATCTATTTTTTGGGATGGGGTCTCACTCTATAACCCAGATTGGAGTGCAGTAGCTCGATCATGGCTCACTGCAGCCTCAACCTCTCGGGCTCAGGCAATCCTCCCACTTCAGCCTCCCGAGTAGGTGGGACTACAGGCACACACCACCACGCCCGGCTAATTTTCGTTTTTTTGTTTTTTGTTTTTGTTTTGTTTTGTTTTTTGTAGAGATGGGGTGTGCCATGTTGCCCAGGCTGGTCTGGCACTCCTGGGCTCAAGCAGTCCACCCGCCTCGGCCTCCCAAAGTACTGGGATTACAGGCATCAGCCACTGCGCCTGGCCTTACAACACATTTCTTTTCTTTTTCTTTTCTTTTTTTTTTTTTTTTTGAGACAGAGTTTCGCTCTTGTTGCCCAGGCTGGAGTGCAATGGTGTGATCTCGGCTCACTGCAACCTCTGCCTCCCAGGTTCAAGCAATTCTCCTGCCTCAGCCTCTCGAGTAGCTGGGATTACAGGCGCCCACCACCATGCCTGGCTAATTCTTTGTATTTTTAGTAGAGACAGGGTTTCACCATGTTGTCCAGGCTGGTTTCGAACTCCTGACCTCAAGTGATCTGCCCGCCTTGGCCTCCCAAAGTGCTGGGATTACAGGCATGAGCCATCACACCTGGCCTTATAATGCATTTCATAGCTAATGCAGATGCTATAGCTCCCCTACAATTAATTGTGTTGACAGCAGAAATTTATTTTTGGATTATTTTAGTTTGGTTCGCTCAGGCCATGTTTGCTAGGATAGATAACAGCTAATTGAATGGGGGTACAGTGAAAACCACCTTGAGCTTCATGTCAAAAAACCCGAGTTTGCCTGTGAAACCTGTGAAATGGGAGAAGTGAAAAAATTAAATAAGTAAATAAATAAAATTTGAGTTTGGATCTGTTAGGATATTAATACTTGTGACCTCAGGCAACTCACTTAGCTTCTCTACCCCTCATTTTCTTCATCTACGAAATTAAAGAGTTGGATTATACAGTTTCTAAAATCCCATCTGGTTCTAAATCCTTAGACTCCTTAGACTAAATCGTTAGTGTTTACCAAGCTGTAGAACAAAAGTGGAGGTTTAGAGACAAACCCCAAAGAACAAAAGAACTTGTGTGGGGGTTTGGGGACTAAGACTCCTGGGTCCCAGGCTCAACACTCCACTGACCCATTAGGCAGAACCTTCCCATGCCCAGGTCCAACTGGCCAGTAGCAGGATGATAAGGAAACATTTCAGGGAACATGAGTAGAAATAGAGGAGACCCCTCATTTCAGGGAGCAGCACCTTGACAAGGCAGGAGGATGAGAAGGACCTCTGGAGGGGTCTAAGCTGAGCTGCCCTGAGTCACAGAGATCACAGTGGAGTTTCTCCTGAGACAGGAGTGTCAGCTGAGTGGGAACTGTGTCCCTCATGGGTGGGGTCAGAGGTTACCTTGGCCAGCAGCCGGCGCCCGTCATTATCTAGGATGAAAACAGCCTTGATGGTGTAGAGGGAAGGTTCCTGCAACTGACACCGGAGAGGAGAGTTCCGTTTGGCCCCTGACTCGAGGTGGACACCCTGTGTCTATGGGATCTGCTGGCCCTAGGATACATCCTCAGGCCCCAGCAACCCCAGTCCTCAAGGTCCACAGCTGGTTCTGCCCAGCCCTGTGCCACATGGGCCAACCCAGGTGCCCACTCCACTCCCAGGCAGATGTTCCACTGCAGGCCCCGAGTGGGCGCTGTGCCCGTTGGGTGCAGAAGGTCCTTCCGGGCCCAAGTTCTGTCATGCACTGACTGCTCCAGAGCCCGAGTCGGAGTGTATCACAGAACCTGGGCCGGGGGGGACAGCGGGCCGAGCCTCCTTCTTCCAGCTGATCCCTGGCCGGGCTGGACCTGCGCTATCAGCGCGCCCCCAGGCCCTGGCCCGGGTAGACTCCAGAAGCATGCCCATCACCCACCGGTGATGGGAGCCGAGTCTGGGACGGACAGGCCACTCCTTACCCTCCCCGCGGAATCGCAACTCACCCGCCACCCCCACTCCAAACGGACCCAGAACTTCAGCCCCGCGCCGACGGACTCAGGACAGGCCTCCTCTCCGGTCGGCGCTGGGACGAACTTTTCCTCCCGGGTCCTGGGGCCAGTCAGGGGTGACACAAAGTTCCCAGCCGCCGGGCGCGCGAGTTCTGAGTTGGCTGCTCCCCCTAACCCTGCTCTGTCCCTGCCCAGCTCCCGCCGCCCGGGATCCCCGCGCCCGCCCGCTCCGTACCCGCAGCCCCGAGGGCTCCCCGGCTCGAGCAGGCGGCGCCGGGCCCCCGGCCTGGGCCGCCGCGGCCCCCTCCCCCGGGTGCGGACGTGGCCAGGCCTCGGGCCGCTGCATTCCGCTCGCCGCCTCGCACTGACAGCGCCGCCCGCCGCCTGCCCGCCGCCGCCGCCCCGCCTCCGCGCCGCCCCGCGGCCCCCTCTCGCGCGTGGCCTCCCTTTCCTCGGGGCCCCGTCCTCTTGCTCGTTCTCCCCCATCTCCCCTCCCGCCCTCACCCCACCTCTCCTTCCCCCACTTCTCCTCTCCCTCTCTCCTCCTTGGCTCCTTCCCGAGTCCCTTACATCCCCGAACTCTGCATCCTCAGGGTGCCCCAAGACCAGCCCTCGTCCTGCTTCCTGCCTGCTCTCCGGCCTGTGGCTTTGGTGTGCGCCAGTGTCTATAGGCTGTCCTGGGGCCAGCAGCAAACACAAGCAAAGCCCACTTTTGTCTGTTGACCTCTGGTAGGTACCATGAGGACAAATACGTCAGGTCACCCTTTAGATCTCAGGGACAGGGTCTATAAGCAAGAGCAAATGAGGACAGTTCTGGGGACACCCCTCTGTGAAGAGGCTTTCTCATTCCTCTCTCACTACTTGCAGAAGGCAACCATGGGCCCGGAGACACCTCCCCAGGCTCTCCTAAGTCACAGATATGGCACCATCAGAAGCAAGACAGACGCCCAGCAGCACAAATGCTCCACCAATGACATCGGGCTTTGCAGCATGTTTTGGTTTCTTTGGTCTAAGTCTAACTAAGACAAGCTCTCATTTCAGGGTACACTGGCAAGTGGGAAATTCACATCCCAGTGATATGTTAGTGCTACGTATGCATTTACCGGTAAAAACACTGTGCGTGTATTTTACATTTGACACCTTCACATCCATTATCTAATATAGCCCACACCTGTAAGATAGGCATAATGGACCCTCATTTTAAGCAAAGAGAGACTCAGAGGTTGTGTGACCTTTTCAAGACTATACAGCTAGTTGACTGGGGATAGAACCCAGATTTTTGACTCAAAATTTCTTCCCTATTCTTCTCTTCAAGCCCTCTTATGTTGTGGACCACAGTCACTTACCCTAGATGGTTACAGAATGGGGTTTTCCTCACTGAATGCATCAAGTCTTCTTATCTTCAAGCCTCTGCTGAAATATAATTACCAAAAGGTCCTCCTGACAGCCACCATATCTGACTTGATAGGTCTCTCCTGTCACATTCTCTCAGTTCCTATTTCTTTCTTTCATTGCACTTTTTTCAATCTCTAAATATTATTTTTACTAATATTGCTTGTTTGAGACACGGTCTCACTCTGTTGCCCAGGCTGGAGTGCAGTGACTCGATCTGGGCTCACTGCAGCCTCAACCTCCTGGGCTCAGGCAATCCTCCCATCTCAGTCTCCCGAGTAGCTGGGACCACTGGTGCATGCAACCACTCCCAGGTAATTTTTTATTTTTTTATTTTTTTTATTTTTGTAGAAACAAGGTCTCAAGTCTGGGCTCAATGGCTCACATCTGTAATCCCAGCACTTTGGGAGGCTGAGGTGGGCAGAAGGCTTGAGCCCAGGAGTTCCAGACCAGCCTGGGCAACATGGTAAGATCTAGTCTCTACTAAAACTACAAAGAAATTAGCCAGGTAGGGTGGTGTGACCTGTAGTCCCAGCTACTCAGAAGGCTGAGGTGGGAGAATCACCCGAGTCTGGGGGTTCAAGGCTGCAGAGCCATGATCATGCCACTGTGCTCCAGCCTGGGCAATGGGAGTGAGAATCTGTTTCAAAAAAAAAAAAAAGAAGAAGAAGAAGAAGAGAAAAAGAAAGGAAGAGGAGGAGGAGGGGGAGGAGGGTGATCATGATCAAGGTCTCACTATGTTGCCCAGGCTGGTCTTGAACGCCTAGGCTCAAGTGATCCTCCCACCTCAGCCTCCCAAAGTGTTGGGATACAGGCGTGAACCACCATTCCCAGCCTTTACTAGTTTGTTTATAAGTGTTCCTTCTCCCCGCCCAGACTTTGAGCCCTGCAAGAACCAATGAATGTGACTTTTTGTTTGTTTGTTTTTTTGTTTTGAGACAGGGTCTTGCTCTATCACCCAGGCTGGAGTACAGTGGTGTGATCATAGTTCACCGCAGCCTCAAATTCCCAGTGTCGGCCGGGCACGGTGGCTCACGCCTGTAATTCCAGCTCTTTGGAAGGCCGAGACAGGCGGATCACGAGGTCAGGAGTTTGAGACCAGCCTGGCCAACATGGTGAAACCCCATCTCTACTAAAAATACAAAAAAATTAGCCGGGGGTGGTGGCAGGTGCCTGTAATCCCAGCTACTCGGGAGGCTGAGGCAGGAGAATCACTTGAACCTGGGAGGTGGAGGTTGCAGTGACCCGAGACCGCACTACAGCACTCCAGCCTGGCCAAGAGAGCGAGAACCTGCTACCCACCCACCCACCCACACACACACACACACACAAACAACTCCCAGGATCAAGCCATTCTCCTGTCTCAGTCTCCTGAGTAGGTGGGACGATACACACGTGCCACCATGCCTGGTTATTTATTATTATTTTTTTTAAAGGCAGGGTCTTGCTGTGTTGTCCAGGCAGGTCTTGAACTCCTGGGATCAAGCCCTCCTCCTGCCTCGGCCTCCCAAAGCCCTGAGATTACAGGTGTGACCCACCTCACCTGGCCAATTATGTTTGTCTTGTTCACTGTGGAATCCCTAGTGTTTCTTACAAGGCTTGGTGACAGATTTTTTTTTTTTTTTTTTGAGACGGAGTCTTGCTCCGTCACCAGGCTGGAGTGCAGTGGCGAGATCTCGGCTCACTGCAACCTCCGCCTCACGGGTTCCAGTGATTCTCCTGCCTCAGCCTCCCGAGTAGTTGGGACTACAGGTGCACACCACCACGCCCAGCTAATTTTTGTATTTTTAGTAGAGACAGGGTTTCACCATGTTGGCCAGGATGGTCTCGATCTCTTGACCTTGTGATCTGCTTGCCTCGGCCTCCCAAAGTGCTGGGATTACAGGCATGAGCCACTGCACCTGGCCGATGACAGATATTTAATAAGCATTTGTGAAGTAAATGAATAAAGGAATTCAGGATGAGGGAGATCATGTATAAATATTCACAAATACCAAATTTTAACTAATAATAATTAAAATGTACCTATCAATGATACCATATTGGCTGGGTGTGGTGGCTCATACCTGTAATCCCAGCACTTTGAGAGGCCAAGGCGGGCAGATCACTTGAGACCAGGAGTTCGAGACCAGCCTGGCCAACATGGTGAAACCCTGATTCTACTAAAAACACACAAAAATCAGCCAGGCATGGTGGCGAGTGCCTGTAGTCCCAGCTACTTGGGAGGTGAAGGCAGGAGAATCATTTGCACCCAGGAGGCAGAGGCTGTAGTGAGCCAAGATCACACCACTGCAGCCTCAGCAACAGAGCAAGACTCTATCTCCAAAAAAAAAAAAAAAAAAAAGACAACATATTTTATGTGCTGTACAAATATTTATTGAGTGCTTAGTATGTACCAGATATTTTTCTAGCCACTGGGACACAATAGTAGACAAAAGAAAAATTTTGCTCTCATGGAACTTACAATCAAGTGTTTGTGTATGTACATGCGTGCGTTTCTGTGCAAGATATAATACACAAATAAATGGGAAAAGTAGATATTATATGAGTTGGGGATAAGTGCTGCAAAGAAAAATAGAGCAGAAATGGGATGTGGAATGTGAGGGGTAAGGGACAGGCAAGCCAGAAAGCCATTTTCATAGTCCTCTGAGAAAACCTTTAACAAGGTGACATTTGAACAAAGAGCTAAAGGAAAGGAGGAAGCAGGCCATGCAGACATCTGAGGAAGCATCTACTGACCCTCCCTATATGATGACTTAGAAGGCACATCTGAACCTTTCTTGCAGGCTATCAGTTATAATAGGGAACATAATGACACTATTTGATAACAGCAGCCAGGGAAAAGACCCAGCATTTGGGCATTTTATTTCTTCGGATTCCAGATCATCAGAAGTTATGTCAATGGTCATGCTGGCTGGGTATGTTATTTCTAAAAAATACTGATTTGGTTATTTTGATGTCTTAATATTTCTGTGAGCTAGTCCATTTTTTTTTTTTTTTTGGCTCATATTTACAAGGACAGCACCAAAAAGCCTCCAGGAGCATTTCTCAGCCTCTGTTTGGCTATGGTACCCACTATGAAAGACCAGCAGCCTCCAGAAGGGACAGAGGAAGACCTGGGAAGATAGGGGACTTAGGGGGCTGGCTCCATAGGGGAGGTGGGGAAGGAGTCAGTTATACACGTTAGGGATGGGAAGGCACTGGAGAGGGGCCAAGGGGATAGGAATGAGAGAAGGCTGGGGAAGGAAGCTTAGGAACCACAAAGTTCTCATCACCCCCACATCTATCACTGTTGTTGCTTTTTCTTTTTCTTTTTTTCTTTTTTTTGAGAAGGAGTTTCACTCTTGTTGCCCAGGCTGGAGTGCAATGGGGTGATATTGGCTCACTGCAATCTCCGCCTCCCAGGTTCAGGCGATTCTCCTGTCTCAGTCTCCTGAGTAGCTGGGATTACAGGTATGCGCCACCACACCCAGCTAATTTTTTTTATTTTTAGTAGAGACAGGGTTTCACTATGTTGTTTGGCTGGTCTTGAACTCCTGACCTCAGGTGATCCGCCTGCCTTGGCCTCCCAAAGTGCTGGGATTACAGGCGTGAACCACCGCGCCTGGCCTTGTTGTTCCTCTTCTTAAAATCTCTTTACATCTTTTCTTTTTTTTGAAATGGAGTCTCACTCTGTCGCCCAGGCTGGAGTGCAGTAGCACGATCTCGGCTCACTGCAACCTCTGCCTCCCGGGTTCAAGCAATTCTCCTGCCTCAGCCTCCCAAGTAGCAGGGATTACAGGTGCGTGCCACCATGCCCGGCTAATTTTTGTATTTTTAGTAGAGACGGGGTTTCACCATGTTAGCCAGGTTGTTCTCCAACTCCTGACCTTAAGTGATCTGCCCACCTTGGCCTCCCAAAGTGCTGGGATTATAGGCGTAAGCCACCGTGCCTGGCCCATAAAATCTCTTTACATCTTAGTTTAGTGGTGAATAAGTAAATTCAGAGCCAAGTTCAACTTTTCAAGGACAAGATTCTCCCCAATGATAACCCCTCCCCAAACTCCTTCAACAGAGACCCCAGAACTTCTTTCTCTCCATGACAACCGCTTCCCCACACATCCTGAAGTGCACCTTTAATGCAGTTTCACATAAACATGTGAGCTATGTGTGTCCAGTATTGGGACAGTGTCTTCCACAGAGCATGGCCCTAAGAGGACTTTCCAGTTTAAGGCTGGCAGCACATGAGAAGCATGCACGTGCAGCAGCAGACTCGGCAGGAGAGCCTCCCCAGCTCGAGGAAGCCAAGTTGGGTTCAAAAAGAATGCAGCCTTCATGTTTCTCTGCCCTCTACTCCCTTCGGGTAGGCACAGTAGGATGGAGAGGTGGGCTGTGCACATCCCTACCCAGCTGGAACCTGTGAAGTAGTGCACTCAGAATTGGTCCCTGCCCTTTGGAGTCCCAGGAGGCAGGTGATTCAAAGCAGGTTCTCCTCTGGGCCTTGGTATAGCTTGAAGGGGAGACCATTTCATTTCCTCTGAGTCACCCTCCTGCTGCCACATTTCTGTGCTGTCTGTCCTAGGATTTCAGCATCTGTTCTTATGTGACGAGAAGAAACAGCTCCCTTGGGTACCAGCCTCTCTCTATCCCTCCTGCTTAATGTCAAGAGGGGGAGGTGTGTGTGGAATATGAGGCGTGGAAGTGTGTACTGGTGGCATCCTCTAGAGAAAACTAAAGCTTCCATGCTCTGTCTGTAGGATGGGTTTCTAGTAGACCATTCTAAGGACAGCTCTCATTTCTTCATCGCCTTTGGCTTTCTCTGAGATAAAGTTGTAGGGTGGGTGGAGAGAGGATTATTCAAGACAGGGCCTTATACTCAGCTCTTCCTCCAGGCATGAATGGCTTTATACACATGACCTGATTTTTAAGATTTATGAATATGTACATTGTTATCTCCATTTAGCTCGGGATGGCCCAACTAGTAAGAAACAGAGCCAGATTTTCGAACCCACCTATGAGTCCAAAACATCCACTCCTCCTACCTCTTAATGGCAGCTCCTTGAGTGTGACATGTCACACAGAGCTATATGAAGAACACTACCTGGTATTGTTTGAGACAACATAGCAAGACATACAGGACAGTTGAACTCAGCTTCAAAAAATGTTACACTAAGACACTAATGAACAATGAGGCATTTTCATTGTAGAGGTGAAGAAAGAACATTTTAGGGTTGAGAATGAGCACACCCTAAAAGTCAAACGGGCCGGGTGCAGTGGCTCACGCCTGTAATCCCAGCACTTTGGGAGGCTGAGGTGGGCAGATCACTTGAGGTCAGGAGTTTGAGACCAGCCTGGCCAACATGGCAAAACCCTGTCTCTACTAAAAATACAAAAATTAGCCAAGCGTGGTGGTGTGCACCTTTAATACCAGCCACTCAGGAGGCTGAAGCAGGAGAATCGCTTGAACTGGGGAGGCAGAGGTTGCAGTGAGCTGAGATGGTGTCACTGCACTCCAGCCTGGACCACAGAGCGACTCCATCTCAAAAAAAAAAGTCAGATAATCATTCTAGTCTGTGTTCCCGTATTACCACAATCTTTTGCTTTTTTTTTTTTTTTTTTTTTTTTACCCCAATGTGGATTCTTGCTCCAACCTAGTGATTCTCTACTCTGGCTGTGCATAAGAATCACCTGAAGAGCTTTTACAAAATACTGATGTCCAATTCTGCTCTGGGCAGCTGTTTTAATTGGTGTGGGGTGGGACCTGGGCATTGGTATTTCTTACGAGCTACCCACCTGGGTGATTCTAATATGCAGCCAGGATTGAGAAGCAATCTTCTAAGAGTGTGGTAGTGGTGCATAGGAAAGAGGCTGGCTTGCAGGAGAGCTTTACTTTTTGGTGGTTTAATGGTAACAAGCTTGCTGATGATGTTTACCATATAAGAGAGAGGGCCATATGTCCGGATTTGCCAGAAAACTAATTGATTTCTTTGCAAAACATGCTAACATTTAGTATTGACATGATGTATTCCTACCATCTCTCAGGACTGTAAGGAAATCTCAGGCAATCATCTATCTAATCTATTCCCCTGGATTAGATGAGGTTACAGAGTAAGAAATACTTATATGGATTAGCAAAACTTAAAGACATGTTTTTCTTTTTATTATTTTTTTTGAGACAGGGTCTTACTCTGTTGCCCAGACTGGAGTGCAATGGCGCAATCACAGCTTACTGCACCCTCAACCTCCCCAGGATCGGGTGATCTTTCCACCTCAGCCTCCCCACTAGCTAGGACTACAGGCATGAACCACCACGCCTGGCTAATTTTTGTATTTTTTTTGTAGAGATGGGTTTTCACTATGTTGGCCAGGCTGGTCTCAAACTCCTGGCTCAAGTGATCTGCCCACCTGGGCCTCTCGAAGTGCTGGGGTTACAGGTGTGAGCCACTGTGCCTGGCCTTAGAGACATTTTTAGAGGAAAGATAATGGACAACCAGAATGGCAGAAAGCCTGGGTTTCCCTTTTAGGGAAAAAGCAATTTCACTGTTCCAGAAGAAATCAGAGCCCCAGCCAGCCTGCCCTCCCACAGCCCCTTCTCTGAGGATTCCTGGCATGTGTCATCCTCCAGGGATGACTGCAGGATGGATGTGGCTGTTGGCGGCAGCAGCAGCTTTTCCTACCAGGGAAGCTGGGTCGGTAGACACTACACTGCTATTCCTGGGGTGGGGGTGGGGATTTCCGTGTATGTTTTATAGTTAGCTGGCCCCAAATCCGTGTGCTTTAGACCTAACCCTCTTCTCGGCTTCCACTGCCTTCTTCTCTCTCCTGCCCAGCCTGGAGTCGCAGGGGCAAGGCCTAGTTTTACAATGGCTGCCAGCCTTTCCCTTAGGGAGCCACATGCATGCGCTCACTTTTTCCAGTGGTCTTCTCAGTCTGATTTAATGGATATACCGGGACTGATGACACATCAGCATGGGATCCTTCTTTTGCTTCTTGGGTAACTGTCCTATTAACAGCTGTCCCAGGCAAAGGGAGGGGGAGAGTGTTGGGGGAAAGGAGGGGGTGGCTTCCTGGGTGAAGAAGGACACACCCTGGGTTTTACAAGGTTAATCAGCAGGTTCTGGGAAAGCTTGCACCTGCTCAGACTTGATCTGGAACTCTAGACAGAATGGAAGACAGTCTTTCTGTCTCCACTCCCTTCCATGGAGCATCAAATATCCTGGGCGCCCACACCCTGCCAGGCCTAGGCCTGCTGTTGCGACTGAGTTTGTCTCTACACCTTTACTCTCTTCGGCCCTTGCAACTCTTTCCCTTTTTCTGCCCACCTTTGTGAAATGGCTAAGCAGGAAACTCCACAGATAAACGATTGTCCAGTTTTAGTTTGAACTGTTAGGACTGAAAATTGTTCTGTATTTTTCTGTCAAAAAAAGACCAACTTTAGTATGCTCTTTTCACCTTCTCAAAATTGTCTTGTAGTTAAACACTGTAGTTGAGCCTTTATATCTCTCAATTTTATGTTTTGTTTTGTTGAGGAAGCATCTCACTGTTGCCCAGACTGGCACCATCATAGCTCACTGCAGCCTCAATCTCCCAGCTCAAGAAATCCTCCCACCTCAGCCTCCTGAGTAGTTGGGACTATAGATGTGTGGCACCAAGCCCAGCTTGTTTTTTTGTAGCGACGGGGGTCTCACTATGCTGCCCAGGCTGGTCAAGCAATCCTCCCGCCTCGGCCTCCCAAGGTGCTACTGTGAGCCACTGCGCCGGGCCCAGTTCTATGTTTAAAATACTTCCTTCTCAACCTTATTTATTTTTAGAGTTGATGGCCACACCTAAATATTCCTCCTTTCTTATACAATACCAGTCTTTATCTTCATTGTCTCACTACTTCGGGGACTGAATGGTCTCCTATTTTATTGTTAACATGCCATATCCTTCAAAACTGTACATCCTCCAAGGTGTGGTTAATTTCTGCTTTTAACAGGAAAATCAGAGGCCTGCCTGCTTGAGTCCCCCTTCAAGTACTCAGTATTTGAGTGTCTACTAAGTTATAACAGTTAACGCACAAAATTCTAGTCCTCATGTTGTTTATACTCAGGTATTTATTGGGAGACACGCGTCAGTAGTCCCTGATAAATGGAAAGATCGCTTGAGTCCAGGAGTTCCAGTCCAGCCTAGAATAGGTAAAACATGCTCTCTGAATTAGTCTTTGAAACTGGTAAACTAGCTCAGAAGTTTTTTTAAGAATTCCATGAGTGGTTTGCTGGTGTACGTTTATTATATGCAGTGAAAGTACTTAATCTGCAAACCACCCCAAATTAAGCCCCTAACTCGCAAGCACAAAATGGACTCGATTATTTACTGAGTTATCAGTTGGCCTTGTCCTTAGTTGTACAGGGACTAATGACTCACCTATAAATAATGGGCTCTTCTAAGAAGACACAGTTGAGTTGACACCTCTTTGTCCTATAGCTGGGAGGAACGCATTGCAAACGCCAACCCAATGATTCCCTAAATGGGGTCTTCGCATCAGCTGCGTTAAAATCACCCCAGCAGGCAGGTTATCCGGCCGCCACTCCAGGGTCATTAAATCAGACTCTCCAGTGGGACCTCGGAATTCGTAGCTTAGCAAGCTCCCCAAGTGATGCTGGGAGTAAACTAACGTTTGAGAGTCACAAACATGTTTTGGCAATATAACCAGATGGGACTGGAGAAATTAAAAAATGAGAAACATCCCTAAAAAAGCAAGACTAAGCTGCGTGGGAGGCCAAACGAGGGGGGTCCTTTGGGCTGTTTCTACCATGACAAAAATCGCCATTACCCCACACCTCTCACACCGCCAACGTTCCGCCAACGTTCCGCCAACGTCCCACCACCCTCATGATATCCGTCCGCGGTACTGCTCCAGCGAAGGTACCCTTGCCTGGGCCATGAGGCGCAACCGTCCCTCACAGCTGGGGTGGCTTCTCCAGGTTCGCACCGAGGGGAAGTTGGGGTACCGGTTTCCGCCGCCAGCACCCAAGATGGCGGCACGAGCGTCGCAACCACAAGAACCACATGCTTCGTGTCCCGCCTCAGCATTCTCGGGTCTCACTAGACTTTTGCAAGTCACTGTGGGAACCCTCAAGGCGAGGGTGTTCCGCACTCTGGCGGCGATACACCTTCCTATTCCCTGACCTAGGCCTTCATTCCCCCGCCACAGAAAGCGCTGGAAGCGCCCAACCTGGATACTTCACCCAACGCCCAAGCCCACTAACATCGCCCGCCGCGAAGGCGCGGCCGAGGGGCCCAGAATGCCAGACACTAGGGCCTTCGCCCTCCTCATTGGTGGGTCCATACCGCGGGGCGGGCCTAGGTACTCATTGGGCCGGGAATTATGTCAGTCTTGGGAAATCAGGTCCGGGGATGAGGAGGTACACTCAGCCATTGGGCCCTCTCTGCTGCCAATCAGAGGGACATCCGTCGACGGCCCCGGCCTCGGCTCGTTGATTGGAGAAACTGTTCCTAGGGTGTTTGCGGCGGGCGGGTTTCCGAGTGCGGTAGCAGGAGGGGGCGGGGAGGTAAGCGGAGGCTCCGAGCTCTAGGCCGGCCGGCGGTGGCGGCGGCGAGGCCGGGACTCGGGCTTAGGGCCTGCTGTGGAGGCAGCGGCGGACGCCGAGCTAAGCAGTGGGTATCGGGCACATTCCTTTCCCAGAAGGGAGGGTTGCAGCGCCGCGGGGCCGAGGCTTATGGGGCGACGGGATGGTGCTGAGGTGCAGGAGGCGGGGGCCGAGCGGGGTTCCCGCCAGAGCCCGGCCCTGGGCCTGACAGGGAGGGGCCCCGCGCGGGGCCGAGAGGAAAGCTGGCTCCGGGGTGGGATGGACTGGGCAGGGTTGAGGGCACGAGAAGGCGTGGTGTGAGGCCTGGACTTGGGAGTGGGGTGGGGCCATCGGGACGGAGGGCGGGGTGGGGTTTGCTGTAAGGGTGGGTCAAGGCCAGGGAAGTAGCACTTGTTCGCTGGCCGCCCCTGGAGGCTAGAAGCTCCGGCGCCGAGAGTGGGCATGGCGACTTGGTCTCAGCCGGACTCGGGTATCCGGGCAGGGTGGGACCAGCCTCAGGCTATGGGCCCTGCACCTACTTGATTTTTAAGGGACTTTGTCCGGTTCCTCGAACTTAATTGGCTCCTGGGAGGTTTTAGTAATAAATTGCGTGAGAACGGGAGGGTAGCGTAAGCAGGAATTCTGGGTCGCAATTGTGTTTACTCTGACCAGAGAGAGGGAGTGTGAGTGTGTGTGTGTGCGCACGTTCGTGTGTGTACGTATAGCTCGCTCTCCCCCTGTAGAATGAAGTTGGTAGATGGGTCACAACGCAGGAGAGGAGAGGCGGTATGTCTTGGTTTGTGACATTAATGGAAGCTCAAAAGTGGAGACCAGAAACAGATTTACTTCCTCTGCACTGGGCAGTCTGGCTAGAGAACGTGGCCATATCCTTCTGCTTTGGCTCAGAAGGTCATATGAATGAAAATAAAACCTGCCTATGCAAATTCTGGACGGAATAGTCCTGCGTAGTAGGGCCCCCACCATCCCTCTCCTTTTTTTCTTTCCTTTTCTTTTCTTTCTTTTTTTTCTTTTTTTGAGACGGAGTTTTGCTCTTGTTGCCCAGGCTGGAGTGCAGTGGCGCGATATCGGCCCACCACAACCTCCGTTTCCTGGGTTCAAGCGATTCTCCTGTCTCAGCCTCCCGAGTAGCTGGGATTACAGGCATGCGCCACCACGCCCGGCTAATTTTTGTATTTTTAGTTGAGATGGGGTTTCTCCATGTTGTTCAGGCTGGTCTCAAACTCCCGACCTCGGGTGATCCGCCCTCCTCGGCCTCCCGAAGTGCTGGGATTACAGGCGTCGGCCCTTTTCCTTTTTTTTCTTTTGTAAGTTGTGAGGATAGGAAAGGGAAATCAGATTTCAAAGTTCAGAAAACAAAAGGCATTCTTCTTCTGGGTGAAGTGGTGGCCTGAACATTGTCCTTTTGTCCTTCCACACTCTCACTGTTTAATAATCTTGCCTTTTTGAACTGAGAAAAGACAACTGTTATGGGTGGTTTTCTCCCGAGGGGTGAAAATCCAGCTTTACTTTTAAGACAGGAAATGGGCTTCTCATGTGAAAATAGAAGCTGGGTAATGCGCCTGTAGTGGGGGAGGAGGGCTGGTAAATAAAACAAAGGTGTAAGATATTTTGGATGACCTGGTTATTGTCTGCTTATTCAAACCAAGCTACATTTTAGGATATTGCACATTTAATATTCAGTAACTGAGATCATTCGTGATCAGTAGCTTTCTTTGATAGTTCTTCTATGATCGGTTGCTATATTTTGGGTTTTTTTTCTGAGAGTGTAAGTAGTCCTTTCTTCCTGTAAAAGTGGCCTTTAGGCCAGGCACAGTGGCTCACGCCTGTGATCCCAGCACTTTGGGGGGCCGAGGCGGGCAGATCACCTGAGGTCAGGAGCTTGAGACCAGCCTGGCCAACATAGTGAAACCCCATCTCTACTAAAAATACAAAAATTAGCAGGGCGTGGTGGCAGGCGCCTGTAATCCCAGATACTTGGGAGGCTGAGGCAGGAGAATCGCTTGAATGCAGAAGGTGGAGGTTGCAGTGAGCACAGATCACGCCACTGCACTCTAGCCTGGGCGACAGAGTGAGACTCTGTCTCAAAAAAAAAAAAAGTGAAAGTGTCCTTTGAATGTGTTTTCTACCTTCTACTGTGAAGGTTTTCCTACCCTGATCATGATGTGAAAAGTATGGAATCTTATCCTGTTGCTTTTGTGATTCCCATTTCAGGTTTCTCTGGAAACCCCCCTGGTAAGTGTGGAGGAGGCGGGACACTCTGACCCAAGACGAAAGGCCTGTAGCTCCAGCCAAAGAAAATAAACCTTAGGAGGGAGAAGGAAAAAAAAAATCCATCAGCTGTTCCTGAGAACAGCCTGCATTGGAATCTACAGAGAGGACAACTAATGTGAGTGAGGAAGTGACTGTATGTGGACTGTGGAGAAAGTAAGTCACGTGGGCCCTTGAGGACCTGGACTGGGTTAGGAACAGTTGTACTTTCAGAGGTGAGGTGTCGAGAAGGGAAAGTGAATGTGGTCTGGAGTGTGTCCTTGGCCTTGGCTCCACAGGGTGTGCTTTCCTCTGGGGCCGTCAGGGAGCTCATCCCTTGTGTTCTGCCAGGGTGGGGTACGGGGTTTGACACTGAGGAGGGTAACCTGCTGGCTGGAGCGGCAGAGCAGTGGCCTTGATTTGTCTTTTGGAAGATTTTAAAAACCAAAAAGCATAAACATTCTGGTCCTTCAGCAATGCTTTCTCTGAAGAAATACTTAACGGAAGGACTTCTCCAGTTCACCATTCTGCTGAGTTTGATTGGGGTACGGGTGGACGTGGATACTTACCTGACCTCACAGCTTCCCCCACTCCGGGAGATCATCCTGGGGCCCAGTTCTGCCTATACTCAGACCCAGTTCCACAACCTGAGGAATACCTTGGATGGCTATGGTATCCACCCCAAGAGCATAGACCTGGACAATTACTTCACTGCCCGGCGGCTCCTCAGTCAGGTGAGGGCCCTGGACAGGTTCCAGGTGCCAACCACTGAGGTAAATGCCTGGCTGGTTCACCGAGACCCAGAGGGGTCTGTCTCTGGCAGTCAGCCCAACTCAGGCCTCGCCCTCGAGAGTTCCAGTGGCCTCCAAGATGTGACAGGCCCAGACAACGGGGTGCGAGAAAGCGAAACGGAGCAGGGATTCGGTGAAGATTTGGAGGATTTGGGGGCTGTAGCCCCCCCAGTCAGTGGAGACTTAACCAAAGAGGTTAGTGGACCTGTGGTGGGTGTGTGGGGCCTGGGGCTTGGGGGTGGGCTGGTCCCAAAGGATTGTGGTCAGAACACTGAGCCCTGTAAAGAGCCAGACAGGTTTCAGCAGGGCCTCAGGCACTGTTCTTGGGTAGGGATGGGCTGAACTTTCTGACTTTAGGATTGGGGGCTGGGAGCATTTCCCTGTGTTGAACCATTGACCTACCTCTAAATGTACTGTCAGGGCAGTGGGAGGTTCCTACACATGCCAGGGTGTTTACTGCTTGGATTTCAGCGTGACTGCTGGAGGCCTGGGGTGGGGGAGGAGTCATGTTGTGATGGGCTTTGATGCAGTGTACATCTGTTGCTAAGACACAAATACTTTTTGGACTCTTGTTTTGTACCTCCCCCCACATCAGAACACAGACATACCCTGAAGTTCTCCTTTGTGGCGAGGCCTGTTGTTGTATTGTCCTGATAATTCAGACCTCCTGGGCCTGAGCCAAAGGGTAGATTTGGATAGTTATTCTTGGCCAGGAGAGGGCCAAGGCTTCCAATCTTTGCAAAAGGCCCACTGCAGGGAGTAGGGAAGAGAAGTCTGGGAGCTAGAAAGAGAAACTGCATTCTGCTGCCCAAGTCAACTTGCTTTGAGCTGTCAGAAGAGATCCTTAGCTCTTGTCACATGGCTGACATACTGTTCTGGGCAGAAAGCGATGCAGTTCTTTGCCTTTCAAGATGTGAATGGCTGCTGCTGCCCCTGCCTCACCAACATAAGATTGCTTTGAGCTCTGGGTTTGTATGGCTCTCGCTTGCCATCCAGCCTTAAGTAGCCGGGAAAGAGGCCCACTGCACTCCCCTGGCCATTAGGGAAGGAGAAAGCCCGATTGGGTTTTTGGAGGTGGCATGTGAAGGAATGTAAAAAGTTTTACAGATGTTACAGAAATGGGCTTCTCTGCCTGCCAGGTCAGACCACGTTTTCCCTCCTTCCCTGCTCTGTAGTCTTTTCCTGAGCTTAGTTCTCTGACTGTTAGTGACTGTCAAAGAGTATGGCTTGTTCTAGGCCAGTGGTCCTCAACTGGGGGTGATTTTGTCCCCGAGGGTGCAGGTGGCAATATCGTGAAACAGTTTTGGTTGTCACATCTTGGGGCGGGGTTGCTACTGGCACCTAGTGGGTAGGGGCCAAGGATGCTGGTTAACATCTTGAATGGCACAGAACACCTTCAAACAACAGATTTGTCTGACCCCAAGTGTCAGTAGTGCAGGGATTGAGACACTCGGCTCTGTGCTCAAATGGCTCATACTGGACCTGCTTTGAGAGAGACTAGGATTATCTGAGCGCAGGAGCCAGGAACATTTCTTACCTTTCAGGGCCTGTTAATTTAGCTTCTTACAGGGCCACTTGGAACTTCACCTCTCTTCTGCTTCCCCTTTCCTTCAAGTGGGCTCTAATCTTGGCACAGTGTTCTGAAGTGTGCTTCCCAGTCTCTGCTCTATGCTCCTCCCCCAGGGTAGCTCCCCCAGGGGTGGGTGTAACTGGGTTTGCTCCTGGAAACCCTGCAGGGTAGCTGCATATCTGTTCCTGCTGGGATGGGATGGGATATTTTGGATATTATTGGGTGGGTTGGGGCCGAATGGGATGGGACTTTGACCCTGCTTTCCTCTGTTTCTTGGCCCTCGTGAAGGTTGTGCTTTTCCTCATCTCAGGCCTTTATAACTCCCTTTGGGAGGTGGGGTGGGTCAGCATTAGGGGCCCAGGCTGGGTATGGGGGAAGGGAGGATTATTATGTGTCTAGAACAACATTTCCTCAGCAACTCAGGGATAAAAATACCCAGGTCCAGAGCATGTGACAGGCACTGCTGGAACCGGTATTATCCCTGGGGTGGCAGTACTCCCCCGCTGCCAGGCCTGCTCTATGGACAGCCATAGCCTAGGCTGTTGTCAGGGATAGGATTCCCCTTGAGATTGGCATTCTGCCCAGAGCAGGGGGGTGGCCTGTTTACAGCTCTTTCCAGGCTAGGAGCTGACTGTGACCAGAGAGAACATACTGTCTCTCTGACCTGACCTTAGGCTCCAGGGGAGCAGCAGTGGGGAGGGAGCTAAATTTCCCCTCGAGAAACCAATCCAGGGAGTCTGAATTGTGATACTGAGTCTGTGAGGGGCTTCTTTCCTGCTTGGATGAGATATGGGCCAGGAATCAGGCAGAGAATGCTCTTGAATAAAGCCGGGGTGAAAGGGGAGGGGGGACATTTGTGGCCAGGAGAATGCAGAGCACCTGTCTCCCTAAGTATGGGGCTTCAGGGTTGTGTCTCCCCTCCTCTTGCTTGGGGCTAGGCTTGGCCAGCACTGTGACATTGCTGCACGTGGGCAAAATGGCCTTCCCCTTTTCTCTAGTCTGGCCTATTTTGGGGTGACAAAACTTACGGCTTATGGTGGGCCTGGGTGCCCTGGGTTCCTGCCCAGCCTGGCTCGTGATCCCTGGCCTTGAGAACTGGCCACTGCCTTCCTGAGGAATGGGATAACTCTTTCCACTTCCAGCAAATAATTTAGATTCCCAGAGAATCTGCGGGAGAAGTGTCTGCCCAGTCCTGAGTGGGCTGGATGAGCAAGATGCGACAGGAGGGAGGAGAGTGGCACCCCTTCCCCCAGGGCTCTCACTGCGCCACCCCAGCTGACTGACTGGGCTGGGTGGGGCTGCCCGCCCCTGGGCGCATCTCCTCAAGGAGACGGAGGCGGCCCAGGGATGGGCTGGTTCCTTGCGGCAGCTTCTCCAGCTGCCCTGATGCAGAGATTGGCTCCCGTCTGCAGCTAGGTAACAGGCGGTGGGAGGGGATTGGCTCCTTCCGCATCTCCAGCGGAGACTTGGGGGAGGAGATTGGCTCTCGGCGCAGCCTAGGTAACGACAGTGGGAGGGGATTGGCTCTTTGCGCAGCCCAGCTGCTGACCTGGGGGAGGGGATTGGCTCTCTGCAGCCTCAGCAGTGACCTGCGGGGTGGGAGGGGGTGGGGATTGGCTCCCTGCTGCAGCCTAGGTAACAAGTTTGGGGGGCGTGGGGGGGAGGAGCGGGAGGATAGGCCCAGGAGGGAGCTTGCTTTCCTCTGCAGCTTGAGCACGGAGCATGGGGTGGGAGTCCCATCTCACTGCAGCCTCTGCGGTGAGCTCAGGGTGGGGGCAGCTGGGCGCCTGAGTGGAACTGGGGTTGTGAGGTGGGAGGGGGCTGCTCAAGGATGGAGGAAGGGGGCTGGCTGGGCCGCCCAGGCAGCAGCACGGGCGGGGCACCCTCCTCAGGCCCCTCGGAGCTAGCAAGGGGCCACCCTTCCAGCCTGGTGTGCTCCCTGAAAGCCAAGAGCTCCTTGCAGCCCCCTGTCCGGCTTCCCGGCACCGGCTGCCCTGGGGCTCATCTCGCAGACCATGACCCGCCTGGACCGCAGCTCTCACAGTGGTGGGGGCCATGCCAAAGGCAGCCGGCCCCTTAACTCTTTGCTGGCTGGTCACCGGGTGGCCCAGCCCGCCTCTGCTCCTGGGTCCAGGGCTTCTGTTCAGGTTGGTGTATGTGGGGAGACTAAAGTAGTACGTCTGGGAGGTCTTAGGGTCAGGGGGGGTTAATGGGAGAAGAATACCGACTTAGAGGTAGGGAGGAGGGTCTGATCTAAGGAAATTGCTTTCTGGAAAGTGTATGTCTGCATTTTAACCCCTGGATGGAAGGCAACACTTTAGGGTTTCTTCAGGCTTGTAGGGAGGGCTCGACTACAGGGGGGTGCCATGTATAGGAAGCCCAAATAGCTCTATTTATTGGGGTTATATGCTGTTAGTGGGGGTGGCAGTTGGTGCAGCAACTGTTCACGAGCCACCAGGGTAGAGCGGGAGGGAAGCATTTTTGGTGCCCAAGGTGGCAGTTGTAGCTGAGCAGTGATGGGGTTTATGTCCTTGAGGGGGTTGACTGATGGGGATTTGGTGAGTCCTGGGGTATGGTGAGGGAATGAGAGCACTGGTGTAGGGGACACAGTGAGGCTGGCCCGAGCAGGGGGTGGGGTGCACCCCTGGGGATCATCTGACTGCCTGAGCCTCCCTGGAATGGAGGCAGCAGCTAGGATCAGCTGAGAGGGAATTCTGGCGGGGATGAGTCTTGAGGTGAGCCTGGGCTTGAGGAGTTGTGGGTGTTCAGCCTTACTCTTGCTGCCAGCTGGGGAATGGGGAATGGCTATAGGAAGGGCTGGAGACAGCATGGCGTTGTCATTGGTTGCATCAGGTGGTTGGAAATGCAGGGATTTTCCTCTCTAGCCCACCCCACCCCTTTATGCAAATGAAATGGTACCACAGGCTGATGCAAGCCTGGCCACTGCTAAGTAATTCTGCATGACAATTCGCTCTTGCTTGCCATGGCCAGCTTCCTCCAAACCAAGTTTTAAGGGGTCCAATCCCCAAAGCTAGAGGTGTCTCCTGATGTTCCCCTTCTTTCTTATGTAGGGGGGAGGCGGCCCTGCCTTTTGTCTGGGTGTGTCTTGGTCCAGATCCTAATCCTTTGCACCCTTATGGTGATAGTCACACTAATGGTTTTGCTAGTGGCTCTTTTTTTTTGTGGGAAGGGGATAGTGTCTGGAAGTAGATGAATGAACACTTGCTGGTGCAGGGACCAGGGGGTAAAGGCTGGCAGGTGAAGAGCTGGGAGGGGCCCCACCCAGGACTAACTGGGGTGACACTAGGAGGGAACTCTGAGGGGCAGGACAAGGAAGGGACCTTGGGATCTTAGAGCTAAAGTCATGTGATCTGTCTTTCAGGACATAGATCTGATTGACATCCTTTGGCGACAGGATATTGATCTGGGGGCTGGGCGTGAGGTTTTTGACTATAGTCACCGCCAGAAGGAGCAGGATGTGGAGAAGGAGCTGCGAGATGGAGGCGAGCAGGACACCTGGGCAGGCGAGGGCGCGGAAGCTCTGGCACGGAACCTGCTAGTGGATGGAGAGACTGGGGAGAGCTTCCCTGCACAGGTACCATCGCCCCTGCTCACTGGGCTCTCTTCTTGTCCCTACTACCCTGACACAAACCAGGCTGGAGTTCTTCCAGAAACTTCCTTTAGAGAAGACAGGTGGTGTGTGGGGTGGACCTGAATTTCTGTTTTGGGTTGGGGTCTGTAAGTCACAGTGGCTGAGCCTTGGAAGGGGGGAGTGGAAAGCAGCAGATGCAGAATGGCCAGGCCGTGGCAACAGACAGTGCAAGGGAGGCAGAGCATGTAGCATCTTCCTGCTTGCTTCAGGACTCTTTCACTCTCTTCTGTTGTTTCTGGGAGTTTGGGACTCGGGGCCAGCCATTAGCCTGGGAATGGGAGGGAGACTGCAGGGCTTCAGCCATTCTGGGAAAGAAGCTTCAGCCCCAGGCAGCCAAGGCCCAGGTCAATCAGACTTACAGTTCCTGTTGCCACAGGTGCCTAGTGGGGAGGACCAGACGGCCCTGTCCCTGGAAGAGTGCCTTAGGCTGCTGGAAGCCACCTGCCCCTTTGGGGAGAATGCTGAGGTGAGCAGGACTCCAGTGAGAGTCCACCAAGTGAGCAGGGCAGCCTGTACCTGGTGTGTCCCTCCATGGCTGAGGGGCCAGCTGTTGGTTCTGGCCTTATTCTGGCTGCTGGGGGTAAATGCAGAGGAAGGAAGAACAGAAACAGGTCCAGGTGGTAATCTCTGGGAGGAAAGCACAAGGTTTTTCCTTCCCCCTTGTTAAAGCCTCTGTGTTTTGCCCTAGTTTCCAGCAGACATTTCCAGCATAACAGAAGCAGTGCCTAGTGAGAGTGAGCCCCCTGCTCTTCAAAACAACCTCTTGTCTCCTCTTCTGACCGGGACAGAGTCACCATTTGATTTGGAACAGCAGTGGCAAGATCTCATGTCCATCATGGAAATGCAGGTAGGATTGTCGGAACCGGGCACAAACCTATTGGATTTTGCACAGATTGTCTTAGCACTCAGTTGCTTTTCCATCTCCAAGGAGAGAAAGTGTAATACTTTCCCTGAATCATAGAGAAGTGGGGACAATGAGAAGAAACCTGTCCAGGTGTGTCCTTGGGGCAATGGGAGCTGGAGACAGGTAGGGTTTGGGTTAAATAAAACTCAGGACTCAGCCTTCCAAATCAGGGCCTGCCTCCTGGGTGTGCCTTCTTCCTTTCCTTCAGGCAGATAGGCACTTGGCTGAATGCTTCCAAGGTTGTGCGTTAATAATAGCTGACATTCACATGGTGCTTCACAGCCATCGTTCGCTCACTTGGCCCTCACAGTCATCTAGTCAGCCTTTATCTCAAAGGTGAGGAAATTGAAGCTCAGAGGTTAAATGATGTGCCCATCGTCACACAGCAAGTGGTGCAGCTAGGTTTTCTGACTTAAGTCTGGGTGTTCTTTTCACTGTGCTGATTTTGCAGTAACAAGGTAGTGTTTTCTTCCTCTCCCTCCAAGATGGGGGAGTCTGGCCAAACATGAGGAAAAGCTGATCAGTCCTATATTAGGGTGGAGCCTACATGGAAGAACCCATCTCTGCCAGGCCTGGTGGACGAAGCTGGGTCAGGAGCTGACACTGTGGGCTTTGGTTTATAGTATTTTGCCTTTACACCCATGCAGCTGTGCCTCTGTTGGGTGCCTGCAGTGTGTGAGCCCCAGGGGAGGGAGTCAGTTCCTAGTGAACAGTGGTGCTCTTCTCCCCTCCCAGGCCATGGAAGTGAACACATCAGCAAGTGAAATCCTGTACAGTGCCCCTCCTGGAGACCCACTGAGCACCAACTACAGCCTTGCCCCCAACACTCCCATCAATCAGAATGTCAGCCTGCATCAGGCGTCCCTGGGGGGCTGCAGCCAGGACTTCTTACTCTTCAGCCCCGAGGTGGAAAGCCTGCCTGTGGCCAGTAGCTCCACGCTGCTCCCGTTGGCCCCCAGCAATTCTACCAGCCTCAACTCCACCTTCGGCTCCACCAACCTGACAGGGCTCTTCTTTCCACCCCAGCTCAATGGCACAGCCAATGACACAGCAGGCCCAGAGCTGCCTGACCCTTTGGGGGGTCTGTTAGATGAAGCTATGTTGGATGAGATCAGCCTTATGGACCTGGCCATTGAAGAAGGCTTTAACCCTGTGCAGGCCTCCCAGCTGGAGGAGGAATTTGACTCTGACTCAGGCCTTTCCTTAGACTCGAGCCATAGCCCTTCTTCCCTAAGCAGCTCTGAAGGCAGTTCTTCCTCTTCTTCCTCCTCCTCTTCCTCTTCTTCCTCTGCTTCTTCCTCTGCCTCTTCCTCCTTTTCTGAGGAAGGTGCGGTTGGCTACAGCTCTGACTCTGAGACCCTGGATCTGGAAGAGGCCGAGGGTGCTGTGGGCTACCAGCCTGAGTATTCCAAGTTCTGCCGCATGAGCTACCAGGATCCAGCTCAGCTCTCATGCCTGCCCTACCTGGAGCACGTGGGCCACAACCACACATACAACATGGCACCCAGTGCCCTGGACTCAGCCGACCTGCCACCACCCAGTGCCCTCAAGAAAGGCAGCAAGGAGAAGCAGGCTGACTTCCTGGACAAGCAGATGAGCCGGGATGAGCACCGAGCCCGAGCCATGAAGATCCCTTTCACCAATGACAAAATCATCAACCTGCCTGTGGAGGAGTTCAATGAACTGCTGTCCAAATACCAGTTGAGTGAAGCCCAGCTGAGCCTCATCCGAGACATCCGGCGCCGGGGCAAGAACAAGATGGCGGCGCAGAACTGCCGCAAGCGCAAGCTGGACACCATCCTGAATCTGGAGCGTGATGTGGAGGACCTGCAGCGTGACAAAGCCCGGCTGCTGCGGGAGAAAGTGGAGTTCCTGCGCTCCCTGCGACAGATGAAGCAGAAGGTCCAGAGCCTGTACCAGGAGGTGTTTGGGCGGCTGCGAGATGAGAACGGACGACCCTACTCGCCCAGTCAGTATGCGCTCCAGTACGCCGGGGACGGCAGTGTCCTCCTCATCCCCCGCACGATGGCCGACCAGCAGGCCCGGCGGCAGGAGAGGAAGCCAAAGGACCGGAGAAAGTGAGCCTGGGGAAGAAGGGGGTTTGAAGCCCACCAAGACCGAAACTGGAGAAGGGCTGGACCTGGACCTGGACCTGGACCTACAGCGGGGACTTAAATGCCTTCTTATCCAATATATCTTCTCAGATGGGATGACTGCGGGTCAGTGTACAGGAAGAGGCAGGCACTGGCTGGCTCAGCTCCACTCGGGTGGAGTGGAAGTGGCCAGACCATTTAGACGGACAGGGTCCTCACCCTACCCCTTTCCTGTGAGGCAGGGGTGGTGGTGGAGTTGCTGGAGGTAGAGGAGCTATGTGGAGCAAAGGCCGACAGAGGGGAAGGAATGGACCTGTGAGAGGAAGGGAAGGTGGCAGAAAGTCTCATTTCAGGAAGGAGGGATAGAAGGAAGGAAGGAAGGAACCCCCCCCCCCCCGAAAAAAAAATCAAAGCGGGAAGAAAATCAGAGGGAAGGTTAAGGTTGGCTCTGGCCAGGATTCCAGGCAGCAGGTTGGAGTGACTGGTGGGCCTAGATCACTGGTGTGATAAACCCCAATTTTCACCCCGGGGGGGGTGGGGTACACAGACACAGGGTGGGGGTGGGGAGGGACGGTGTTAACTCTTTCTGCTCCTTGCATTTTGACATCCCTGAAGGGGAGCTCTTGGATATCATTGGCCATGTTTCAATCGAATGGAGCCACTGGGCCCCAACACTGGCTTTGAGATTTAGAGTCAAAGGGTAGAGTGAACAGGAAAGGGTCACGTGGTCCCATGTTGCAACAGCCCCAACATCACGCATGTCATTCACTGCCTTGCCACTCCATCTCCCTCCGTGCTCCAGCCACCCCTGAGCTGAGGCTCCCATTGTCTCCATCAGAGCCTGCATGTGTATGCCGTCCTCCCCTGGTCCGGTGTTTGTGTTCCCCACCCCTCACAGACTGCCTGAGCTCTTCTGTAAGCTGGGGTAGGGTGATGGCAGTGCTCCGGGAACTGGGCCTGCAGCCTTCCTCTTCTGGGACTGCTGTGAGGCAGAGGAATGATGGAGAATCTAGTGTAGCAGCCTCCAGGCAGGATTCAGCACAACACTGGGGAGTCACCCTTCCCTCGGGCCTCTGCCTACCAACAACTGGGCTTATCACTGGGAAAACACAAAAAATTACACAACCCAGCAACAACAAAAGAACTAGTCCTCTTAGAATTTCTTGCGCTTTGATTTTTTTAGGGCTTGTGCCCTGTTTCACTTATAGGGTCTAGAATGCTTGTGTTGAGTAAAAAGGAGATGCCCAATATTCAAAGCTGCTAAATGTTCTCTTTGCCATAAAGACTCCGTGTAACTGTGTGAACACTTGGGATTTTTCTCCTCTGTCCCGAGGTCGTCGTCTGCTTTCTTTTTTGGGTTTCTTTCTAGAAGATTGAGAAGTGCATATGACAGGCTGAGAGCACCTCCCCAAACACACAAGCTCTCAGCCACAGGCAGCTTCTCCACAGCCCCAGCTTCGCACAGGCTCCTGGAGGGCTGCCTGGGGGAGGCAGACATGGGAGTGCCAAGGTGGCCAGATGGTTCCAGGACTACAATGTCTTTATTTTTAACTGTTTGCCACTGCTGCCCTCACCCCTGCCCGGCTCTGGAGTACCGTCTGCCCCAGACAAGTGGGAGTGAAATGGGGGTGGGGGGAAGCACTGATTCCCAGTTAGGGGGTGCCTAACTGAGCAGTAGGGATAGAAGGTGTGAACCTGGGAGTGCTTTTATAAATTATTTTCCTTGTAGATTTTATTTTTAATTTATCTCTGTGACCTGCCAGGGAGAGGGGAGAGAGAGAGAGATGCTGTTGAGCACATGACAAAATAAAATAAAATGGATGATTCATTCTTAAGTGCACTTTTTCCCCACTTTGAATTTAAATTGAGAATAAAGGAAATGGACTCATTGTAGGGAGGACTGGCCATTGCGTGGCTAAGGCAGAGCTCACATGGGAAGATGGGTGGAGAACTGGGGAGGTTGACAGTGGGGAACTTCAAAAGGCAAGTCTTAAATATTGTATTAAACCTTGGGGGCAGGCATTAGACACCATGTACTTCATAGGGTTAGCCAGCTCAATCCTCTCAGGAAGGATTCGGAGTTTTTTTATTCTCATACAGCTAGGATAGGTGGAGGTGTCATTTAACCCAGCTCTTTACCTGTCCACCTGCTACAAACTACATTTTTAAACTCAACTGTGCTGTTATTTTTCTATTGGCCTCACCTGCCAAAGGGGTGCAGAGAATTGGAGTGTAGTTATGATGTTGAAAACCTGAGAAATCCATGGCAGCGACTAACATGTGACAAGCACTACTGTGTTAAGCAGGAGCAGGGCCACTAAAGAGAAGCAGGAGGCCAAGGTTTAGGACACTGGGAAACCTCCCCAGCTGAGGGGGCTAGAATCTGCTTTCCCTCAAACTGCTCAACTACCCGCCCTGTGAAGAGCTGTAATGTGTGAAGGTCTCTGGGATGCTGGAACTTCCACATGCCCATGTTAGGGCAGGTGTTTAGTAGATGCTGGAAGAATGAACACTCACTCAGCAGTCTTTTTATTGGCAGGGTCTTGCTTTGTCTCCCAGGCTGGAGTGCAGTGACGTGATCTCGGCTCACTGCAACTGCCACTGGGCTCAAGCCATCTTCCCACCTCCGCCTCCTGAATAGCTGGGACTACAGGCGCACGCCACCACGCCTAGGTAATTTTTGTAGAGACAAGCTTTCGCTATATTGCCCAGGCTGGTCTCAAACTCCTGGCATCAAGTGATCCGCCTGCCTCAGCCTCCCAAAGTGCTGGGATTATAGGCGTGAGCCATTGCACCTGGCTTCTGTGAGATTATTGGGCAGGGTTTAGGAGTGGAAGCTATGATCCTCTTAATGGAAGCTGTGATCTCAAACTCCTGGATACCACCCTGTAACCTGGTTCAGCTCAGTCCTTTAGTGATACTACTTCAGTAATGTTTACAATTCAGTAGAATTGTAAGAATAATGATGGTTTCTTATGTTTCAGTTTATAAGAGCCTCTCCACAACTCCCCAGTCTCCAGTTGGAAAGGTTTGGTCATATCAAACAAGAACTCTTTCCTAATTCAGAATTGACTAAAGTCTGTAAGCCAGATAAAACCAAGATACGTAAAGGGGTGAAAAAACCAAGACTAAAAATTAGTTTGAGGCCTGGTGCGGTGGCTCACGCCTATAATCCCAGCACTTTGGGAGGCCGAGGCAGATGGATCACCTGAGGTCAGGAGTTCAAACACGAGCCTAACCAACATGGTAAAACCGTCTCTACTAAAAATACAAAAACTAGGCGGGTGTGGTGGCGGGCGCCTGTAATCCCAGCTACTCAGAGACTGAGGCAGGAGAATCGCTTGAACCCGGGAGGCAGAGGTTTCAGTGAGCCAAGAGCGCGCCATTGCACTCCAGCCTGGACAACAAGAGCAAAACTTCCATCTCAAAAAAAAAAAAGGTTTCAAAAACACATACCAATACTTTAAGAAATACAAATTATATATAGAAGGGTAAACTGTGAGAAGTAAAATTAAGTTTTAATATTCTTGTACCCTTCCTAGAAATGTATGTACAGTCATGTGTTAACGGCCAACATATATTCTGAGAAATGCCTCATTAGACAATTTTGTCATAGTGTACTTACACAAACTTAAATGGTAGTGCCTACTACACACCTAGCCTATGTGCCATATAGCCTATTGCTCCTAGGCTACAAACCTGTACAGCATGTTGCCATACTGAATACTATAGGCAGCTGAAGTACAGTGATAAGTACTTGTGTATCTAAACCTAGAAAAGGCACAATATAGGCTGGGTGCAGTAGCTCAACGCCTGTACTCGCAACAAGACTGTGCAACTGCACTCCAGCCTGGGTGAAAGAGTGAGACCCTGTCTCAAAAAAAAAAAAAATACAGTATAAATAGGGTATTATAATCTTATCAGACCATAATCATATACATGATCTGTCACTCATGAAATATGCAGCACATGACTGTATATGTATTTTTGTTCAGTAATTACACTGTAACTTTTACCTTATTTTGCAACTTTTTTTTAACTTAAAAGACTTAAGAGATTTGAAAAATTCTTCTTAATCCCATTGCTAGTGTTGTCCCTGGTCTGAGTAAGAATATTTTTGTTGGCCAGGCATGGTGGCTCACGCCTGTAATCCTGGCACTTTGGGAGGCTGAGGCAGGTGGATCACGAGGTCAGGAGTTCAAGACCAGGAGTTCGAGACCAGCCTGACCAACATGGTGAAACCCCATCTCTACTAAAAATACAAAAATTAGCCGGGCATGGTGGCACGTGCCTGTAATCCTAGCTACTCAGGAGGCTGAGGCAGGAGAATGGCTTGAACCCGGGAGGCGGAGGTTGCAGTGAGCCAAGATCATGCCATTGCACTCCAGCCTGTGTGACAAAGCGAGACTCTGTCTCAAAAAAAAAGGAGTATTTTTGTTAGCAGCCCCTCCCCCTTAGAGATATGTACAGTTTTGTCTAGGATCGTGCTGATTAGCTGGGGCATGGGGCCAAGTTGGTCAGCACTGCTGTGGGGCTGACCTCTTTCTGCTGGCAGGTAGAGTGGGTGTTCCAGCCTCTTTCTGGCAGGAAGATAGGAGGACTGAAGTAAGGCCTGTGGAAGGGCTGCTACCACTAGCCATCTACCTAAGGCAGGAAGTGAGAAGATGTCCTAAGCCGAACAGGACTTAGGCTTAACAAAGGACCAAACTCTTCAGGGTGACTGACTTGGGTGGGTGTGGGAAAGCTTACTTTGTCTTGACTTCAGCAGTTGCAGGCTTCATTCAAACTGATTTTTTTCTCACATCTTACTCATGTTAAGGAGATGGAAATAGGCCCATATTTTCAACCTCTGCCCTGCATAGATCTCACCAATGAAGGTGGGGCTGTTTCAGTATCAATAAAAATAGCATAGTGAACTATAGAGGGAAAATCGTGATCTAGAGACATGCTTCAGTGTCATCAAGACTGGCCTCCATAGCTGACATTTCCCCACCTTTACTGGGGAAAGCTGAGTAATAATTAGTCCAACAGTCTGGTGAACAGGGAGGTACTTTTCATAGAGCCCTGTCAAGCTGGCCTCATCCCTGCTTTTATAACCCCCAGCTAAACCAAACCTTGCTGCCCCTCTTCACGTTTGCTTGGTAAACAGTTCCTTGTGGAAAAAAACAACATCCCCACTATCCTCAAGTCCGCCACCTACCTCATCCTGTAGGCACTGACCAAGAGCAACAACTTTAGAAGCTCACGCTAAATATAGTTTAGGGCACACCATGGTGAACAGGTGGACAGCAAGAAGCCTGTTTCCATATTGGTGTACCATATGTATACAAACACAGGTACTAGATTGGTGTCTGCTTCTGAGTCATTTTCCCAGCCAAGTATAGAAATTTTGTAGCAAAACCCATGTGCTTCATGATCATGAGTAGTTAAGCCTTGTTTTTCTATCAAAGATCCCCGTTAAGTGAAAGGGACCCACAAACCTTCAACTTGTCATTTTGTCAATATACCAAAAATAACCTTTCTTTTTACCTTTACTGTATTACACAGAAGTCAATCATCTTCCTTGCCTCCCGCTCTGAACTTTGGAGTGGAGAATGAGCCATTTGGGGACTATGGGGAAACTTACCACTATGTGTGAAACTTTACAAGTTCTAGTCCTTGTTCTGTTCAGTTCGTGTCTGCCTGAATTAGCCGAGAAACAGAATTTAGTACACGTATTGTCTCTGGAGTAGTGTGAGAATCTGGTACCTTGCAGAAGAGGGCTGTTTTCAAAAATTAGCTGGATAGAAGTCTTTGTCTTCCCTTTTGAATACACCATACCAACAAAGGTCTTAAAGCTGTTTTTTTTTTTTTTTGAGACGGAGTCTTGCCCTGTCACCCAGGCTGGAGTGTAGTGGCGCAATCTTGGCTCACTGCAAGCTCCGCCTTCTGGGTTCACGCCATTCTCCTGCCTCAGCCTGCCAAGTAGCTGGGACTACAGGCGCCCGCCACTGCGCCCAGCTAATTTTTTTGTATTTTTAGTAGAGATGGGGTTTCACCATGTTAGCCAGGATGGTCTTGATCTCCTGACCTCATGATCCGCCCGCCTTGGCCTCCCAAAGTGATGGGATTACAGGCGTGAGCCATCGCGCCCAGCCTGCTGTTTTGGTTTTTTTTTTGGAGACAGGATCTAGCTTTGTCACCCACGCTGGAGTGCAGTGGCGCGATCTTGGCTCACTGTAATACTGCCTCTAGGCTCAAGCTATTCTCCCACCTCAGCCTCCTGGTAGCTGGCATACAGGCGTGCATCACCATGCCCGGCTAATTTTTGTATTTTGGGTTTCGCCATGTTGTCCAGTCTGGTCTTGAACTCCTGAGTTCAAGCGATCTGTCCGCCTCAGCCTCCAAAGTGCTGGGATTACAGGTGTGAGCCACTGCGCCCAGTCCTAAAGCTGCTTCTTTTCCAGCCTAACTTAAACTGCAGAATGGAGATAGGTTGCACAGTATTTTTTACTTAATTCTAGATGCTCTTCAACTAAGGAAACAAAAAATCTAGTTCACCTGGGGAGAGGTGGAGAATAGACCAAGGAGTTGGCATTCTGCCTTTTGTGTCAAACACAAGTGTAACTGGGGTAATAACAGTTGACTTGAACTTTCCAATTCTCAATTAGGGGCTGAAGCAGTAATTGAAATGGGCTAGTGTCCCAAAGCCAGGCGTCAAAGTTGCCCAGCCTGACCCTAACTATGCAAATAGCAAAAAGGGCAGGCTTGGTCAAAGTCAACTAGGATTTAAAAATCCATTTGGGGTAAACAGTGGCTTTGGTACTATCACAAACCACCATACAAACCAACAAGGTCACAAGGCAGACCCAATTGTGCTGCTGGTATATTGTAAAACAGGTTATTTAATACAACCAAAAACTACAGAAGCTGAATTGTCAGCACCTATTCTAAACTTGATATTTAGCCTTCCCTCACTTTTGCCACTTCATTAGCCTAAGAAAAAAAAAACAAAACAAAAAGCCTTTAAAAGGCACTGCTCTGCTTGCCCCCACAAAGGAGGGCCAACTGTGCTTTTCATCCCAGCAGGATGGTTTTATTTCACATTTCATTTGTTTTCAACATTCAGTAGTTTATTCAACAGTCAACAGGAAACTTACAAGGCCAAGGTCAATTAAGTCATCCATAAGAGAAACAAGTAACTTTAAACTTCACACACTAGATAGGAAAGCAGTAACTTTTGGGGAAAAAACCTCAGTGCTGGACATCGTCAAAACAAGGTGATGTGCAGATCCACAGATTGACAAGTTGTCTTGGGATCTTAAGCTCTCCTCTATCAAACTCCTGTAATCCCACACCAAAACACTAGGATGCCTCTCCCTGATCATTGTTTCCTAGTGCTGAAAGCCAAGACTCCTTTATTAAGTTGAACGCTAATACTGAGCCTGGACTTAGTTCAGTTCTATCAGCTTTAAATTATAAATAAGAACATATCTTCATCAGAAGACCCAACTTGCACATTAATCCAAGCTATCATTTTCCCTTTTACTATGAGAAATAATTGCTTTATAATGCAGATTCCCAATGCCACAGTCCATAAAGATGTGCCAAGCACACAGACAAACCCCAAATGGCGCAAGTTTAACATCAAATTGAGCCAAGTCTATGGCCACCACAGAATTGAGAGTTCTGGAATATAAGGTCATATCTGAAAACAGGTATTTAAAAATTTAATTAGGCAAGGTGCAGTGGCTTACACCTGTAATTCTAACACTTTGGGAGGCAGAGACAGGAGGACTGCTTGAGCCCAGGAGTTCGAGACCAGCCTGGGCAACACAGTGAGACCCCATCTCTACTAAGTTAAAAAAAAAAAAAAGAAAAAAAGAATTAGCTGGGCATTATGGCACACACCTGTAGTCCCAGCTCAGGAGGCTGAGGTGGGAGGATCCCTTTAGCCCAGGAGGATGAGGCTGCCGTGAGCCATGGTAGCACCACTGCACTCTAGACTAGGTGACAGAGACCATTTCTCTCCTCAAAAAAATAAATAAAAATTTAATTACTAAAAATCACTTAAAATTGGTCGTCAAAATTTTCAAATGATATTAAATGCAGGAACAATTATTCCTCAGCACTGTCAGAGTGTTTCTGTGGTCATTATTCCATCCATTTACAATACTAAATAGAAACTTACTTAAGGCAATGGAGGAGCAAGATTTTTGTTTAATGGCTCTACCAGTACAGGACACCTCAGGTAATAATGATGTCACAATATTAACAAGCTCCCCTTTTCTAATAGTAACTAAGATAATTTATTGCCTCTTTAATTCCTGGGCAGGTCTATGATGGTGCAATTTCATGGAAACCACCCAACAAACATGTTTTTCCACTGCCTGAAGAAATATTCTTTGGCTGGGAGTGGTGGTTCACGCCTATAATCCCAGCACTTTGGGAAGCCAAGGCAGGTGGATCACTTGAGGTTAGGGGTTCGAGACCAGCCTGGCCAACATGGTGAAACCTCATCTCTACCAAAACTACAAAAATTAGCCAGGTGTAGTGGGGCATGCCTGTAGTCCCAGCTACTCGGGAGGCTGAAGCAGGAGAATCGCTTGAACCCAGGAGGCGGAGGTTGCAGTGAGCTGAGATTGTGCCACTGCACTCCAGCCTGGGTGACAGCGAGACTCTGTCTCAAAAGAAAAAACAAAAAACAAAGAAATATTCTCTGAATACTTTCTCAAGCTGACCTAAGATTTGTTGTGCCTACTTATAACAGTTTGAATTTGTGGCCTCAACAATCAAAAAAGTTGATCCTTAAACTACTGATCTAGTAATATGCCAATTGGCTTTTGAAAATAACAAAATTGTGACTACCTAGCTTCAACTCAGTTTTCACTGCATGCCTATCAGTATTACTGTTTTCTCTGGGGGAGAATGATACAGTTTTTACAACAGCTCAGGAATGCCACAAATGACAAGTCAGTCAGTTCCAAAGGTTAAGACCAAAGCTGACTAGCAGTCCATTTGGGATACAAACCAAGGCTGTAGTTTCATTTCAGTGCATCTGATGGTGCAGAACAGAACCAGAACACCTCCACTTAAACTCCCTTAATTAGCTACCGACTGCTGTGCTACTGTCAACCACCACCAGGGCACACACTCAGACCTCTGTGCGGGAAGGCCTGTCTGTGACCCAGACCTTCAGTAAGGCTCCCCAGCTCCACTTATGTCTCCTGAGAACTTTCCTGAGGAGGCTTTCTGAAAAAATTATCTACACATCAGTTTATTTTAAACAAATGCTTTGCACGAGTGAGTAGTACTCAACTGTTACACTGATTTGTTCTCAGTGGAAATCCTATGTCTGTTACAAAAATGACAAGTTGGCCGGATGTGGTGGCTCATTCCTGTAATCCCGCACTTTGGAAGGCCGAGGCGGGCGGATCATGCGGTCAGAAGATCAAGACCATCTTGGCCAACATGGTGAAACCCTGTCTCCACTAAAATACAAAAAATTAGCCGGGTGTGGTGGTGCACGCCTGTAGTCCCAGCTACTCAGGAGGATGAGGCAGGGGAATCGCTGAACCCAGGAGGCGGAGGTTACAGTGAGCTGAGATCGCACCACTGCACTCCAGCCTGGCAACAGAGCAAGACTAAAAAAAAAAAAATAAAAAAAAATAAAGGCAAGTCCAAGGCCAGGCACAGTGGCTCATGCCTGTAATCCCAGCACTTTGGCAGGCCGAGGCAGGTGGATCACCTGAGGTTAGGAGTTCGAGACCAGCCTGGCCAACATGGCAAAACCCCATCTCTACTAAAAAAATTTAAAAATTAGCCAAGTGTGGTGGCACGCGCCTGTAGTCCCAGCTACTCTGGAGGCTGAGGCAGGAGAATCGCTTGAACCTGGGAGGCAGAGGTTGTAGTGAGCCGAGATCACACCACTGTACTCCAGCCTGGGTGACAGCAAGACTCCATCTCAAAAAAAAAAAAAAAAAATCATAGGCAGAAAATGACGTTTTAAATCAGTGCGCAAACACAGGGCCAAATTCCTGGAAAATTTTGGAGAAGTAGATTTTAGCCAAGGTCATATAATCTATTACATACCATAGGCAGGATCTAAACCTAACTTAAAAACCCATGTTTCCAAATATACCATAGTTTGGAAGTGCTATCAGGTCAGAGTGCTCAATAAACTTTTGGCAGTACTGAAGACAGCATGATGCGACCATCTTTACAACCTCTGCAGCAACTGATAAATGCCCAGTAAGTATTTACTAAATTAACATGGTGTGACCACTTAAAGATTCAGGCCAGGCACTAGATTTTCAAGCCTACAGTGTTCAAGAAATAAAACCATTCAAGTGAGGAAGCCATTTCCAACAGGCTGAACCTATAAGGCAAGAAGGGTTCCTGGTAAGACTTAAGACAGAAATCAGGGATTATAAATCTATAGTTTTATTAAGACAAAAACTGACAATGTAGTATGAAGTTTACATTTAAACAAAGTTTACACAGAAATCTAACACATGCCTAAAAGAATTTTACAACGTAGCTCTAGATGCAAGTCTAGACAATATCAAGAACTGATGGTTCTCATGACTCAAGACAGAGCATTTTGGGTATGTTACTTATTAGGATTTCTTAAAAAATTGTTTTGTGTGTGTATGTGTGTGTTTTAAAGTGAACCACTGCCCAATATGAAAGTTTAATCTTCTCCTGAGACCAAGGCTTTTGAAATCACTAAACTCTTGGATCAATTCAGTGAAACTTGTGCTGTCAGTGACTGAACCCTGCCAACAATGGTTTCAGTGTTCAAAGCTCAAAGTAAACGGCTCCAAGAGTTTTCCCCACTAAGAGCATGGGCCCTTGTCTTTCCCTACTGTCTTACCTCCTCTACCACCCTCTTCCTCTTCCTAACACCTCAGCCAGTGGCTTGGATGAACAAGCTGATATTTATAACTTCGTTACTGGAAAAGAAAGGGTCTTCTAATTTCGGGAATTAGCACCTCTAAGGCAGAATGATCTGCTTGTACTGTATACTCTCCAATAAAAGACCTTCCCTCCTCGTCAATTTCCATCTCCAAAATGGCAACTTTGGTAACTTATGAACAGGCTTAGTCCTTTGTGGGAACAGCAATAAGTTTAGGCAGGGAACACCTTGGCTTATAGGTTTCAGACTTTCACAGCTTTTAAACAGTCTCTCACAGTCCTTATTTATGGTGCCAATGACATTTTTTTAAAGGTAAAATATTCTGGACATAGAAGCAAATCATTAGTTGTCTGTTCTTTTCCATTGCTTCACCATTTCCCCTATCAGGCCCCAAATGTTAATCAAAATGATGCTACCCATCTCCCTTTCTCCCCTCCCCATCCCTCCCTCCCCCAAATAATACACCAGTAATAGCCAAAAACTACACACATGCTACGCTGTAAAAATGCAGAGTTAACACTATTGGGAAGAAGGCTGTGGGTTGTGGAGATGCTCTTTGAAGATCTACAGTATTTTTTTGCTCTCCCACACACCCAATTCTGCAAGTTTTGTCCTTCATAGAAGGCCCTTTGCTTTTCGCAGCAAAGTGCAGAAAAGGTTGCCTTGAAACACTTATCCCCTTTCCCCTCCACTGGGATGGGTGTGCAAACTATACAGCTTGAAACGGCTTTAAAGCACTTGGGCTGCTGCAGGGCACAGAAACTATACTGGCTCTTCAAAGGACATCTTCTCAAGCCACCTCTATGGTGTCAAGACAAGTAGAACTCCTTCCCTTCCCACTTGAAACCCACAGTCAGATGTGACAGGGGCTGGTACTCAGGAGCGTTAGTTCTTGTCATCTTTTTTGTCATCATCCTCCGAGGGGTAGGAATGCCACGTCAGCCTTTCCTCATAGAAGGATATGACAACCTGTGGGCACTTGACATTGGCTTCCTTGGCAGGGACCAGGTCAGCCTCATCAGAGTTTTTCCTGCAGAATAAAGCAAAGAGAGACTTTGAGACCAGGTGCTGGTGGTCTATCCTAAGTTGGATAACCCAGGGGACAGTGCTTTAAAAATGGTAATTTTAGAAAAATAGGCTAGGGAACAATGAAAACGTGGCCCAAGCAGCATTTACTGGCAATTGTATGTCAAGTGACATCCTCAGAGTTAACTCTCCTGTTGAAAATTCCCTCTGGGGATTCGTGTATGTCAAAAGCCAGGTCAATGGACTTAACCAATCACATCTGAACATCTGGGCAAGGCCCCAAAAAGCATGACTCTCTAGATTCTCTGAGGGAAGAGAGGATACCTAGATTCTCTGAGGGAAGAGAAGTTACCACACTCCTCCAAAAGCCATATCCCAGCTGATAAGAACCCATGGAGAAATCTTGGCTTTGTAATAGGATTTTTTTTTTTTTTTTTTTGAGACAGAATCTCACTCTGTTGCCCAGCCTGGAGTGCAGTGGCATGATCTCGGATCACCACAACCTCCACCTCCTGGGTTCAAGCGATTTTCCTGCCTCAGCCTCCCCTAATAGCTGGAATTATAGGTGTGCGCCACCACACCCAGCTAATTTTTGTATTTTTAGTAGAGATGGGGTTTTGCCATCTCTACTAAAGATGTTGGCCAGGCTCATCTTGAACTCCTGACATCAGGTGATCCACCTGCCTCAGCCTCCCAAAGTGTTGGGATTACAGGCATGAGCCACCTCGCCCGGCCCGTAATAGGATTAAATACCACATCTGGCATTGGCCAGAGCAAATGAAGATGGACACTTTTTGCATAATCGTAATTACACTGACACTTCCAAATGCTATCCTCGCATAACTTCCAGGTGCTTTGAAATGATGTTTCAACATCGGGAGTAGAAAATGAGGGAGCTGTAGTTTTCTGAATTTTAAAATGTTTTCAAGTGGCTGGCCGCAGTGGCTCACACCTGTAATCCCAGCACTTTGGGAAGCCGAGGCAGGTGGATCACGAGGTCAGATCGAGACCATCCTGGCTAACACGGTGAAACCCTGTCTCTACTAAAAATACAAAAATTAGCCTGGTGTGGTGGCAGGCACCTGTAGTCCCAGCTACTTGGGAGGCTGAGGCAGGAGAATGGCGTGAAACTGGGAGGCAGAGCTTGCAGTGAGCCGAGATCATGCCACTGCACTCCAGCCTGGGCGACAGAGTGAGACTCTGTCTCAAAAAAAAAAAGTTTTCAAAATTTGAAAATCATACACATTATAAGGGAATTAGGAGTAAACTCTTAGGCAGGGAGCAGTAGCTCACGCCTATAATCCCAGCACTTTGGGAGGCCAAGGTGGGCAGGCCCAGGAGTTCAAGACCAGCCTGGTCAACATGGCAAAACCGTGTTGCTACTAAAAATACAAAAATTAGCCAGGCATGGTGGCGTGCGCCTGTAATCCCAACTATTCGGGAGGCTGAGGCACAAGAATCGCTTGAACCTGGGAGGTGGAGGTTGTAGTGAACAGAGATCGCCTCACTGCACTTCAGCCTGGGTGACAGAGCGAGACTCTGTCTCATTTAAAAAAAAAACAAACTCTTATCTTCAGGTTATTAGGAATGTCCTAGACAGAAGCAGTAGCGTAAAGCAAGCAGGAGACACCTGATGACATCTCTGACAAAGCACCACCCCAAATCTCTAGAACCTTAATAACAGGAAATCAGAGCCACATAGTCCCATAGAGCAGAAGAGTAAGCTGATAATGTATGTTTTTGAACAATGGACCCAAGAGAATGGGAGGGAAATGGGAATCTGAAGCATGCTGCCATTTGCTGACAGCTGAACAACACCCTCTGAGTTAAATTTAGTCATTTCACTCCCCAGAAATATTTACTACTTTTAGAAATATACAAAAATCTCTATTCTCCAGTAAAATAACTTTTTAAAATGTACTTTGTCTTATAATCAAATCCAGTTTTAACCTGTAGACAGCAGTGAGTCGGCCAGGTGCAGTGGCTCACGCCTGTAATCCTAGCACCTTGGGAGGCTGAGGTGGGTGGATCACCTGAGGTCAGGAGTTTGAGACCAGCCTGGCCAACATGGTGAAACCCCATCTCTATGAAAAATACAAAAATCAGCCAGGCGTGGTAGCACATGCCTGTAATCCCAGCTACTTGAGAGGCTGAGGCAGAAGAATCATTGAACCCGGAGGGGCGGAGGTTGCAGTGAGCTGAGATCGTGCCACTGCACTCCAGCCTGGGCGAAAGAGTGAGACTGTCTCAAAAAAAAAAAAAAAAAAAAAGACAGTAGTGAGTCAACCAAAGGAGTACAATCTTAAGCAATATGGAGATACTACTGTAACTCACACTGGTCACATGCAGAAAAAGTATATTCTAGCTAAACTGAGTAACTCACAGTATAACTTCTCCCACCCAATAAGCAGCATCTTAAAAATGAACTTTTCTCTTATAGGTTAACAATAAATCAGCTAAAAGAGGGGCAGCTCCAGTAACTGCCTAGGGAATACATAGAAGAGAATAGGTTAGTTAGTTGTGACTCTGGCTTTCAGTGGTGCTAAAGTTAGGCCCCTCCAGCCATACTGTAAAAGAGGATAATTAGTACAGACACGAGTTTCAGAGTAAGTTCTGGACTGACAAAAGGACAAAGCTCCATAGACTGTGTGTGTGTGTGTGTGTTTTAAAGGACAAAGTTTCTAGAATGCTGCCTTCATTGGCAATGGCTTAGAATTATTCCTTCCAAATTTTAAATACAATCATTGAGATCCACTTTGTGGGGAGAATGAGCAAGAAATAGGAAGAATGGCCTTCTTTTGACAGAGTAGGAAAATTACAGAGATTGTTGGGATAACTATCTTCATTAGGCTGTTTCATGGAGTATTACTATCACTGGTATTTATACTCATAATGGAAAAAAGCAGGCTTGCTCTATGCTTGATAGCAGTTAAGGAGCCTTGCTGACCCCTGCTGGCTGATCCTGTAATTGTAGAATCTGCACAAATTGAAAGGGATCCAACAATTAAGGACAAAAGGAAGAACTACAGATTCTTTCCTAACCCTGAGAATTTAGCAGAATTTCTGATTCTGGGGCCAGCCTCATCTTTATTAAGGAGGTGGTAGAAGGAGAGGGTGGTCCAATCACATTTCATTTTCTCCCCCTTTATTTACAGAAGTGAAATGTAATTCCTTCCCACACTCTTTCCACTCTAGATTGTCTCCCACCTCCTAAAAATATGGGCAAAGACCCAAGATTCCTAAGGGCTCCTACCTGTAACTCATGAGTCCAGGGTGGCAGTCAGGCCGAGGGTCACTATCGAAGGACTATGCCATCTTAACAATTTCACACTTGGGTGATTGGAATTTCGAAGGTCCAGCTCTTTTCCTCTGGCATGAAACCAATGGGAGAAGAAAAAAAACAACCACACAGAGCCACTGGCCGACTCACCATTTCATCAGGAACATGAGCTCTCCACTGGAGTCTGTAGCTCCAATAATCCGCTCCGGCTCCAAACCTCGAGCAAAGCCTCGTGGCTTTTCTGACTGTAAAAACAAGATGGGTAGAACAATTTTATCTATATGGGACTATTATCCAGACTGGAACCATTCCTGTGTCTCTGATTAATGTAATCACAAACTCTTTTTTTTTTTTTTTGAGACGGAATCTCACTCTGTCGCCCAGGCTGGAGTGCAGTGGTGCGATCTCGGCTCACTGCAGCCTCTGCCTCCCAGGTTCAAGTGATTCTCCTGCCTCAGCCTCCCAAGTAGCTGGGACCACAGGCACATGCCACCACGTCAGCTAATTTTTTGTATTTTTAGTAGAGACCCAGTTTCTCCGTGTTAGTCAGGATGGTCTTGATCTCCTGACCTTGTGATCCGCCCGCCTCGGCCTCCCAAGGGGCTGGGATTACAGGTGTGAGCCACCGTGCCCGGCCCAATCACAAACTCTTTTGCCAATATTTCACCAATACCTTGGCTCAAGTAAGAGAGCTGTTAGAATCCTTTGGAGTGATTATTCATCAATGTCTGAAGCGCATGAGATTTTCCCTATGTGAAAAGGGACATACAGCCCAAGCAAAATCAATGTTTACAACTATCTCTTCACTCTCAAAAAACAACTTACTTTAAGATACTGATTAAGTCAAAATAGCCACCTCACACCTTTAATGATTAAATATTGAAAACTATTTTTTACAAGAATGAATTCACTTGCCCTTATATCTGTCCCCAGCAAGTTTTCCATTTACTGCTCCTGTACCATGGATAAAAAGTAAGAGATCATGTGGCTTCATGACAGTACACTCTCACTTTGTAGGCATTAGCCTACCTAAGATTTCAGGACTAAGAAGAGACAGCTGCTAATATCAGGGAAGAAGCAGAACAAAACTACTTTGACAGTAGTTTGAATTGTGGGCTAGTAAAAATTCTTACTTCTATTCTTACCTCTTCTTTCTTCTTCTTTGGTTTGCTCTCCTCTCCCTTATCTTCAGAATCAGAATCAGCTTTGCGCTTGCCTCCCTCTGATTTATCTGTCTCATGTGCTGTTTTCTGTGACTGCAGAAACTCAGCAATGAGGTCGGGGCAATCCAGGTTCTCTTCTGGCTCCCATGTGTTGTCCTCACTGAAACCAGAGGGCACAGCAAGTCACACTTTCACTCAAATAAGTATACTCATACTAAGGATAATCGTAAGAGGACAAGACCTCAGATGTCTATGGAAAAGCTGAAATTCTTGGGGAATGGGGAAGCTTTTTAGTATAAATAGAAAGCTAAGAAACTGGCTTCCTTCAAAGGCAAATGACTTTTATTTGTCAATTTAAATTGGTCTGTAGCCACACACAAAACTGTTTCTCAGCAATCACTATGGGCTGGGTACAGTGGCTCATGCTTGTAGTCCCAACACTTTGGGAGGCCCAGGTGGGAGGACTGCTTGAGGCCAGGAGTTAAGAGACAAACCTGGGCAACTAAGCGAGACATGGTGGTGCATGCCTGTGGTACCAGCTACTTAGAAGGCTGAGGTGGGAGGATACCTTGAGCCTGGGAGGTTGAGGCTGCAGCGAGCTATGACTGCACCACTGTACTCCAGCCTGGGTGACAGAGCGAGACCTCGTCTCAAAAGAAATAATTTTTAAAAAGAAGTCATTCTGCTTTGTATTATAAGCAGTAGGCCATATTCCTAATTAAACAATAAGCCATGAAGGTGGGGACTGAGTCACACTGTATCCATCATAGCACTGGAGGTCTCATACATCTCTAGACTCCTGATAAACACGTGGTGGCTACATTTACCTGTGTCAGTGAAACTTACTCTGAGAATCCCTTCCACTTTAGGAGGTACTCCACTTTGCCCTTTACCACTCGACGGTCGAGAACTTTTTCCACCACATATTCCTCTTCCTCCTCTTCTAGCACCTCCTCCACTTTCTTCTTGTTTTGTTTTTTCCCCATAGTGCCCGCCAGCTTTCTGGTGTAAAGGGTGACGCTGCTAAAATGATAAATGAAATAAAAAGGGCATTAGGGAGCACTCTTATTGGTTAGATAATATCTGGATGGTAAGAAAACCAGGGACATGACAGGTGATAATATTGTATGCTGCTTATAGTAAGTGTTAGGCTTCTTCTCACACTCGATACAAAATAGTTTTCTGATATGTCCAGCCAGAAAGCTCATAAAACAGCCCCAATTAATCTTACAGCAAACTTTTTTTTTTTTTTTGAGAGACGGAGTCTTGCTCTGTTGCCCAGGCTGGAGTGCAAAGTGGCGCAATCTCGGCTTACTGCAACCTCCGCCTCCTGGGTTCAAGCGATTCTCCTGCCTCAGCTTCCCAAGCAGCTGGGACTACAGGCGTGTGCCACCAAGCCCAGCTAATTTTTGTTGTTTTTTTTTTTGTTTTTTTTGTTTTTTTTTTTTTAGTAGAGACGGGATTTCACTATGTGTTGGCCAGGTTGGTCTCGAACTCCTGACCTCAGGTGATCCACCTGCCTCGGCCTCCCAAAGTGTTGGAATTACAGGCATGAGCCACCACGCCTGGCCTTCACAGCAAACTTCTTTATTCTTGTGTATCCATTTAAAACTTTTATACCCATTCTTGGTAATTTTAAAAGGCTCCCAATACTCCTTTTACCATAAAGCATGGTAGCTAGGGCCAGGCGTGCAGGCTCACATCTGCAATCCCAGCATTTTGGAAGGCCCAAGTGGGAGAATTCCTGAAGCCCAGTAGTGTGTGACCAGCCTAGGCAACACAGCAAGACTCCATCTTCACAAAAAAACCGTTGTAAAAGAGCACGGTAGCTAAAATATTGCATTAAATTGAAAGGCTGGGTGCAGTGGCTCACACCTATAATTCTAGCACTTTGGGAGGCCGAGGCGGGCAGATCACCTGAGGTCAGGGGTTCAAGACCATCCTGGCCAACATGGCGAGACCCTGTCCCTACTAAAAATACAAAAATTAGCCAGTCGTGAGCCAAGATCGCACGACTGTACTCCAGCCTGGGCAACAGAGTGAGACACTGTCTCAAAAAAAAAAGAAAAGCAGTCCTCCTAAAAATGTGCACATATCAATAAAACTTACATATTACTCTCTGACTCATACTTTCTCCTATTCCAAGTTTTCCTTTTCATCAAAGTACTGGATTTGAATTTGTTTTTTTTTTTTGAGATGGAGTCTTGCTCTGCCCCCAGGCTGGAGTGCAGTGGTGCAATCTCAGCTCACTGCAAGCTCCGCCTCCTGGGTTCACACCATTTTCCTGCCTCAGCCTCCTGAGTAGCTGTGACTACCGGCGCCCGCCACCACGCCCAGCTAATTTTTTGTATTTTTAGTAGAGACGGGGTTTCACCATGTTAGCCAGGATGGTCTCGATCTCCTGACCTCATGATCCGCCTGCCTCGGCCTCCCAAAGTGCTGGGATTACAGAGCTGAGCCACCATGCCCAGTCTGTTTTTGTCTTTTTGAGACGGAGTCTCAACTCTGTGAGCTGGGCTGGAGTGCAATGGTGTGATCTCAATTTACTGCAACCTCTGCCTCCCGGGTTCAAGCGATTCTCCTGCCTCCACCTCCCGAGTAGTTGGTTTTACAGGTGCCCGCCATTACGCCTGGCTAATTTCTATATTTTTAGAAGAGACGGGGTTTAACCACGTTGGCCAGGCTGGTCTTCAACTCCTGACCTCGTGATTTGCCTGCCTTGGCTTTCCAAAGTGCTGGGATTACAAGCGTGAGCCACCGTGCCTGGACTTTTTTTTTTTTTTTTTTTTTTGAGACGGAGTCTCACTCCAGCCCAGGCTGGAGTGCAGTGGCACAATCTCGGCTCACTGCAACCTCTGCCTCCCGGGTTCAAGTGATTCTCCTGTCTCAGCCTCCTGAGTAGCTGGGACTACAGGTGTGAGCTACCACGCCCGGCTAATTTTTGTATTTTTAGCAGAGACAGGGTTTCACCAACGTTGGTCAAGCTGCCAGGCTGGTCTCAAACTCGTGACTTCGTGATTCACCCGTGCTGGCCTCCCAAAGTGCTGGGATTACAGGCGTGAGCCACCGAACCCAGCTCCAGCCCCGGCCCCGCACCTCCCCCTCTTTGAGATGGAGTCTCACTCCAGCCGGGCTGGAGTGCAGTGGCACAGTCTTGGCTCACTGCAACCTCCGCCACCTGGGTTCAAGTGATTCTTTTGCCTCAGCCTCCTGAGTAGCTGGGACTACAGGTGTGTGCCACCATGCCCAGCTAGTTTTTGTTTTTTTAGTAGAGACAGGGATTCGCCATGTTGGCCAAGCTGGTCTCGAACTCCTGACCTCAAGTGATCCACCCGCCATGGCCTCCCAAAGTGCTGGGATTACAGGCATGAGCCACTGTGCCCAGCCATGTTCTCTTGTTCTTTATGCAGTCTTTTCTGAATTGAACTTACGATTCACAAATTTCTTGTTAACTTATTGTATTTAGTTTATTTTACAACTTTTTTTCTTTTTTGAGACAGTGTCTCACTCTATCACCTAGGATGGAATGCAGTGAAGTAATTATGGCTCATTGCAGCTTTGACCTCCTGGGCTCAAGTGATCCCGCTGCCTCAGTCTCCTGAGTAGCTGGAACCACAGGTGTGCGCCACCATGCCTGGCTAATTTTTTAAATTTTTAGTAGAGACAAGTTCTCAATATGTTGCCCAGGCTTGTTTCAAACTCCCAGGCTCAAGTGATCCTCCCACCTCAGCCTCCTACTGGGATTACAGACATAAGCCATCACACCTGGCCTCCAATTTATTTCTAAAAACTAAGGAAGAGTCATAAAAATGCCAGAATGATCATGAAATTCTCTAAACTGGAACCCTGTAAAAATTTGGAAAACAAGTGTGGGGAAAACAGAACTGTAGTTATCAAAGATAATAGAATCTGAGTTTACTCCTTTATAAAATACATCATCAAGCTAGGTAACATCTAAGGGTTTTTCCAGTGTTGAAATTTTAGTCCCTTATAAATCTATTTTATTTAGTCCTTCATCCAAATTTGACTTTTTTGGGGGAGGGGGACACAGTCTCCCTCTGTCGCCCAGGCTGCAGTGCAATGGTGCTATCTCGGCTCACCTACGCCTCTAGGGTTCAAGTGATTCTCATGCCTCAGCCTCCTGAGTAGCTAGGACTACAGGCACCTGCCACCAGGCCCAGTTGATTTTTGTATATTTAGTAGAGATGGGGTTTCAGCATGTTGGCCAGGCTGGTCTCGAACTCCTGACCTCAAGTGATCTGCCCGTTTTGGTTTCCCAAAACTCTGGAATTAACAGGCATGAGCTACCGTGCCCGGACCCAACTCTTTGACTTCTGACAGACTTAAAGCCTTATGATTACCAATTTTTGTCAGTAGATGGCACTGTATCAATGAAACAAAATTGATCAACAAAACTGGCCAAAGAATTACCTGGATGGCAGGTAATCCAAGACAAGGAAGAGTTACGTCTCCGCTTGAGTTTAAAATAATACCAATTTGAGGTTAAACTGGTTATTCCTAGCATCCTTAGGAAAGGAAGCTTACTTAGTGTAATCATTAAGTTTTCTAAACACTGTAAAACTGGCATGTATAGACAGAATGCACTTAGAGTCCATCTACAAGGCTGGGTGCGGTGGTTCACGCCTGTAATCCCAGCACTTTGGGAGACTGAGGCAGGCAGATCACAAGGTCAGGAGTTCGAGACCAGCTTGGCCAATATGGCGAAACCCCATCTCTACTAAAAGTATAAAAATTAGCTGGGTATGGTGGCGCTCGCCTGTAGTGCCAGCTACTCGGGAGGCTGAGGCAGGAGAATTGCTTGAACCCGGGAGGCGGAGGTTGCAGTGAGCCGAGATCGCGCCACTGCACTCCAGCCTGGTGACAGAGCGAGACTCCATCTCAAAAAAAAAAAAAAAAAAAAAAAAAAAAAAAAATATATATATATATATATATATATATATATATATATATATATAAAATTTGTCTTAGAAAAATAAATAGCATTTCTTTTTGAAAAGTTTAATCTATTTATTTGCTTATTTAGAGACCAGGTTATGAGACTGCCTAATTTTTGTATTTTCGGTAGAGAAGGGTTTTTGCCATGTTGCCAATGCTGGTCTTGAACCCCTGGGCTCAAGCGATCCACCTGCCTTGACCTCCCAAAGTGCTGGGATTACTGGCATGAGATCTGGCCAAAAAATAAAACAGCACTGACTATTATCCACCTGATCCTTCTGCTATGAGCCGAAAGGGTCAGCATAGCTTCTAACTGATCTCTACCTACTGCAAGCTTATCCTCCCTTTATCATTAATTAGCATGGCCTCAGAGAGGAACAGTCATAGAATGGCATAATTGTTAGGTAAAGAAAGCGCCCAAATGGGGAAATCTAAAGTAAAGCATTCTCATGACTTCGATCTTTACTCACTTTTATTTTTTGAGACAGAGTTTCGCTCTTGTCGCCCAGGCTGGAGTGCAATGGAGCACTCTCAGCTCACTGCAACCTTCACCTCCTGAGTTCAAGCGATTCTCCTGTCTCAGCCTCTCAAAGAGCTAGGATTACAGGCGCTCACCACCATGCCCAGCTAATTTTTTTAATACTCTTAGTAGAGACAAGATTTCACCATGTTGGCCAGGCTGGTCTCGAACTCCTGACCTCAGGTGATCTGCCTGCCTCGGCCTCCCAAAGTGCTGGGATTACAGGCCTAAGCCACTGAGCCTGGCCCTTTCCTTACTTTTTAAGTACTGTCTTAAGAGCAACTCAAATAAGAAGAATATAGAAAACAGATCCCCGCTTCTTCCTGAGCTTTCTTTACTGGCTCATCCCAGAGCATCTACATCCAGAGATACTGTATTACTGGAGATTCCCAGCCAGCCTTCCCAACGTGTTTTTTTGTTTACAATTAGTTCTCTAGGGTTTCAAGAAAGCTATTTGTCAAAATCAGTAGAGAGGTCAGGGCTCGGCAGCACACACCTGTAATTCCAGCACTTTGGAAGGCCTAGGCAGAAGGACTGCTTGAGCCCAGGAGTTTGAGACCAGCCTGGGCAACGTAGTGAGACCCCATCTCTACAAAAAATAATCAGCTGGGTGTGCTGGGAGGATCGCTTAAGCACAGGAGGTTGAGGCTGCTGTGAGCTGTGATTGTGCCACTGCACTCCAGCCTGGGTGAGGAAGCAAGACTGTCTTTAAAAAAATGATAAAGAGGCTGGGCGTGGTGGCTCACACCTGTAATCCCAGCACTTTGGGAGGCTGAGGTGGGCAGATCACGAGGTCAGGAGATCGAGCCCATCCTGGCTAACACGGTGAAACCCCATCTCTACTAAAAATACAAAAAATTAGCTGGGTGTGATGGCGGGCACCTGTAATCCCAGCCACTCGGGAGGCTGAGGCAGGAGAATGGCGTGAACTCGGGTAGCGGAGCTTGCAGTGAGCCGAGATCATGCCACTGCACTCCAGCCTGGGGGACAGAGCGAGACTCCATCTCAAAAAAAAAAAAAAAAAAAAAAAAGGAAAAATGATCTATAATTTTATTTATTTTTTTGAGATGGAGTCTCTGTCGCCCAGGCTGGAGTGCAGTGACGCAATATCAGTTCACTGCAACCTCCACCTCCCAGGTTCAAATGATCCTCTTCCTTAGCCTCCCGAGTAGCTGGGACTACAGATGCACACCACCACTCCTGGCTAATTTTTTTGTATTTTTAGTAAAGACGTGGTTTCACCATGTTGGCCAGGCTGGTCTCAAACGCTTGACCTCAAGTAATCCGCCCACCTCAGCCTCCCAAAGTGCTGGGATTACAGGCGTAAGCCACTGTGCCAGGTAATTTTATTTTTTTTTAATGACACAATTATCTTTTTTTTTTTTTTTTGAGACGGAATTTCGCTCTTGTCACCCAGGCTGGAGTGCAACAACGCGATCTCAGCTCACCACCACCTCGGCTTCCCAGGTTCAAGCGATTCTCCTGCCTCAGCCTCCCAAGTAGCTGGGATTATTGGCATGCACCACCATGCCCAGCTAATTTTGTATCTTTAGTAGAGACAGAGTTTCTCCATGTTGGTCAGGCTGGTCTTGAACTCCCAACCTCAGGTGATCTGCCTGCCTCAGCCTCCCAAAGTGCTGGGATTACAGGAATGAGCCACTGCACCTGGCCTAATTTTTATTTATTTATTTATTTTTTAAAGACAGGGTTTCACTATGTCACCCAGGCTGTTCTTGAACTCCTGGACTCCAGTGATCCTCCCGCCTCAGCCTCCCAAAGTGCTGGGATTACATGTGTAAGCCATCATGCCTGGTCAATTACCACTTTGTAAATTCCACCTGCACCCCTATTGTCAGGGGTACCTAGTGGCCTTTCCAGAATCCTGTGACACAAACTGGTTTGTTGTACCTTCTTGGCTCTTCCTAAATCCAGTCCTACTTAATTTTTAGCTTTTTCTGGTCAGTAACTAGTTTTCCAGCTGTTTTCTGACATCTCTACTTGTCTTTTTCCTATTTTTCTTGTCTCTTTAAAAATCTTCTTATTGGCCAGGTGGCGTGGTGGCTCACGCCTGTAATCCCAGTAATTTGGGAGGCCGAGGTGAGCGGATCACTTGAGGTCAGGAGTTCGAGACCAGCCTGACCAACATGGTGATACCCTGTCTCTGCTAAAAATCCAAAAAATTAGCTGGGTGTGGTGGTGGGCGCCTGTAATCCCAGCTACTTGGAAGGCTGAGGCAGGAGAATCGCTGGAACCTGGGAGGCAGAGGTTACAGTGAGCCGAGATTGCGCCATTGCACTCCAGCCTGGGCGACAAAAGCGAAACTCCATCCCCCCTCCAAAAAAAAAATCCTTTGACCATTACTTGTGTGAGATTTTCAAAAGGAGTAGAACCATGTAGTTCAACCAGCCATGTTTATCTGCAAAGTTTCACTGAAGTATCTAATAATAGTGAGTGCTTATTATGTGCCAGGTACTATTACAAACACTTTACTCATTTATTTAAAAAATTTTGTTTAGACACAGGGTGTCGCTCTGTTGCCCAGTACGGTGGCCTGATCATAACTCACTGCAGCCTCGACCTCCTGGGCTCAAGCCATCCTCCCAAGTAGCTGGGACTACAGGCTTGTACCACCAAACCTGGCTAATTTTTTCAATTTTTTCTGGTGGAGACAAGGTGTTCCTATGTTGTTCAGGCTTCTCTTTCTTTCCTTTTTTTTTTTTTTTTTTTTTTTTTTTGAGACGGAGTCTTGCTCTGTTACCCAGGCTGGAGTGCAGTGGTGCTAATCATCATGCTCACTGAACCTCCGCCTCCAGAGTTCAAGCGATTCTCCTGCCTCAGCCTCCTGAGTAGCTGGGATTACAGGTGCGTGCCACCACACCCAGCTAATTTTTGTATTTTTAGTAGAGACAGGTCGCCATGTTGCTCAGCCTGGTCTCCAACTCCTGACCTCGTGATCCACCCGCCTCAGCCTCCCAAAGTGCTGGGATAACAGGCGTGAGCCACTGTGCCGGGCGCCAAGCTTCTGTTAAACTCCTGGCCTCACACAATTCTCTCGCTTTGGCCTCCCCAAGTGTTGGGATTACAGGCATGAACCATGGCGCCCTGCCTACTCATTTATTATTTACAATACTCCCGGCCGGGCATGGTGGCTCACGCCTGTAATCCCAGCACTTTGGGAGGCTGAGGTGGGTGGATCATGAGGTCAGGAGATCGAGACCATCCTGGCTAACATGGTGAAACCCCGTCTCTACTAAATGTACAAAAAATTAGCTGGGCGTGATGGCGGGCACCTGTAGTCCCAGCTACTTGGGAGGCTGAGGCAGGAGAATGGTGTGAACCCAGGAGACGGAGCTTGCAGTGAGCCGAGATCGCGCCACTGCACTCCAGCCTGGGCGACAGAGCGAGACTCCGTCTCACAAAAAAAAACAAAAAAAAACCAATACTCTCAAGAGTTACTAGTTGAAGCTAGTAACTGAGTTGACTGGACTACAAATAGGGGAGTATGGTTTTACAGTATGTACTCAAACCTCAGTTTGAGATCCTCAGTTGTCCTACTTAGCCAACTCGTATGGTTTATATCACAATATTGTAAACAAAGAAATCTAGCATTGCCATAATTTTTACCTAAACATTTGCTGAGTCTGCTACATTTGAAGATTCCTAGAAAAATAATACTTTACATTTGCATTATACTTTACAGTTTACAAAGTGCTACCACATTATCTCATTTAATCTTCAAAACCATCCTGTGAGATAAGCCATTCAGATGTTATCTCTGCCTCACAAATAGACCAAATTTAGATGAAATAGATCACCTAAGGTCACACAATTAAACGAAGCACTGCACTTCAGTAAGGCCATCTAGCAAGGCTAGGCTAAATGCCCTGTTGAACACATAAAACTAGCAGCTAGCCAAAAACCTACAGGGTAACATCCCTCCAGCCTGTATAAGGAAAGGACACAGAGGTCTCTTAAGATGACTCCTCCCTACAATTTGTCACTGGTAAATAAGAAAGTGACTGGTAATGATTTTTCTCAGAAAAGACCTTGAAAGGTATGGCTCTGTTAAAAAAAAAAAAACAATGATTTTTAATTGGTTTCTGGAATATGAAGGTATTCATTGTTTATTAAACCTGCAGACAGAAACAAAGCTGGGTTTTTAATGCCCCAGCAGTCTTTTGAGTCTTTTAAATTGACAAGTGCTACATAGTGTAGAATTTTTTAAGTTAAACATCTAGCAAGCAGACTAGAGAGAGAACTACTGAGAAAATGTCAATTTTAAGAAACCAGGCCAGGCGCGGTGGCTCACGCCTATAATCCCAGCACTCTGGGAGGCTGAGGAGGGCAGAATCACCTAAGGTCAGGAGTTCAAGAAAAACCTGGCCAACGTGGCGAAACCTCGTCTCTACTAAAAATACAAAAAAAATAGGCTGGTCACGGTGGCATGCACCTGTAGTCCCAGTTACTCGAGAGATTAAGGCATGAGAATTGCTTGAACTCAGGCGGCAGACATTGGCAGTGAGCCAAAATCACGCCACTGCACTCCAGCCTGGGTGACACAGCGAGACTCTGTCTCAATAAAAAACAAAACAAAACAAAAAAAACCCAAAACTTGTTTACAGTGTCCCAAGGAATCCAGGAACAGTGTAAATCTGAATCAAGAGTAATTAATTCATAGCTCAATTTTAAGAGAAAGAGTACTGTTGTGATTTTCCTCACCCACCCTCCACCCCTGCACTGAGGAGCTAGAAAATGTAAAGAAGCAACAATGCTACTTGACTGCAGAAGGCAGTAACATAACAGACACAAGCTTAGGCATTTCATTTTGGTTTGAAATAGTTTGTACTGTGAAAGGGTACGAGAAGGCTTCAAGAAGCCAGTATGGCCACAGCTCTTGGCTGCCACCATAAACATGAACTATGAAGTGCTATGCTAGGAACTTCCACGATTCTGATTTCTTGCCAGTTTGAAAAACCAAATTATAAATGTGAGGCCATGGTAACACCTACAGACCTAAGAAACTAAACCAGTAGGGTTTCTAGCTAAATGCCAAGGTGAGGCATTTAAAATGTTGGTCAGGGCTGGGCATGATGGCTCACACCTGTAATCCCAGCACTTTGGGAGGCTGAGGCAGGCAAATTACCTGAGATCAGGAGTTTGAGACCAGCCTGGCCAACATGGTGAAACCCTGTCTCTACTAAAAAATACAAAAATTAGCTGGGCGTGGTCGTGCACATCTGTAATCACAGCTACTTGGGAGCCTGAGGCAGGAGAATCACTTGACTTCAACCCAGAAGGCGGAGGCTGCCTTGAGCCTAGATCACACCACTGCACTCCAGCCTGGGCTATAGAGTGAGACTTCGTCTCAAAAAAAAGAAAACGAAAAAGAAAAAAACAATAAATAAACAAAAATGGCCGGGCGCGGTGGCTCACGCCTGTAATTCCAGCACTTTGGGAGGCAGAGGTGGGCAGATCACAAGGTCAGGAGATCAAGACCATCCTGGCTAACATGGTGAAACCCCATCTCTACTAAAAATACAAAAAATTAGCTGGGCGTGGTGGCGGGTGCCTGTAGTCCCAGCTACTCAGGAGGCTGAGGCAGGAGAATCAGTTGAACCTGGGAAGCAGAGGTTGCAGTGAGCCCAGATCGCACCATTGCACTCTAGCCTGGGCAACAGAGTAAGACGCCATCTCAAAAAAAAAAAAAGAAAAGAATTCAGAGGAAAGCGAACTCTGAGTCAAGAACCTTCACCTCTATGAGAATCAGAATCACCTATGGAGTTTAGAAATACAGATGCCTGCCTGGGTGTGATAGCTCACGCCTGTAATCCCACCACTTTGGGAGGCGAGGTGGGTGGATCACGAGGTCAGGAGTTGAGATCGGCCTGGCCAACATGGTGAAACCCCAGTCTCTACTAAAAATACAAAAATTAGCTGGGCGTGGTGGTGTGCACCTGTAATCCCAGCTACTCAGGAGGCTGAGGCAGGAGAATAGCTTGAACCCGGGAGGCGGAGGTTGCAGTAAGCCAAGATCATGCCATTGCACTCCAGCCTGGGCAACAGAGTGAGACTCCATCTCAAAAAAAATTTAAAAAAAGGCTGGGCGCAGTGGCTCATGCCTGTAACCCCAACACTTTGGGAGGTCAAGGCAGGCAGATCACTAGGTCATGAGATCGAGACCTTCCTGGCCAACATGGCAAAACCCTGTCTCTAGTAAAAACACAAAAATTGGCCGGGCATAGTGGCACACGCATGTAGTCCTAGCTACTTGGGAGGCTGAGGCAGGAGAATCACTTGAACCGGGGAATCAGAGGTTGCAGTGAGCTGAGATTGTACCACTGCACTCCAGAGCCTGGCAACAGAGCGAGACTCAGTCTCAAAAAAAAAAAAAAAAAAGAAAACAGAAAAAAGAAGAAATACAGATGCCTAGACCCCACTCCACAGCGAATACATGAGGAAGTGGTGTTTTTAAAGCAGTTAATTTTTTCTAATTAAAATCATATATTAACATTCAATTACAAAAATATATAACGTGGCCAGGCGCAGTGGCTCACGCCTGTAATCCCAGAACTTTGGAAGGCCAAGGCGGGCGGATCACAAGGTCAGGAGTTTGAGACCAGCCTGGCCAACATAGTGAAACCCCCATCTCTACTAAAAATACAAAAAATTACCTGGGCGTGGTGGCAGGCGCCTGTAATCCTAGCTACTTGGGAGGCAGAGGCAGAAGAATTGCTACAACCTGGGAGGTGGAGGTTACAGTGTGCCAAGATCGCGCCACTGCACTCCAGCCTGGGAGACAGTGTGAGCCTCCGTCTGAAAAAAAAAAAAAATTTATTTTTCTTGTTGCCAGGTGCGGTGGCTCACGCCTATAATCCCAGCACTTTGGGAGGTCGAGGTGGGTGGATCACGAGGTCAGGAGTTCGAGACCAGCCTGACCAACATGGTGAAACCCCATCTCTACTAAAAATACAAAAATTAGCCGGGCGTGGTGGCGCATGCCTGTAATCCCAGCTATTCAGGAGGCTGAGGCAGGAAAATCGCTTGAACCCGGGAGGCGGATGTTGCAGTGAGCCAAGATCACGCCACTGCACTCCAGCCTGGGCGACAAAGCGAGACTCCATCTCAAAATAAATAAATAAATAAATAAAAATTTCTTACTTTTGATTTTTTTAAAAAAATACTTAAAAATATGGACTGCTTCATGAATTTGTGTGTCGTCTTTGCATAGGGGCCATGCTAATCTTCTCTGTATCGTTCCAATTTTAGTACATGTGCTGCTTAAGCAAGCACCAGTTTACCATTTTATACAATGCAATGTATCTTTGACATTATTCCATAAAGATCTCCATCCCTAACAGCTGCCATAGTATTCCATTGTATGGTTTCCTTTATTATAATGAAGAATGCTGTTTTGACATTGGCAGCGAGCCAAAATCACACCACTGCACTCCAGCCTGGGCGACACAGCAAGACTGTCTCAATAAAACACAAAACAAAACAAAAAACCCCAAAACTTGTTTATAGTATCCCAAGGAATCCAGGAACAGCATAAATCTGAATCAAGAGTAATTAATTCATAGCTCAATTTTAAAAGCTGGCATCTGCATCTTTTTTTTTTTTTTTTGAGACAGAGTCTCACTCAGTCGCCCAGGCTGGAGTGCAGTGGTGTGATCTCGGCTCACTGAAAGCTCCACCTCCCAGGTTCACGCCATTCTCCTGCCTCAGCCTCCCCAGTAGCTGGGACTACATGTGCCTGCCACCACGCCCGGCTAATTTTTTTGTATTTTTAGTAGAGAGAGGGTTTCACTGTGTTAGCCAGGATGGTCTCTATCTCCTGACCTCGTGATCCGCCCATCTCGGCCTCCAACAGTGCTGGAATTACAGGCATGAGCCACCGCGCCTGGCCAGGCATCTGCATCTTTCAAAGCTCCACAGGTGATTTTGATGAACATTCTTGGATAAAAGCTACTGCTGTAAGAGGATTGGCAAAAACCATATTCCTCAAGTGAAATTACACACATTACTGCAGACATAAATCAGTTCTCGGGGCCCAGCACGGTGGCTCACGCCTGTAACCCCAGCACTTTGGGAGGCCGAGGTGGGCGGATCACCTGAGGTCAAGAGTTTGATACCAGCTTGACCTACATGGTGAGAGCCCATCCCTACTAAAAATACAAAATTAGCTGGGCGTGGTGGCACATATCTGTAATCCCAGCTACTCGGGAGGCTGAGGCAGGAGAATCACTTGAACCCGGGAGGTGGAGGTTGTAGTGGGCCGAGATCGTGTCACTGCACTCTAGCCTGGGCAACAAGAGTGAAACTCTGTCTCTAAATAAATAAATAAATGGCAAAAGGAATTTACCTTCCAAGGAGTAAAGAAAGGAAGTAAATTCTGGATACAAACAGAAAATTTTAACGAAATTTATTTGTGACTTTTTTTTTTTGAGATGGAGTCTGGCTCTGTCACCCAGGCTGGAGTGCAGTGGCATGATCTCGGCTCACTGCAACCTCCGCCTCCTGGGTTCAAGCAATTCTCCTGCCTCAGCCTTCCAGGGCGTGCACCACCACCCCTGGCTAATTTTTGTATTTTTAGTAGAGATGGAGTTTCATCATGTTGGCCAGGGTGGTCTCGATCTCGACCTCATGATCTGCCCACCTCAGCCTCCCAAAGTGCTGGGATTACAGGCACGAGTCACTGCGCCCGGCTATTTGTGACAAAAATTTTAAGATTTCTGATGACCTATGTAAGTACAAAAATCAGTTTTGGTAATCCACACAGTAAAGTTCCTTAAGAAACTTTGAAGATTGTGATTTCAACCTCAGTTTTTATTTACATGTATATATTTTTTTCTAGCCAATCACCCAATTAAATAAACAGTCTCAGAATTCATATAGCTTTTGCTGTACTCAAGACAAAAATATGGGAATCAGCTCTGATTCCTCATCCTCCATATCCAGTCTCTCACTAAATCCTGGTAATTTTATATCTTAAATATCTTCCAATTCATACTTTTTTCCAGCCCCACTGCTGCTGCTCTATTCGAAGCCACCATCATCTCTTGCAATGGGTAACTCCTGATCCAATTCATTTTCAACACTAGCCAGTGATTTCAAAATGAAAATCTATCTCTTCACATCATTATCTGTGGGCATTTGAGCTGAAGGCCCCTGCACCTACACCTATCAATCATCATTACCTTGCGCTTTGCCCAACTTTTCACTTAACCAATTTCCTTAGCTTAAATGTCACTTCCTTAGAATTCCTTCCCTAGAGCCCCAGACTGGGTTAACTCTGTATGAACATGCTCCTATTGTATTCATTCACATAACAATTATCTACTGGGCACCTATTACGTGTAAGGTGCTGGAAAAATGGGGTAGACAAGACAGACAAAATCCTTGATCTCTTAGACCTTATTATTCTAGTGCAGACAAGTGAGTGAGCACTATTGAGTGTGTGCACACATGTGTTTGCAAAGCATGGCACAGACAATAAACAAGAAAATATTACTGATAAATGTTACAAAGCAAATTTCTTTAGAATAACATTTAAACAGAAACCCGAACTACAAGGAGACAACTCAGCCAAAATAAGAAAAGCACTCCAAGGTTAGGGAATAGTTGGTTTGAAAGTCCTAAGGTGAGAATGAGCTTGCTTTATCTGAGGAAAAGAAACATGGCCAGGTGGAAAGACCTCGACTAGACTGAGGGAATGGGAGGCACGGAGAAGATGACAATTATTTTGCATATCACTTCTTACTTCATTCCTTTTTCCATCTAGTTCTTTTTACCATTCCATTTTCTTTCCCCCTCTTTTAACCCGTTTAGGTTGAAGATCTAGTCAGTTAATGGCTATCAAAGTTCATAACTGCAGATCTTCTAGCTTTTTTTTTTTTAAGATGGAATTTTACTCTTGTTGCCCAGGCAGGAATGAAGTGGTGTGATATCGGCTCACTTTAGAACTCCGCCTCTGGGGTTCAACCGATTCTCCTGCCTCAGCCTCCCAAGTAGCTGGGATTACAGGTGCCCGCCACCATGCCCTTTTTTTTTTTTTTTTTTTTTTTTTGAGACAGAGTCTCACTCTTGCCCAGGCTAGAATGCGGGGGCATGATCTTGGCTCACCGCAACTTCTGCCTCCAGGGTTCAAGTGCTTCTCCTGTCTCAGCCCCACCAAATAGCTGGAATTACAAGCACGCGCCACCATGCCCAGCTAATTTTTTGAATTTTTAGTAGAGACGGGGTTTTACCATGTTGGCCAGGCTGGTCTCAAACTCCTGACCTCAGGTGATCCACCAGCCTCAGCCTCCCAAAGTGCTGGCATTACAGGCGTGAGCCACCACACCAGGCCTAATTTTTGTATTTTTAGTAGAGAGGGGGTTTCACCATGTTGGCCAGGCTGGTCTCGAACTCCTGACCTCAGGTGATCCACTCACCTCGACCACTCAAAGTACTCAGGTTACAGGCGTGAGCCACCATGCCCAGCCAGATCTTTTTTTTTTTTTTTTTTTTTTTTGAGATGCAGTTTCACTCTTGTCACCCAGGCTGGAATACAATGGTGCCATCTTGACTCACCACAACCTTCGCCTCCCAGGTTCAAGTGATTCTCCTGCCTCAACCTCCCGAGTGGCTGGGATTACAGGCATGCGCCACCATGCCCAGCTACTTTTGTATTTTTAGTAGAGATGGGGTTTCTCCATGTTGGTCAGGCTGGTCTCGAACTCCTGACCTCGGGTAATCTGCCCGCCTCGCCCTCCCAAAGTGCTGGGATTACAGGACTGAGCCACCATGCCCGACCAGATCTTCTACCTTTTAATACTATCTATTAAAAAAAAAATAAAATTAGCGAGGCACTGTGGCTCACACCTGTAATCCCAGCAGTTTAGGAGGCCAAGGCAAGGGTTGTGGAGTGGTTAAGGCCATGAGTTTCAGACCAGCCTGGGCAACACAGCAAGACTCCATCTCTCTCTCTCTCTCTTTTTTTTTTTGAGAGGGAGTCTTGCTCTGTTGCCCAGGCTAGAGTGCAGCTATCTTGGCTCACAACCTCCACCTCCCGGGTTCAAGGGATTCTCCTGCCTCAGCCTCCTGAGTAACTGGGATTACAGGTGCCCGCCGCTGCACCTGGCTAATTTTTCTATTTTTAGTAGAGACAAGGTTTCACCATCTTTGCTAGGCTGGTCTCGAACTCCTGACCTCGTGATCCACTTACCTCAGACTCCCAAAGTGCTGAGATTGCAGGCGTGAGCCACCGCACCCAGCTGCGAGACTCTATCTCTAAAAGATTAATTAATTAATTAGGCCGGGCATGGTGGCTCAGGCCTGTAATCCCAGCACTTTGGGAGGCCGAGGTCGGCAGATCACCTGAGGTCAGGAGTTTAAGACTAGCCTGACCAACATGGAGAAACCCAGTCTCTACTAAAAATACAAAATGAGCCGGACGTGGTGGCGCATGCCTGTAATCCCAGCTACTCGGGAGGCTGAGGCAGGAGAATCGCTTGAACCCAGGAGGCAGAGGTTGCAGTGAGCCGAGATCACACCATTGCACTCCAGCCTGGGCAGCAAGAGCAAAACTCTGTCTCAAAAAAAAAAAAAAAAAAAGAAAAGAAAAGAAAAGAAAGAAACAAATTAGTTGGGCATGATGGCAGGCGCCTGTAATCCCAGCTACCCAACTACTTGGGAGGCTAAAGCAGGGAGAACTGCTTGAACCCAGGAGGCAGAGGTTGCAGTGAGGCCAGATCACGACACTGCATTCCAGCCTGGGCAATAGAGCGAGACTCTGTCTCAAAAATAAAATTAAAAAAAAAAAAAAAAGACACAGAAGACAGGTCTCGAAAAAAATTTACAAAAAGGTAAACAATGCAAGTTCAAGTGAGAGTCCGAAATGGCAAGCATACATAATTACCAAAAGCAGTATAAGCAATAAAAAGTAGCCATAAACGCACTATAGGAGGTTGGAGGAAGAACTGGCGAGGGCATCAGTAAACATTTTGAAAAGCTGAGTTTGAAACCAGGCTTTACTAGCATTTGAAAAGGTGTACTGGTAGGGCAATTTGGCTTCAGGAACTGTTGTAAACAAAGGCAATGTGACACATATAAACCAGTTTGGGCTGGAGCTGACTGAATAGGAAATATTTTCTACAAGGTTTCCTCCCATTTAAAACAAAAGGCCAAAGTCGTCAGTGTAACACTTATATTCTTCGGTTCTTATTCCAGACTAATTATGTCCCTTCTTCCCTCACAAAATCTACATTCCTGTCAAAGACTATAACCTGGCCACAACCTGAACATATCCTATGTTTCCTCCATAGCTTTGCTCATCTATTAAGTATTAAGAAGTGTGGGCTTAGGCCCGGCATGGTGACTCACGCCTGTAATCCCAGCACTATGGGAGGCTGAGGCAGGCGAATTACCTGAGGTCAGGAGTTCGAGACCAGCCTGACCAACATGACCCCATCTCTACTAAAAATACAAAATGAGCTGGGTGTGGTGGCGCATGCCTGTAATCCCAGCTACTCCAGAGGCTCAGGAAGGAGAATCGCTTCAACCTGGGAGGCGGAAGTTGCGATGCGCCAAGATCGTGCCACTGCACTCCAGCCTGGGCATCAAGAGTGAAACTCTGTCTCAAAAAAAAAAAAAAAAAAAAAAAAGAAGTGTGGGCTTGGTAGGGCGCAGTGGCTCATGCTTGTAATCCCAGCACATTGGGAGGCCAAGGCAGGTGGATCACTTGAGGTCAGGAGTTCAAGATCAGCCTGGCTAAGATGGTGAAACCCCAACTCTAGTAAAAATACAAAAATCATCCAGGTGTGGTGGCACATACCTGTAATCCCAGATAGTCAGGAGGCTAAAGCAGGAGAATTCCTTGAACTTGGGAGGTGAAGGCTGCAGTGAACCAAGATTGTGCCACTGCACTCCAGCCTGGGATACAGGACAAGACTCTGTCTCCAAAAAAAAAAAGTGTGGGCTGGGCTCTGTGGCCCACACCTGTAATCTCAGCACTTTGGGAGGCCGAGGTGGGTGGATCCTTCAGGCTAGGAGTTTGAGACCAGCCCAGCAACATGGTGAAACCCCGTGTCTACTAAAAATACAAAAAAAAAATTAGCCAGCATGGCGCACCTGTAGTCCCAGCTACTCAAGAAGCTGAGGCACGATAATTGCTTGAATCCGGAAAACGGGGTTAGGATGCAGTGAGCTGAGATCGCGCCACTGCACTCCAGCCTGGGTGACGGACCAAGACTCTGTCTCAAAGGAAAAAAAAAAAAAAAAAGTGTGCTCCTGACTGGGCTTGGTGGCTCACACCTATAAATCAGTACTTTGGGAAGTCGAGGCGGGTGGATCACTTGACGCCTGGAGTTCAAGACCAGCCTGGCCAACATGGTGACACCCCATATCTACTAAGAATACAAAAATTAGCCAGGTGTGGTGGTGCATGCCTGTAATCCCAGCCACTTGGGAGGGTGGGGCACAAGAATTACTTGAACCAGGCAGGCAGAGGTTGCAGTGAGCCAAGATCTTGACACTGCACTCCAGCCTCAGTGACAGAGCAAGACTCTGCCTCAAAAAAAAAAAGAAAGAAAAAAGAAAGTAGTGTGCTCCTGTACAGGGCCAACAGTCAAAATCCTATCCATTCTTCAAGACCCAGCTTAAAAATGCTACTTTCTCCATGAAGCCTACCCAACCTAGCTAAATAATATTTCTCTTTTCTTTGGGGTTCCCAAAGCATTCTGTTTCTATTTTTACTTGCACATACAATTAAAGGTAGGTCTGGAACCTGAACAAGTTGTTGAACCCTATATGGACAATAAAGATGGATGTCTCAGGTGGGGCGCGGTGGCTCACGCCTGTAATCCCAGCACTTTGGGAGGCTGAGGCAGGCAGATCTCCTGAGGTTGGGAGTTCGAGACCAGCCTGACCAACATGGAGAAACCCCATCTCTACTAAAAATGCAAAATTAGCTGGGCATGGTGGTACACGCCTGTAATCCCAGCTACCTGGGAGGCTGAGGTTGCGGTGAGCTGAGATTGCACCATTGCACTCCAGCCTGGGCAACAAGAACAAAACTCCATCTCAAAAAAAAGAGGATGACTGTCTCAGAAGCATCAGGGAATAGAATTCCAAAGCTATAAGCTTTTAAGGGAATAAGCAGCAAGATAAATCTGATCCATAAGCCCTAAAGAGAAAACAAGAAAGAAGTACCTTTTGTTGAAAGAATCAGCAACTACATACCAATCATCAAAAGGCAGGTGAAGGCATGTGTAGTATATTCAGGTGGTAGTCTTGTTTCTAAACTGCTTGTAGTCTGTAAGCTGTGGCTGTTTGCGAAGCAAATGCTTTCCAGATGGAAAACTTGACTAAGCAGAAAACAAGAACTTATGCCACACACAGTTAGCAGGAGTTTCTTTTTTTTTTGGAGATGGAGTCTTGCTCTTTCACCCAGGCTAGAGTACAGTGGTGCAATCTCGGCTCCCTGCAACCTCCGCCTCCCAGGTTCAAGCAGTTCTCCTGCCTCAGCCTCCCGAGTCACTGGGATTACAGGCATGCACCACCACGCCCAGCTAATTGTGTATTTTTAGTAGAGACGGAGTTTCTCCATGTTGGTCAGGCTGGTCTTCAGTTCCCACCTGAGGTGATCCACCCATCTAGGCCTCCCATAGTGCTGGTATTATAGGCGTGAGCCATCACGCCCAGTCAGGAGTTTCATTTTTAAAGGAACACCAGCCCTTGAATTCCAGAGGATCAAAGGCTAGAATGCTGGTGTGCGAATACATTTTGAATTTTATCTGAGATGTGTTCTGAAACTTGGAAAACCCCTTGAGTATGTTGACATGGATATTTTGACACAGATTTTTGGGTTGAGAGGCCACAAGAGTCTACAAATGTTAGTATGGACACAGAGATACCTCAAGCTATCTTTCAAAGGTGAATTTAAGATAAAATAAAAGTGGTTAGAAAGCTAGACCAGAATTATGACTACATTGGAAACGTATCAGAACACCACAGTGGCCAGGCATGGTGGCTCACACCTGCAATCCCAGCACTTTGAGAGGCTGAGGTGGGTGGATCACTTGAGGTCAGGATTTCAAGACCAGCCTGGCCAACATGGTGAGACCTCATCTCTACTAAAAATACAAAAAAAGTTAGCTGGGCATGGTGGTGTGCACCTGTATTCCTAGCTCCTCAGGAGGCTGAGGCAGGAGAATCACTTGAACCCGGGAGGTGGAAGCTGCAGTGAGCTGAGTGGAGTGCACCACTGCACTCCAGCCTGGGTGACAGAGCAAGACTTGTCTAAAAAAAGAAAAGAAAAACAAAAACCACCACAGTGGGCCAGGTGCAGTGGCTCATGTCTGTAATCCCAGTACTTTGGGAGGGTGAGGTGGGAAGATTACTTGAGGCCAGGAGTTCGAAACTAGCCTGGGCAACATAGTGAGTCCCTGCCTCTATTTATGTGAGAAAAATAAAAGTTCAAAAACCCCCACCACAAGTTGGGCGTGGTGGCTCACGCCTGTAATCTCTGCACTTTGGAGGCCAAGGAGGGTGGATCACCTGAGGTCAGGAGTTGAAGACCAACCTGGCCAACATGATGAAACCCCATCTCTACTAAAAAAATACAAAAAATTAGCCAGGCGTGGTGGCAGGCGCCTGTAATTCCAGCTACTTAGGAGGCCTGAGGCAGGAGAATCACTTGAACCGAGGAGGCGGAGGTTGCAGTAAGCTGAGATTGCGCCACTGCACTCCAGCCTGGGCAACAAGAGCGAAACTCCGTCTCAAAAAAAGAAAAAAAAACGCCACCACATTGTACCCCATAAGGATACACCATTCTTGTCAGTTAAAAATTAATACTATAGGCTGGGCGCAGTGGCTCACACCTGTAATCCCAACACTTTGGGTGGCCGAGGAGGGTAGATCACCCGAGGTCAGGAGTTCAACACCAGCCTGGCCAACATGGCAAGACCCCCATCTCTACTAAAAATACAAAAATTAGCCGGGCGTTGTCGGGGCCCCCTGGTAGTCCCAGCTACTCCGGAGGCTGAAGCAGGAGGATCGCTTGAACCTGGGAGGCGGAGGTTGCAGTGAGCTGAGATCGCGCCACTGCACTCCAGCTTTGGCGACAGAGCGAGACTCTGTCTCAAAAAAAAAAAAAAAAAATTAATACCATAGTTCTGTTACGCACTCAAAGTGTCAACTATTATTTTAAAAGGCACAATTTCACAGACAAATTAGGTTGCCCCCTTCTGGTCATCAAAGTATAAATGCTAAAGGCAGGAAAGATTTAATACAAGTTATTCTATGCAAATATTGACAAGATCTAAATTTTGTCCATATCTGAGTAACTTCTCCAAATAACCTTGGAAAGGCTATTCAATTTTTCAACAGACATTGCTACTGGTAAATTATTGCTCAGGTCAATACAAAGGACACAGAAGATTTTTCAAGATTCTTTTAAAACAGATATATTCAAGCTATTTGCTTGCTGACAAAACCCAGAATCTGAGGCCTGAGGTATTTAAAACGGCCAGTTGCACAGCCTGTATACCTTTTCTATATTTAGTACCAGAGTGAGTACAAAACTGAAGCTAACCATTCTGGGCAACAGAGACTGTCCCCACAAAAAAGAAGCCATGCATGGTGGCATGAGACTGTAGTCCTAGCTACTCAAGAGGCTGTGGTGGGAGGACTGCTTGTGTCCAGGAGGTTGAGGCTTCAGTGAGCCATGATGCCACCACTGCACTCCAGCCTGGCAACAGAGCGACACTCTGTCTTAAAAAAACAAAAAACAAACAAACAAACAAACAAAAAGAAACTAACTGAGGCTAAGACAAACATGGCAAAGCAACAGCTTAACTCTGCCAAATGTCACAGACACAGGACAAGCAAACTACTATGCACATTAATTTGGCTGAGTTCTCAGAATGGATCTCAAAGCTCCCCTATTCATCATTCATTCATCAACAATCTGAACGGCCTACTATGTGCCAGGCACTAATGAACAAGAGGTGCGTCCCCATTTTTTCATTTTTCTTTTTTTGAGACAGAGTTTCGCTCTTGTTGCCCAGGCTGGAGTGCAATAGCGCGATCTCGGCTCATGGCAACCTCTGCCTCCCGGGTTCAAACGATTCTCCTGCCTCAGCCTCCCAAGTAGCTGGGATTACAGGTGTGCACCACCACGCCCAGCTAATTTTGTATTTTTAGTAGAGATGGGGCCAGTATGGCTCCATTTTATGGGAGCCCATAAACTAGCAATTAGCCTTCTACACCAGAAACTCTTCGTGGAAAGAACCTATGAAGTGAAAATCTACCAAATCTAATGCAAAATCTCTTACACCACTGCAGATAGGATTTTTTTTTAAAAAAGGGAGGTTTTGCTAGATAAACCACTAGAGGATGCCAAAATTTAATGAATTATTTTCAAATGGTGTGAACAACAAAGAGAAACATTTTCCTAGTCCTTAAAATGGGCACAAGAATGAGTGCTATCTTTCTTTAGAGGTATAGTTTGTAAGTTATAGGTATCCTGTATTCAGAAATGCAGAAGACCAGGGTAACTTACTTACCACTAGGCTTCTATTTACATTCAAAACTATTTATTTCACACACCATCTATCTACCTATCATCTATCTTTTCTTTTTTTTGAGACAGAGTCTCGCTCTGTTGCCCGGGCTGGAGTGCAGTGGTGCAGATCTCGGCTCACTGCAACCTCTGCCTCCCGGGTTCAAGCGATTCTCCTGCCTCAGCCTCCCGAGTAGCTGGGACTACAGGCATGCGCCACTAGGCCCAGCTAATTTTGTATTTTTAGTAGAGACAGGGTTTCACCATGTTGGTTGGCCAGGATGGTCTCGATCTCTTGACCTCATGATCCGCCCACCTCAGACTCCCAAAGTGCTGGGATGACAGGCTTGAGCCACTGCGCCCGACCCTACTATTTATTTTTTTAATGAGAAACAATTTAGGATACAGCAGCCATTGAAGAAAAATATCACCACAGGGAAAACCGTAAACGACTTCAGGTCCTCCACTCCCGTGAAGCTTCATTAAGGTGCCACCGGTTTCAATACAAGTGCTTTTCAATCACACCACTTTCATATAAAAGTCTATAAGGCACCTAGGGAGGAACACCGGCATTAATTTCCCCATTGTATTCCTGAATCTATTCCAAAGCCTTGGACCTTTCACAATCTTTCCAAACTGCTGATGTGACTCTTAACACAATTGAGGAGGCTACTTTACCCTGGGCTAGGGGTTCTAGTATATAACTGATTATAGCTGAACTTTTTGTAAATTCCACCTCAATTGCGTTAAACCAACACGTCTAAATGTAACACCAATTTATGAAAAACCCTCATTTGAAACTTTGAAAAAGAGGTAAAATATGGCCAGGCGCAGTGGCTCACGCCTATAATCCCAGCACTTTGGGAGGCCGACGCGGGAGGATCACGAGGTCAGGAGTTCGAGACCAGCGTGACCAGTACGGTGAAACCCCGTCTCTACTAAAAATACAAAAATTAGCCGGGCGTGGTGGCGTGTGCCTGTAATCCCAGCTAGTCGGGAGGCTGAGGCAAGAGAATCGCATGAATCCGGGAGGTGGAGGTTGCAGTGAGCCAAGATCGCACCACTGCACTCCAGCCTGGGCAACAGAGGAAGACTCTTCTCAAAAAAAAAAAAAAAAAGAGGTAAAATATAGCTCACTCTATTCAAATTTTCCAACAAGGAAAAGCTGGCTAAAAACAGAAGGGCCCACGAAACAAATATTACCTCACAATCTCACATAATTTTCCTATGTCTCCCAATTTCTCGCACCTCACACGATCTCACAATCTCTCACTACCTCACGCCGTTCCTCAACTATTAACTCATCTACATATTTTTACAATTTCATCACCTTTGTGAGACCAGTTACGATCCCACACAAAAACGTACGGAACTAATTTTGAATCAAAGCAAGAACTGCACTTGGACTTTTTTAACTCCCCAAAGGAATCATGGAGTGAAGGTAGTAGGAAACCTGGAAAACTGAAAAAAGCGTATTCCATCCTTTCTTCGCACATTATTCTTACAGCCTCCCCACTGTAAGGACCCATCAGGATGCAAGGGCGGCCTGCTTTCCCCTTTTTTCTTACATACCTTATAGAAATATTCTCGGGATCTCCGCCCTACTTATCCTAACAGCTCCTCCCCTTCCAGAGTCAGGCCCAGCAAACGCCTGCCCCTCCCCCTCCGTGTCCCCTTTCCCAATTTATTCCACACATCTCCTCCTCCAATCAGCACACCTTGTGCGGCCCTGGGCCCTCTTCCAATTCACTCGACGTTACTCCTCCGTAGTCCTGCAAAGCCAGGTTCCTCTGGCAGTCCCAGCCGGACCCGGCGTCTTCCGAATACAGTTACAAACCTCGGGTTGTGCGGTCGTATGCGCCTCCTCACGCCTATCCAAGCCTCAAGCCTGTCCCCTTCCGCCCTATCCCGCAGCCGCCCAGCCAAGCAACATTGTTCCAGACCACCCGGGCCCCGAAGAGCGGCCCCCAAGTGCTCGGCCCACCCCCAAGCACTCAGTCTCTGGCTCAGGATTCGCGCCCCGCCCTCTCCATCCTTCACGCAGCTGGCACCGACGCCTCAGCGACAGGCGAAGAGCTCAGCGCGGGAAGCGGAGAAGCAGGACGCTGGACCCGGGCGCGCTCCCCGCTCCTAACCTCCGCCTCGAAAGCGCGTTCCCTCACGCAGGGCTCCCGCCGCCGCCGCCGCCGCGCCCCCTCCCCCAGCTCTCCCGCCTCCAGCGGGCTCCTCACCTCAGAGCAGCGCCCAAGAGCCCGAGAGGAATCGGTGCTGCGCTGCTGGCGCGTCGCGTCGGGTCGCCTGGGGGAGTGGCGCCCAGGAAGGCAGCAAGCCGGGTGGCCGCAGTGGCGTCCCTCACTGAAGCGGCGTACCGCAGGCCCCGGCCAACGGCCCTCCCCTCAGCCGAACAAAAGAGCCTCGCAGTCTGCGCTGCCCGCCGCTCGCACCGCGCAGGCGCAACGACCCGCCGCACGGCACCATGGGCCTCGGGGGTCTGTCCAAGACTACAAGGCCCGAAGCGCCGCGCGCCGCGCACGCACAGTAGGCGAGGGTGGTAGGGACTTATAGTTTTTAAACTGTAACGGTGGAGAGATTGCAGCGTAGAGCGTTGTAACCTAGAATATTAGAACATATGGGCCAGGGGCAGTCGCTCACGCCTGTCATCCCAGCACTTTGGGAGGCCGAGGCGGGTGGATCACCTGAGGTCAGGGGTTCGAGACCAGTCTTACCAACAAGGTGAAACCCTGTCTCTACTAAAAATGCAAAAATTAGCCGAGCGTGGTGGCAGGTGCCTGTAGTCCCAGCTACTCAGGAGGCTGAGACAAGAATTGCTTGAACTTGGGAGGCGGAGCTTGCAGTGAGCCGAGATCCAGCCACTGCGATCCAGCCTGGGCGATGGAGCGAGACTCCATCTCAAAAAAAAAAAAAAAAAAAAATTAGAACATATGATTTTTATAAGCGAGCCCCCTGATGCTTGGCCCCCAAAAAATCAACCACTTCTGGACAGTTCTGTAATTCACATCCTCAAAATTTTTGAATCTTAGATTCTTCACCAGAACTTTATCATATCGCCGCTGCCTCAAATTTCCAATGATTTCTTAGTCCTCAATCTCTGCCTCCTCAAATCTCTGTAAAATTCCTACTCACGCCGGCACGGTGGCTCAAGCCTATAATCCCAACACTTGGGGAGGCGGAGGTGGGTGGATCACTTGAGGTCAGGGTTTCAAGACCAGCCTGGCCAACATGGTGAAACCCCATCTCTACTAAAATACAAAAATTAGCTGGGCGTCGTGGCGGGCGCCTGTAGTGCCAGCTACTCGGGAGGCTGAGGGAGGAGAATCGCTTGAACCCAGGAGGTGGAGGTTACAGTGAGCCGAGATCGCGCCATTGCACTCCAGCCTGGGCAACAAGAGCGAAACTTCGTCTAAAAAAAAAAATACTGTTCAGTGTTAAGATTACTTCCCCTTTGAGGTCTTCCCTGATTCCCTAGAGTAGGTTAGGTCCCCCCATAGGCCTCTCATAGCTTCCTGAATTTCCCCCTTTTCACTGGCTGCGCCACAAAAATGTCCTCTTTTTCATTGTAAGTTGTGCTCACCTTTTTCAGTGTCATTAATCTCCGTCAGCACCTTTCACCCAATCATCCCAAGGAAACACACAATTAGGAAAAAAACATGTTTTTAAGCCACAATATAACTAAAGTTTTATTTTTTTATTTTAAAGTATCCTTCTAATCAGGAGGAAGAGGGAAACTCTATTGCACTCTACCCCAAAAGGCAAGAGTTTGCATTTATAAGACAGTTTTGCTGATGCAGGCACTGTTCAGGGCAGGAGTTTGCATTTATAAGACAGTTTTGCTGATGCAGGCACTGTTCACGGCTCTGGAGAACTGTCATGTAAGAAAAACCCAGCCCAGCAATATCATAATAGAGTTTAGTTAAAAGGGCTTCAAGAAAGCACAGAGAAGATGAGAGGTGAAGCCAGCTGGACTTCCTGGGTCGAGTGGGGACTTGGAGAACTTTTCTGTCTTACAAGAGGATTGTGAAATGCACCAATCAGCGCTCTATACCTAGCAAGGGGATTGTAAAATATACCAATCAGCACTCTGTAAAAACACACCAATCAGCCCTCTGTAGCTAGCAAGAGGATTGTAAAATGCACCAATCAGCACTCTGCAAAATGCACCAATCAGCGCTCTGTAAAATGCAGGAATCTAAAAGTAGCCAATCACAGGGAGGATTGAAAAAAGGGCACTCTGATAGGACAGAAATAGCAAATGGGCAGGGACAAACAAGGGTGTAAAAGCTGGCCCCCTGCCCCCCACCCATTCCTGTTAGCCCGCAGCAGCAACCTGCTCAGGTCGGTTTCCACGCTATGGAAGCCTTGTTCTTTCGCGTTCTTTCGCTCTTCACAACAAATCTTGCTGCTGCTCACTCTTTGGGTCCCTGCCAGCTTTAAGAGCTGTTTTTAACACCATGAAGGTCCGCGGCTTCATTGTTTAAGTCAGGGAGACCACAAACCCACCGGAAGGAATCAACTCCGGACACAAAGAGAGCAATTCTTCCTGAAACATTTGGGCTGGGTTTCTAGGAAGAAGCAAGTGAGAAGCAAGCATCTCCTCACTTCCTCCTGTAGTGTACTGTTTTTGACTGATGATGATGAGAAAATTAGTTGTAATGATAATTAGCTACTATTAATGAGTGCTTTTTTTGTTTTTTTTCCCTGAGGTGGAGTCTTGCACTGTCGCCCAGGCTGGAGTGCAATGGCAAGATCACGGCTCACTGCAACCTCCGCCTCCCGGGTTCATGCACTTCTCCTGCCTCAGCCTCCCAAGTAACTGGGATTACAAGTGCATGCCACCATGCACAGCTAATTTTTTTGTATTTTAGTAGAGACGGGGGTTTCACCATGTTGCCCAGGCTGGTCTTGAACTCCTGAGTTCAGGCATCCACCCGCCCAAAGTGCTAAGATTACAGGCGTGAGCCACCACTTCTGGTTTATTTTTTATTTTATTTTATTTATTTATTATTATTATTATTTTTTGAGACGGAGTCTAACTCTGTCACCCAGGCTGGAGTGCAGTGGCATGATCCGGTTCACTGCAACCTCCACCTCCCAGGTTCAAGCAATTATCCAGCCTTGGTCTCCCGAGTAGCTGGGATTACAGGTGCCCACCACCATGCCCAGCTAATTTTTTTGTTTCCCGAGACTGAGTCTTGCTCTGTCACCCAGGCTGGAGGGCAGTGGTGAGATCTCGGCTCACTGCAACCTCCACCTCCCGGGTTCAAGCAATTATCCAGCCTCAGTCTCCTGAGTAGTTGGGTTTACAGTCGCCCGCCACCGTGCCTGGCTAATTTTTGTAATTTTAGTAGAGGGAGGTTTCACCATGTTGGCCAGACTGGTCTTGAACTCCTGACCTCAAGTGGTCCCACTGCCTCCGCCTACCAAAGTGCTGGGATTACAGGTGTGAGCCACCGCACCCAGCCTTAATTTTTGTATTTTTAGTAGAGACGGGTTTTCACTGTGTTTTCAGGCTGGTCTTGAACTCCTAACCTTGTGATCCCCCCGTTGCAGCCTCCCAAAGTGCTGGCGTTACAAGTGTGAGCCACCACACCCGGCCTATTTTTTTTTTTTTTTTTTTTTGAGACAGGATGTTACTCTCTCTCCTAGGCTGAAGTGCAGTAGTGCAATCACGGTTCACTGTAGTCTCAACTTCCCAGGCCCAAGTCATCTTTCCCCCTCAGCCTCCTGAGTAGCTTTGAGCCACACCTTACTCAGCTAATTTTTTCTATTTTGTAGAGCCAGAGTCTTGTCACATTGTCCAGGTTGGTCTGGAACGCCTGGGCTCAAGCAGGCCTTGACCTGTCTCGGCCTCCCAAAGTGCTGGGATTACAGATGTGAGCCACCATGCCTGGCCATAAATTCTTGATTGATTTAATCTCATTTCTATCTAACACCCAAACCATATTTCTGTCTACATAAAATGCTGCCATCCCTAATTCCTTGTATTGAGCTGAATTCTGCTCCCCATGGAGATGCCACCTATTTTCCCTAATTCTGGCATCTGTAGCCACACAGTAAGCCTTATCTTTCTTTCATATGTTTCTTCTAATATTGAAGTTCAGCCATCATGTTCCCTGAGGTCTCTATTTAAATGTCATCATTTTCCTAAACTGTACATTACAGGGCAACAGTTTCAGATGTATCATATTTATTGTGTTAGTAAATTCTGGCTCTTATATGTGTGTTTCAAGGTGGAGAGGGCCATCACTGCCTTTGTCCTGTATACCATTCTTTTTTTTTTTTTTTTTTTTTTTTGAGACGGAGTCTCACTTTGTCACTAGGCTGGAGTGCAGTGGCATGATCTTGGCTCACTGAAGCCTCTGCCTCCCGGGTTTAAGTGATTCTCCTGCCTCAGTCTCCCGACTAGCTGGAATTACAATCACACACCACCAGATGGTCTCAATCTCTTGAGAGTTCAAGACCAGGCTGGGCAATATAGTGAGACCTCATCTATACAAATAATAATAAAAAATTAGTCGGGCATGGTGGCACACACCTGTGGTCCCAGCTACTTAGGAGGCTTGGGTGGCAGGATCACTTGAGCCCAGGAGGTTGAGGCTGTCTTAATATTAAGACATGTGAGGCTAGGCACGGTGGCTCATGCCTGTAATCCCAGCACTTTGGGAAGCCAAGGCGGGTGGATCATGAGGTCAGGAGTTCAAGACCAGCCTGACCAATATGGTGAAACCCCATCTCTACTAAAAATACAAAAATTAGCTGGGCATGGTGGCGCGTGCCTGTAATCCCAGCTAGTCAGTAGGCAGTTTCTTGAGACTTTCCTGATGAGATCAGTGATGAATTTAATAAATGTGATTTTTTTTTACATTGAATAAATGCATCAACATTGGCTGATCTGCATAACTCTGTACCAGTATTTTCTAAATGGCTTGACTCCCTATCACACTTAACCTTTAAGAAATGACTCCATCTCCAAGGTGGTGTGTACTTAAAAATAAATAAATAAACACTTCCAGTCTCGGCAACATAGGGAGACTCTATGTTGTATAAAATTTTAAAAACTTAAAAAATTATCTGTATAAAAATTTTAAAAATTAACCGAGTATGGTGGCACACGCCTGCGGTCCCAGCAGCTCCAAGGGCTGAGGAGGGAGGATGGCTTGAGCCCTGGAGGTTGAGGCTGCAGTGAGCTGTGATCCTGCCACTGCACTCCAGCCTGGGCAACAGAGCAGGACCCTGTCTCAAAAAAGCAAAGAAAAGTTACCATTTGTTGAATTTGGGTAGTATCAAAGAAGAGTATTCAGAATTGTTTGAGAAGGCTAAAAATACTCTTCCTTTTCTCAACTACATAGCTATATAAGGCTGAATTTTCTTAATGTACCAAAACAACAGAGCACAACAGAGAAAGGGGAAGCACATAGGAGAACCCAGCTATCTTCCTTTTTATTTATTTATTTTTTACAATGGAGTCTCCCAGGCTGGAGTGTAATGGCGCGATCTTGTCTCACTGCAACCTCCGATTCCTGGGTTCAAGCAATCCCCCTGTGTCAGTCTCCTGAATAGCTGGGATTACAGGTGCCCATGACCACGCCCAGCTAATTTTTGTAGTTTTAGTGGAGACGGGGTTTCACCATGTTGGCCAGGCTGGTCTCGAACTCCTGACCTCAGGTAATCCACCCGCCTCCGCCTCCCAAAGTGGTGGAAGTACAGGCGTGAGGCACTGTGCCCGGCCCCTTTCTTTTCTTTCCTCTCTTTTCTTCCTTTTAGCTCTCTCTCTTTTTTTCAGACAGGGTCTTGCTCTGCAGTGATCAGGGCTCACTGCAGCCTCGAACCCCTGGGTTCAAGCCATCCTCCTGTCTCAGCCTCCCGAGTAGCTGGGACTACAGGCGCGTGTCACCATGCCCGGCTAATTTTTAAAATATTTTGCAGAGGCGAGGGTCTCCCTAAGTTGGTAGGGCGTGTCTCAAGCCTGGCCTCAAGCGATCCTCCCGCCTCGGCCTCCCTAATAGTATTGGGATTACAGGCGTGAGCCACCGCGCTAGGCTTGCTGAAATTATCTTTAAATAAGTTGTTAAAAGACCACCAACACATTGAACGGCTTTCTCTTGCTCCCTAGCTGCATGATATTGCTTCGAGTTTGTTTCGGTGTGAGCAATCTGAGTCGCCGGACCCTCTCGAGTCTGACTTTCACTCTGACAATCGGTCCGTGGCTTTACGAATCTGAATCGGAGTCCCCTTGATAGCTCCGCTGGGGAACAGCAAACTACGAGGTTCAAATGGTGGCTCTCGGGACTTAGTGAGGATCCAGGGATGTGGGCTTCCTAAAGCCCCGAACCTCCCACACTGCAGACTATCCCTCGCATAGCGAGAACAAGAGTAACAACCCCCTTACACCCCTCTGCTCCCGGGACCCACTGGCTGCCCGTCGCTGACGCCCCCTGGCCGCTGATTGGCTTCCCCTGACAGTGGGCGGAACGCGGCCCCGGATTGGATATCCATTCGCCGTCCCTCACCCGGCACCTGCGTGCACTCTCCGGCGTCCCAAGTGAGTGGAGGGGGGATCCCGACTCCAGTCCGGGGCCTTGGCCAGCGGAGCCGCGCTATTCGGAAGCGGGAATCCCACTCAGAGCCCGGGCCTGTAGGGGCGGGGCGTCCCGGGCACCCGGGATTGGGGCGTCTCCCGTCGTGCACCGGGGCACCGGCGACTCACCCGGAAGGAGAAGCCGTGATCTGGCTATATGGTGGGGCGCGGGCGGTGTCGCTGTGGGGAGCTGGTGCTGTTCTCAGGTGAGAGGGCGTGGGCGGGGCCTGGGGAGTGGGTGCTGCTCTCCTGTGAGGGGGCGTGGGCTTGAGCGTCAGTAGTGGCACTCGGGATGGTGGCATCGCTTTACATCCTAGGGAGGGACTCTCTTACCACCCGGGATTAAGGCAAGGGCTTGCTCGGGATCCAAGAAAGGAAACCCGGCTTTTCAGTTTACCTTCAAAGTGTATCTTTCACTTCCTACCCCCCAAGCTTAATCGGAAAGAAAGAAGGACCATGTGGACCTTTCGGTCCTAGTTTGTTGAGAATGGAGAAAGAGTGGCCGTAGTAAAAGACTCTGGGGACATTTACTTAAATGGCTAAGACTGGGGGCAATGGCGAGTATTTTACGTGGACACGGGAGACTTGGCGGTAGATTGTGGTCGCCTTTGTTACTTACCTTCCAAGTGAAAGGCGTACGATTAGAGATGGACAAAAAGATGGAGCATAACTGCTTGGTTGAGATCACACAGAGCTTGGTCAGAACTGGGAGCTTCCTCTGTTTAGTACCTGTGATATTTATAATTGGAGCGAGAGCTTTTTGAATTGCTTTCTGCCATCTGGCACTAAAGGCTCAAGATTGAGTAAGAAGGGACGGTAGTCTCAGTAGTTCCATCTACTTTTATCACCTGATTTGTTTCTTAACCTGTCTCTTGAAGTTGTTTAAATGGGAGAGAAAATAAATGGTGAGACTAAAGCCTTGCATTGTTACTATATTAGAAAGCTTTACGATGAATCTACTTTGTAAACAGCAAACAATCGGGTACTCACCAGAGCTACTGGTGCTGGTACAGGTGAAGAAAGTAAAGGAAACTTCAGATGTGGTTGAAAGGGCCCAGAAAATGTAGTTAACACTAAGTTATGTAACTAGCTATGGTCACTGACTCTAGCCTTATTTGGATGAAGTACAGATCCATCTCCCAGATCAGAGAACTAAAGTTAGGAACTTCCTGCTGCTTCTCCAGAGGCAGAACTGAGCTTTTTCTTTTGAGGAGTGGTATCTGTGGGGAGGAATCTAATGGAGAAGAGTGGTTGCTAGAAATTACTACTTGGTGTCTAGGTTTTTGTATTTGTTCCAGTGTTTATTTGTTTGTTTTTTGAGACAGGGTCTTGCTCTGTCGCCCAGGCTGGAGTGCAGTGGTGTGATCTTGGCTCATTGCAGACTCCGCCTCCTGGGTTCCAGCAATTCTCATGCCTCAGTCTCCCGAGTAGCTGGGAGTACAGGCCTGTGCCACCATGCCCAGCTAATTTTTGTATTTTTAGTAGAGACGAAGTTTTGCCTTGTTGGCCAGGCTGTTCTTGAACTCCTGGCCTCAAGTGTTCTGCCCGCCTCAGCTTCCCAAAGTGTTGGATTACAGGCGTGAGCCACTGGGCCAGCCCAGTGTTTTTAAGGACAGTTACAACTGAAACTTTCTTTTTTTTTTTTTGAGACGGAGTCTCACTCTGTTGCCAGGATGGAGTGCAGTGGTGCGATCTCGGCTCACTGCAACCTCCACCTCCTGGGTTCAACTGATTCTCCTGCCTCAGTCTCCCGAGTAGCTGGGACTACAGGCACGCGCCACCATGCCCAGCTAATTTTTGTATTTTTAGTAAAGAAGGGGTTTCACCATGTTGGCCAGGATGGTCTCAATCTCTTGACCTCGTATTTCGCCCGCCTCGGCCTCCCAAAGTGCTGGGATTACAGACGTGAGCCACCGCACCCGGCCCATCTGGAGGTTTTTTGTTTTTTGTGTTTTTTTTTTTGACAACGGAGTCTTGCACTGTCGCCTGGGCTGGAGTGCAGTGGCGCGATCTCGGCTCACTGCAACCTCCGCCTCCCGGGTTCAAGTGATTCTCCTGCTTCAGTCTCCCAAGTAGGTGGGATTACAGGCGCCTGCCACCACGCCCGCTAATTTTTTTTATTTTTAGTAGAGACGGAGTTTCATTACGTTGGCCAGGCTGGTGTCTGGAGGTTTTTAAAAAGCCAGTTCATAGCTATTTGTTTCTGAGTGGTATTGGCCCCAAAGGAAAGAAGAATTTCTTCATGAAGGTAGTGCAGGGCCCTATACAAACTTCCTGAGACCAAGGGTATGATGATCATTTCGTTCCTAAATTATGGTCCTGAATTTGACAAACCTTTTTCAAGGCACAAAAGATGTATGAGCTCCACTGAGTGGATGACTGTGATTTCCTTGTCATCGTCTTTCCCGTTGTTAGTTTTGTTTAAAGACACTTCAGAATATTTAACTCTCTGCTCCTGTGCTGGCAGTTTATCCAATGCCTGCAAAGAGAAGAGAAAAAAAAAACTTAAGGAGGTTCATTGTTCACAGCAAATAGGTCTGCTCTTTTTGGTCTCAGACATTTGACTGATATCTGGAATGTTATATATGGGTTGTTATGGAATTGGAATTTCCCACCTTTCAGTTCAGGACCCCTTGGAGGTGGTGGCTGCATCAGATAAAAATCAGATTGTCAGCAAGAATACCATTTAAGATGGTACTGAAATCACAAAACCTTAGGTTTGCTCAATATTGTGTAGCCCAATTTTGTCATGGACCATGCAGCTTCGTTTCTGCATGCAGTGTTTGTCTGTGGAGATACTTCTGGTATATTGGAGAGAATTGAAAAAGTGGTTTGCTTTGCTAATTTCATGGTGTAAATGAGTTCCCCTTCTTTTGAAATGTTAGCCTTGTGTTAGCAAAACATAAAATAGAAGGAAACTCATTACACAGTGTTCTAATGGTAAGGCAGAACTAATAAGAGAATGTGTTTAAAATTAATTGTGGGACTGTAAAAATGAGTGGGTATGTGAATGAGTACGGGATGGGGGAGGAGAGGGAGGGCTTAGAGATATTAGAGATAGTCTTGTTTTCCCAGGAGCCAGCCTGGATCATTTGTTGGCAGTACATATTGGCTGAAGTCAGTTTTCATTTCAAGGTAAATTGGAAAGGGAAATTAAACCTTATTGTTTCTCTCTTAAGAGAGAAGGGGGTGCAGGCGGCAGCCAGGGTGGATGCTGTTGGAATAGTTGTAGAAGTAACAAGATTAGTGCTGTATTTTAACAGAAGGTGACATCATGGGCCCCATTGGACTTGAGTAACCCCGTGCTGCAGCCTTCATGGTCCCCTTGTCGGAGTGGGTGATGTCGCTATACACGTGAACTGCCACATTGGGGAAAATCAGGGGCTGAGGCTTTAATGAATCTTTACAAAGGAGCAGAACGCATCCTGAGTCGACCTGTGCAGCTGTGGGGTGCTTGGACAGAAGTACAAACCGGATGGCATGTCAGGAGAGGAAGTAATTAGAACAATTGGCTCGGGTTCCAGAGTATGGATTGGATAAGGGGAAGGTCCCAACTGGGCAACCCACTCAGGTGCTCCTTGGAGTGCTCTAGCTCTATGATTCACCTGTGGGGAGTTGACTGGTTGTTAGTGAGACTGGGAGAAATGCAGAAGCATTGGTGTTTGTGGGGACTTGGTTGTCTCTAAACAGCCGGGAGGGGGTGCTGTTAGGCTCGCTTTCAAAGCTGTGATCTGGCAGGGCGTGGTGGCTCCCGCCTGTAATCCCAGCACTTTGGGAGGCCGAGGAGGGCGGATCACTTGAGGTCAGGAGTTCGAGACCAGCCTGACCAACATGGAGAAACCCCGTCTCTACTAAAAATACAAAATTAGCTGGGTGTGGTGGCACGTGCCTGTAATCCCAGCTACTCGGGAGACTGAGGCAGGAGAATTGCTTGAACCCAGGAGGCAGAGGTTGTGGTGAGCCGAGATTGTGCCATTGCACTCCAGCCTGGGCAACAAGAGTGAAACTCTGCCTCAAAAAAAAAAAAAAAATGCTGTGATGTGAGTGCTCACCAGACCCTGTTGTGCCTGCATTCTTCAAGGCAAAAGTTTTACATCTGGACCCGCCTGTTCTGGCTGCGTGTGACAAACTTTCTGTAGACTCCAACACGCTTTGGGGAGAGGTGGCCTAGTTGAGGGCCTGGTCTGAGAAGGGAGGCAAATCCCCCAGGGCCTTTTAGCTTGGCATTGAGCTAATGGGGATTTTTTTTTTGCTTCCTCTTAAGTTTTACAAGAACAAAAAGTGTTGCCTGGGTTTCCCCACGGGGGTCTATTAAAAACTTTCGGGGTTTTCCCTGGTAAAGAATGATAAGAACAGAGGCATACTAACCTTGATCCTGTATCCTCTGTCCCTCATCAGATGTTTCCTTCCAATGGGCTTTTGGTGTAGGATGTCGGAGAACCAAGAACAGGAGGTAAGAGTATGGTCTGCAGAGAACAGGTGGGTAAAAGTTGGAGAGGGGATTTAGGAGGAAAGAGGACATAGAGATGCAAATCATTAATTATTACCTGCAGTATTACTTTGGTGGTTCTGATGAGCTCAGAATAAAGTCAGGAGAAAGAAATCAACAGCAGAGGCATTCCTAGGAAATTGGGGTTCCATTCTGACTAAATTTTCCTTTGATTGGAATATACTGGAATGTAAGCTTCATGGGGGCAGGCACTTACGTCTCTTGTTCATGCTTTATCCCCAGTGCCTATAACAGTGTCTGACACGTAGTGGGGCTCAGTAAAAATTTGTTGAATTGAGTGACTGAATTGAGTGAATGAAAGTTGAATTGAATAAATGAAAGTTGGTGTTGAGTGAATGAAAGTTGGTGTTGGGTGGAAAAATCTAGCGACCTGTGTTGTCAGAGCTGCCTTGCTGTGTAGCTGAAGCTGAGGGAGCTTTTCTTACCTACAGGAGGTGATTACAGTGCGTGTTCAGGACCCCCGAGTGCAGAATGAGGGCTCCTGGAACTCTTATGTGGATTATAAGATATTCCTCCATGTGAGTACATCAAGCTTCTGTATTGGGGTCAGCGCTCTGCAGGGCTGAGGGGCTTGTACTGAGGTGTAACCTTTTTTTTTTTTTTTTGAGATGGAGTTTTGCTCTTGTTGCCCAGGCTGGAGTGCAGTGGTGTGATCTCGGCTTACTGCAACCTCCGCCTCCCAGGTTCAAGTGATTCTCCTGCCTCAGCCTCCCAAGTAGCTGGGATTACAGGCATGTGCCACCACGCCCAGCTAATTTTGAATATATATTTTTTTAGTAGAGATGGGGTTTCATCATGTTGGCCAGGCTGGTTTTGAACTCCTGACCTCAAGTGATCCACCCTCCTTGGCCTCCCAAAGTGCTGGGATTATAGGCGTGAGCCACCGTGCAGGTCAAGGTGTAACCTATTTTTGAGTGTTTCTGGTGGACCCGAGACAGAAGACTTAGAAGAAAGGGAGGGAGGAAAGGAAAGAGAGCTTGAGGTATGTCTTTGAGTTGCTTTTGGGCTGCCTGGTGGCACCTTGTTCTAGTTGGGGACCTGATCAGGTCTGTGGCCTGATGGCATGGCTCCTCAGTGAAAGCAATGATAGGGAGCTCATGTGAACTTGTCTATTTCCACTAAACCCTTTTCATGTACTTCATGTGCTTTCATGTATAGACCAACAGCAAAGCCTTTACTGCCAAGACTTCCTGTGTGCGGCGCCGCTACCGTGAGTTCGTGTGGCTGAGAAAGCAGCTACAGAGAAATGCTGGTTTGGTGTGAGTTTGCTCTTGCTTCCTTCTTGGGTCTGTGACTGGCTTTTTGGGTGCTTATGTAGGAACTGGAGTTGACAATGAAGAGAACTTGCAACATACCAGGCACTAAGGAAATTGGGAAATATGTTGTTTCTTTTTTTGTTTTTTGGGTTTTTTTTTTTTTTTGATGTAGGGTCTTGCTTTGTTACAGAGGCTGGAGTGCAGTGGTGCAATCATGGCTCACTGCAGCCTCAACCTCCTGGGTTCTAGCAATCCTCCCACCTCAGCTTCCCAAGTGGCTGGGACTACAGGTGCATGCCACCACACTTGCCTAATTTGGAAAATATTTTTGTAGAGATGGAGGTCTCCCTATGTTACTAGGGTGGTCTTGAACTCCTGGGCTCAAGCAGTCCTCCTGCCTTGGCCTTCCAAATTGTTGGGATTACAGGTGTGAGCCACCAGGCCCGGCTGGGAAATAATGTTTTTTTTTTTTTTGAGATGGAGTCTTGCTCTGTTGCCCAGGCTGGAGTGCAGTGGCATGATCTCATCTCACTGCAACCTCCACCTCCCAGGTTGAAGCAATTCTCTCTGCCTCAGCCTCCCAAGTAGCTGGGATTACAGGTGCCCACCACTATGCCTGCCTAATTTTTGTATTTTTAGTAGAGGTGGGGTTTGTCCATGTTGGCCAGGCTGGTCTCAAATTCCTGGACTCAAGTGATCCACCTGTCTCGGCCTCCCAAAGTGCTGGGATTACAGGCGTGAGCCACCACTCCTGGCTGGGAAATATGTTCTTTTTTTTTTTTTTTTGAGACTGAGTTTTGCTCTTGTTGCCTGGGTGCGATCTCGGCTCACCGCAACCTCCACCTCCCGGGTTCAAGAGGTTCTCCTGCCTCAGCCTCCTGAGTAGCTGGGATTACAGGCATGCGCCACCACTCCTGGCTAATTTTGTATTTTTAGTAGAGATGGGGTTTCTCCATGTTGGTCAGGCTGGTCTCGAACTCCTAACCTCAGGTGATCTGCCTGCCTTAGCCTCCCAAAGTTGCTAGGATTATAGGCGTGAGGCACCATGCCCAGGCCTTCTTTTTTTTTTTTTTTTTTGAGATGGAGTCTCGCTCTGTCGCCCAGGCTGGAGTGCAGTGGTACAATCTCGGCTTACTGCAACCTCCGCCTCCCGGGTTCAAGCAGTTCTCTGCCTCAGCCTCCCGAGTAGCTGGAATTACAGGGGGTTACCACCATGCCCAGCTAATGTTTTGTATTTTTAGTGGAGGTGGGGTTTTACCATCTTGGCCAGGCTGGGTTTTTTTTGCTTTTTTTTTTTTTTTTTGAGACAGAGTTTCACTTTGTTGCCCAGGCTGGAGTGCAGTGACACCCTCCACCTCCCAGGCTCAAGCAATTTTTGTGCCTCAGCCTTCCGAGTAGCTGGGATTACAGGCGCCTGCCACCACGCCTGGCTGACTATTTTGTATTTTAGTAGAGATGAGGTTTTACCACGTTGCCCAGGCTGGTGTCGAACTCCTGAGCTCAGGCAATCCACCCATCTCCACCTCCCAAAGTGCTAGGATTACAGGTGTGAGCCACTGCGCCCAGCCTGGGCAGGCTGGTCTTAAACTGACCTCATGATCCACCTGCCTTGGCCTTCCAAAGTGCTGGGATTACAGACGTGAGCCACCATGCTCCGCCTTTTTTCTTTTTTTTTTTTTTTGAGACGGAGTCTCACTCTGTTGCCCAGGCTGGAGTACAATGGTGTGATCTCGGCTCACTGCTACCTCAGCCTCCTGGGTTCAAGCGATTCTCCTGCCTCAGCTTCCCGAGTAGCTGGGATTACAGGTCCCTACCCCCACGCCCAGCTAATTTTTGTGTTTTTAGTAGTGACAGGGTTTTACCATGCTAGCCAGGCTGGTCTCGAACTCCCAACCTCAGGCAATCCGCCTGCCTCGGCCTCCCAAAGTGCTGGGATTACAGGCGTGAGCCACCGCACCCGGCCAGATATATGTTCTTAAATCATATTTTCAAGTCAGTGAAAAAAGTAGAATCTAATTTCGAGTATTTTTACCTAACAAAGCCATACTAACATCAAAAATATTTTTCTTTCTTTATATGCATATATGTCTAGAGCTCAACAAATATACAGCTAACATTTTAAACAGTTTAAATCTGCTTATCAGAAAATTTTAAGCACCTGGACTTATTTGACAGCTAGTGTTTCCATCCACTTCACATGTAAAAATAATGATTTTTTTTTCTCTTTTAATACAGAGGTCCTTTTCCAGAGACATATGAGAGCCTAGGGAAGGCAGTTATTATTTACTCCTCACACCCACCTGCCAAATAAGTCCTGAAAGTGGAGAGAATTACAACAGTGATTTTGCTGTAGGATGGTCACTGAATACTCAGTGGTGATAGGTGGCCTGTTGAGTGACCAAGTCAGTTAGTTAACATGTGGAACTGATGAGGCTGTTGTCCTGGGGCAGGCCCTAATAAACCAGGTGAAACTCCGTTCCCCTGACAAATCCTATATCCTCCAGCCTGGCCTGTTTTTTTTTTGTTTTGTTTTTCTTTTTCTTTCTTTTTTTTTTTTTTTGAGACAGAGCTTAGCTAAGTGAGCCTCTGCCGGTCGCGGTGGCTCACGCCCAGCACTTTGGGAGGCTGAGGCAGGTGGATCATGAGGTCAGGAGTTCAAGACCAGCCTGGCCAAGATGGTGAAACCCCATCTCTACTAAAAATACAAAAAACTAGCCGGGTGTGGTGGCAGGTGCCTGTAATCCCAGCTACTCAGGAGGCTGAGGCAGAGAATTGCTTGAACCTGGGAGGCAGAGGTTGCAGTGAGCTGAGATTGTGCCACTGCACTCCAGCCTGGTGACAGAGCGAGACTGTCTCAAAAACAACAACAACAACTACAAAAAAATGTGAGCCTCAGCAGCCTCAAACGCCTGGGGTCAAGGGATTCTCCCACTTCAGCCTCCCAAGTAGCTGGGACTACAGGTATGTGCCACCATGCTCAGCTAATTTTTGTATTTTTTGTAGAGAAAGGTCTCACTTTGTTGCCCAGGCTGGTCTCTCAAACTCCTTGGCCTCAAGTGATCCTCCTACCTCAGTCTCCCAAGTTGTTGGGATTACAGTTGTGAGCCACTGCGTCCCACTCCAGTTTCTTCCTTTTTAAAAATAATAGTTGATGGTGGGTGTGGATTTCTTTTTTCCTTTTTTTTTTTTTTTCTGAGGCGGAGTCTCGCTCTGTCACCCAGGCTAGAGTGTAGTGGTGCAATCTCGGCTCACTGCAACTCCCAGGTTCAAGGGATTCTTCTGCCTCAGCCTCCTGAGCAGTTGGGATTACAGGTGTACACCACCACGGCTGGCTAATTTTTGTATTTTTAGTAGAGTCGGGGTTTCACCATTTTGGTCAGGCTGGTCTCCAACTCCTGACCTCATGATCTACGTGCCTTGTCCTCCCAAAGTGCTGCTATTACAGGTGTGAGCCACTGCGCCCGGCCTTTTTTTTTTTTTTGAGATGGAGTCTTGCTCCTGTCTCATCCTGCAGGCTGGAGTGTTTGCAGTGGCACGATCTCGGCTCACTGCAACCTCCACCTCACAGGTTCAAGTGATTCTCCTTCCTCAGCCTCCTGAGTAGCTGGGATTACAGGGGTGCACCACCATGCCCTACTAATTTTCTTTTCTTTTCTCTTTTTTGTTTTTTTTTGAGATGGAGTTTCGCTCTTGTTGCCCAGGCTGGAGTGCAATGGCTTGATCTCAGCTCACCACAACCTCCGCCTCCCAGGTTTAAGTGATTCCCCTGCCTCAGCCTCCCGAGTAGCTGGGGATTACAGGCATGTGCCACCACGCCTGGCTAATTATGTATTTTTATTTTTATTTATTTATTTATTTAATTTTTTTTTTTTTGAGACAGAGTTTCACTCTTGTTGCCCAGGCTGGAGTGCAAGGGTACAATCTCAGCTCACTGCAAGCTCCGCCTCCCAGGTTCACGCCATTCTCCTGCCTCAGCCTCCCGAGTAGTTGGGACTACAGGCGCCCGCCACCACGCCCGGCTAGTTTTTTCTATTTTTTAGTTGAGATGGGGTTTCACCGTGTTAGCCAGGATGGTCTCGATTTTCTGACCTCGTGATCCCCACCCACCTCGGCCTCCCAAAGTGCTGGGATTACAGGCGTGAGCCACCGCGCCTGGCTGTTTTTTTTTTTTAAAGGAGAGATGAGGTTTCACCATGTCGCCCAAGCTGGTCTTGAACTCCTGAGCTCAAGTGATCTGCCCACCTCGGCCTCCCAAAGTGCCAGGATTACAGGCATGAACCATGGCACCAAGCTGGGAGTGGGTTTCATAAACAACATAGTGTGGCTCGGCTTGGTGGCTCACACATGTAATTCCAGTGCTTTGGGAGGTTAAGGAAGGAGGATCACTTGAGGCCAGGAGTTTGAGACCAGCCTGGGCAACAGAGCAATACTGTCTCTACAGATACATAAGTAAACAAATAAATAAATTAGGTGCACACAGTGGCACGTACCGGTAGTCATAGTTATTCTGGGAGGCTGATGCAGGAGGATTACTTCATCCCAGGAATTTGAGGCTGCGGCGAGCTATGCTCACGTTTATGCTACTGCACTCCAGCCTGGGCAACCTGGAGAGAGCAGCTTGGAAAGCAATACCTTGTCTCTAAAATCAAACAGACAAAAATAATGTATCAGCATGGGTTTTATAGTCATAGATCTGGTTCTGATATGAGCTTTGCTGCTTATTAGCTGTGTAACAGTGAGACATTTACTTAACTTCTCTGATCTGAAGTGAGTTAATATCTTTCTCACGGGGTTTTGGGATGACTAAATGAAATCATGTTTATAAAACATTTAGCACAGTCTGGCTTGACACTTGGCATGCAGTCAATGTTAGCACCACCCCTTATTAAAAGCTAATTGGGGCCAGGCACGGTGGCTCATGCCTGTAATCCCAGCACTTTGGGAGGCCGAGGCAGGCAGGGATCACGAGGTCAGATCAAGACCATCCTGGCTAACATGGTGAAACCCCGTCTCTATTAAAAATACAAAAAATTAGCTGGGTGTGGTGGCCTGCACCTGTAATCCCAGTTACTCGGGAGGCTGAGGCAGAGAACTGCTTGAACCCGGGAGGCAGACGTTGCAGTAAGCCGAGATTGTACCACTGCACTTCAGCCTGGGCGACAGAGCGAGACTCCATCTCAAAAAAAAAAAAAAAAGCTATTTGTATTGATTAGACCTCTTTTTAAGGGATTTCCTTGATCAGAGGCCGGAATGACTATCTTAGATGTTACACTTATCATGGGTGTTATATCATGTGGCTGCACAGGCCTGTTCCTGAACTTCCTGGGAAGTCAACCTTCTTCGGCACCTCAGATGAGTTCATTGAGAAGCGACGACAAGGTCTGCAGCACTTCCTTGAAAAGTGAGTGGACAGAACGGCTGGTGCTGGCCACCAAGGGTGGAGGCAGGGGTGGAGGAATGTGCCAGGCAGGATGGAGCTCCCTGCTCAGGTAGCCAGAAGTTCTTAAGAGGATGGGGAATGGAGAGCAGTTCCTCAGGGTGATGCTCTGTGTTGTGCTACCTGTGTTTTTCCCAGGGTCCTGCAGAGTGTGGTTCTCCTGTCAGACAGCCAGTTGCACCTATTCCTGCAAAGCCAGCTCTCGGTGCCTGAGATAGAAGCCTGTGTCCAGGGCCGAAGTACCATGACTGTGTCTGATGCCATTCTTCGATATGCTATGTCAAACTGTGGCTGGGCCCAGGAAGAGAGGCAGAGCTCTTCTCACCTGGCTAAAGGAGACCAGCCTAAGAGGTAACTGGAGTACTCTTTGAGATAGCAGGGGCTAGGTTTGCTATAACCTGGACCAGAGAGGTGTCCATTTGTTAGGGAAAGTAATGTCATAGCATTGGTAGCCTTTCACAACCTTTCTTGTTCTTTGGGTGCGTGGCTTTCTATCCAGGTGGGTCTGTGTTAACCCACCACTGGGTAGCAGGGGCTCCTACTGAAACCTGGGGAGAAAGAAGGGAAAGCTTTCTCATTTATTCGGTTTTTTATTCCTCCTCCCTCCCTTTTTATTTATTTATTTTTTTGTGTGGAGACGGACGCTCACTCTTTCACCCAGGCTGGAGTGCAGTGGCGTGATCTCGGCTCACTGCAACCTCTGCCTCCTGGGTTCAAGCGATTCTCCTGCCTCAGCTTCCTGAGTAGCTGGGATTACAGGCAAGTGCCACCACACCTGGCTAAGTTTTGTATTTTTAGTAGAGACGGGATTTTGCCATGTTGGCCAGGCTGGTCTCAAACACCTGACCTTAGGTGATCCGCCTGCCTCTGCCTCCCAAAGTGCTAGGATTATTGGCATAAGCCTGGCCTAATAGCTTTATTGACACACAATTTACCTGCCATAAAGTTTACCTTTTTAGATACAGTTCAGTAGTTTTTAATATAGTCACAGGGTTGTATAACTGTCAGCCACCACAGTCAATTTTAGAACATTTTCATCACCCCGAAAGAAACCCTGTACCCATGAGTAGTGACTCCCCTGTCCTTCCCTCCCCCCCAGCTCCTGGCAACCACTAGTCTACTTTCTCTGTCTATGCATTTGTCTATTTTGGACATTTACACAAATGGAGTCATATGATTTGTGGTCTTTTGTAACTGGCTTTTTTCATCTAACAATGTTTTCAAGGTTCATTTGTATTTTATCATGTGTCATTACTTCATTACTGTTTTTTTCTCTTTTTTTCCCCCATTTTTATGGCTAAATAGCAGTCCATTTATATGGTGCTATATACCACATTTTGTTTATCCATTCACTTGCATTTATCTGTTTTTTTTTTTTTTTTTTTTTTTGAGACAGAGTCTTGCTCTGTTACCCAGGCTGGAATGCAGTGGCATGATCTCGGCTCACTGCAACCTCCGCCTCCCAGGTTCAAGCAACTCTTCTGCCTCAGCCTCCCTAGTAGCTGGGATTACAGGCACCTGCCACCACACCCAGCTAAGTTTTTGTATTTTTAGTAGAGATAGGGTTTCACCATGTTGGCCAGGCTGGTCTCGAACTCCTGACCTCAGGTGATCCACCCGTTTCAGCCTCCCAAAGTGCTGGGATTACAGGTGTGAGCCATCGCACCTGGCCTTTTTTTTTTTTTTTTTTTTGAGATGGAGTCTTGCTCTGTTGCCCAGGCTGGAGTGCAGTGGCACGATTCAGCTCACTGCAAGCTCTGCCTCCCGGGTTCACACCATTCTCCTGCCTCAGCCTCCCGAGTAGCTGGGACTACAGGCGCCCGCCACCATGCCCGGCTAATTTTTTTTGTATTTTTAGTAGAGACGGGGTTTCACCGTGTTAGCCAGGATGGCCTCCATCTCCTGACCTCGTGATCTGCCCACCTCGGTCTCCCAAAGTGCTGGGATTACAGGCGTGAGCCACCACGCCCGGCCTCTTTTTTATTTTTTTAAATTGAGATAGGGTTTCACCAGGTTACCCAGGTTGGTCTCCACCTCCCAGACTCAAATAATTCACCATGCCCAGCCATTTTTTTTTTTTTTAATCGGGCAGCCTCCTGAGTCAGAACAGGCTCAGAGAGACTTCCCTTTCTGTTCATTTTTGTTTATATGTTCATACTTTTTTTTCTGAGACAGAGTCTCACTCTGTTGCCCAGGCTGAAGTGCAGTGGTGTAATCATAACTCACTGCAGCCTTGACCTCCAAGGCTCAAGCAATCTTCTGGCCTCAGCTTCCTGAGTAGTTGGGATTACAGGCACATGCCAACATCCCTGGCTAATTTATTTTTTTGTAGAGACGGAGTCTCCCTATGTTACCCAAGCTGTTCATACCTTTCTTTTCCCTTTCCCACTCTTTTCCAGTTGCTGCTTTCTTCCAAGATCGGGTAGGAGGAGCTCTCCCTCACCGCCTCCCAGTGAAGAAAAGGACCATTTAGAAGTGTGGGCTCCAGTTGTTGACTCTGAGGTTCCTTCCTTGGAAAGTCCCACTCTCCCACCCCTCTCCTCACCATTATGCTGTGATTTTGGAAGACCCAAAGAGGGAACCTCCACTCTTCAGTCTGTGAGGAGGGCTGTGGGAGGAGATCATGCTGTGCCTTTGGACCCTGGTCAGTTAGAAACAGTTTTGGAAAAGTGAGCTCTGGGTTCTGCTCTGAGATGGTCAGAGAAGATGCGGGCCAGGAGACTTACTCAGGTGGGACTGGGCACAGGGCAGGTATGTGGGAGGCTGGGCTGCTTAGTGTCTTCTAGTCACCTCTGCTTGGGCTGATTGACAGAGGTCAGTCATTACAGCCCCTTATGCCTCTTCCATGGGAACAAATACTGTGCAGATGTTTGTAAGTTAAACATAAGACACAGGGGCTGTTGCTTTTGAACAGAACCCTATATTACTCTCCTGGGATCTGAGTTTCTGCAGGTCATTTGTATGTAGGACCAGGAGTATCTCCTCAGGTGACCAGTTTTGGGGACCCGTATGTGGCAAATTCTAAGCTGCCATATTGAACATCATCCCACTGGGAGTGGTTATGTTGTATCCCCATCTTGGCTGGCTTCAGTTTTTGCTGTAGCCCTAGAGCACTTTGTTTGTGGGAGGCTGGCCTCTTGCCTACCTCCTTGCATGGACAGGGGGATGAATATTTACTTTCCCACCTCCTTGCTTTTTCTTTCACTGATACCACTGAATGGAACTGGTGCTGTGACTCCTGCTGCTGGGGATTTATGTCCCGAGACCTTAGCCTGGCTGAGTGGAGCCTGAGACCTGCACAACAGCTCATGGTCATGCATGAGAGAGAAGTGGCTGGCCACAGCCAGAGGGAACAGTAACAGCCCAGGGGCCTTTATTTTGGGAAAGGCTGTCCCGGGCTGTTACTGTCTCTTCTGGTTATAAAGCAGACATGTGGCCATCTTTTCCGCAGGGTTAGAGTGGGCTCCTTTCTTTTTGGAATCCTTTTCTTCTCCTTTGGTAGCAGCTCCCTGCCTCCAGGGCTTCCGCCACCAGCGTCTCTGCTGTGTTGCGCAGTGCAGTGGGGTGCAAGGGCTTTGTTTCTGCCTGCCTGAAAGAGAGGGCTCTGGGGATGGAGATGAGAAACAACACGCTCTCCTTCAGACAATGAGGCATTCTGTCCTCCTGCTGCCATTCTTCATCTCCACTGAGAGCCAGAGCTGGTAGGAGCCGAGTGCCACAGGCATTCTGCATTGCTCTACTCTTAGGTTTGTGTGTGTGATCCTTCCCCTCCCTGTCGCCCACTCCTCCCTCCTCTGGCTATCCTACCCTGTCTGTGGGCTCTTTTACTACCAGCCTATGCTGTGGGACTGTCATGGCATTTAGTTCAGAGTGGAGGGGCTTTGGCCTGAAATAAAATGCAAGTATTTAAGATTGTTGTTGCAATTTGTGTCTAACAAGCTGTAGCAGAGAAGGAGGGAGTGAGCGCTGGCAGTATTTCCTTTCATAAATCATGAATTTATCAGTGTGGAAATAATGCTTCAGAACTGTGCTCTGTAGCCCTCCTGCATTGTGTGTGCAGCTCAAGTTCACCACTGGAGGAAGGATTGTCTTCCAAAGAGCTGGGATCCAACTCTTCTCACAGTTCTGGGCGTGAACCTTGTTAGGTATAATTTACCTGATGCTGCTTCCATCCTCGCAGTCTGTCTGAGGTGCCAGGTGCTGAAAGAGAAATAAAGTTTGTCAACAGGCAGATGCAAAGCCCTGGCTGGTATTCATCCCTCTTTCCTGCCCGCCTCCCCTGGGTCTCTCCTTTATATGATGCAGCAGAGCAAGGCGAGGATAGAAAACCTACAGAGGCAAATCCAAAATGTCAGAAGAAGTTCATTTAAAAGGGGAAAAAAACTCCATGTGCAACCCTCACAAAAACCCGACAGATGCTAAGCTAATGGCATCCGCTCTGCCGATTGGTGGGGATGGCTCATGAATATTAATGAGCCCAATGCTCCAAATGGTGCAGCTGTGAACCCAGCTGTGCCTGAAGCTCTCTGATCTCGAAACTTCCAGACAGGAGCTGGAGGTGGTCTGTGTCAATTCCCTACTCAGCCAAAAAAACAGCAAGCTGGGTTGGCCTTCTTCTGTTTGCTCCTTTTCTTCCTGGAGTTGGTGCTCAGCAGCTAGTTCTGCCAGCCGGCTAGGCTGCTGGGACAGCAGGAGCCATTCAAAGACATGGATGTGATTTTTCTGACTCCCAGCTTTTTTAATGATCCATTAGCAGCATGCATACAACAGCACCTCAGTTAATCTAAGGCCAGGCACCATCTCTTTTCAGTCTCTCTCTTAACTGAGTATAGGCCTTGGAAGGAGAAGTCCTAGGAAGGAAAGCACTTTTCTAATAATACAAGCCTAGGGTCATCCGAAAAATAGCGCACATGAGTTTTCCTCTCCATCCAGATAGTGCCATAGGCCCCTCTTCTGTTTTGCTCTGTCCCTGCGTGTGCCCAGGTCTAGCCACTGTGGCCAGATGACCTCTATGAAAGATGGAGGATTAGCTGTGGGGAGTGGCTCATTGAGCTGTTTTGTAGGATAAAAATATTTTGTTTAGAATTTAGTTTTGAGTCAAGTTCTGTCCTGATGTAGTCACCTTTCTTCTGTCAGATACCTCCATGGCCCACATCTAGTCATCCATTACCCAGGATGACTGATTCCAAGCTTGTGGAGGTTGTTTGGTGGGAGGAAATGTGTTTGTGTGTGAGGGGGGTGTTTTCTTACATTAAAATACTAAGTTTTATAAACATAATTTTATTGGCCCTTCTCAGTGCCTAGCAAGGAAGGTAGGTTAGGTATATGCTCCTTTTTTCGTTGAGGAAACTGAGCTCAATGTTTTTGTGTGTGTTTTTTTATTTGTTTGTTTGTTTGTTTTGAGATGGGCAGCCTTTGCTGCCCAGGCTGGAGTGCAGTGGTACAATCTCGGCTCACTGCAACCTCCACCTCCCGGGGTCAAGCAGTTCTCCTGCCTCAGCCTCTAGAGTAGCTGGGATTACAGGGGCCTGCTACCACACCCAGCTAATTTTTGTATTTTTATTTTTATTTTATTTATTATGATTATTTTTTGACATGGACTCTTGCTCTGTTGCCAGGCTGGAGTGCAGTGGCGCCATCTTGGCTCACTGCAACCTACACCTCCCGGGTTCAAGTGATTCTCCTGCCTCAGCCTCCCGAGTAGCTAGGACTACAGGCACGTGCCACCACGTCCAGCTAATTTTTGTATTTTTAGTAGAGACGGGGTTTCACCATGTTAGCCAGGATGGTCTTGATCTCTTGACCTCATGTTCCACCTGCCTCAGTCTCCCAAAGTGCTGGGATTATAGGCGTGAGCCACCACGTTTGGCAATTTTTGTATTTTTAGTAGAGACGGGGTTTCACCATGTTGGCCAGGCTGGTCTTGAACTCCTGACCTCAAGTGATCCGCCTGCCTCAGCCTCCCAAAGTGCTCGGATTACAGGCGTGAGCCACTGTGCCCAGCCAAGTGTGGTTTTTTAAAAAGCATGTTTTTAGATGATGGTGGAATATGTTCACATGAGAGATACTTTCCAAGCTCTGTGAGACAAGTCCCCTACCACTCCAAAAAAGAAAAAGTCTACCACTACATTCAAGGAAAAAAACAACAACCCTGCAGGGCTTTTCAGAATTGTTCTCAGAAATCAGAGCTCTTTCACAGTTCTTAGTTTTCTCATGCTAAGGCCTTACATCCATACTACCGAGTCCAAGGTACCTCCTATCCTCTCTGTTAGCTTTGCTTGGGAGGTGATAATGACTTTTTTTTTTTTTTTTTTTTGAGATGGAGTTTTGCTCTGTTGCCCAGGGTAGAGTGCAGTAGCATGATCTCGGCTCTCTGCAAACTTCACCTCCCGGGTTCAAGTGATTCTCCTGCCTCAGCCTCCTGAGTATCTGGGACTACAGGTGTCCACCACCACGCCTGGCTAATTTTTGTATTTTTATTAGAGATGGGATTTCACCATGTTGGCCAGGCTGGTCTCAAACTCCTGACCTCGGGTGATCTGCCCTCCTTGGCCTCCCAAAGTGCTGAGATTACAGGTGTTAGCCACTGAGTCTGGCCTTATTAGAGATACGACTTCTTAGGGGGGAAAAACACTTCTATTTTAGCCATGACTGGATTTGGAGTTGGAAAGCTGGAGACCTCAAATCTCAAGATATAATAAACAGACAACTTATGCTCAAAATGTTAACAAGAACTACACTTCCTAGGAGACAGAGTCCTCCTGACTGAATAAGCAGAGTGAATAATTTTACTTTTCTTTTGTTCAGGGGAGATCTGGTCTATTTTCACAAGCAAAGGAGAAGGAAAAAAAGCCAAGGGGTACTTTCATGGTTGCCAAAGGGTCACAGATAATAAACAGAGGTGACAAAGCTAGGGTGTGAGAATTAGGAGACTACTGGGAAGTCTCTAAGGTTTTTTTCCCCTGGAAGGGCAGGAACACAAGATGCTTCTGGAATCTCTGGATTATGGGAAGCCACCAGCCAAAATTTCTTTTCATGCATGGCTGCATGGCTGTCAAGTCTCTCCTTCCTGTCCTTCAGCCAAGCACATTTTCTTTGATACCGTCAGTTCAGAAAGGGCCAGCCTGTTCGAATCCTGTAAGTGCTCTAGCTCTGTGTGTCCCTTTCCCTGGTGGCTGTGTTGGTGTGGGAAGCCTAGCCCACCCCACCAGCAGCCTGACCCGGATCCTTCCCGCAGAAGGCCCAGAACAGTGAATGCCTGAGGCAGTTTGTTGGAGGCAATGCAGCCTGCCTGCTATAAGCTGTGAGACTTAGATATATTCTACCAATTAGGGCACATCTGTTCAAAACGCTGAAAGGCGGGCACTGTCTCTTTAAGAGGCATCCCACTCCTCTCCTTGAGTAATGAGGGCTGGGAGCACAAGGGAGTCAGATGCTGATTAAACAGTCCTACTGCCGAGCTCTGTTAGAAAATTACTGTAATTATGATCTGGTCCCAGCAGAGGGATGAGTTCCAATCCTGCTAATAACCCTTCCAGGTGCCTCAGATTCAGGGCCCATGGGAGGCAGCGTCGACAGGGCTCTGGCTGGCACCAGGACCAGTGATGGCCCTCCTGTCTGGCCTGTGCTGGCAGAGACAACAATGACACTGGACCTCACTTCCTATTTTGGCCTCCTGAGAAGGCAGTGGTTTTTGGTTGCGTTTTTGTTTTATTTATTTTTTGGTTCTGGACAGAGCTCCTGGGAGTCATTTTGTATGAGAAAACTTTCCAGTAAATGAACACGGAGGACCAGGAAAATCACAGCCGAGAGATGGCAATCTGTCCTGAATCTCCCCACTTCTGCCTGGGGACTGTAGTCAACATACGAAAAGCATGTTGCCCGGCCCCAGTCCCACCAGTGCACTGAGGAGGGAACCAGAGCCGAACCCTTTCATCTGCAGCTGCCTTCTGCGTGGTGTTTCTTGATCTGAAGTACACAGCATTTGACTTGGTCCTAAGTGGGAGTTTCAAGCACTCCTCTTTTAGATTTCTGTCACAGAAAAGGGAAACAAGGGATAGTAATCACAGGGCTCAAGACACGAGAGAGACTGTAATGCGTCTCTGAACCGGCGAATATGGTCTTGCTCATTCCAACACATCGTAGTGCAAATCTGCAGCAGTGCAGGTGAGCAAATCTTAAAGGTAGAGCAAAGGGTTTTTAAGCCCTGCGGGATTTGTGGCATTTAAATGCTGTATCTTCTCAACCTAGCTGTAATCTCTATCACATAATCCAGCGGCTCAAGCACAAACTTCTAGAATGAGGGGTGGTTTCTCTGCTTTGTGCTAAACACACCCCAAATGCCCTGAGACAGCAATTCTCAACCAGGGGAGATTTTGCCCCCAGGGGATATTAGGCACTGCCTAGAAATATTTTTGGTGGTCAGAGCTCAGGGGTAGGGTAGGGGGAGGCCACTGGCATTTAGTGGGTAGAGGCCAGGGGTGTGGCCGGACATCCTACAATGCTCCCAACAACATGGAATTATCTGGCCTAAAATATGAATAATGCTGAGGTTGAGAAGCCCTGCACTAACAGAGTGAAGTAATCTGCTCCAAGTTCTGGTACCCTAAATGTGGAGATGTTGAAGAAATGAACTTCAATCTCCAGATGCTGCGTGCTTCTCTGGAGGTGGAACAGTTCATGACACGTCCAGAGGGCTGGTGGTGTGCATATGCCACCTTGGTGACTCACAGCACAGCAATGCGGGCATGTCTGATGGTGTGGAAAAGGGAAATGTCTGTAGCCTGCTTCCTGTTCCATGATGGGATGTGGAGGATAAAAGGTGACCAGCTGCTCACCATCAGGCTGCAAGTGTCTACAGTGGAACCAGATGTCCTCTTTGAGGACCAGCACTAGAAGCCTCTTGGAACACTTCTGTTACGGGAGGCAGGGAAGTGGCATACTATTGCCCGGTGCCACAAAAATGCTTCCTTCAGTGGCGCTTTGCCAGTTGGAGGGGTGGTGGACTGTGATGGGAACCCACGAGGGAACTGAATGCACACAGCCGCCGACAGCTGGCCAGCCCCACAGGCAGCTTGATGCCAAAGACACCAGGCCCCTCAGAATGCCTGGGCATCAGGAAAAGAAAGCCCAGTTGGCAGGGTCTGCCTAGAAACTAGGCCTGCAGGGGAGAGGACTTCATTAGAAGGGACATTGCCAAGCCTCATACCAGGAAAGCCAGGTCATCTTTCTCTACCATCCACTCCCCAGGTGACTGGGCACCTCATTTTGCCTTATTTTTAGCATGACCACACTTCCCAGTTTACACCTGCGGTCTTGGCATCATCATTAACTCCCCTTTCACTCTCAAAAATGTCTTCCTTTGGAGAATAAATTATACGATCACTCTGTTAATTGTACTTCAGTTTCCTCTGACACGGAAGTATTTTTGGGGGCCATTATATTTATAAAAGATTTTTGTACAGCATGGGCTAAATCTTAAAATATATCATTAATGGAATCCGAAAGAATGGTCATCAATTCATATAGAGGAGAAAAACAGCATGTTTCCTGAATAGTTAGTTTTTTATAGGGAAAAAGGGAGACTAATTCAAATCCCTTGAAAAAGAAGAATCTTTAGTTATAAATTTCAAAGTCCCTACCCAATCTCGGCAAGTTCTAATGGGAAATGAAATAGCTGGGCAGTAGGGAAGGGAAGAAGCAAGGGACTATGGTAATCCACAAACTAGAAAATGAGCTGGAGTCACTGGGCTGTGTCGCAGAGATAATCCTCTGTGTAGAGGTCTGCTTTTTTAAAACTCAGCCCTGCAGATTTTGCCGGTGCTCTGGGAGTTAACAAATCAACGCCATTCAAGATTTATCCTTCCAGAGCCACTCCTGGTGGGAGACCTGCGGGGAGGGGTTTTTGTTTTTATTTTTGTTTTTGTTTTGCCAAAGATGAAAGCACCACTGTCCCTGGCATCTGAGAGTTTTGTTAAGACATAAAAAAAAAAAAACAAAACACAACTTTGTTTCTTTTTTTTTTCATCTTGCTTCTCTTCAACTCCATCTTTCTCAGACTGGTTTTTAAAGGCAGGGGTCTTCCTCCCCAGCCACGTGCATTATCTTGCGCTTTGCATTGACACCACTGCTTTATTGTGATGCCAGGGACTGGCATGAAATGTGGATTTTGAAGATGTCTCACTGGAGATGTCTGACTGCAACAGAACTCGAGTAAGTCAATAAGCAAAGCAGCTGACAGATAATTTCAAGGGGCTTTCATTTTATTTCCTCTTCCACAGCAGAGTTTGTGATTTTGAACCAGTGGTCACAACCTTTAAGATCCTCAGTTTCATCATTTGCAAATACTAGCTGGTTATAAATAAGGTGGTGCAACTAGGGAAGCTAAAATTCTTAAAAAGGTTAATGGCAACTTGAGATCAATGCTAATTCCTTACATAATTCTGTTTAGATAAAAAAATCTGTCTCAGCTGGGCGCAGTGGCTCATGCCTGTAATCCCAGCACTTTGGGAGGCTGAGGCAGGTGGATCACGAGGTTAGGAGTTCAAGACCAGCCTGGCCAAGATGGTGAAACGCTGTCTCTGCTAAAAATACAAAAATTAGCCGGGCATGGTGGTGGGCACCTGTAATCCCAGCTACTCAGGAGGCTGAGGCAGAGATCGCATCACTGCACTCCAGCCTGGGTGACAGAGGGGAGAGTAGGTCTCAAAAAAAAAAAAAATCAAACAGGAGGGAGGGCACCTTGTCAACCCCACCTTTGACACTACTCTAGTTGAAAACAAAATCAACCCGGGTTTAGGGAATGAGACTTAATAGGAATTCTCACCTCTTTCCCATTTTTTATTCACCATCAAGAAAGATATAGTTGGCTTTGAATTAAATACAGATTTCTAAGAGATATACCAGGCCATCATATGGAAAAATTTAATATTGAGGTAATTGCAAAACAATATCTATGCTATTTTGCTATGTGGATGACAGGGAAAACACACTAGAAAAACGTATTTTTAATGAAATGTAGCTGAAATGTTGCTTTCGGAGCATTTAGTATTCTTGGATACCAGCTTGGACAATTCAGGCCAAACTGTACCAGCCCCAGGTTAGATTATCGACTGGGAGTCAGTACTTTCTGTGTCAATGATTATACATTTACTTCTTAAATTTAGGATTTTAGCTTTTAAATTTTCTTTTTACATAAAATCAAGGAAAAAAGCCTTTCATCTCCACTGCTCTCCTATTTCACTTGCCAGAACAATTGGTAGTGATTAAGAAGCCGTCCTACATATAATGTGGTTAGTTAAGCGGTCTAATGCCCCAGTTATCCAGTTAGTGGCAGGCAGTGAGGTGGGGATTTGGTTAGTAGAGCCAAACAGAGGAGCGGTAATCTAATTAGCCTGTTGCCATCTGAGGCCGTTGGCTAAGATGGGGGCTAACTGGGTGTGGAGCAGTTTTGCTGGGTGAGGTTTAGTTTCCAACGCTGTAGGAATCTGCTGCTTCCAAAAAGTCTCCTTTAGAACTATCCCCTAGCAGAGAATGTCCATCAGCCTGTAGATTGTCTCATCAACACATCAAACATGCTCTACCCAACCCCTGCCGCGCTTTTTTTTTTTTTTTTTTGCATATAACAATGTCAGAGACAGCCAGAACTACAGACCAGATTTCCAATGAGGTAATTTGTTTATATACTTTAGGACCAACCTAATTTCTTTTTCTGCTGAGTTTCACAGCTAGAAGGGCCAGAGATCTGAGTGTGGTCCCTACGGTGGGGTGTGTGGCGGTACCCAAAGACCTTTGCAGTTTGGCAAGTGGTTGTTTCCTCTTGGAAAACAGGTATAGAAGGGACATTTTATTTTAAATGCTGGAAGCCAATGGCCATATGATTTAGAGAGCATTGAACTCTGTAGGGAGTGAAGAAGTTACCTTTTTCTTTTCTTTTTTTTCTTTTTTTCCTGCTCTGTCGCCAGGCTGGTGTGCAGTGGTGTGATCTTGGCTCACTGCAACCTCCGCCTCCCAGGTTCAAGCGATTCTCGTGCCTCAGCCTCCTTAGTAGCTGGAATTACAAGCATGCGCCACCACACCTGGCCAATTTTTGTATTTTTAGTAGAGACAGGGTTTCATCATGTTGGCCAGGATGGTCTTGATTTCTTGACCTCGTGATCCACCCACCTTGGCCTCCCAAAGTGCTGGGATTACAGGCGTGAGCCACCACACCCAGCTGACCTTTTCCTTTTTCAGCCTCATCCTGTCCCAGATCCCGGCCCTTTCTCTTCTGGTATCCCCTTTTCTGATGTCTTTCAGCCACAGAGTGGTGGCACGATGATATTCTGGCCTCTTAGCCACCCAGCTTTTCAGATTTGGGTCCCTGGGTCTCCAGGGAAGGATGGGCGGGGGATGGAGGAGTGGGGGAGAGGTGGGTGGCAGAGGAGGAGTATAGAAGGGTTTGTGTTTGCTCCCTCTGTTAAACACTTTAGAATATTGCCCATTGTCCTTTCCTGTGGGATGGGATTGGTGCAAAGGCTCCTAAAACTGGAGGCAGTTGGTTCTCTTTGGTTCACCTGCTCATATGCTGCCACCTAGTGGTTCCTTCTCCTTTAGCACTCTGTGTGAAGGGTAGGGGGACGTTAAGGACACTACTATATTGCCTTTATCTCACTTGGGTTTTTTTTTCCTCCTAAACCTAAAATTTCCCCTTTTCATTCCATGCAGTTATCCATCATACACAAAACTGTTTTCTTCTTTTTACTCTTGGATCAGATAATCTGGAAATGAATAGTTGGTATAAGATCTATGTTTTTTTGAGTAAGTTAGAGCCCACTAACATCCCTGTTTGCCCCCTGGTTTCTCTTTTGTGATGTGAGATGGGCGTCTTACTCCAGTGCTGCAACATGTTCATTACAGAGGAGAGGCAGGCTACCACCAAGCCAGGGCTTCTCTGAACAGGGATTTCTTTTTTCTTTCTTTTTTTTTTTTTTTGAGACGGAGTCTCACTCTGTCGCCCAGACTGGAATGCAGTGGCGCGAACTCGGCTCACCGCAACCTCCGCCTCCCGGGTTCAAGCGATTCTCCTGTCTCAGCCTCCCGAGTAGCTGGGATTACAGGTGCATGCCACCATGCCCGGCTAATTTTTGTATTTTTAGTAGAGATGAGGTTTCACCATGTTGGCCAGGCTGGTCTCAAACTCCTGACCTCGTGATCTGCCCGTCTCGGCCTCCCAAAGTGCTGGGATTACAGGCGTGAGTCACTGCACCCGGCCAGTTGCCTGTCTTTCAAAATTTCTCCTGTAGAGAAATCAGGCAATAATAGCAGCTACCCTTATTGAACAGTTATTATGTGCCAGGCATTGTTCCAAGTACCATTACACATGTTAAATCATTTAATCTTCCTAATCACCTAATGATACAGTGAATAGAGTATATCCCTTCTAAGGTGAGGAAACTGAGGCATAAATGGTCAAATAACTTGCTCCAGAGAGCACAGTAGACAGGGAACTGAGATTTATTCCCAGGCTGTCTGGTTGCAGATGTTATGCTGTTAATCACTATGTTTTGCTGCCTCTTAATATGCAGGTAACCTGAGTGCTAGGTACAGACAACAGGAAAGGGAAACAGGGAGCCCTGTATCCATACTTGAGCCCTCCTCAGAGCATTTCCTCAGCCCCTACCTGGGAGGTGTTGTAGTGGAGGACACATGGGTTGTTAACTAACCCGAGGCCTGAAGAGGAACTCTTCAATGTGCTGACTCCAAGGCCTTGCTTCTGGTTCTGTCTCATTTTGGAGATTCAGCACATAGGAAAAAAACCAAGTAGCTGGGTGGGAGTGGTGGCTCATGTCTGTAATCCCAGCACTTTCGGAGGCTGAGGCGGGTGGATCACTTGAGCTAAGGAGTTTGAGAGTAGCCGGGCCAACATGGTGAAACCCCGTCTCTATAAAAATACAAAAATTGGCTGGGTGCAGTGGCTCAGCCACCCTGTAATCCCAGCACTTTGGGAGGCCGTGGTGGGTGGATCACTTGAGGTCAGGAGTTCAAGACCAGCCTGACCAACATGGTGAAACCCCGTCTCTACTAAAAATACAAAAATTAGCTGGGTGTGGTGATGCACGCCTGTAATCCCAGCTACTCGGGCGGCTGAGGCAGGAGAATAACTTGAACCGGGGACGGGGAGGTTGCAGTGAGCCAAGATTGCGCCACTGCACTCCAGCCTGGGAAACAGAGTCGAGACTCCATCTCAAAAACAAACAAACAAACAAAAAACCAAAAATCAGCCAGGTGTAGTGGTGGGCGCCTGTAATCCCAGTTACTCGGGAGTCTTAAGCAGAATTGTTTGAACTCAGGAGGTGGAGGTTGCAGTGAGCCAAGATTATGCCACTGCACTCCAGCCTGGGCAACAGAGCAAGACTCTGTCTCAGAAAAAAAAAAAAAGACAAAAAATAAACAATAGACGTGGATTCCAGAGAAGATTCTGCTCTGAAAGACAATTCCAAGTCTCCTTTTTTCTCTGGGCTTTTGTTTTCTCTCATGCTATCTCCACTTTATTGGGAGGTGGTAAAAATGCCCAGAGCTGACATATTGATATCATCTTACAAAAAGGAGCTCAACATCATCACACATGGCAAGGAACCACATCCCAAGTTTATTTGTGCTTTTCAAACCAGCCAGAACAACCAGTAATGTCCTCCTCCCAAGGTTTCCTTCTCTCTCACCTTCTTTGTGAAAAGCTTGTGGAAAAGGCAGATGTGGTTGTGTGGACACATTTAGAGATGGGGATGAGCTATGACTAGGCTGGTTTAGTAACAGGTTTGATGAACGTGCCTCTTCCCACTTGTCTTACTGGTAGCTTACAGTCACTCTGAGGTGTCAAGAGACTTGGGTCTCTTCAGCAAAGAGAGGAGTCCAAGGCGTTGGTGGGGTGGCAGAAGTAGGGAGTGGGAACTTTTGATGATCAGTTTCCTCATAAAGGCAGGAGAGAGGGAAGAATATATTTCCTAAAGGAGGAAAAATACATAAATTTGCTTTTGTGATTCAAAATATAGATGTATTAAAGGGCACAGAGTATAATGTTTTCCCCCTTACCCTGTCTCACAGTTTCTCTGTCCTTGGAGGCAACCATGTTATCATTTCATGTCTCCCTCCAGAAATATCCCATACAAATATAAACAAATAGGTATATATAGTCTCCAGTCCTTTTTTATACAAATGGGGCAAATTTGGCTCCCATTCTTTGCTGTTTTATTTTTTTTAAACTTACCAACATATTTCAGAATGTATTCCACACAGTTTCCCTTTCTTTTTTACTGTTGCATAATATTCACTTCTATGAATGTACTATAGTTATTTGACTAGTTCTCTGTTAAACATTTAGGTCATTTCCAAGTGTTTGCTATTACAATGAACCGTATGTGCCTGTCATTTTGCATATGTGCAAGTATAGCTGTAGGATAATTTCTATTTTTTTTTCTTTTTTTACCCAAACCAAAAATGGTCAATAGGATAAATTCTTTTTTTTAGATGGAGTCTTGCTCTGTTGCCCAGGCTGGAGTACAGTGGCTTGATCTCAGCTCACTGCAACCTCCGCCTCGTGGATTCAAGCAATTCTCCTGCCTCAGCCTCCTGAGTAGCCGGGTTACAGGCGCCCGCCACCACGCCTGGCTAATTTTTGTATTTTTAGTAGAGATGAGGTTCCACCATGTTGGTCAGGCTGGTCTCGAACTCCTGACCTCGTTATCTGCTCCCCTTGGCCTCCCAAAGTGCTGGGATTACAGGCGTGAGCCACTGCGCCTGGCCAGATAAATTCTTAGAAATAGATTTGTTGGGCCAAAGACAATGAAGAGATAAACAAATAAATGACAGAGTGAAAAGGGTGAATTTGTTTTTTATTTTTATTTATTTTTTTTGAGATGGAGTCTCTGTCACCCAGGCTAGAGTACAATGGCGCGATCTCGGCTCACTGCAACCTCCGCCTCCCAGGTTCAAGTGATTCTCCTGCCTCAGCTTCCCAAGTAGCTGGGATTACAGGTGCCCGCCACCATGCCTGGCTAATTTTTGTATTTTTAGTAGAGATGGGGTTTCACCATGTTGGTGAGGCCGGTCCCGAACTCCTGACCTCAAGTGATCCACCTGCCTTGGCCTTGAAAGTGCTGGGACTACAGGTGTAAGCCACCATGCCCGGCTGGCTGGATTTGTTTAGATTTGACAGAAAAATTCCAACCCTCTATACTTGTGGCCATGAAACAGTCTTCATCAGGAAAATCATAAAGTCAAACCTTGAGTGACAGGCCTGAGCTGGTGTTGTATGGTTGTACAAGGGCATTGGAGAATAAGATCTATCCTTATGTATTTTCCTAAATGAGTTCACTCAGCTGCTGCAGCACACTAGAGTGGGCTCTGGTCTGGACTCCAAGGAATGTTTGTATCACTGTCACACTGATGCCATTCTTTACCCCCAGCAGTGAAGACTGCTCCTATTTCAGGCCAGAAGATGGAGCTAGTGACAACATGCTGGTCTTGGGGGCCCTCCATCAGAATCTTAATTCTAACCAAAACCCACTCTGCACCAAAGTGGCTCCCACTATTACTCCACCCAAACCAGGCACCCACCCCCACTATTTTGAAACACAATGTGGTTCTTGCTAATACAACACAAACCTATTCTTTTTCTTTTTTTGAGACAGGATCTTGCTCTTTCACCCAGGCTGGCGTGCAGTGGTGCAGTCATGGCTCACTGTAATCTCAACCTCCTGGGCTCAAGCATTCCTCCCACCTTAGCCTCCCAAGTAGCTGGGCCTACAGACGTGCACCACCACACGTGGCTAATTTTTTAAAAAAAATTTTGTAGAGACCTTCTGCCCAGGCTGGTCTCAAACTCCTGATCTCAAGTGATCCTCCTGCCTTGGCCTCCTGAAGTGTTGGGATTACAGGTGTGAGCCACTGTGCCTGGCCCTGCAAACCATATTCTCTATTACTTAAAAGTTAATTTGATTATGTTCCATAGTTCCAATATTTCATATGTTCCAATATAAGGAATCCTCATATTGGATTCCTAATCTTGGTCAGTCATATTGCAATATGTGGGGATTTTGGGGAAATGGTGCCCTGGGTTTGAGAGCTGGGGATAAACCTAGATCCATCCCTGTGGCAAAAATTGCTAGTTTTATCCCAATATCCATTCTTCCCTTTGTATTTAATCATGAATCTCCCAATTCTAAGCTGGACACAGGGCTATAAGCTTTCTTTACAGCTTGCTGTGTCCATATATTCCAACTTCTGACCAATGGAATGTGAAAGGAAGTGTGTGCGCAACATCTGTGAAGTACCCTTAAAGGAAGAGGGTATGCTTTTCTCTCTCTTTTTTTTTTTTCTCAAGACAGTCTTGCTCTGTTGCCCAGGCTGGAGTGCAATGGCGTGATCTTGGCTCACTGCAACCTATGCCTCCCGGGTTCAAGCGATTCTCCTGCCTCAGCCTCCTGAGTAGCTAGGATTATAGGTGCACACCACCATGCCTGGCTAATTTTTTGTATTTTTAATAGAGATGGGATTTCACCATGTTGGCCAGGCTGGTCTTGAACTCCTGACCTCATGATCCGCCCGCCTCGGACTCCCAAAGTGCTGGGATTACAGGCGTGAGCCCCTGCGCCCGGCCTGACCTTCTCCTTTTATCTTTCCTGCTGTGCTGTGTAGGTTGCAGACAGGATGGCTGGAGATTGAGCATCTGTCTTGGCCTTGAGGTAACCTTGAGAATGTTGGGCACACAGAGAAGAACAAAAAGAAAAGGTACCTGGGACTGGATACCTTGGACCACTTACCTCTAGATTTTTGCAGAAGAGAAAAATACATTTCTGTGTTAATTTTTTTTTTTTTTTTTGAGACGGAGTCTCACTCTGTTGCCCAGGCTGGAGTCCAGTGGTGTGATCTCGGCTCACTGCAACCTCCGCTTCCCGGGTTCAAGCGATTCTCCCCAGTAGCTGGGATTACAGGCGCCCACCACCACACCTGACTAATTTTTTTTTTTTGTATATTTAGTAGAGATGAGGTTTCACTATGTTGGTAAAGCTGGTCTCGAACTCCTGACCTCAGGTGATCTGCCCACCTCGGCCTCCTAAAGTGCTGGGATTACAGGTGTGAGCCACTGTGCCTGGCTTTCTGTGTTAATTAAGTCATTTTTAGTTTAGATTTTATGTTGCTATTAGTTGAACCTTATCCTAAGTGACACTGTCCCCAAATTTAAGAAAAAAACAATTCCAGAGGCATTTTCTTTCCATCAGTGGTGAATCACTAGCATTAGTATGAGAAATGAAGAAAAGCTACTTCACTGGCAACTCTCATCTTTCAGAGAAACAAAGTAGTGGCCCACAAGTTCCACTCAACTATTAGGCAGTTCATTGGCCATGGTTCTGATACCTGGGTTTCATCTTTCTTCCACTTCAAAGGCAGTGGTGAGATACTCCTTTGGAACAATCCCAACGAGGCTGTTCAGTTCTCCCACCCACCAGCCATACATGTTATACTCCTGAAAAGTGAAAAGAGGATAGCGTCAGTTAGAATTTGTTCATGCTTCTGCTCATTTATTCTAGTGATTGCATGGGAGATTCTGTTTGGTGGTTTCATTGTTGCCATTATCACTGTGAACTGTTAACTTCCCTGATGGGATTATTAAATTTAAAAAAATCATCTAGAGGAAGAGAGCAAGCACTTTCCTTTTGCCATCTTCCTGTCTACATTGTAAAATTAGCACATTTGATGCCCTTGCTGAACCTGAAGAGCATTTTTTTTTAAACCAAGCCGAATGGTATGGCTTCTTAGAGAAAGTTGGGCACACATTAAATTGCCAGAACACTACAGATATTCAAGGGGTCAAGTCATAGTTCAAATCAATAATATTTATCAAGCATCTTCTATGTGCAAAGTGCTGTTTGAGTTCCCATGAGGTATGTAATGATGAATCAGAAGATTGCTTGCTCCTTGGGAGCTTACAGCAGAGTAATGGGCTTTGGAGTCAGACAGACTGAGATCTAATCCTCGCTTGGTCATTTAGTAGTCACATGACCTTAGGTTCTCCTAGCTTTAGCTTCTTTGTGAGAGTAGGGATAATATCTCCCTTCTATCTTGTGGGGATGTAAATTGTATCACTGAAGTAAAAACAACTGAAAGTGTTTGATACATAGTAGATGCTCTAAACATTAGATTCTTTCCCTAGAACAGGTGAGAGGTGACAGGTACATTAATAATGACAGGCTAGTCACAGAGAGGAACAAACAAGAAAGAGGATGAGAGGGTTTTAAAGAGAGTTTAAGGGGTAGTCACAGAGTGAGGATGCAGCTCCTTGAATACAGAAAAGCTTCTCAAAAGCACAGCAGATGTTGAAGAGTATGGGGCTATTTCTTTTTTTTTTTTTGAGACGGAGTCTCGCACTGTCGCCCAGGCTGGAGTGCAGTGGCAAGATCTCAGCTCACTGCAACCTCCGGCTCCCACGTTCAAGCAATTCTCCTGTCTCAACCTCCTGAGTAGCTGGGATTACAGGTGCGTGCCATCACACCCGGCTATTTTTTTTTTTTTTTTTTAGACAGAGTCTGGCTCTGTCTCCCAGGCTGGAGTGCAGTGGCGCAATCTCGGCTCACTGCAACCTCCACCTCCCAGGTTCAAGCGATTCTCCTGCCTCAGCCTCCCGATTAGCTGGGATTACAGGCGCGCACCACCACGCCCGGCTAATTTTTCTATTTTTAGTAGAGATGGGGTTTCACCATGTTGGCCTTGATGGTCTTGAACTTCTGACCCCAGATGATCCACCCGCCTCAGCCTCCCAAAGTGCTGGGATTACAAGCGTGAGCCACTGCGCCTGGCCACAACTGGCTAATTTTTTATATTGTTGGTAGAGATGGGGTTTCATCATGTTGGCCAGGCTGGTCTCAAACTCCTGACCTCAAGTGATCCACCAGCCTCGGCCTTGCTAAGTGCTGGGATTACAGGCGTGAGCCACTGTGCCCACTCTGAGTATGGGGCTATTTCTGATAGCACCAGAAAATGTTTTCTTTCTTTTGAAAGAAGTAAAATTAGAATGAAAAAAAAATTTTTTTTTTTTGAGACAGAGTCTCACTCTGTTGCCCAGGCTGGAATGCAGTGGCACAATCTTGGGTCACTGCAACCTCCACCACCTGGGTTCAAATGATTTTCCTGCCTCAGCCTCCTGAGTAGCTGGGACTACAGGCTTGCGCCCAGCTAATTTTTGTATTTTTAGTAAAGACGGTGTTTCACCCTGTTGGCCAGGGTGGTCTCGAATTCCCGACTTCGTGATCTGCTCACCTCGGCCTCTCAGAGTGCTGGGATTACAGGTGTGAGCCACTGTGCCTGGCCAAAATAAATTTTTTTTTTTTTGAGATGGAGTCTCGCTCTTTTGCCCGGTCTGGAGTGCAGTGGTGAGATCTCAGCTCACTGCAACTTCTGCCTCCTGGGTTCAAGCGATTCTTCTGCTTCAGCCTCCTGAGTAGCTGGGACTACAGGTGTGCACCACCACGCCCAGCTAATTTTTTGTATTTTTAGTAGAGACGGGGTTTCACCATGTTGGCCAGGCTGGTCTTGAGCTCCTGACCTCGTCATCCACCCGCCGCAGCCTCCCAAAGTACTGGGATTACAGGTATGAGCCACCGTGCCTGGCCCCGAATGAAATTTTAAGTATGGGAAATATCACATATTCCAGTTCAATTGGATTTGGGGTACCAAAGAGCTAACTGCTTCTTTGTACACTTGGTTGCTGAGTACTATTAGGAAAAACAAAACAAAAGAAGTAAAACCAGATTGGTGATATGTAAAATTCAGAGTCCCTAGCATTATCTGGTGATCTTTTTATCTCTGGATGCATATAATTATCATAGAATTATGATATCTAATATCTCCCCTCCTCAAACTCATGTTGCTTCTGACAACCTCTTCTCCACCTTCAAAGGGAAAAGAGAAGCCATCAGATTTGTCAGCCACCAGCCACCAAAGCAGGAACTTACCTGTATTGACAACCATCTTTCTTTCCCATTAAAGTCGGGGAAGCACCCCTCCCCTGGTTTAAGACTACCCCTCACAACACGCACTTGCAACCCTCCTCCTTCCTTTCCGAGAGATGAGGTTCTGTGGAGACTGACCATTGCCTGTAAAGTAAATGGCTCCTTCCACCAGCACTGAAAGGTGTTCAAGTTTCTCTCATTTTTTAAAACAACCATTAAATAGCTGCCACTGATGTCTACTTCCCATTTCTTCTAGTCTATGCCACACTTGTTGGGAAAGTTTACTCACTCACTGCTCCAACTTCCTTCCTGTTCACTGTTGAAGCCGCTCTCATCAGGCTTGGTTGCCGTCCTCTACTTAGGCTCTCTCTCCATGGTCTCCTGTAACCTCTGCATTGCTCAAATTCCCTGAGCACTTCTCAGTCCTTAACTTACTTGATCTCTCAGCAGTGCTGGCACTATTGGTCCTCCTTGAGGCCTTTTATTCTCTTAGTTTCTATGATAATTATACTCTCCTGGTTTCTCTCCTTCTACTTCTACTTCTTCTCATTCTCCTTTGCAGGCTCATCTTGCTCAATTCTGCTTTTTAATGTGGTTGTTTTCCAGGGTTCTGTCCTGGCCTTCTCTTCTGTCTTGATGCGCTTTACTAGAGCAATCCCATATATCTCTGTAGAGTATCCACCATGTCTGTGTTTATCACTCATGACCACAGCTCCACCCCAGGTCTGTACTGGACCCCAATAGCCAAGTGCATTCCACCAAGCTGTTCAAACTCAGTATGTCCTAAATTTAACATGTAATCCTGCCTTCACCTCCATCCTGACTCCAAAGCTATCTTTGCTTCCTTGGTTCTCTATCTCAGTGAGTTGTACTACAATGCACTGTTACCCAGGCTGGAATCTCAGGAGTCATTCCCAATTTCACTTTCACCTTCTTCTTCTTTCTTCTTCTTCTTCTTCTTTTTTTTTTTTTTTTAAGATGGAGTCTTGCTCTCTGTTACCCAGGCTGCAGTGCAGTGGTGTGATCTCATGATCTCGGCTGACCACGACCTATACCTCCCAGGTTCAAGCAATTCTCCTGCCTCAGCCTCCCGAGTAGCTAGGACTACAGGCACGTGCCACCATGGCCAGCTAATTTTTGTATTTTTAGTAGAGACGAGGTTTCACCATATTGGCCAGGCTAGTCTCGAACTCCTGACCTCAGGTGAGCCACCCGCCTCGGCCTCCCAAAGTACTGGGATTACAGGTGTGAGCCACTTCGCCCAGCCCCATCCCCCTCTTCTAATCAATCCTTGAGTCCTGTCGATTCTCCCTCTAAAATATTACTAAAATCCTCCATCTTCTTTCCGTTCCCAGTTGCCAATGCCTTAGGGTCATGTAGCTATCGTCTCACGTGAGAACTACAGAAACAGTCTCCAAGTTAATCTCTGTATCAGCATTCTTCTTCTCCACTCTATTCATTGTGCAGCCAGACTCGCTCCCTACAGTACACATTGATAATGTCACTGCTCTGCTTGGAAACTTTCGGTGGGTTCCCAATGCCCCTTGTTAACTGGTTTTTGTTTTTGTTTTTGTTTTTTTTGAGCCATAGCCCCTGTTGCCCAGTCTGGAGTGCACTGACACGATCTCAGCTCACTGCAACCTCTGCCTCCTGGGTTCAAATGATTCTCCTGGGTTCAATCTGAGTAGCTGGGATTACAGGTGCCTGCCACCACACCTCGCTGATTTTTGTATTTTTAGTAGAGATGGGGTTTCACCATATTGGCCAGTCTGGTCTTGAACTCCTGACCTCAGGTGATCTGCCTGCCTCGGTCTCCCAAAGTACTGGGAATACAGGCATGAGCCACTGTGCCTGGCCACCCCTTAACTTCTTAACAAAGTAGACAAGGCCCTGCATGACCCAGTCCCACTCACTGTTCAGCATTGTTACTCACCTCCTAGATTTAGTGTTCCTTAGTAAAATAGAACTTGTCTCAGCTGCTCCCATGGGCCACAGGCTCCCTCACCTTGGAACCTTTCCTCTGCCTGTTTAGCCTCTACTTCCCTTCTCATTTCATGGGGCTTACTCCTAAGCAGCCTTCAGATCTCAGTTCCTGAGTTACTCACTCCCTAGAAGCCTCTCCTTGACACTCTCTGACTGTGTGGGGTCCCGGTTACACGGTCCACAGTGCTGTGCCCTGTGCTTTCCTGGAAAAGAGCTTGTGATTACACTGCCTTCTATCTGCCTGTCTTTGTCTCAGTGTCAATCACTAGTTGGAAAGTTCTGAGGACTGGACCTTGTTGGTTTTGTTTGCTTTTGTGTTCTCAGCATTCAGCACTATATCCAGCACAGAGTGGGGCCAAATAAATACTTGTTAAATGAGGCCGGGCGCGGTGGCTCACACCTGTAATCCAGCACTTTGGGAGGCCGAGGTGGGTGGATCACCTGAGGTCAGGAGTTCGACACCAGCCTGACCAACATGGTGAAACCCTGTCTCTATTAAAAATACAAAAATTAGCTGGGCGTGGTTGAGGATGCCTGTAATCCCAGCTACTCGGGAAGCTGAGGCAGGAGAATTGCTTGAACCCGGGAGGCGGAGGTTGCGGTGAGCCAAGATCATGCCATTGCACTCCAGCCTGGGCAACAAGAGCGAAACTCCATCTCAAATAAAAACAAAACAAAACAAAACAAACAAAAAAACTTGTTAAATGAGATTATGATGAAATGAAGGGGGCAGTGGGAATTTGTATTCTTAGTTGAGCAGATTTAGTTACAACTAACTCCAAGATATTCCCCTGGTGATTGAACTAGTTGTGGCAGAAAGAGATCAACTACCTTTGGAGACAGTCTCCTCAAATGGCTCCTTATACAACAATAAGAGTCTGAAATGCCACAAGAAGTGAGACTACTGAGTTGATCCTTTTAGGACCAGGGAAGTGCCTTGTGAAAATCAGCCTTAAATAACTAAATGTGTCTGTCTGCCACCTCTTCCTACACCACACCTTCTTTTCTTGTTTTGTTTTTTGAGACAGGGTTTCGCTCTGTTGCCCAGGATGGAGTGCAGTGGTGCAAGTATAGCTCACTGCAACCACTCCTGGGCTTAAGTGATCCTCCCGCTTCAGCCTCCTAAGTAACTAGGACTACAGGTGCATTTCACCATGCCTGGCTAGTTAAAAAAAAAACTTTTTTTTTTTTTTTTGTAGAGATGGGGTCTCCCTATGTTGCCCAGGCTGGTCCTGAACTCCTGGGTTCAAGCAATCCTCCTGCTTGTTGGGATTATTGGAGTGAGCCACTGTGCCTGACCCACCACACCTCATTTCCTCCCTCTCCCAGGCCAGCTTCTCCCTACAGTTCGCAACGTCTTATGGGAAATTACCTATAATTCTTTAGCTTTTTTTTTTTTTTTTTTTTGGGAGACAGGATTTCACTCCCTTCACCTAGGCTGAAGTGCAGTGGCATGATCTCGGCTCACTGCAACCTCTGCCTCCTGGGCTCGAGATTCTCCTGCCTCAGCCTCCAGAGTAGCTGGGACCACAGGTGCATGCCACTGCCTAATTATTTTTTATTTGCTAATTATTTTGTATTTTTTTTTTGTAGAGATAAGAGTTTTGCAATGTTGCCTAGGCTAGCCTTGAACTCCTGAGCTCAAGTGATCCCCCAGCTTCAGGCTCCCAAAGTGCTGGGATTATACCCTGCCCAGCCTGTCAGGGCATTTTTAAGCTCCTCTTGGTACAAGATATGTTACTGTCCATTTTCCGACACTGAAATTAGGGCAGTTTCTGACTTAAGTTTTCTTGTAGTGTTGCCTTGCTGTGAAGGGGAAATACATACTCTGTCTACCTCTCACATTGTAACTCGTAAAAACTAGCTTTAGCTCTTCTGCTATCTCACAGGCAGAGAGTGGGCAGTGTTGTCTGAGAGTCTTTTGATCCAAGTCAACTTGCTGAAATGTGTGAAATGTGGTCTTCCACCTGCCAGATGCTGTCATCTGCATCACCTGCAGGGGACAGTAAGGCATTTGCTCCCCGGGGGTTGTTCAACGCTCCTAACTTTGACTAACACTTTGTAGCACCCCTCTTTAGTCGTAATGCCAGGAGTAGGGATGAAGCCTTGGGAAGGTGCTCTCTGCCAACTCGAAGAGGGTGCGAACAGGAAGCAGATGAGTCTCAGCAGGGTACCTGCAAAAGCCAGGCTCCCAGTCTGTCTGCTCTTGCTCCAGGGGAACACTGACCCTGCCGACTGCAGATGTAGAAGCCTCGCCACAGTGATGAGAACTGAAATGAGTGAAATCAACTCTCTGCCCTTCAAAACAAAAGAGCAGGCAGAAGTGTAAGGAGGATGGCACAGTCCCAGAGACCATATGCATCCTGCTGTGGGAGCCTGGGAGCTTAATCAAAGCACCTACAGGTCCCGGGATCTGACTGTCTTTTCCAGATTTCATCCCTTGGCTGTATACCCGAAAAGGGCTGCAGGGCTGAGATGTTTAAAGCATGAATGGAAAATTTCTAACCTTCTCTCCCACTACCACCCCCATGCGTTGCTCCAGCCCAGTCTGAACACCACGAGGTATTTTAAAATAATTTCTACTTTGATGAATTGCTGGGGAGTCCACAATTGCTCATAATCAAAGGGAGAAAAATGCAAATGAGATCCGGCCGAGAACTATCACCACCAAACGTTTATTTCACTGCACAGTGCCAAAAAGAATTAAAACAACATTAAACTCACAGCAATCATGTTTAAGCCCTCGTTTCCAAGTGCCAAATTGCACCACTCTGGATCATACAGATGTTCGTTAATTATGCTAATTTTTATTAAACTATTAAAATGGAGAGAGTACTGGCTCAGTCAGGCAGACCCCAGCTCTGAATGAACCCTGCTCCTGTCTAAAGGTGCTAATTTACTGCATTTTTATTAAGTTGCTGATTCTTGAGTTTTAGTTTTAGGATGGCAAAGAGAACTGAATTTCTGGGATCAATGTTTTCTATAAAGTCTGATTTCTCTTTGCCCAGATGTTTGGAAAGATTGGAAAAATGCTGAGAGGCTCCCAGGAGACCTGAAATCCTCAATTTGGAAGTGTTTCTGTCTTCAAGGTAGGGATGCACATCTACAAGTGACTGTGTTAGGGCTTCAGAATTATACATGCTCACTATTCCATAACTCTACATATATTCTCAATGGTAGGGCTAAGATTTAAATTATACAAAATTGTTCAATGAAGATGTTTTAGATAAGAATATAAAAAGTTATTAAAAAAAAACCCACAAACCTTTCCATCAGGGCTTGCTTCTTGCCACAAAGTCTTTTTAGAAACTTTCATCTAAAATAAGCACAGTGTATGGTTTGTTCTCCTCATAAATATTTCTAGGTTTGACTAAACATCTGCTTCTCTCAATACCAACCTTGCCCCACCTCCTTGAACAACCCACATGAAGAAGTCTTAAAAATAAAAGTTGGCTATTTGCACTCCATTATATGGCTGTAGAAACTATTGGTCTGGATGAATGAAGCATTGAGTGAACCTGAAATAGACGCAGCGCTCACCATCAGCAACAATCAAAGTGTTTATGGCAGATTTCACACTGCCATAAAAGGATTTATGCTAATCTCCATCAACAAGGAAAAAAAAAAACCCTACCAAACCTGCCATAAAAAGAACAGCAAATTCTATAAACAAAAAGCAGTATGGCCACCAACAATGGGCATGTTGCACAGCTTGACTCTGCCTCCAGTGGTTTCCTATTGCTGTTTATGGTTTCAGGACTATCATGGACCTCCTCAGAGCTCCTCCTGTCACAGGGCCCTGAGTCCCTGTGTGGTGCTGCAAATACCCTGTCAGTAGGTGTCAGGGGATATTGGGGGAAAACCAGCAGGCGCCTATCATAAGGCTTAAAAGAGATTAAATACCCCTACTCCATGATTGCTACATTTTAATTTCTCTCCTCCCTGCTGGTTCCTATTTGTATAAGCTCTTCCATGGCTCCCCTGGAGTAGCACAGACATGACCTGGAATGACCATCCTGTCTTGGGATGAGAATTCAATTTCTAGGCTCAGTGAATCCTAGGCTGTTCCAACAAAAGGAACTCACCATCCTCCAGGGCACAGATTCTTAAACCAGAGTCTGTGAACCCCTGGCCTCTCTGTGGATGGATGTGAAGGAATCTTTGAACTCCCTGAAACTGGTGTAAAATTTTGTGTGCATGTGTACGTAGGCCTCGTCTCTGGGGTGAGGCCCAGAACTTTCATCAGATTCTCAAAGGGTTTATGAACCCTTTGCAGTTTACCAGCCGGCACTCTATGGGAAAAAAATACAATGGTCTTTATGGGCTGGATCTGTACTTTGGCCCAGGGTGGGTATCCTCGCGCTCCCCACACACAGGCCCCTGCTTTTAAAAAATACAATGAAGGAGAGGCCGGAGACGGTGGCTCACGCCTGTAATCCCAGCACTTTGGGAGGCTAAGGCGGGTGGATCACAAGGTCAGGAGTTCGAGACCAGCCTGGCCAATATGGTGAAACTCAATCTCTACTAAAAATACAAAAAAATTAGCTGGGCATGGTGGCGCACACCTGTAATCCCGGCTACTCGGGAGGCTAAGGCAGGATAATCGCTTGAACCTAGGAGGCAGAGGTTGCAGTGAGCCGAGATTGCACCACTGCACTCCAGCCTGGGCAACAGAGCGAGACTCCATTTAAAAAAAAAAAAAACAATGAAGGGGAATCAAGAATCCTAACTGCTTCCATGCTGGATTTCATGGGCTTCAGCCCTCCAGCTGAAGAGGCTGTTCCTCCTCAAAGGTCGACTGCTCTTGTGTACCTCTTTTAAGGAATCATCTCTTTTTTTTTTGAGATGGAGTTTTGCTCTTTGTCACCCAGGCTGGAGTGCAATGGCACGATCTCGGCTCACTGCAACCTCTGCCTCCCGGGTTCAAGCGATTCTCCTGCCTCAGCTTCCTGAGTAGTTGAGATTACAGGCACCCGCCACCACGCCCAGCTAATTTTTGTATTTTAGTAGAGACGGGGTTTCACCATGTTGGCCAGGCTGGTCTCGAACTCCTGACCTCAAGAGATCCTGCCCACCTCCACCTCCCAAAGTGCTGGGATTACAGGCGTGAGCCACTGCGCCTGGCCAAGGCATCATCTGTTTAACTGTGACTTCAGAGTTGTGGTGTCTTCTCACAGTTTCCATTCAAATGGCTTGGAGCAAGCTGCTTGACACTGTCAGTTCCCTGGATAAAGCTCCTAACAGAAACATTCTCTTTTCACATTGAATTGGGTTCCAAGTCTCCGTGGAACAAGATTCCCAGAAAATATCTCATACTTTTTTGTTCTTTTTACCATAAAAGTTCCCTATATCAGTGCTTATAAACAAGAGGATGCATCTTCAAGAGAACAGTCTATCAGCCCCTAACCCGAAAGATTAGTAAATGCTTGATATATGTATGGAAAGGTCAATCAATCACAGAAATATTGGTTTATGATTGCTTATTTCTCTTATTAGTGTTTGTGCATCATACATTGCTATTAGTTAAGATGGGAAATTTGAATTCCTAAGCAGAGTAACTTGTACTATTCCAGGGTCAGTCCCAGACATCGTATTTTTACTCTGGATTTCCCCACAAATTCTCTACTCCTAAAATCCAGCTTTGGATATATAATGCTTTCTTAGAATATCATACCCTATGAAATAAATTAAGGGCTCCAAATCAGCATCCTTCTAACTGCCGAGAAAAACAAGGCTGGGAACAAGAATTGTTCACCAAAGACAAAGTGCCCATTTTTCAGCACAGATAGTTTTATGAAGAGATTTTCCAGAAGGAGAAAGGAAATGGTCAGTTGGGTGGCCGGTGGGTTAGTGATGTTGGAACTTGTGAAAGGATCGAAGCTCAGCACTTGGCTGAAACCTTGGGTAGCGTGGCAGCCTCTCCAGGCTGTTTTACAATCTGTTTTAAGTTCTTGGCAATCACTTTCTCTTTTTCCATTATTCAGAGTTTTGGTCTATAAATCATAATAAAAATGAATCATTAAATTTGCCTCAATTGAGCTAGTTTTATTTACTGTTACATTTCAGGGAACTTGCTAATCTGGAGATTGATGGGCCTGGATACAGGGGAAAGTATGCAAGTGTGAGAAGGGGGACATGGGAAGGCTGGGTAGTCAGCAACAGCAGTTGGGAGGGGGGTGGGTCATGGTGACAACTCCACAAAGCGCACCCTGAGCTAAGTGTTCTGAGAAGAGGAATGTGTTCTCTAGATGGAGGGTCTCAGAGCACTTGAGTGCGAGAGAACATTCAGCCTTAAAGGTGAAGCTTATGTCCTGAACAGGGTGGGAGTGGATAATGATCAAGCTGAGGCCACGGAGGTGTGGAGGGCCTGTGCACACACTGCATGTTGTGGGTGAAATGTGTGCAAAACACAGAGTGGGTGTGTGCAAGTGTATGTGACAGAACAATCAAGCTGTGAAGGTAAGAGCAAAGGTGAAATAGGGCTGTAAAGAAAGAGAAATGAAAAGAAGCACACAACTTTACCTAAAGAAGAAAGAAGGGATAGAGGGAAGGTAAACACTTTGCAGATGGGAGAAAACAAGGTGCCAAGTGCAGAAGTCAGGAACAATAAAGACAGCACCATTTCGGAGCTGATAGAATTGTGATACCATGTGAGACGGGCGTATTAATATGTATTCCATAAACTGCGCAGCTCTGCACCGCTCTGTTTTGCTCTGACCGCAGTACCAGCCTCAGGCACCACAACACAATTTGGAAACAATGTGACGGAAATGTTTAATCTGCTCGGCCCATCTGTGCTGCGTATTTCTCCAGATCTCCCTGAGAGAGGCGCCTTGAATCTCCACATTGCCTTTAATATTCTCCTAAATCACCTCCCTACTGCACTTCAAGGGCCATTGCTACAATATCACAGGTTCATCTAAAGTGCAATGGGGAGGGGGTGTTGGGGGAGGCGCAGGCCGGGAGATTTTTTATTTTAAAATAATTTCCAGAGATCGTCTTTTCTGCTTCCTTTAAAAAAAAAGAAGAAAAGTTATTCTACTGTTGCCTTAAGGTTATTGAGGTTGTTTGGTGCAAAACAGGGTAGGATAGAGTGGAATCATTCTCCAAAGAATTATTTTTATTAATCTCGATTCTCTCAAATGGACATGGGAGGGTGAGCAGATGCTCGTTCTCTCTTATCTCTTTTCCTTGCACCTTGCTAGAAAGCACACATAGGGTATGCTAGGGTGATGTGTTCATTTGGGGTTGGAGCCTCTCTCCTTTCCACTCTTGGCATCAGGTACCAGCTTGTTAGTTCCCAGGGCCAACCCTGTCTCTGCTCCACTCTAAACAAAGCCATCTCATTCAGGACAAGTATACATTTAGTCTCTGGTCAACATGCCCTCATTAGGAGAGGACTCTGTCTATATTTTTAATTTTAGCTTAAAACCTTAGATTTTCTCTCCTTAAGTAGAGATGTTGGGTGTCAGATTTCCACTGCCTTTCCCCACTTGATTGCGCCAGATTCAGCAATTTGGGTCTAGCTGGGGTGGGTTTTGGAGAAAGAGGGATGACAAGTCACCATGTTCCAGACCCTAGACAAATGGAAGAGAGTTGCACATCACCAAGAAAATTAGGATTCCTTTTGCTTTGTGAATTAAAGAAATGAATAATTTAATCCTCAAGATTGTTCCGGCGAGGGAAAAGCAACGTCCCAGTTGCGGAGCCCTACAGCCTGTCGGTGTGTTACATCATCTGCACACATAGGCGTTTCCATGACAACCGCTTATAGCTTCATTTCCTGGATCCCTCTAGGGGGTGTCACAGCCAGATCCACCTGCTTTTCACCCTACCCTCGGTGGGGTCATGGTAAGGTCGCCAGAATAAATGAACGCGGGTACTAATGATCTGTTTACTGCTGTTTATGCTCTGTGTGTGTCAGGGGCACGCACATTTAGAGAGCTCATTATGGTTGCAATTAGAATGCACCATCGCTAGATATTTAACTCCTTTTTCTTTTAAATTAGCATTTTAATAACATTCTTTGAGCAGAGAAACAAAATGACCATTTTTCACGGACAAACTTCTAGCTGTAGGTGCAACTTTAATGGCAAAGTTGTGAAGGGGAAAGAAGGGGAAAAAAGGCCATTTTTACTACTTTCACCCTCCTCCTTACCAAAAGGATATTTTTATTTGCTTTCTAACACACTCAATTTCCTAAATTTGTTTTGAATCCAATTATTTTGGGTGGTTTAAAGTACTGCACTCTTGTTGGACGGAAATTAGCAGCGATTGAAATTAACTTTTTATGTGACCTGTGAAAGGGGCTAAAATAATTACAAGTGTGTAGAAGAAACTCTCCAAAAGACCCTTGCTGTAGGATCAGGCTGTGATCCGATGATGCCATTATCCAAATATCTTTATACAGCAAATACAAGGGCTTTTTTCTTTAAAAAGGTGATTGCAATTATTGTTTCTGTTTTGTAATTCTGAGGATTATCTTGTAGAGGATAAGTGATGACAAAAACTTGTCATTATAGACAGGATAAATAAGCAGAAAGAATGAAAATAATAACACAGCATTGTTTACCATTTAAAAATGGTGAGCATCAAAAAGCAGGAGAGGAGGAACAGGAAAGGTGTAGAGACCCCCTTGGTTACAATGTTTCAAAAGGCATTGCTTTGTAGGGATCAGCCAACACCCTTTCTAGGTGTTTATAGATGCTCTGTTTGTGTAAAGTACAGTGAAAAATAACAATTTGAATGTTTCGATTATCTTTCCCAGTCCGTTCCATTTTCATTATTTATTTCCTATAAATCGGGACCTTGCTGAACATAATTCTGCAGACAAGGAGGTGGATGGGACAGCCAATGTGAACAAGGAGATAGATGGTGGGTGCGTATAAGATAGATGCTATGCGCTTATGAAAAAGAGCAGTATGTCTGCATGTGAACATCCACAAAGTAGAGCGAGCAAGCGTGTACACGACAACGGGTATTTATAGGTGGAAAAAGGTGCAAGGAAGATTATGTGGGAACAGGCACAGAGAGTCTGAAACGGTTTGCTCTTTTCCCTACCCTCCTGGAATCCACGTCCAAGTTCTGCCTAAGATGTCCCACACTTGCTGTGGCTCCTGTGAACCTCGCAAGCCTTTCCATGACAACAGACGGGGATTTCACAGCCAGAAGACTTAGGAGGTCAACAGTTGAAAAGCAAGATTTAGAGAGATCTTTAAACAATCACACTAACCTCCCTCCCCTTCCAAAGACAGAAGGAGGAAAACATTTAAAGACGCAGCAGGAAAAAAAAAAAAAAAAAGAGCCTTTCTAAAAATGCAAGTTTAAAATGTTCATGCTTTTGTATCAGCCTAGTTGCACCTTAGAATCTGCCATTTCATAAATAAAATACCGATGGCATAGAGTATAATTTGGTGACAGCTACCCCAGGACATATCTAGATGCACTTCTGTTATTTTAATTAAATACTGCATTATGGTTTGTGACAACTACATAGCTATAGCGTAAATGAATTCAGAATTAAAGTGTTACTTAGGCATCCAGTAATTTTTGTTTCATTCCTTAGTTTTACAAAGCAAATAGCTATAAAATCAAGATGTTTGTTCATTTACAGATGGAGCAGGATTGTCGTCGCTGTTTTTTTCCTCCTTAATCCTCATCCACAAAAAGAAGACACAGTTCAGAGTCTGGCTCCCAACACTCTTAGCTTATGAGCCACATCACAAAGAAAAACACATCCTCTTGACTATAATGTGAAATGCTGAATATTAATTGCTGGTATTATGCCTATCTTTCTAGCTGGGTTCTGTCTTTTAACAATTATTCGGATGGGCTACAGCCTTGCACTGCCAGGAGATTCTTCTCCTTTGTTTAATAGTTAGAAACCAATTTTATTAAAAAACGGTAAAGTTCACAATGCTCCATGTAAGTTCTTAGTATTTGGAACTCTCCCCAAATACAGAATATTATCAGGAACAGAGAAACTGCAGACTCTCTTTGCTAAATATGATGAACATTTCTGCATTTAAAAGAAAAAAATATTTTTCATTTTAGCAATATTAATGTTTCCTTAATGAAACTGGAGAGGGTGTTACAATTTGATATACTTGGTTAGTTTCATTGTCACTTCACTAGCAAATCATGAGAAAGGTTCAGAATATTCTCATCTATCAGGTACAGATTTTCACTCAAAATTAATATGTAGAGTAAAAGGATTTTTGTTCAAATCTGAGGATTTAACTGTATCTTTAACGTTTCATATGTCAAGATGAAAGTTTTTAAATAACTAGTTTTCTGAAACCATTTCTATTATTTCTAATTTGAGAATCAATATGATCTTTTTATTAGCCTTAAATACCATACATCTGGGAATGTCTGCAAATTTAAGCTTTTCTGTGTTCTAATCAATTACCTTCAGTCTTGCATAACTAATCCTATAATCTCCATAGAAGTTACTGCCCTGTATGTTAGCAATGAGGTTATACTTTGTTTCAATATTTTGCTAGTTTGGTTGGAGAGCTGAATCACGCAATACCAAGAAATGGTGGCAGAAGAGGTTTGGGGAGGCTGAGTTTCTTTTGAGAAAATAATTATACTGAAACAAAGCTTTTGTGACTCCTTTTAAATAGGGCATCTCACCAAAATGTCATCCAGCCTCTTTGGCAGATTAGTGGGGAGTTTATTACTAAATCTCTGTCTAATAAATGTGCAGTTGACTCTGGAGGAGCTGCTTGTTATAATACTGGCGGTGGGAAATGGAGGGAATGTCACAGTTAAAGACACAAATTTTCCCCATAATATATTCAAATGGAAACCTCTGAATCCAATACTACATGGGCATATCTAATAAATTCACAATATTTCAGTTTCCGCAGCCTTCACCGGTTAGTTTTAAAGATTTATGTGGTAAAAAATTACTCAGTGATGAATATGGTTTATTCTGTGCAGTATTGGAGGTATAAGGAATTAAACTACCATCTTTAACAGTGAATTTATTATTACCTCTGTCAAAAGACGAAGACGTTAACAGCATTTGTTATAAATTCACTGCAAAATAAATGGCTGGAATTTTTTACACTGGAGTTTGTAAAGCATCGGGCAATTCTGAGCATTAACCTAACCCGGCCGTGGCTTATATGGTTCTAGGTAAACGTTTCTGTCTGGGCTTCGTAGTTAATTATCTGGTCTGGAATTTTCCCCAACTGAAAACTGTGTGCACATGGACACACACACACACACACACACACATACATACACAGAGAGAGAGAAAAGTGAAAGGTCTTGTCCAGGACAACTGTTTAGGAATAAATAGATTAGACTATTTATAGATAGATAGAATAAAATAAAATGCCAATTTTATTCTCTTTTTAAAAAATGGGTTTTAGAATAAATGGTCAGGGTTTGCAGGATGGGTTGATGAGCAACTGGGCCTCTTGTTAGCAGGTTTACATGCATGCATATGCACACACACATAAACACCCTCTCCCTTTTGTCCTCTCTTGGAATGGGTGTCCCCTCATTTATAAAAATTACCTGGAAGGAATGAGGCTGCCAGGGTTTGTTCTAGACGATTGGTTCCTGTCTGGGGGAAAGGAATGGCCTCTACTGAATTTGACCGGTATATGACCGTTGCCTTCCAGCTGACCCCAAATCCCATTCCCATCCTCCTAACTCCGTTGCCTCCCATAGGGGTTATTAATGAGAGAAAACACCATCATCATCATCTTCGTCATCACAGCACAGTGTTGACCTGCTTGTTAACATGAAATGGGGTGGTGGGGACAGCTTCTGCTTCTCTTGCATACCATCATAAATAAGAAAAGATACTTTGCCATAGGATCCCCTCACCCACCCCTTTGATTAGGTCAGAGGTGCATAATAGCTCTTTGACAGGCATTGATCAGTTTCATCACACTGTTTGGGCAGCCTGTGCCCCAGGCCTATATTCTCCCCACTTACTACCCCTAAATTACCTCCCAGATAACCCCCCACCCATCCCCCACTCAGCCAACCAGAGGGTATGGTGCCTGAGGAAGTCCTAAATGGACACTAGATGTCACCAAACACCTCCTTTCCCTCAGAGCCCTGAAATTAAAAAAAAAAAAAAAAAGAAAAAAAAATCCTTCATTTAAGGCAATTGAAGGAATTAACTTATCTGTTTTTATGAGGGTTGTTGTCACATTCAACTAAGCACACTTAAAAGAGGAAGTATTGCTGCATTAAGATAATTTTTACAACATACAAATCTCTTTTGGAAAGAACGGGGTCAAGGGAGGGGAAAGGTCTCCATTCTTTTAAGTAGCCCATTGAGGAAGTAGGTGGAGAAAACCGGGTTAAAACTCCCATTATAATTGACATAGTGTTGTGTTAACATAGTCCAGGTGTGCTGGCGCAGGCCTGCCGCATTCAGATGACTAGACTGGCTGTGGAGCCAGGATCTCATCTGAGTTTAAGTAGCTGCAGTCCAGGGTGACAAAGTCCATTCTTCTCCACATAAGACCCATGACCATCTGACAGCATCACGTGTTCCACGCTAAACTTGACTTTGTCTGTATGGCTCCCTGTTTCCACATCAATTCCATCAGCAAGGAAGATGACCCAGACCCTGGTGTGTCTGGGCCATGAGAATACCTTCCCACCCCAGCTAAGCCACCGTGTAAGTATAAATCTTATGCGTACCCAACTTGTTGCTCCAAGGCTGCTTTCCATGGAAATAAGGCACTGGACAATTCCTTGGAAGAGCCTCAGACCAATTTATGAGGCACACAACCCAAGCCCAAGAGATGTACACTGGCTCAGTTTACCTTAAATGGAAGATCTCACCCAGTGGCCTCTTCTCCTTCCTAGTCAATTGAAAAAGAGCTTCTCTTTCCCTCTTTAATTTGTCCTTATCTTCTGAACAGCTCATGTTACCACCATAAATAACTTATGGAACAGGATGCTTTTAAAAAAAATGGGCGTTTAAGTCTTATCTTGGCTGGGCGTGGTGGCTCACACCTGTAATCCCAGCACTTTGGGAGGCCAAGGCAGGCAGATCACTCGAGGCCAGGAGTTCAAGACCAGCCTGGCCAACATGGTGAAACCCCATCTCTACTAAAAATACAAAAAATTAGCCAGGTGTGGTGGCTTGAGCCTGTAATCCCAGCTACTAGGGAGGTTGAGGCAGGAGAACCGCTCGAACTCAGGAGGCAGAGGTTGCAGTGAGCCAAGATTGTGCCACTGTACTCCAGTCTCGCAGTCTGGGTGACAGAGCAAGACTCTGTCTCAAAAAAAAAAAAAAGTTATCTTGAATAGTGGAACAAGCATGATGATGATGATGATGATGATGATTTTTATTTTTTCTTGAGATGGAGTCTCGCTCTGTCATCCAGACTGGAGTGCAATGGCATGATCTTGGCTCACTGCAACCACTGCCTCCCGGGTTCAAGCGAGTCTCCTGCCTCAGCTTCCCTAGTAGCTGGGACTACAGGCACGCGCCACCATGCCTGGCTAATTTTTGTATTTTTAGTAGAGATGGGGTTTTGCCATGTTGGCCAGGCTGGTCTCGAACTCCTGACCTCAGGCAATCCACCTGCCTCGGCCTCCCAAAGTGCTGGGTGAGCCACCACGCCCTGCCAACAAGCATTATTATTATTTGGAAAGAATGTTCCCTAGTGAGAGACACTGGAGCCAAGAAGACAGGGTCACTTTTCTGAAAGCTAGGACTTGTGACTTGTCTTATCCAAATAGAGGCTTCTTACCTCTTTTTCTCCCACTTATAACAAGTGACCATAGGCCAAGCACAGTGGCTCACACCTGTAATTCCAGCACTTTGGAAGGCCGAGGCAGATGGATCACCTGAGGCCAGGAGTTCGAGACCAGCCTGGCCAATATGGCAAAATCCCGTCTCTACTAAAAATACAAAAATTAGCTGGGTGCCGTGGCACTTGCCTGTAGTCCCAGTTACTCAGGAGGCTGAGGCAGGAGAATCGCTTGAACCCGGGAGGCAGAGGTTGCAGTGAGCCGAGACCGCGCCGCTGCATTCCAGGGCAACAGAGAGAGACTCCGTCTCAAGAAAAACAGAAACAAAAACAAGTGACCACAGTGGTGCTGGTCCACAAAAGGGTCTTGCAATCTGCAGATAAAAGGAACTAAGCCAGGGCACCACACTATCACACGGAGGGTGATTCGGCACCTGCCCTGTCATGCCTGGTGCCCAGGCCGAATGGATTTTTGGAGTACACCTGTTGTTGAACCCCTGCCAAGTACTGATGGCCACTAACCCCCAAATCACTTTTCCCCACTGTTGATGTTTGGAATGTCAGACAGGACTGAGCAGCAGCCGGCGTGTATTTCAAACACAGCAGATGGATTTTTATATTAGCTCCTATTTCATGTTCAGGCAGAGCGACCGCCACGCTAAAACCACAGCCTCAATGCTGCCGAGTTTGCTTCTGTGAGATTAATTCTGTGAAATTAATTGGGACAAGATTGAAAAGGAAATTAAAATGCAGCTGAGTGAACAGGCCTTTCAAACACCTTTTCCCTGCTCTATTCAAACTTGAATTCTGCGGTGGTCGCCGGCATCGTGGGAAGTAATTTACGAGTCGCAGGCTCTCAGGAGCCATTGGTTACGTATGAGGAGACCTGCACCAGCGCCACAATCTGGAGCCACTGAAGAGCGCTAAACACCCTGCTGTGGCTTGAGCTGCATCCTGGCTCCGGGGAGGAAGGGAAGTTTAGTCCCTCACCAGAAAAAGCTGTTCAGAAATATCTGAGTCCAAAAGGAACACAGGAACATCCGCTGGATGCACAGATCTGCTTCGTTATTAAAATCTCCCTTTAATATATTTTGAGACCCAAATTGGAACTCAGTGAATTAAGTGGGCATGACACTGCATGGGGCCAAGGAATGCATGGATGTGATGCAGGGAGGTCAGTGGGAGTCCTCCTGCTGACTGTGCCACTGGTTACTGTTTCAGAGTTTGGATGTGTGGCTCTGGTCTCTCCACAAAATGAAGTTTGAATAATCTGTCAGGGACGAAAGCTCTCAGACCAGGAAAGGCATGGTGGATTTTCATGTAGGCCTCTTCACTGGGTATTTTTTTTTGTATCCAAGTGAGCGACTTTTGTGCTGTAGATCATCTCTTTTTCAATAATTTATTGAACTCCTAGTATGTGCCCAACACTGATCCAAAAGTTTATTATTAGTAAAAGGGAAGGAAATATTCCTACTTCCTACATGCCAGGCACTTCCTTACACAAATTCTCTAATGTAAACATCACAACAAATGTATAAATATAAAATTTCCCAATTTTTACAGGTGAGGAAACTGAAGATTATCAGGATTAGGAGATTTTTGCCCAGGGTCATAAATAACCCGTCTGTTACAGGCACTTACTTGCTTCCCTGAGAACAGGACAGGTGATGGGCACTTGGTTATCTCTGGGGAGCATCTTTTTTTTTTTTTTTGAGACGGAGTCTCGCTCTGTTGCCCAAGCTGGAGCGCAGTGGCGTAATCTCGGCTCACTGCAACCTCTGCCTTCCAGGGTCAAGAGATTCTCCTGCCTCAGCCTCCTGAGTAGCTGGGATTACAGGTACCTGCCACCACACCCAGCTAATTTTTGTATTTTAGTAGAGACGGGGTTTCACCATGTTGGCCAGGCTGGTCTTGAACTCCTGACCTCAGGTGATCTGCCCGCCTCGGCCTCCCAAAGTGCTGGGGTTACAGGTGTAAGCCACCGTGCCCGGCCTCTTTTTTTTTTTGAGACAGGGTCTCACTCTGTTGCCCAGGCTGGAGTGCAGTGGCACTATCTCAGCTCACTGCAACCTCCGTCTCCCGGTTCAAGCAATTCTCCTGCCTCAGCCTCCCAAGTAGCTGGGACTACAGGCATGCACCAGCATGCCCAGCTAGCTTTTGTATTTTTAGTGGAGACTGGGTTTCACCATGTTGGCCAGGCTGGTCTCGAACTCCTGACCTCGGGTGATCTGCCAGCCTCGGCCTCCCAAAGTGTTGGGATTACAGGCATGAGCCACCACACCTAGCCACTGGGGAGCATCTTTCTTGCCCAGTCAATCATCTTCTCTGGATAATTTTTTTTTTTGAAAAGGGATAGCCGGACATGGTGGCTCACACCTGTAATCCCAACACTTTAGGAGGCCGAGGTGGGTGGATCACCTGAGGTCAGGAGTTCGAGAACAGCCTGACCAACATGGCAAAACCTTGACTCTAATAAAAATACAAAATTAGCTGGGCATGGGGGTGCAAGCCTGTAATCTCAGCTACTTGGGAGGCTGAGGCAGGAGAATTGCTTGAACCCGGGAGGTGGAGGTTGCAGTGAGCCAAGATCATGCTATCGCACTCCAGCCTGGGCAACGAGAGCAAAACTCTGTCTCAAAAAAAAAAAAAAAAAAAAATGCGATAAATAGCTCTCTTTCTGTGATCATTCTTGCCCAAAGGCAAGACTAAAAGATTCTCCTCTGGGCCGGTTGCGCTGGCTCACGCCTGTAATCCTAACACTTTGGGAGGCCGAGGCGGGCGGATCACGAGGTCAGGAGATCCAGACCATTCTGGCTAACACAGTGAAACCCCGTCTCTATTAAAAATACAAAAAGAAAAAAAAAAAAAGAAAAGAAATTAGCCAGGCATGGTGGCGGGTGCCTGTAGTCCCAGCTACTCGGGAGGCTGAGGCAGGAGAATGGCGTGAACCCAGGAGGCGGAGCTTGCAGTGAGCCGAGATTGTGCCACTGCACTCCAGCCTGGGCCACAGAGCGAGACTCTGTCTCAAAAAAAAAAAAAAAAAGAAAAAAGAAAAAAAAAGATTCTCCTGAGTTTGGTCCTAGGCTTCTAAGATTCAAAGTTGGATCATGCTTGGGTGACTATTAAGAAACAGCAGAGGCCGGGCGCAGTGGCTCACGCCTGTAATCCCAGCATTTTGGGAGGCCGAGGCGGGCGGATCACGAGGTCAGGAGATTGAGACCATCCTGGCTAACACGGTGAAACCGCGTCTCTACTAAAAATACAAAAAATTAGCTGGGCGAGGTGGCGGGCGCCTGTAGTCCCAGCTACTCGGGAGGCTGAGGCAAAAGAATGGCGTGAACCCCAGGGGGCGGAGCCTGCAGTGAGCCGAGATCGCGCCACTGCACTCCAGCCTGGCAACAGAGCGAGACGCCTTCTCAAAAAGAAAAAAAAAAAAAAAAGAAACAGCAGGGAGCAGCAGGAGCCTACGACTAAAGCTGCCATCCTCATTTCCCCTGCCACCTCCATCTCACCTCCCCTTCTAGATCCTCTAACCTCTGCACTCCGGACTCTGCCTTTCAGAATACTTTTATCAGATAGAGAGAGAGGGGGAAACCAGATGTATTTATGAGAACTGAAAACAAAAGAGCTGGTAATTTAAAAAAATTCTTTTTTGTTTAAACTGAATAAGTAATTAAGGCTAAAACACATTTTTGTGTGGAACTTCTTTAGCAGTTTTGCAGTGTCAGGCCCACCATATTTAGAATGGGAATGTCTGAGGTAGAAGGATTCTTAGATGCTATCCAACTCCACGCTCTCTTTTAACAGGTGAAGAAACAAGTCCACTTAAGCTGAGCTGCACACAGCTGCATCTGTGTCTCTCAGGGAAACAGATTTCCCTAGATTCCTAAACAGCAGGCCCTTCTTGTCCAACAGAGCTTCTACTGGACAAAAAGAAAAGTAAAATAGAGCTTTCTAGACACCACTTTCCGGGACTAAATTCAACTTGGGTCAGTTCTGTCCTTACAGGCGTGAGAGGCAGCTGCAGAGTGTAACGGACCCCAGCAAAAGAAGGCAGCTGAGGCTAAAGTGGGAATAAATTAGGATCTATTTGAGAGAAAATTCCAGAGATGAGGCACTACTGAACTTCTGAATAGACAGATGGCTGGGAATGGTAGTGGAATCTCGTTTTCTATCTGTTTGAATTTGTTCATTTGTGCTTCTTAGAAGCAAGGCGATGAATAGATTGGGTGGCCTTTTAAGGTTCCCTCCTGTCCAAGGACTATTATTGAATTAGGTAATATAATACAGGTGAATCAAAACTGAAATGCTCCCCAAACCAATGTTAACTGGAATGCAGCTTCATGAGGGAAAGTTCAGCTGAGCTCTTAACTTCTCATTTCCTCTTTGATATGCAGGGATTTGCAACATGGGGAAGGGAGCCAGCTGGTGTAGCTTTTTGGGAAAGAAATATGCTACTATTAATACAATGGTACAGGATGAAAATGGACTCAGAACCTTCCAGAAGAGAGGAGAAAGAAACTGATAGAAACAGGGCAGTGAGGTATTCTCATTGAATTAAACCCTGATATATTTGCTTTCTTTTCTTCTTTTTTTCTTTTTGGAGACAGAGTCTCACTCTGTCACCCAGGCAAGAGTGCAGTGGCAATCATGGCAAAAATCATGGCAGCCTTGAACTCCTGGGCTCAAGTGATTCTCCCAGCTCAGCTTCCAGAGTAGCTGAGACTACAAGCATGTACCACCACACCCAGCTATTTTTTTTTAAATTTTTTATTTTGTAGAGATGGGATCCTGCTATGTTGCCCAGGCTGGTCTTGAACTCTTGGGCTCAAGCATCCTCCTGCCTCAGCCTCCTAAAATACTGGGATCACAGGCGTAAGCCACCATGCCTGGCCTATGTTAGCTTTTAGTAACAGAGAAGGGGAAGAGGTTTTTTTTTTTTTCTTTTTAAAGATTGGATTGGTTCCCCATGTTCTTTGAGATTTCTTAAAAATACAATAGCCACTGTAACCACAGACAGCTCCATACTGCAGGACAGGTCACCGCACAACCCCTTCTAACTAGAGGAAAGGGACCCCCAGTGAGAAGCCATTAACAAAGGCAAAAGACATGCAAAACAAACAAAATAATCATGACAGAGAGAAGGCCAGCAGCCAGTCTGGCTCTGTTCTTCCCCCCTCCTGCTGCAGGCACCTCCAGACAATGTAAACAGTTAATTTGTTCACCTGCAGGCTCTGGGCAAACAGAGGCCTGGTCACACCTGAGTGGATAACTCGATTACCCCTGTAATGCCAGTGTGGTAATGTACACAAATTCTATTACACGGCAAACCTTGCTTTCGGGCATTTGAAATACCAATCAGGCCAATGTCCACTCCCTTTTTTGCTTCCAATTTATTCTTGGTGTGTATTGGAGCCACACAGAAATGGCACTAGGGTGGTACTGAGTTAAGGATCCAGGATAAATCACTAGAAGATTGTGATCTCACTCAACAAGGCCTGCAGGCCTCCTACTCTCTTGCAAACAAAGGGTTGGATTTGAATTGGGTCCATATTTAAAGGGGCCTGATTCTGTTGGAACCATAGAAAGGTGCTGTGGGTTAGACCTAGACTGTTTCCTAAGGTGCTTATGGTATATCTCAAACCAAGACAAACCTTTGCCCAAGGTAGTAAAATTCACAGAATAAAGATAAAAGATACTGACACATAAAAAAAAGAAGAAAGATAAACGATAAATGACAGATTAATAACCAACGGGTTTTCAGTTTTCCCTTATGGAATCCACATACTCAGCAATTAAAGAGCAAGTTGTGCCTATTTCAAAAATGTGTTTGTAGAGATTGATTGGCTGCATAGAGAGAGGACTTTTTAATAAGTGCTAGGGACAGAGCCTATTATTTTAGCCCACCTATAGAATATGTATGGTCTTTCTTTACCAACATGATGCTACTGATCCCCCAAACTGTAGCCCATGAGTTCTGAATCTTCTTCACATCAGTGATTGATCTGTAATAATCCATCCTTTTTTTAAAAAACCAGTTTGTTTACGGTCAACACTACTATTTGTAAGATGGTTAGCTGGAACTAGGGGTTAACTTATGACTGAGGAAGAGAATAAAGTTAGCTGGCCTGTGTGGGATTGAATTCACTCTCTTGGCCTTATCAGCAATTGCTCAAACCAATTGAGTTAACGAGCTCTGACTCCTCCCCCATACATAATTATGTTACAGTCTTGTTTATCTATAAATGAAATAAGAAGGCAGCTTACCTAGCCAGAATGTTTTCAATAGTATTACATGGTAATAAATTATGTACATAGTGATGACCTTTAAGCACAAGTCCCTGAGAAAGATTAAATTTTGATTGGCATGGTTTTGGTATAATACCAATTTTATTGCATTTTTTATTTTATTATTTTTATTATTTATTTATTTATTTATTTTTGAGATGGAGTCTTGCTCCATCGCCAGGCTGGAGTGCAGTGGCGTGATCTTAGCTCACTGCAAGCTCCGCCTCCCGGGTTCAAGCAATTCTCATGCCTCAGCCTCCCAAGTAGCTGGGACTACAGGCATGTGCTACCACACCTGGTTAATTTTCTGTAGTTTAGTAGAGACTGGGTTTCAGCATGTTGCCCAGGCTGGTCTTGAACTCCTGAGCTGAGGCAGTTCACCAGCCTCGGCCTCCCAAAGTGCTAGGATTGCAGGCGTGAGCCACCACGCCCGGCCTAGCCTTGTATTTTTAAATGTGAAAATGGTTCCTGAATCTGGATTTTCATTTAAAACTTTTCCTAACAATTATGAATAAATGGGAATTTATATTGTGAGGGAGCCATGGGAAGTGTATGACATGGAATAATTCTGTTTATGGTGACTAAATCAAGAATGAAAAAATTGACTTTCTATTTAAGCCCCACACTTTCTGTCCTTACCTTGCTCAGAATACGGATGAGGTCACCCCGTTGGAAGGACAGTTCATCTGGCTGGTCACCATGGCAATCCCATAGGCCCTGGTAGTAACTGGCATAGTCTACTGATCAAAGAGAGGAGAAATCAAAGTTAAAAGGACTCTATTTTTTCCGAGGTACCCATGTTTTTGCTGCAAATGGAAACCAGGGTTCTGATATTGCCCCTAGGAAACCTCAGATTAAGGGGAGTTGAGATGAGATACAGCCAAACACTCAGCATGAGCAAAGGACTATGGGAGAAGGAGATCATTAACTAACATTAAATATTTACAGATCACTCCTAGTAGGATGCCGTTCAACAATATGATAAATATATTTATTTATTAATAAAAGAAAATCAGGCAGGTAATTTTTCACTTGGTTTGTAAGTAAGCAGTGCAGAGGTTTCCCGCCAGACTTTCCTGATCCAGGGCAACTAACTATCTAGTTTTTCTCTTCATTATGCATTTGAAGGATCAGAGTAAATCTGTGACTTCTGCCTATTTACAAGAAAGGCTTAGTCAGCCAGCAGGCTTCTGGATCACAGCTCACTTTTCGGCCTTCTTTGTCCATAGGAACTTTGTCCTGGGAACTTCCCACCTAGGTACTATATGAGGTAATCACCAATAAATACTGAAACGAATAGCCCAGTCTTTAAGTGGAACCAAGGGGGTGTCTCATCCATTACAACTAAATTCTGGGTGGGCTGGCCCTTTTCCAGCATCTCATTTGTAGACCTTGAACATGTCTGCCAAGATTTATCTGCAAGCCCCAGGGGAACAGAAACCAAAGTGATCTGCATTAAAAATGAAAGCAACTGAAGACGACAAACCAAGCTTTAGAAGCAGCTGGAGAGATTTACTGAGCTTCTCAGCAGAACTAGATGGCAATGATGCCACAGGACAGCCATCGATTCTTAACAATGAAGAATTTGTATTGATCTTCTACCCGGAAAGGTTAAACACTAGAGTACAAAGTGGGAGAGGATCTGGGGATTTGAATGGCAGGAGAGCTAATGCCCACTAGACCAGGCATGCTCCTTTTTCCTTGGGGTGCTCTGTATCAGAGCTGTGAACAAAGCACCTACAAAAGATGAAATTCAATAGATGGGAGTCAGGAGTCCTGGGTTCTAATTAAAATTCACATGATTTTGGGGGACTCTGTTCTATAGATTTCCACCTTTCCCTTTATTCATTTTACCCTCCCATGAGCAGTGATAGTATTGGTGGCTGAGGATAGGGCAAGTGGGCAGTAGGGGCACAGACACCCTCCCTATATTTGCTTTTTTTCTACTTATTCCTGACTTACGAGCAATTTAAATAATAAAGGCACGGAGGGACAAAATCCCTATATGTCTCTGGAAGAGAATTTTGGTAGGAATCTTAAAGGGTACAAAAACAGAGGAGGGAGAGAACTATTTAGTTAAAACTCAGATATTGCAAACAAAAGTAAAAATGTCAACCATATAGAAATTCAGGCATGTTTTCTTCACACATAAAATTGTCTGTGTGTGCAGTAGACAACAGAGGGCAGCAAACAAGATAACTACTGTGAAAACATTCTGCCACAGAGTTGATAATATGTTTGGAAGAAAAATACTTTGGGAGAAATATGTTAGTTATTGAATAGACAAAGCATTCATTTTTGGAAATATTAAGTACATGAAATAATAGAGAAATATCAATCCCTGAAAAGTGAAAGTAGTTTTCCCAGAGGATATATTATGAATTTTCCATTTTAATGGAGTTGATTAATTACCCCAAGATTTTGACTAAACTCAGGAATGAAAGAATATTAACATCAATATTTTTCATGGATTTATATATGGTAGAGAAAACCATTTTTGTAAAAATAGATTCTAAAACCATAACAATATTTCTAAGTGGTAAGGAGACTAACAAGGTTATCTTGGTCTTTTCTGGCCTAGCAGATAGTCACTTTGGAGTACGGTTCCCTACTGTGTGCCTGGATATGGGATAGGTCCTAATATTGAGTGCCTTTTTGGTGTATACATAAAAAGTGATTTGACATTGGGTATATATGGGCCTGGGAGAACATCTGGAAAAAGATCTATTCTAAAAGCACAAAAGATCACAGGGAAAGCAAGAAGCTAGGAGAAAAACAGAAGCCTTCCAGGAAAAAAATAAAGATAGAAAAGGTCTTTGATATTAAAGGCCAAAAGAAGACAGAGTTCAGGAATCCAGGAGATGGTTTAGCTCAGCCCAAGAATAGGGAACTTCAGTCAGAAGTAGAACAGCTCCAAAAAAACAGGCAGAATGAAGGGCTAAAAACTGGGAAAAGTTTGAACTTGCTAGCTAGCTAGAAGTATTCTCTATTAAGGAAATCAGTGAGGGATAATTCCTTAGCTGGGCAAGGTGACTCCATATTGCAGACTTCCTGTTTAACACACATGTGATATGCATTTATGTGTATGTGTGCATGCAACTTCACTAATTCATTCTCATCATCCAACAGACATGTATACAGTACCTACTAAATGCCAGGGACTGTGTTAGATACTGGGAATCCCACATTGGCCACACATGAGCCCTCCTCTCAAGGGTACCTTCTAGTCGGGGAAGCACCATGGAAAAAACAGTTACACAAATGTTTATTTATGATTATGATATGTCTGTGAAGGAGAAGTTGAGGACGCTGTGTGTAATAGGGAATCTAACATAGTTTGAGGGGTCAGAAAAGGCTTTTCTGGCCAAGTGGGTGTTAAAGACCTTGAAGAGGGGAAGAGATAAGTTGGAGGAGGGCTTCATTCCTGAAGCTTGGCACCAGGAAGAGCTTAAAAGCCCAGAGTCTGCAGGGCTAGTCCAGCTTCTCCCTAAACCTGCCCAACTCATCCTATAAACAAGAGAATGCATGAGGAGACTTTGCTTTCTTTTCTTTTCTTTCTTTCTTTCTTTCTTTCTTTTTTTTTTTTTTGAGGCGAAGTTTTGCTCCTTTTGCCCAGGGTGGAGTGTAATGGCATGATCTCGGCTCACCACAACCTCTGCCTCCTGGGTTCAAGGGATTCTCCTGCCTCAGCCTCCCGGGTAGCTGGGATTACAGGCACGTGCCACCACGCCCAGCTAATTTTGTATTTTTAGTAGAGACGGGGTTTCTCCATGTTGGTCATGCTGGTCTTGAACTCCCGACCTCAGGTGATCCGCCCACCTCGGTCTCCTAAAGTGTTGGGATTACAGGCATGAACCACTGTGCCCGGCCGACTTTGATTTCTGTAGAGCAGAGAGAGGAACTGAGAGCCCAAGGGTGAGGCTTGCCTCTATGGGCTGGATTTAGATTCCTTTAGGCTTACACTACTCTGGCAGCCGTCTGAAATCAGAAATGGTGCAGCATTCTGACCATTTAATTAATTCAAAACATCCTAATTCTCATTTTAAGGACATTATTCCATCTAATTATTTTTTTTCCAGTCTGTCCATTTGGAATGAAAAACAAAAGAATAAAGCTTAATGCCAGCATTTCTCAATGTCTCTCCGAAAAACATAACTCTGCACTAAATAAAGCCTGGTAATTCAAAAGCAAAGCACTAATATATTCAGCATAAAACAGACAGAGGACCTAGAGCAATAATGACACCACTAATAACTAAAACAGTTATAACAATTAACAACAATTACAATGATAGAGAAGCTAATGGGTATGATCACTGCATTTAAATTGCTAGCAGAGCTGAGAAGGGCTTTTTCTAGAGAAAAAAAAGCAGCATCTTACTCTCTTTATCCTATGTAAGGGAAGCTAAACTCCAAGCAACCAAAATGTCATAAGAAGAATAGCAACAGAACAAGTTAAAAAAAAGTATTGGTTTCTTTTTTCTATTTATTGCAAAGCATTTGTCATTGCATGCCAGGTTCTTTACAACTAGTGACAGTCATTTCTCTTGTAACTGAGGCCAAGTTGGTGCTACTGATGATAGAGTCAATGGCTGAAAATTAGCCTGTGTGACGAGCAAAGTTTTAAGGTAAAAAGGACCAGGACATCTCTCTGCCTTTCTCCTTCCTTAGGGACAATAAAATCTGACTGTTCCTTCCACAGTTCAGCTTATGTTTGGGAGTCACTGGGTAGCGACAGAATTCAGGCTGTGATCAGGGAAAAGTGGCTAAAGGCAGGCCAGCATGTTATTTACATTTTCTTGATTACTAAAATGATCGTGTCAATAAGGCCTGGCATTGAGTACAACCTCTTAAGTTATGGAAAAGAGAGACAAAACATGAAGATGGATAAAGCCAGTCCTACGAGAGGATGGGATGGTAAGACTTGGACAAAAAACGCCAAAGTAGTGACCCATTGGAAGTGACTTGAAATGTTCTTTAAGCCAGGTCAGAAAGGTCTAACATGTTGAGTTCATTCAAGTAAACTCTGACAATTTTTCCTTTTTTTTTTTTCTGAAATAGGGTCTTGCTCTGTCACCCAGGCTGAAGTGCAGTGGCACAATCATAGCTCACTGCAGCCTCGAACTCCTGGGCTCAAGCTATCTTCCCCCTGCAGCCTCCTGAGTAGCTGGGACTACAGGTGCATGCCACCACACCCAGCTAATCTTTTTAATTTTTTGAAAACACAGGGTCTCACTTTGTTGCCCAGGTTGATCTCAAACTCCTGGGCTCAAGCAATTCTCCCATCTTCGCCTCCCAAAGTGCTGGAATTACAGATGTGAGTTACTGCGCCCAGCCTTGATAGTTTATTAACTATTTCAGAAGAAAGCTATGAAAATATTTGCCAAGCCCCCAATGACTGTGGCACCAGAGGAGGAAGAGCAATTGGATAATACCATTTGCTTATTTCATAGCCCTTTAATCTTGAGTTTTGAAATTACTATGATCTTAGTGGTATAAGTATGATTTGGAAGTGGGGTATACTCAGATTCTGATTTTCATGTCATTTCCTCTTTTCATTGGGCCATAATTTTAGCTGGTTAATAATCAGCTCATGTTTGGTCTTGGAAAACAGGCTTCAAAAGGTAAGAGCTGCAAACACCTCTGTGGTTTCCCTTTGTTTCTTTCATGTAGTAGTTCACTCTATTGGCGCGCACTAAAGTGAGAAGGGGGCCTCAGAGATGGAATGGTATAAGCAACCATTTTTTGGCCCTCCTAAAAGCAATCATTTGCTTATAAGACCACAATAGTGTGGTCTGTGTCTCCTTTTGGCTTAGTTTTTCCACAATTTCAGAGTTGGGGTTGGGGGCAGACTGAAGGAGGTACGGGTGGGAGGGGTCTGTTTCAGGTTTTCCTTGGTCAGGGATTTTATGTATCTAAGGATGATTTGTGCCTCCAGGGTTGCTTTTTATTTGACATAGCACATGCAAACAAATGGCCAGTAATTTCTATAAAAAACGAACACAGAGGAAGTTTTATTTTTGGTTACCTGGAGGTTACCTTTTCATGATAGGGAAAGGTGATAAGTTCTCATTACCTAAGACCCTTAATGTTAGACTACTGGGCTGATGGGTTGGAATTTAGTGAAACTCTGAGGTGTTGAAGAGTCACTCATTAAAATAACCCTGTTACTAACAGTCATGCTGTAAACTGAGCTCTTTATAGATTGAGCAATCAATACTACAAGGCTGTGATAGATTTTCTAGGTAACAGAATGAAATAAAAGAAATTACATCTTACAGGGTCATTAACACTCAATAAGGATGAACCGAATCCCTTCCCCCCTATTCTGATAAGATCTAGTTAGGCCTTCAGAATGTTAGCAATTCCATCAGAGAAAAAAGCACAGCATTCAAGGAACAGGATCCATCGAGGTTGGAGAAAAGTACTTGGATTTTAAAAGTAACTCTGCTAGCCATAGCATCTTTTGGGAAAAAAGGAAGAAGGGAAAGGTCAACTTGCTTATATATATTTTTCTCCCCAAAAGCATGTTAACACCTGAGAAAAGGCTGGGCGTGGTGGCTCATGCCTGTAATCCCAGCACTTTGGGAGGCCAAGACGGTCGGATCCCCTGAGGTCAGGAGTTCCAGACCAGCCTGGCCAGCATGGTGAAACCCTGTCTCTACTAAAAGTACAAAAATTAGCCAGGCGTGGTGGCACGTGCCTGTGATCCCAGCTACTCGGGAAGCTGAGGCAGAAGAATCACTTGAACCTGGGAGGCAGAGGTTGCAGTGAGCGGAGATAGCGCCATTGCACTCCAGCCTGGACAACAGAGCGAGACTTCATCTCAAAAAACAAACAAACAAACAAAAAAACACACACCTGAGAAAAACTAAGTAGCCCAAACTTGTGTAGCTTGTCTATGACATAGGAATTCACACTGTCCTAGAGCTCCCTGCCTTTTAAATGCCTTCACTGGGGCTGCCTGCCCTTCCCCCAGACCTCTATCTTTTATTGTTACAAAACTAAATGATGACATTTGGATTTATGTATTTTTCACCATTTCTATAGCGCCTTTGGAGAAAAGGCAGTATATAAAATCAATCGATAAATAAGTAAACACAAATAATAAAAATTCCTGCCTCAGATTCTGCAGAGAGAGCAAAAAGTCCTCCTGTTTTTTAATCACTAAGTCACCAATCATTATAACTGGTGGGAAGTGTAAACCATAGAAACATATTCAGAGCTTGCTATACTTTAACAACACTTATTTTGGAGGCAGGAAGCATGAGGAACAAAAGGTTTTTTTTTTTTTAAACCTACTTGAATTATAGCTGTAGGAACAGTTAAGAAATAAATCTCCTCTCACCTCCCAGATATAACCTTAGAGAAAGAGGTGGAAGGAGGAAATGAGATGAGGGAGGAGTCTGAAACTGGATTCTAGACTTTGCTAAAAGATCAATGCTTTCTGAATGGAGTTTAATATGAAATTGGCCATAGGAAGCTTACAGTTACTCCACCCAAGCTGTCCACATGAAGTGTTTCTTTTCTGCACTGGTGATGGAAGTTGGTTGAGAAAAGATATATGTGGAACATGGGCGGGTCAGAACAGATTTTCATTTGGAATTCTGTACAGTAAGTAGACAACAGAAGGAAATAGGTTTCAGAATGGACCTAATCACATGTGTTCACTATCATGAGGTACTTGCAGCTACACTCACATCCGTGCATCACACCCGCCTCCACTGCTTTCTTTCTCTCCTGCTTTGGCGCATGACTTCTGAGGCTGCATCTTCGTTGTCTCTTCTCTTCCCTGGGAGAAGCTGGACCCTTAGGAAGTTGGGTCCTGAACCTTTTAAGTATTCACTTTCTGTAGAGAATGAACCTAGAAATGGGGGTTTTGCTGGATGGATAAGGAGAGAAGAAAAAGCACAAGGAAAGGAGAGAGGAGAATAGGAAAAGACAGGGCTAGATAATGGAGAAGGAGCAGGGAGGGAAAGAGGGCAAGAATTCCTAGGCTTAAGATTTTCATAGACTCCCTAAGAAAAATATCAGCCAGTATCTAAATCAGTCATGATTAGGGCTCTGCCGACGGAACGAATGTCCTTGAGGTGGCCCTTGCAATGTGCAGCATTCCTTTACTGACAACCATGGAATAGGTCCTTGGTCCACTTAAGGAGGCTTCAGAGGGGCATCTGACCTTAGAAAGGATGGGCTCACTAACAGCCTGAAGCATGGTTAACAGTCTGGGATGAATAAGATGTAATTTTATATTCAACAAACCTGTTACATATTCATTTCCAAATGTGCCTGGAATCAAACCAGGCTATCAGAAGTCAGCATCACCAAGGAATTTTATCTTTCACCCTGTGTTCACTTTTCAGATCTGACACATTTCCATTCCCCTCTGAACTTGCAATCTCCGGGCCTCTCAGAGAGGAGACATTTCCATTCTTTCCATTCTCAATCCTCTGATCTCTTAGAGATGAGGCAATTCTATTTTCACTGTACTGATATAAGAAATATTGATAGGAAAAAATAAATGTCTGGTTTGGCTTCCCACCCGCTCTAGGATAAATCTTGGCTGTTCTGGGAACATTAATTAAAGTGAATGTATGGCTGCTTTTAAAGTTTAGGTATTTCCCTACCCAGTCACTTTATTTAGGGCTTTGGGGTTCACACACAGGTACCCTCTTAATTATTGAGTTCAGTAATTTTTGTAGTCTCAGAGAAAGGTGCTTTCTCTAATCAGAAGCCCATAATGTCCTACCCAGTGCCTGTGCATTTAGAAGCTCTTATACCTCCTTTTCGTCGAGTGCCACTCTCATCCTCTTCTAGATCATGCTCTTCATCTGGGGGGATAAATGATCAGTATTAGCAATTAGTGGTTCACAGTCTCATGTTCTTTTTTTTTTTTTTCGAGATAGAGTCTTGCTCTGTTGTCTAGGCTGAAGTGCAGTGGAACGATTTTCGGTTCACTGCAAATTCCACGTCTGGGGTTCAAGGGATTCTCCTGCCTCAGCCCCCTGAGGAGCTAGGAGTACAGGTGCCCACCACCACGCCTAATTTTTGTATTTTTAGTAGAGATGGGGTTTCACTATGTTGGCCAGGTTGGTCTTGAACTCCTGGCATCAGGTGATCCACCCTCCTTGGCCTCCCAAGGTATTGGGATTACAGGTGTGAGCTACTGCGTCCAGCCAGTCAGTCTCATGTTCCTTATACGGAAAGGTCCCCTTTCTCTGAGCTCATCATACTCTCTTCTTTAAGGAAAGTTTAATTACTGTTGTTTTTTTTTTTTTTTTTTTTTTTTTAGGCAGAGTTTCACTCTTTGTTGCCCAGGCTGGAGTGCAATGGTGTGATCTTGACTCACTGCAACCTCCACCTTCCGGGTTCAAGCTATTCTTCCCGAGTAGCTCAGCCTCCCGAGTAGCTGGGATTACAGGCTCACAGCACCATGCCCAGCTAATTTTGTATCTTTAGTGAAGATGGGGTTTCTCCATGTTGATCAGGCTGGTCTCAAACTCCTGACCTCAGATGATCCGCCCACCTTGGCCTCCCAAAGTGCTGGGATTACAGGCGTGAGCCACCGTGCCTGGCAATTACTGTGTTCTTAAAAAAAATATTAATTTGTCACCTTCAAACTGGCCCTCTCCTTCCCTTCCCTTTCATTTATTCATAAGCATGTTGAAGTGCTCATTACATGCAAGACATTGCACTAGGAACTGGGGACAAGCAATAAACAAGACTGTCAGAGTTCCTGCCCTTGTGGAGCTTCCAGTCCATTGGATTATTTAGATGTCTATCACCAGAATCCTAATCCTTTTCCTCAAACTCCATTTCTCCTTCCCTCTGGAATTCTCTTCAAAATTATTATCTCTATGCAAGCATTCTCTCTAGTTTTAAGCATTCTAGAGTTAGGATGTTAGAGTGTGTGTGTGTGTGTGTGTGTGTGTGTGAACAACCCTCTGTGATTGGCTGGGTGCGGTGGCTCATGCCTGTAATCCCAACACTTTGGGAGGCCGAGGCGGGCAGATCATGAGGTCAGGAGTTGGAGACCAGCCTGGTCAACATGGTGAAACCCCGTCTGTGCTAAAAATACAAAAATCAGCTGGGCCTGTGGCGGGCGCCTGTAACCCCGGCTACTCAGGAGGCTGAGGCAAGAGAATTGCTTGAATCCAGGAGGCAGAGGTTGCAGTGAGCCGAGATTGTGCCACTGCACTCCAGCCTGGGTGACAGAGCAAGACTCTGTCCTGGGGAAAAAACAAAAAACAAAAAACCCTCTTTGATTAATTAGTCCTTAATCCTTAATGTATCCATCTTTGTTCAGCTGTAATGGAGGCTGGTCATGTACATAATTTTATGTTCCTAGTACTTGGGGCTTGTAGTTATCTTTTTACTGTTTTTATTCAGCATGTCTTGTTCATTAGAGTATAAGCTCCTGAGGGTAGCTGGAATGGTCTTTTAATTAATTGCCGTAGATTCACAATGGGTTCTAACTCAATGCCAGTGTCTAACTCCAGTCAAATGTTTATACGGTCAAAGTCATAACATAATTGGCCTAAGTTTCTTACTCCCATTAACCGGTTTCATCTCGTCACATTACCCGATAAAATAGGAATTGGACCCTTATAATGTAAATATGTGTACCAGAATCATATTTAGCTATTTTATACATGGGGCAAAGTGAAGAAAAATACACTCGTTATTCTTTTCACTACCACCATGCTCTTTTCCCACTCTCTCACTCACACATATATACACACATATGCACAGTAGATAGGGTATAGTAAGCAATGTTTTGAGGGCTGAATACTCAGCTCCTCCTGGCCACATTTACTTTCCTTTCTCCTGAGTCTTAATGACATTTGCTTGTCTTGCTTCTCCATAGTTTTGCCACTAAATGAAACTTTGACATTTCTCTTTCTTTTTTTAAATGTAATGTTTATAGGGCAATATGAGTTCCGGTATGCCAAACTGGGGAAGTAAGCTCCAAGCTCATAGGTAAGAAGGAGCAGCATAAAAATATATTAGAATACTATAAAGCATTAAAGGAGTAATTGATTTCAAGTAAGAAAGAGACTGATATGGCCAGGTGTGGTGGCTCATGCCTGTAATCCCAGCACTCTGGTAGGCTGAGATGGGAGGATCACTTGAGCCCAAGAGTTAGACACCAGCATAGACAACAGAGCAAGACCCTGTCTCTATAAAAAATAAAAATAAAAATTAGCTAGGCACAGTGATGCACACCTGTAGTTCCAGCTACTTGGGAGACTGAAGCAAGAGGATTGCCTGAGCCCAAGAGTTTGAGGCTGCAGTAAGCCATGATTGCGCTACTGCAGTCCAGCCTGGGCCTGGGCAACAGAGCGAGACCTTGTCTCTAAAAAAAAAAAAGGACGGATACTCTGGGAAATAAAATATATATATATATGCCCTACAATATAGTATGGGAAAAGGAGCACTTTGACTCAACAGTTCTTATAGCCATGTATGATCTAGCAGCAGAGAATGTTCTACTTGACACCTGTAGTGCTCCCTCAACCCTACCACGAGGAATAAAACAACCTAAGCTAATGGAGGAGTGAAATCAAATATAGGAAACAGATCATGCTGAAATAAACCACATTAAACATTCTTTGCACATTGTCTTCTCGTTACTCGTCCACTTCCTTCCTTTCTCAGCTATGATGCATTTCTTTTTTGACATGGGACTAATTTTAGGATTGGAAACATTAGAGGAAAAGTTGGTACAACCTCAGTTTTAGAGATACCCAATAATTTGGACAGAGAGCAGCTCTTTTGTTGATATCAAACAACTCCATCACAAAGACCAATAATTTGCTGTGCTTAGGCACTTTTGCAGAGGTTTATTCTACCTCTGCTGTCTGTGCGCAGCTGTCTCTTCCTCCCAATTCTAATCAATGTAAATTGGGTCAGATCTCCACTGTGAATTACAAATTGGATCCGAAGTTGGAGGGTCACAGTGCTGCTACTCCACCTCCTTCCCACCACCATTAGATGGGAAGCTTCACCAAAGATCTTTTCTAAATAAATCAGACTTTATTGTAAAACTCGGCCACTGACGAGACATAACCTCATTAGCATTGATTTTAAAATAAATTATTGAAAGTGGCTTGCCTGCTCTTTGCATTTGTAAAATAGGAGAATGTAAATGTATTTGCAATGATAAAAATGAAAACTAAAACTTAATTCCTTTATTCTTTTGGGCAACAGCACTTAATCTAGTCATAATACAAAGATGGAACAATAGAAATGTGTTCTATGCAGTTCAGTTCCAGACCAGTTACTCTTGATTTCCACTGCACTTTTGGAATCAACTAGAAAGAAAAAAAAAACATTGGCTATAGAGCTTTTATATCATTCACCGCCATTACTAAGCTCTACGATGATGGATGTAAACGGGGAAGCTCCAATCCCCACATCTGTTTTATCTAACACCGTCCTTCCCAGGTGGCTGAAAGTAGGCTCAAATCAAGAAGCCTTCCCATTGATGGGCTTGGCGCTATGCCTCTGGGGTCTTTGGAAGACTGGGTAGGGGGCACTGTCACATAGTGAAGGAAAACACCATTCACAGCTGGTTGTGAAAATTACACCCCTAGACACCTCCCTAGGTTCAGAGGGCACAATACAAATAGGCATACAAGTTATCTCAGATCTTTCCATGAAACTGAACAGGTGTCTTTGCAACCCCAGAGTCAAAGACAACTATTATATGGCAACAGAAAAAAAGTCTTGTTGCTCACAAGAAGGGGTGGGTTAAATAGCTAAAGTTCTCATTTTTATTAATCTTTAATGTGACACTTTAATTTTAAGAGACTATTTTGAAAAATATTTTTTAGGCTAAAGAGCTTGTTGAATTTCTTTATAAGAATATTATTAGGCATTTCAGCATTATGTCTACTGAAATACATCTTCATTTAAGAGTGAATTAAAATTTATGTGCTAGCTCAACTTTAAACAGTAATGGATTATAATGGTCCTTGCTCCTAACAGGGCATATGGGACCCCAACCTTACATAGGTTTTAAACAAATTAACCTCTAAAGATTACTGTCCACTTATCACATTAAATGCTCTACTTGATCCCCAAATATCTCATCTCAATTGGGAAAACAGTTGAAGAAGATTCTGTTAACTGTGTGAACATGTAAGAGAACCATGGGGCATCACAAATGAGCATCAGTATCTGGAGAGTCGATTTCAATAAACATTCTTGGCACAATGTCAGGGACACTAATGAGAGGCTGAGAGGAATAGGACACTGAATCCACCTCAGAGGGACAGAGAGGAGCCAGCAGCTTCTCATGACACCTGGCTATTTTCTGAAGTGCTGCTCTGACACTCCTCTGACATTGGCTACACTGATATCAGAAAGAATAACATTAGAAAAAAATGACTAAATCAGAAAGAGGGGAAATCAGTTACTTCCCCAAATAAAGAAAGTGATAAAAGCTTCAAAAAATGCCAACTGTGTAAATGTGCAACCAGATGTCAAGGTGCTGTGGTGACAGATGCAACAGAAATACAGATAGACTCAAGGTGCAAAGGGGACATGCAGAAAAGTAGAAATAAACTGCTCCCCCGCATGCACAGATATGTTATAAATCCACGGATGTATAGCACCTCATCAGACAACATGCAAAATACAAGCAAGATGCTAATAACACATTTAATTCTCTGTTGTGTATTTGGTTATCTCAACTGTTAGCTCAAAATATTCGCATCCTATTTCAGTGATATGGGCTTGATGTATAAGATATTAAACTCAATTTGTGCTAACTGCAACACTTGGAATGCACTGAATTTAACTTCACAAATAATACCTAAGCATCTACTAACTGGGGAGAAAGACCTGAATACAAATCACTGGTGAGGGCTAAAACAAAGCTTAATTCCAGTTGAGTATCTGGGAAGGTGTCACTGAGGAGACATATTTGAGCAGAATGTGTATGATTTCACAGGCTGAGATCAGGGGGATGGTCTAGGTAGAAGAAACAACATGATTCTAGTTTTGGTGCTGGCCAAGCAGCACTGTGTGGCTGGGGCTCAGTGGGCATGGGAGTAAGACAGAGAAAAGGCCAGAAGTTCAGAGGAGGCCTGATGTTGGTGTTGACTCTTCCCTGATGCTCTTTCTTCATAAACTTTGTATTTTTGGTCTCTATTTTGTTTCATTTCCTTAGACTTCTTATCTTCACTGTTCCCCCTTCCTGTGGGTCTGAACAACTGTACAGGGGGAAAAATAATTCCACAGAATGCTTGTTTCCATTTGACTCAAAATTTTAAAAACTCAGTTATATGCTTTATTTTAAAGCAATCTGGTTTCTAGGTTTATAATAACACCCTGGGGCAGTGTGGGCAGCATTGGAATGTGCACAGAAATTCCCAAAGATGGCTCGTCATCTCTCTTTCCATTTGCTCTTCTGAAATCTCTCTAGAGAACACAGCCAGATTCCGTTGCCATTGCAGCTGCTACAAGGCCCCAGTTACAGCACTTCAATGGTCTCAGACGTCTTGCTGGATCCCAGCCTTGAGACCTCAGACAAAGCGAAACCTGACAAAAGTTGTCCTTTTATGGAATCTTGAATCATGGAGCTGGGCCTATGCTGGCCTGTAAAATAACTTCGGTGGTGGTGGTGGTGGTGGTGAGAGAGGGCTCAGAAAAGCCTCCATTTTCTACATATTGCTTTAGCATTTCTTTGTGGTAGTTCCCTGCAGTTTAATCTACTGCAAATGAGATCCTAAAAAAATCAAGGGCCCACATATGCTCAACACGGATGTTCAGAAATTCCACCAGATACCAACCTTGAAACCATATTTTCCAGGACTAACGTTTTTGTGGCCTGGCTGAAAACCTTGAGGGCTCTGGTTTTCCCTCAAGGGGAGAAGAGTGCTAGCCACATAGCAAATGCTAATTATCCCATGATTAATGTGATGGAGTGAGTTTAATGTGATGACCCATGCGTTATTTTGATTACAAAAAAACATTTTTTATTGACTTGGTATGTATTACATACACTTTTCTCCCTATTAGGAAGCCCATCTAAATTATACTCTGGAAGGAAGGTCTCACTTACATGGCTTTCCCTATAGAGACAGTGTGGGCTTGTGTGGGCCCCATCCCAAAAGGGAGGATTAGCAGAACCGTCAATGTTAAATATCCTCCACAAAGCACATTTACCTATTATAAGGAAACAAATGTTAGAGGCCCACATCATTTGACTCTTGATGGGTATGCAATGTTAGCACAATCCAATGTTACTGTAGGCTGTCCCTCCACCCAGCACCTGGCCTCGTAGTCAAAATGGGCCTGAGCAGAAGGTGCACTCCACATTCCATCTGCTCAGGATTTTCAGTTTCACCTGCTCCATACACATAGCTGGAAATAACCAACTGGACTGTCTCAGGTCTGGTTCGAGAGGGCAGGGACCTAACCATCCCCAGTTCTTCAAGGAGGTAACACTTCCTGTTTAAACACCATCACATTAATAACAGCCAGCATTTACTGAGTACTCACTGTATGCCATTGTTTGCCAGGGTTCTGTGCTAAGAACTTTACACATGTCAGTTCCAGACTCCTCAGCACATCCATCTGAGACAGCTACTATTGTTTTCCCTGTTTTGCAGGTAATACAATCAGACAGAGAGGGCAAGTAACTTGCTCAAGATCTCACAGCTAGCAGGTGGCAGAGCAAATCCATCCTGATTTAGAGCTAGTATCTGTGCCTAGGATACCATTGCTGTCTCATGTGCCGCTGCTTGGTAGATGGTCTTATGAGAGGGCAGCAGAAAGGAGACAGTGTTAGGCCCCCTCACATTCCCTTCTTAATTTCTCCAGGTGTGGCACTATGCAAAATTCAAACAGCAAGTTCAGAAGCAACAGCTAAGTGGAGTGGACAGGAAGCTGGGTGATGGAAACTTGTGGCTGAAATATTCATATCATAATTAAATGCCAATATATCCCACCTCCAACTCTGACTCTAAGAACTGTGATGGATAGAGGCTTATGGGAAAGAACCTGTTGGCTGGGTACAGTGTTGTCCTTTGGAAACTAGGTGCAGTTTAGCTGTTGTTTCCCTAACCTGCAGAAAGAGATCCTGGATTTCCTACTGTGTGGCCTTCCTCACTTCCAATGGGCAGCTGTTGTGGATAGAGGTTAAATGTACCTACAGATGAGTCTTCATGCCCTTGGGGCCACTCCAACATACCAGCTGGTGTAAATTTTGGAAAAATGCCCTGATACTCTGGGCGGTGCTGCATTGGCCAAGGGGAGGAGTTTAGGAGGCAGGAGAAAGATGGTCATTAGGAAGCCAATCATACCTTCATTGCCCACTCCTGGGGTAAGGTGACAGTCCCAAACTCATCTTATTTTTTGAGGACTCTTCCTCTTTATTCACCTTTGCTCTGTGTCTCTAAGCATCAGCCCCCGCCCCCCGACTCCTTTGAAAACGAAACATGGTGCAGAAAAAGGCCCTTTCTTTCCACCCGAGAAGGTTCACTGAGGTTTTCCCAGAGCATTCTTCCACAGTTGTAACCCAAAGTGGAGTGTCACCCGGATATTTCCCCAAGCCTGGGCAGGAGTGAGCAGAATGTGAGCTCACTAGGAAGATTCTGGCCAAGCTGGGGAATGCATCTCCTTTTAGGGAGTATTGTGAATTAGATCCATTTCTGCACCCTGCTGTTGCAATGGAGCCGACTGTGAAAGGGAAGATTCTCAGAGGAGCTGTGTTTTAATGTAGCAATTTGATTCAATTTTCCACTCTATAAAATTACCCATCACTGCTCGTTGCTTTCTAACAGACACCTTCACTCTTAATTTAACAATCCTATCGAATTCTGCCAGGGAAATTGGAAAAATTTATCACCTGTGAAATTTTATTTTCCTTTGGTTGTATCTGTTTTTGTAAAACTTCATTAACGACGATGACTTGCTGAGGAAATTATCATTTTTTTTAACGTCAGACACAAGAAATGGCTCGACCTCAACCAAGATATCATTTGCATAATAAAACACAACAAAAAGGCTGGAGAAGTCGGGACTGGTAGAGGCTGGAAGTGCTAGGAGAAGAAGCAGGCTCTCCTTGGAGGGTGGGTGAAGTCCCCAGCAGGGCAGGGACATGTGGTCACAGTCCTGCCACTTGACTCAGGAAGCAAAGACGTAGCTTCTTCCCCAGGAAGAGATGAATGCAGTGTGGAGAGGGTTGGACGCTCTTCTTAGGAAGCCTTGAAATGCAAGTTGCCTACTGATGATGCTTTCAGCAACCAGCCCTGTCTTCAGGGACTTGAGTGTTAGATTCACCTTAGCTCTTAGGTTCATCTGGGATTGAGGTTCATCTGGGTTCATCTGGGATCTAAATTGTTATAAATTTAGGCTTAACTTGAATTTCTCAGCAGAGCACTGAACTCCTGGCAAATTTCCATAGGAATGATCTTTCTGAATGGACTTGAAGATTAGCGTTCCTGTGGTCTAACTACTTCACAATTAAAAGGCTCAGGCTTTGGTTCTCCACTGTCTGACCCCCACTGAGCTTTGCACCATTCACCAGCTGCTGTTATCCCCACCAGACATGGCTATGCAGAAGCAGTGATGACTATACATTTTTTGAGATGCTAGTTTTCATGCCTTTGGAAGAAAGGAAATATATTGAGTAGACCTGCTGTAATGATGAGCAGATAAAACATGTTAGGGTTATTTTTAAGAGATGTGATTTGATTCATGGTATATCTGAACTAGGTAATAATGAGTTGTTCTCTATCAAGGTTTACTATCAAGGTTTGGTCTATCAAGGTATTACTAGAAAGGTTGGTCAGCATTTGCATATTTCAGAGTTTTGAAATCCTTCATAATTTTGAAGCGATTTTCCATTATTCTCACAACTACACACCAAAAAGTTGAAACTAGAGAATTTTGATGACTCATTCCAAAACTCACAATAAACCAATAAAAACCAACGTAAGTATTGTTGACTCTTTAACCTGGTGGACACATGTAAAAAGTTACTTCACATGGCATGGATAGAAGACACTCATTAATCAAATTCTTCTTGCTCCCAGAGCAAGGCAGAGCCTCATTACCCACTTCCCTACAATCTCATAAAGCGTCCCACATTATCTCCTTCAGAGGATGAGGGTTAGATTTGGCTTCCTTTGGAATTTTCAAAGTTATTATTCTTCCACCAGGTCATGAATTTCTGAAACTAGCATAAGATAATCAGAGGACAAAATTTCTCACCTGGCAAGACTTCATAAATATCTTCTTCTTCTTTCTCCTCTGTAGGCTCTTTTATCCCCACACTCCCAGGCAAGATAGTGGGTCTGCACTGGGAACCACAACTTGGGGAGTCAAAACCATCAATATCATCATATGTCTCTTCTTTTTCTTCTTCCTCCTCATCCTCTTCATATGGAATGGTTAAGGAGCTCAGATCTAACAAGGCAAAGATGAGAATGAATCAAGAAACAGAGAAAAAGAAAATAAGACAGGAAAGGAAAGAGGGAGAAGGAGGAGGAGGGATGAGAGTAAAATATGTCAAATGAAAATGAAACATTAGGTTAAATGCTATTATTTCTAATGTGGGCTTTGGTGGCAGGAAATCTACAGAAAAGGCCAGAATAGCACTGCATCAGGTTTAAACCATCAACATAAATCCTTCCTTGCAATAAAACTTGATCAGAGTGAAGCAGCCTGAAAAGTATGGGTGTGTGAATGAGAACATGAGGCAAAGGGAAGAAAATAGGCCAGAAGAGGAAAAGCCAGTGTGCTGTACACAGCTTATCACGTAGAAAACTGGAAGGGTGAGTGAAGGCTTGCAGTCCTCCAGGGTACTCAGGCCGTGGGAGCTAAGGTGGCCTCTGTAGGGTGCTGGAGCTGTCAGAAGCTTATCTCCCCAGTGATTTCACTGCAGAATTTCAGACAAGTTTGTTCGCAGAGAAAAAAATGGGCAACAGTGGAAGATAAAAAGAAACGGGGTATGGAAAAATATAACAGTAATACAAGACCAAATGGAATGGCTGAACAATGCAGTTACCATGTCCTTTTGCAACTGCACAGTCTAGCTGACCTTAAAGTGGGTCACTGCATAGAAGGTGTTGAGCCATTACAGCACTGGGGAGCACCAGGGCAGGGGAGGGAGATTGGTTTTTTATTTTAATGGGGAACTGAGAATGTTCATTCTCTGATGTGTACTACAGAGTGCTCTCTGAAACCCTGCTGAGGGCCCTCTGCAGGATGGGTGAGTGCAGTCAGCATACTCTGGGGAAGGAAAGGATGGAGAGACGTCCAACTTTCATTTCAAAATGCAATAAAATTGTTTGGCTTGATTAGCCTTTTAATAAAGATTTTGCAACAATTTTCATCTGAATTTTGGTGCCACCACATACGAGGAAAAGATCAAAAACACATTTGTGGCTTAAACCATATGTTATTATTTTGTTTTAAAATAAAATGGAATGAATAATTTCTTCAATGTGGGATTCTGAAAGTACCACAGGGTACAGCTCAATAAAGCTGCTTTGAGTTTTATTGAGGTTTACACACTTAGGGGTATATTACACGCATAAATCCAAGGCACCTAGATGAGAGTGTACCCTGTAGTCTCGCCATCAATGTTCATGTTTGCCTAGTTCCAGTCTATTATACGTGACGCTGTTGGTAGATGCAATAGTTTGCTTTTGTGATAGCAAAGGCATAACTGAGTAAAACAGGCAATTCTTGTAATTAAAGCACTGGTGCTTCCTTCTTTTTATCCACAATAAAATCTTATAGCAGAATAAAAATCTGAGATGAAAAGGCTTTGCGTTTTTAGCTTGACGTGTGTCTTTCTAGGTCTTGGGCCATGTATAAAGTTGGTGTTTCTGCCTTTCTGCAGAACAGAGGTAGGGTCCTGCCATGATGGTAGGTGACAATTATATAATACCGAGTGACTAACTCAAGGTTGGCTTATTCTACCTGACAGACCACTCCCAGATAAGGCTTCCCTGGCCATTGTTTCTGCTTTGCCTACAGGCTGGCCAGCAGAGGGTACTCTAAGAGCAGTCATTTACCATCTTCAGGCAGGACTCTTCCCATCCCAAAGCAAGGAACATCTTATTGTGGCTTGGGAAATAACAGTTTGTTTTTAATGTCCAATGTCCCTGAAGACCATCTAGATTGGTTTAGATTTCTACTTCCTCCTAAGACTAAAATAAGGAGATTTTGAACCTCAATTGCAACTAGATGACTTTAAGTTGGATATTATGAATTTCCTTTCCAGAATATAAGGGGTTAGGAGACACCGAATTGGGCTGAGCTGATTTTTAGAATCTCCTTTTCTAGTGATTTTGAATATTACAGACTTGCCTGTAGGTAGGTGGATGAGCTATGATACCAGAGGTCCTCCCAAGGTTGATACTGTCTTTATCTTCTCATTCACACATAGTACTATTTGTTGTTGTAATATGGGGAATGTGGTAGGAAAGGTAGAGGTGAGAAAGGGCAGAAAAAATACATACTGAAGTCTGTAGATTATATTTATGCAACATAACTTCAACTGCAAATCAACTCAAGTATTATTTCTGTAACAATGACACTTACCCTTTAACAAGAAACTTATTTGATCCACCCAGTCTCTGGCTTCTGCTGGACTAGTAGCTGTAAACTAGAGAAAAATCAGTGAATTAATTTATCACTGTCACTAAAATTTCCATGAATCTTGACAGGGATGTCCAAGGGGGAGGAACCACTGAGTTTCAGAGTCAAGTTTAAAGCTCAGGATTCTCTGCCTGCTTAACATATAGAAAAAAGACCAAATATTTCACTCAAACTGATTTTTTCCTTCTGCAATTTTGCATACCCAGAGATGACAGCTCTTTGAGTCTAGACATTCATGTCCTTGTGCATTCTTTCATTTGATTATCTATTCCTTCATCAGACATTTATTTGAGAAAAGTTTACAAGAAAAAGAAGCAAACCAACCCACACACATGAAACGGGAACACTAAAAGGAGGCACATTTTGTAACAACCGGATATCAAGAGGAGACAGGGAGCACCTGTTGTTGCCTAGAGTAGGTCAGAGTGGCTTGCTGAAATAATACCATTTTGGCTGGATTTTAAAGAAGAGTTGGTGGAAACTGGTGGACAGAGTTGGACATTTTAGGTAGGCAGGCCTATGTGCAAAAGAACAGGAATGAGAACATGACTTACGGGGAAGCCTGGCAGATCAGCTTGACTGAAGAACAATAACAGATGAAGTTGGAGAGTTGAGGGTCAGAGAAGAGTCGGTAAAAGGGCTCTGAGTACTAGGAGTTCAGAGTTAAAATGCAGGCAACAGGAAGCCACTATCAGCTCTAGCAAAAGGAGTGGGGGATTCTTTCAATAGTAGTGAGTAGGAAGGATTGGAATAGAGAAATCTGGAGGCAGAAGACCAACTGGTCCTCTGGATGAAGTGACAGGAACTTAACTATTGTGATAGCTGTGGGAATAAATAAGAAGGGAAAGAGCCAAAGGATATTGTAGAAGAAGAATCCACAGACCATGGTAACGATTTGGATTCAATAGGCCAAAGAAAAGAAGTAAATAAAGTACATTCTGATTAACAAAATAGGCCAGTCAAGCATCAGCCTTTAGTAATTTTTTTATTTTAAATGAATCAACTTGAAATAATTGTTCCTGAAAAATATTTTAATTATCTGGCCATTAGGGTAAGGTAAAGGTATATGCTATACAAAGAAACTGGATTCCTGCATAATGCTTATTAATAGACATTGTTATTCTTGATTTCTTAAAAACAAATTTCTATAAAAACATTTCTAGAAATACTGGTTTAGACTTGTTACGTAAACTTTTACCTGGATGTGTTACTATCAGAATGTAATAATAAAAATAACTAGGAACATATTCAGTGCATAGATCTATATTATATATATTCATAAAAGACTCTATAGAAAAGTTTTAGTTCAAATTTCAAAAAATTTCTGGAAATTACATAATGAAGACCTAGGTCCTTTAACAAAATAAGAGTTAAGATACTGTAGAAATAAAAAAGAAGAATGCTGAGAAAAGTCTGAAGACTAAAAGTGTTACTTAAGTGGTTAATTTACTCTTAGTATGGTGTTTTCCTTTTTCATAAGCTAAAGTTTTTCTAAATTGCTTTAATAAAATTGTGATAAGATAAAAATTACCAAAAAGCAGGAAACAATACACACACATGCAAACATACATTTTTGGTGAAAATCACTATATTTCCACAGTCAGAAATTTTTAAATTTTATTGGTCATTCAGCATGAAGATGGCAAAAATAAAATAAAACACATTAATTTTATAATGAGGTAAAGATTCAAACTGAGCACAGTACGGAATAAGTCTTTCTTGCCCCGACCAGGTCCTCTAGTCCTTCAATTATTATTGTTACTATCGTCACCAATATCTTAGAAATCCTTCCAGAGATATGCAAAGCATCTACACACAGGAAGATTATTTTGGATAGCAAGATGAACATGGGAAAATAATTTTTTTTCACTCTACAGTTAGATCTTTTTTTGGGATTTCATGGAAGGAAGTGAAGAAAATCAGTCGAAGAATAAAGAGAATGGGAATTTAAACCATAAAATCGGAGACTATAAGTAAGGAATTTGATTGTGTGCTGCAATTGACAAGCATCTCACCTATGAAGTGAAATTGAGAAGGGGAGGAATGAAGGATGGAAGCCAAGCAAAGTCTGTATCTAAGATGAGAGTGGCAACAGAGGGGAGGGTGTGGCATAGCAAATATGAGGACATGCCAAGAAATAGGGTCTTCGTTGGCATGAAATGAGCAGGTAACAAAGAAAGGCTGGAACCCAGCATAGCAACCATGGCTCACATGCAATACAGAAGGAAACTGCAACACCAAGAAGGATCACCATCTCCTTGATGCGTCCTACCTCATAGCTGCGCCTATCCTGGGAGGTCAGTTCAAAGCAGGATTCTTTCTTGGAATCTCTTCGCAGGTGGGGGGCCATCCGTACACCGTAGCCCTTAATGAGGAAGGTCCCTTTGGGCTGCTTGCCTGCAAGACAGGAAAGCTCCCTGTATCCCTAGAGAGATGCAACTGCCAAGGGAAGGCATCCTCTCTGGTATGTAAAATAAAAGCACAGAAACAGCTGTTACATCCCTGAGGAACCACAATAGTCAAGGAAAGGTTATTAGAGAAGCTTAAGAAGAGGCTACTGCGACAGTAAGGCAGATATCACTGCCAAGCTAGGGAAATGCAACGTGAAAGGTTATTTTGCCAAAAGAGTACAACAGAGACAGAGAATTTATTAGAATGTTAAGAGATCTATAACAACAGAAAGAAGGAATTATTACAGCAGAGAGAGTGTGGCTGTAAATGTGAGGCTCTTGAAGGCTATTATAAAGCTGAAACATTATTATCAGGGCCAGCAGAGCTCACATTTGAGGGGAGGGACAGCAGCACAGGGGGGCATTATAAGGTCCCAGAATCGCCTCCCATGCCCTATGTAGCATTTGGGCTAAACTTCTCTTCCCCTTCCCTGCTGGTCAGGTGGGAATTTATGCCAGAGGGAGAATAATTAAAACTCAGTATTTTATCCTCCTTGTAAGAGGTCAACCTGGGAAGTAGCAGAATAACGTTGAGTATTATTAGATGACGAGGAAGGAGATAAAAGGAAAAGGACCATAAGTGAAGAGAGACTATTCTGCTTGTCACTACTTAAAAAAAATGTTAGAAACAGAAAAAGAGGAGGTGACTCTCAAGAATTTTGTATCCTCATTGTGTGGGTCAGGCAGAACACACAGAGAACAGGAACCACAGTGTCTGGGATGCTTTGAGCTCTATATCATGTGAAATGAATTGCTTAATAAATGCCTTTTGATGATGATAATGATGACAAGGATGGCAGTGCGATGCCAATATTAAAAAAGAAAGAAGAAGAAAAAAGACTGTGCTCACCTGGTTGAGCTAAAAGAAATACACAAACACTATTCTTACTAAGAAAATGTCATGGGCACAGTAAGAAATAACTGGCGAGAAGGGAGCCATGGAACAGTGCTTTTTGACACCAGAATCTTTTTTGTTAAAGTATCTCTCCTTGTTCTAACTGGCCACTAAAATGTTTTGTTGTTTCTTTGGTCACCAGATTTTATTTCACCCTAATGGCAAAATGGTCAATAAAAGCTTCC